>NC_000002.12:225614618-226239618 GCF_000001405.40 Homo sapiens
TTCTCTATCTCTTAGTTTTTCTGTCAGTATACCAATAAAAACATTTTCTTCATTAGAAACACAAGGATCTAATATTTAGACTGTGTTTTACAGAAGAGAAAATGAGAAATAATTTCTGTTAAAATCTGTATGAAGAGTTGGGCAGAAGCTGAGTGCTACATGAATTTATAATTAGAATTAAGAGTTACATCTAGAGAATAGTCCAACTGCTATTGCAAACAATTCCAAAACCTCAGCAGTGTACTGGAATATGATTTACTTCTGGGTTATGTCACAGGCCGTGATTTTTGTCACAGGCAAAGTGGAAACCAATTAGTGAATTCAGTGAAAGATGGGCTACTCTTCCAGGTTATCGGGAAGTTTCCATCTAGTGGGTGTGACAGCCTCTAAAATGTCAAAAAAATTCCAGCTGGCAGAAGAAAGCAAAAGGACAAGGATTTTATAGGACATTTGATGCCCAGACCTGGAAGTAGCATATGTCATTTCCACCTGCATTCTAATGGCTAGACCTCGGTTATACAGCTCTCCCTAGCTGCAAGGAATGCTCATAAACATGGCTTAACTAGATGCCCAGAAAGAAGGACAAAGGGATTTGGTCAGCATGTGGCTAGTCTCTTGACTTCCTCAGTACAAACATAAATGAAAAAATAGATTGAGTTCTCTGAGCAAATTGCCCTGCTCTGCCCTGCAATACTAGAATTTCTCAAAGAAAATGTTACTGAAATGTGCCAATACCTGAGATCTACTATTAATGAGGGATGTTTCAGGCAGAAATAATTTGGTGGCAATATCTCTACAATCCTCATGTATTCTGATAAAAAAAAAGAATAATTCCAACGTCTGGATATTTGGTGGAGAGCTTTTAAAGGCCAGACATGGTCTTAAAAATTCTATTTATTATTCCATGCTATGAAAATTTGTTATTATTTGCAACTATTTTATGGAGAACTGTTGTGTATAAGTCAGTGTGTGTGTTCCCCTGTGTTACAGTGAGAGGTGAACACTGCCTGGTGTAGGTACTCCCGATGCAAATTTAGAACTCTCACTTTCCTGGTCACCATGACCTGTATTCTAATTGAATGTCACAGTGTGTGTCAAAACTGTGGATTCTGGAGCTGATTGGAGCTGATTAGAGCCAGCCAGACAGAGAAGTTTACCTACAAGCCCAGGCAAGTGCTGGGGCCTTCTCGTTGACCTGCTATTTCTCCACCCTCTAAGTTTCTAAGGAAAAGAGAGCAAAGGCCCTGTGCCTCCACCACGAAAGAGCATGGCAGAGCAGGGGCAATGCTTTATATTTCATTATTCTTTCTCTCTTGTGTAAACTCTGTTGAAGAATCTCTGATAAAGAAAAAGGCTTTTTCTTTATCAGGTCTTTGCTAATTGCTGTTTGTGCGATCTTGGGCAAGTTGTGTGAAGGCTCTGTGATGTTTTTACACCTGTAAAGTGATTAGGACTTTTTGCATATTCCACTTGATTCAGTGTGCCCCATCTGTGTGTAAAACATCATTTTATCTTGTTTGCTTTCATAAACACAAACCTGGGCTTTCTTTCCAACTGTACTGAAAACCATGGAATCTCCAAATGACTGAGCTGTTGTTCTTTCTCTCTATATATTTGAAGAGAAGGCATCCCTTGGATGTAAGAATTGACATAGCTGACCCCAAATAACAGTTTATACAAGAGAGAAGGAATAATGAAATATAAAAATATGCCCCCGCTCCTCCATACTCTTTCATGGTGGAGGCACAGGGCCTTTGCCCTCTTTTCCCTAGAGACTTGGAGGATGGAATAATAGCAGTGCAACGAGAAGCCCCCAGCACTTGCCTGGGCTTGTAGGTAAACTTCTCTGTCTGGCTGGCTCTTATCAGCTCCAGAAACCACAGTTTTAAAATACTCTGTGATATTCAATTAGAATACAGGTCAGGGTGACTGGTAGAGTGAGAGTTCTAGATTCGTATCAGGAGTACCAACAACTAACCAATGGTGGTACTGGAAAGAAAGTCAACGTGAGCTCTGTAAGAGCTTTCTAGAAATTAAAGATTTTCAGAATTGAGCCAAGGTTTCCCATGAGGTAGGAACTGGTCTTCCCTGGAGTTATCCTCCGAGAGGCAGGACAACCATCTCAGTAATTACAAACACACATCTTACCTTGAGTGAACTGTTCCAAGTGGTGATTTCCAAGGGCTGTTTCAGTCCTAAAATTTGATGACTGAATCTAATACCCATCTGATAATGCAACTTAGTTCAGTGCCTCCTTTAGTGCTTAAAACGTGTTGTCTTTTCTGCTTAATTAATCTGCCTTGATCACTTCTCCTTATTCTCATTGTTCAGCAGTTGGAGTAGCATGCAGTGTCTTTGATCCTGTTGATTATGCCAATATGAAGCAACAACTTGGAAGCATTCTTTATGTCCACAGAAAGCTCAATTGCTCATCTGCAACAGACCTTTGGTCTCTCTATTTTCAGGCACAATCAGAGCCCATATTTTGTAACCAAGCGATCTCTATGTGAGATTGTGACATTTCAAAAATCACATCAGTGGCTTATGCCTGTAATCTCAGCACTTTGGGTGGCCAAGGCAGGTAGATCTCTTGAGGTCAGGAGTTTGAGACCAGCCTGGTCAATATGGTGAAACCCCATCTCTACTAAAAAAATAAATTAAAAAGCTGGGTGTGGAGGTGGGCACCTGTAATCCTAGCTACTAGGGAGGCTGAGGCAGGAGAATTGCTTGAACCCGGGAGATGGAGGTTGCGGTGAGCCGAGATTGCACCATTGCACTCCAGCCTGGGCAATAAGAGTGAAACTCTATCAAAAAATAAAAAAATAAAAAAAAAACAGCAGTCATGAACCACACATACAAAAGCTTTTTATGTAAATCATCTGAGTCATCTACATGTTCATAGAAGCAATTAAATGAATGACAGTTGAATCCTTTTAAATATTGCAAAAAAATAGGAGAATAGAATCTTAAATTTTCCCAAGTAAATGATGTGACTGTTCATATTTCCAAATAAAACTCATTTTTCCAGGCAAATTACTTGTTTTTTATGGCCTATTAATAACAAGTGGTAATTGTGGAAACATTTATGGCTTAAGAAAAGACAATTTTGACAACAGCAACTAACTCATGTTCTCCAGTTATTGAGGGCTATTGGTTTATGCTTGCTATGCATGGCCCATCTGCAGGGAAACATTGGAGAGGTGGGTATGAGCCAGGGATGGGATTAGAGCCAGAAGCAAACAGTAATAAGCTATTATCCTGGGTGAAGCAGGCATGCAGTTATTCATCCCATCCCTTCAATTCTCACTGAGGACTCTATTAGATACTGAGTACCAATGTGAAAGATGTAGTCTTTAGTCTAAAGCTTGTGATCCAACGGGGGCAACAAGATATATAAACAACAACTGTGACAAGTCACATCAGAGCACAAGACATGTGCCATGGAAGGCATAGGGTGGCCCATCAATGACACAACGTTTTAATGTAATACCCTGTTTGCTTAGGTTGCAGAAATGTAGTTTGGCTCTATATCTCATAGGTACCCCCAGCAGCTACCATATACACAGCTACCGTACCAAGGGCTTATGACTGCTGGAATTAAAACCAAGGCACCCACATGTCACCTTGATCCAAAGAAGATCCAAAGAAGCTGCAGCCTTGGCTCCGCACAAATATTTTATTATTTTTGTCATATTGTCCCAGGTCCTCATGTCACCTAGTAGTCCACCTGTCCAGGTGCAGGCCAACAGATCAGGGCTTACAATAAATAGGACAGGTGCAACATTACACTCTGTGTTATTGTAATTGCCAAGGTGAAAGTATTACAATATGGCAGGCTCCGAGGTCACTTTCTTTAGGGCAGCCCAAGCCTGGTATTAACTCTTTACTCACAGCTTTAACTCAAACTAGGAAAAGGAATTAGGAGAAGTCTTCCTTGAATGATAACACCCAACTTAAGTATTCCCAAACAAGAAGACCTGGCTAATCAGTTCATCATTTTGCTTTGGAGGAGAGGTGTGTCAGGCTGAAGAAAGAGCAAATATAGAGAAAACAACTCATCATCTCCACAATTAAAATAGGTAATGGAAAAGAAATGTTGAGAGCTGCCAGAAACTAGTTTACGAAGGGCCTGATGTCTTAACCCAAAGCATTGGAACTTGGTTCTAAGGGCCTTGGGGAATCAGGAAGTAATTTCACTGGAAAATAAACGGAAATGGATCATGACAGGAGACAGGCAGGTAGGGGCTTTTGCCTTAACACAAAGAAGAAAAGTGAAGGCAAGAATAGAGCCATGATGTTGGTTAGGGAAAAGTGTGGAAAAGTATTATATGCTTCTGTTTCCTGTCCTAATCCCAAGACTGCTAAGTTGTGGGCACTCTCTGTGCTAGGGATGACATAGATTAGACGATTGCCAAGTGTCTTCCTGGTGAACCTGTAAGAAGGGTAATCTATGTCACTAAAAAGAACAGTAGGAGAAAAAATAATTCTTAGCATTGCTATGTAAGGAACTTTAAATGCATTATCTCATTTAATCTTCACAGGGACACAATAATAGCAATTATTATCTTTGTTTACAAATATGGAAATTGGGGTTCAGGAACCTTGACTAAGGTTAAGTAGCAAATACATGGCATGGCCAAAATGCAAAGTGGAAGTTTGTCTGGCTCTGAAGACCATGACTTTTTAGCTAGAAGAAGAGCAAGTTCAGAGAGAGAATAGTGCTGCCAGTTTTAAGAGCTTGTGCCCCCACCCAGGCGGTCATATGCAAAGGCTCATTCATGCTATACTGTTTTGTTCCTAGAGCTTAAAAGAGATCTTCAGGTGGTGAGGATTTATAAGAATCTTCAGTACTCGTTTGTTACTGAGTGAATCAATGTTGATGAGGAAGAGTGAATAAGAGATTCTGGTAAAACCCACTAATGTATGGGGTCAGACCTAGCGGTAAAAGCCATTAGACCCAGGAAACCAAGTCTTCCTAGGTGGCCCAGGATCCAGGACACAGATGGAGAGGGAGAGAGACAGAGAAGAAGCCAGAGAGACAGAAGTAGACCCACAGACAGCATAGAGAGGCAGGAAATGGGAAACTTCAGGGTTAGCTGCATGAGGTGTGATGGATTAGAATCCTGGAGAGAGTGTTTGCTCAAAAATGAATTGCTCCTGGTGTTATCTTTCTTCTGTATCCTGCTTCAGCCTAAACACTGTAACAAATTTAAGACAATGATATACAAAACACCCAGTCTGAAATACAAATATAATAAAATAATACATCCATTTTTGTAATAAATTTAATTCAAGTTCAGATTTCAATGTGAGAATTAGATTTTAGAGCAATAGTCAACATTCGCTCATTCATTCACTGAATAGAGGATAGGTGCGTTCTATGCAGTTGGCACCGTGAGCTACATGCTGGGGCTGTAACTGTGAACACTTAAAATAACTCAGATTCCACATAAAGCTTTACCACAGTATGTAAGATTGATCTTGTTCCAGAGAGTTTATGTTACTAAAATCAATTTTGTTTTCAACAGACTTTAAAAAGACATTGAGATATATGGATATGGATAAATATGTCCTTTTCCTCTGAATACGTTTCCTTGAGTTTTCAATATATCTTATTTACATATTATATATTACAAGAGTCTAATTGTCCACTTTCAATTTGTCTCTTTTCAACAGCTATTTTGAAGATTTTCATATTTGTTTGAATTAGAAAACACCTTGGTTAGGAAGCAGTTCTTGAATACATACACACACACAGGCACCCACACGCACGCACGCACACACGCGCACGCACACATGCACGCACACGCACGCACACACGCACGCACACGCACGCACACACGCGCATGCACACGCACACGCACGCACGCACACACACGCACGCACACACACATGAAAAAACAGATTTATTCCCAAATAAAATTCTCCATAATACATTTATGATTTTCTTACAGATTTTTCAGCTCTGCTTTCTATTTAGGAGGCAGACATTAAGGTATACAGGCACAGGTCTGAGTAGTACCATTTCTTTAATCCTTTTGTTCAAGTTTCTCTAAATACACCTGCCTAAAATTTACTGAAGACTAACCTCTGGGACTTGAAAACAAAGAAGAAGAGAAAAACACACACACAAAATTCCTTTCCAAAGCTGTAGGCTTTTATTTAATTGAGGCTGGAGACCTAAGTGACACTCCCTGGTTTAAAATCTGGAAGAGGGCCAGGCGCGGTGGCTCACACCTGTAATCCCAGCACTTTGGGAGGCCAAGGTGGGTGGATCACGAGGGCGGGAGATCGAGACCATTCTGGCTAACATGGTGAAACCCCATCTCTACTGAAAATACAAAAATTAGCCGGGCATGGTGGTGGGCGCCTGTAGTCCCAGCTACTCGGGAGGCTGAGGCAGGAGAATGGCATGAACCCGGGAGGCGGAGCTTGCGGTGAGCTGAGATCGTGCCACTGCACTCCAGCCTGGGCGACCAGCGAGACTCCGTCTCAAAAAAAAAAAAAAAAAAAAATCTAGAAGAGAAGGTGGGCTGAAGTAGATGGGTCGTTAGGCTTTGAGGCTATGACGTTTGGAAGCTAGAGTTACACTTTCTTTGAAGCTGTGAATAAACAGCTTGGGAATAGTTTATAATGTTATTTTCTGATACTGGTTTTATTCCTTTTGTCTCAGGACACTGAAAAACAAGTGTTGGTTAAATTATCTTTAATTATTGTGCGGGAATATATTGCCTTTACAATATTTTGACTTCTCATAAAAAGACAAATACTATTTGATTCCACTTACATGACATACCTAATGTAGTCAAATTCTTAGAGACAGAAAGTAGAGGAGGGGTTGTCGGGGGCCAAAGGGAGGAGGAAATGAGGAGCTGTTATTAAGTAGGTACAGACCTTCAGTTTTGCCAGACAAAAAGAGCCCTGCAGATTGATTATACAACAAAATGAATGTACTTTACACTAGTGAACTATGCACTTAAAAATAGCTAAGATGGGAAATTTTATGTTATATGTATTTAACTATATTTTTATAAAAATAATGATTAAAATAGTACTTTTATATTGTGGTATATTTTAATACAGTTTTTTTTTATTTTTTTTTTAATTATACTTTAAGTTCTGGCATACATGTGCAGAATGGGCATATTTGTTATATAGGTATACACATGCCATGGTGGTTTGCTGTGACTGGCTTATTTTACTTATGATAACATCCTTCCAGTAGCAATAAACCCTTATGCTAGCATGTGCCAGAGTTCCTTTTTTTGTAAGGCTGAATAATACCCCACTGTATGCCTGTACCATGTTGTGTTGACCCAGTCATCGATGGACACTTGGGTTGCTTCTGTCCTTTGTGAATAATGCTACTATAAACTTGGATGTACAAATACCTGTTTGAGCTCCTGATTTCAATTATCACTATTGTTATTTGAGACAAGGTCTCAGTCTGTTGCCCAGCCTGGATTGCAGTGGCACAATCTCAGCTCACTGCAGCCTCGACCTCCCAAGGCTCAAACAATCCTCCCACTCCAGCTTCCCAAGTAGCTGGGACTACAAGCTTGCACCACCATGCCCAGCTAATTTTATCTTCTTTGTAGAGACAGTGTCTCACTATGTTGCCCAGACTGATTTGGAATTCCTGAGATCAAATGATCCTCCTGTTTTGGCCTCCCAAAGTGCTGGGATCACAGGCGTGAGGCATTGAACCTGGCTCCTGCTTTCAATTATTTTTCCTTGCTTTGTTTTTTCTGCAGAGCACTGATTACCATCCAAATGCCCTCTTCCTGCCCCCAGCTAGAGATGCAAATTATTTCTATTTGGTAGAAAGATGACTCTAAAGGTTGTAATTGTATTGCCTTAAGGACATTAACCAATTTTATTTCTTTTCTTTCTTTCTTTCTTCTTTCTTTCTTTCTTTCTTTCTTTCTTTCTTTCTTTCTTTTTCTTTCTTTCTTTCTTTCTTCTTTCTTTTTTTTTTTTAGACAAAGTCTCGCCCTGTTGCCCAGGCTGGAGTGCAGTGGCTCGATCTTGGATCACTGCAACCTCCACCTCCCGGGTTCAAGCGATTCTTATGCCTCAGCCTCCCAAGTAGCTGGGATTACAGACACCTGCCACTACGCCCGACTAATTTTTGTGTTTTTAGTAGAGATGGGGTTTCACCATGTTGGCCAGGCCAGGCTGCTCTTGATCTTCTGACCTGAGGTGATCCACCTGCCTTTGCCTCCCAAAGTGCTGGGATTACAGGCTTCAGCCACCATGCCCAGCCACAACCAGTTTTATTTCTAACCTAGCAATTTTATTCTAACATTCTTTTAAAAATGTCTATAAATACTTAGGTCCTCCAAATGCTCTTTGGATCAGCTTTACCATCTTGCTTCATCATTAATGATTAATAAATTTCCGAAACATGTTCATTCCAAAAAAATATGTAGACTTCATATACTTGATTTCATTATAACTAAAACAAGTTTATACACAGGCCCATTTAAAAACCTGAAATCTTTCTGAGACTGTATTGGAAGAGACTATAGCAATATGGAAATAAATGAAGATCAAACAAAAGAGACAGGCAAAGGCTATTTATTCAGAGCTTGCATTTGGCAAAGACTCAGAGGCAGGCAGAGGAGTAGGAAGGCTTTATGGGGGAAAAAATGTTCAATTAAATTTGGCCTAAAGCTACCTCCATATGTAATGAATTGCAACCTAACTTAGTATGTAAATAAACTACAACCTATCATAAAAGTATATTATTGTAACTAGTAGCTGAGTCTTGGCCAATCATAGCAGCCAACTTTTCAGCCAATCACAGACTGCAAACTGGCCTGTAATCAATAAGGTGAAGGCTGGCCTGTAATCAATCAGGATATTTCTTTTTTTTTTATGTAAAAGTAACGATTTAATGACTATAAGCAATACAAAGCAATAGAATTGTGCTTCTTTTTCAGACTGGGGACAATGAAATGTTTAGCTACAATTTTCCTATGCAAACATGAAACAATATTCATATAGAATAAACACCCTCACAAATAACTGATGGGTGATGAACACACACCAAGTTCGACCAAAGCAAAAAACAAACTAAAAATTGTTGGGTGGGGTTATTCATATTTTAAATTCAACATGCTTGCTCTATTTAAAAATACCTGTAGAAGCTCATAATAAATAGCTTCTATTTCCAGACATAGCAGAGAAGGCATATTCCATTGTTAACTGTAAAAGCAACTCTTAAATTTGAAATTACTGCTATACCACGTATTAAAATAACTTTAGATAAAATGCCTTCTTTTAGCAACCTGCTGGTTTATTTAAAAAATTGTTTTAGAACTACAGTGATCAATATGCATTTTTAAAATACAATATTAATTCCATCATAGCCAATGGAAAATTAACACGCTATTTCCATATTTCTCAGTTAAAGGTTTTTCTTTACTGCAACAATTTTTAAAGTAAACATGTATTATTGGAGAAAAGTATATAAAGAAAAGTATATTCTATATGTTATTTATTTTTTCTTTCTATAAATACTGCCTGACCAGGTTGCTGGGCAGAGATCTCTGAGCCTTTACTTGTTCAGGGTGCTGCCCAATTCACAAATCATTTCTTTTTCTCAAATAAACTCTGCTAAATTAAGTTTGTCTAAAGTGTTTCGTTTATCAACAACAATGAAAAGGCTTCAAGTGTACCTTGATTGGGGACTATTAACTTGGGGAAGTGGCAGGTAAGCACACTAGAAACGGGGCATTCTATGTGATTGGTTAAAGGTGTATATTTACTTTTCCTCAGTTGTTCCTAAGTTGGAAACTGGGGCAAAAATTGGGGAAGCTAAGTTGTTACTCAAGTCTTGACTATTTGAGGCCAATTTTTACATGGGTGGTTGTTTAGCTTTTAGGATTATTTCCTAGAGACGGGTCTACTCCCTACAAGTGTGACTGGTACCTCATAGGTTGACTTCCCAAGCTAGTTACTGTAGATAATAGGCTACAGTTCTGTTTCTGAATGTGATTTGGCAATTTTCCATTTGTATAAGACTCTTAGTAATTATCTAATGTAGAAAAATTAAATAAACTAATAAAGGCCAAATGACTGTATTTAACTCAATACTACTTTTTATGTGTCTGGCACTTTTTAGTTTTCAAAATATTTTAAACTGTAGAATATTATCAGATTTTTAAAATAAAATCAAGGAAGTTAGGTAGGGCTGGTATTTTCTTTGTTTTGTACGTAAGAAAAATGAGGTTCCCCAAGAGGTGACATGGGTCACAGCCACAGTTGCAAAGCTGAGGCCTCTGAGATTCCTGACCCGGACTGCTCAATATATGACAGCCTGTTCTATCTGTGTCCCACAGATTCAGATAATGGTGAACCAAAGTGTGACATTTGTGTTATCACACTGCTGAAAGTTGATAAGGATTTTAACCCAAGCGTAAAAAAAAAAAAAAAAAAAAAAAAAAAAATTCAGATTTTTTGAATCATTTCTGTGATTTTCTAAAAAAATTCCTTATTTGAATTAAACTGTTAACCTGGTGAATTTTACAACTTGTGATTATTAGATAATCAGATTTTTGAAAATACTATTAGCTCCATTAACATACTTGCTATCACTTGATTTTCCAGTTCCATCAGGAATGTTATATTTCCTACATAGATTAGAATGATGTGTGAAGAACTGAGAAATCTGCAATATAAATAAATTAATTAAATTAAAAATTCATGGAGCAATATGATAGGTGGTGGAGTCAACCATTTTTTAAAAACGCAAAACAAACAAAACCTCAATACCTGCCTTAAAATAACTCAAGGCCTTTCGGGAAGAGCAGATACATAGAACTATAAAGCAAGGTCAGTGCAGAGATGACCATGACCCTGCAAGAGTGGTGAATGGGTGGGAGGGCTTCAGAGGATACTTAAATTGAGTTACCAGGAGAGAGTAGAGTTAGTTAAGCAAAGAAACACAAGACATAAGGGCATTCAAAGGAGGGGTGGTAATAGCTGTAGAAAACAGCATTGTTTTTATTGGGGGAGGAGTAGGGAGGAAGAACCTACAACCAATGTAATACAGGTAGGTTAACAGGGAAAGACAAAGCTAGAGGGGAAGGAAAGAGCAAGAAGGTGGAGATTCTTGCCGATGATATTAAAGAGCTTAGACATTCTATGGGCAACAGGAGGCTTCTGGAAGGATTTTATTCAGGGTTACATTATGATCAGATTTGCATTTTCAATAGATCATTTTGGCAGTATAAGGAGCTTATACTTTGAGGAGTCAAGGATAGAGTCAGAGACGGGTTGCAGTAATTCAAGTGAGAGGATTAGAGCTGAACCAGAGCCATTGAGGTAGACATGAAACAAAGTGGAAGAGAAGCAAGAGCAAGACATCCAGAAATAAAATCTGTACAATCTTCTGACTGATAGATTTGGGCATTATCACTTAAAGAAAGAGAGAGAAAAGTTTCTAGCTTGGATAGTTGGTTGGACAGAAAGAACCAGTAGTTTAATAAGAAATTATCAGTTCAGTATCTGAAATGTTCATATGGGGACTCCAGATGGATTCACCTAGCAGGCAGTTGGATAAATGAATGTAAAGATAAAAAGAATGGTCCAGGCATCTGATAAAATATTTAGAAATCACTAACAATTAGATGATTGCTAACTGAATCCTTGAGGACAAAAATCAGAAAGAATATGTGTAGCAGAAGCAGCACAGTGGCTAAGCTAGCACCTCGGGAACAACCAGTGTGCCAGGGATGCATGGAGGATGAGATGATATAAATGACAAAGGAAAGGTGTTAGATACAGAACAGGACACAGGAGGATGGACCATCAGCAAAGCCAAGAGAATTGAAAATATAAATGAGTGAGTAATCAAATAATTGTCAAATGGCTGATAAAAAAGCCTTATACATTTGCCAAATAAAAGGCACTAGGTGATGTTATCAGGAGCAGATTGGATAGCGTGGTTTGGCTGAATTTTTGTAAAGATTAGAAAGTAAAGAGAGTGAGTGTGAAGTGTTCTTAAATAAGTGTACTCAGAGATGAGCCCAAGGGAAGAGTTACTAAAGATTCGTCGAGGTACTCTTTTTCCAAAAAGAAAATTGTATTTCCCAGAGATACTAGCCTACACAACTCAGAAAAAAGGCCCCCTGGAGTCTATGTTTCTGTTATATTTAAATGTTGTAGTCTCCAAGTCTGAGTTTCCAACAACATATTGAGACAATTTTAGAAAATCACACTAATTTTTTGAAAGTAATTTAGGAAGAACTTTACTCTTGTTTAACAGAATGTAATTCTGGTTACTACACAGAATCAACAGAGGAACTGAAAGTCCGAAGCCACAGCACGGAGCCATTACCAAAGTTGGACAACAAGGAAAGAGGCCACCATGGGGCGTCTTCCTCCAGAGAGCCTGTCAAAGCTCAGGAATGGGATGGAACACCAGGGACACCTGTGGTCACCAGTCGACTAGGAAGATGCTCTGTGAGCCCCACCTTGTTAGCGGGAAACCACAGTTCAGGTAAGGCAGATTATGATCTTCCAGAAGGTAATTCCTCCTGTCTCTAGAGACTACTTTCATGCAATATCACTTACAGAATTATCACCACAGATATCTCTGTCTGCACACAGAGAGGCACCACAAGTAACCATTCACGTAGGTTACATAAAGGGATATAACAATATATTGTACTGCTCAAAGGTACAACTATTTACAGAGATGAAAGATACCTGAACGGTGCTTCTTGGAGCTATGCAAGATAGCAGCCTTGAAAACTTAAAAAGTTTTATACTAAATTTCTTCAAAAATATCTAGAGGCCTCATCTAAAGCAGTTTTAACTTGCGAAGTTTGAGTAATTTAGAATTTATGCTTCATTTGCTTCAAAAAATATTTTGGGCAACTGATAAAAAATGAACAAAAGTAACATTGAGAACAGAAATGTAACAAAGATAATCTGAAAGCAGTAAAGAAAGTAGATATTAGGAGGCATCTGAAATCTTGAGCTGAAGGTGATAACTGGGCATTGGGAATGGCACTAAATTCCCAAATCTAAGTCAAAGGAAAATGTAAAAGTTTTAATAGAATGTACCTTTAAATGTCACAAGTTAAAATTAAAATCTGCAATGCAATTTTACATGGTTAATAGGTAGGTATTATTAAACATCAACTTTTTAAAAAACAGCATATGTTTGCTTTGAATTTATTAATTTATGTGTTGGACTCACAGAGAGCTGTCAATTGAAATAAACAACAAATAATCAAGGAACCTCCTGTAGTTTCAGGTTTCTATTTCTTAAGAGTGTTAGAGCTCCAAAGAAAAGACTAATCCTTTAATATTCTTTTCAGCTCTGATACTCATCTTAGAAAGCAATTTACATGAATTTAGCTTGTGGTCTCTCAGACAGTCGTGCACAAGTTAAAATTGGAATAGGATGAATGGTCTCTGCAATTGCTGAGGATATTCCTGGAACAATACCCAGACAGGAGCAAAGTACTAGCTTCCCCAGACTTAACATGTAACTTGAAGCTTTGGTGGTAGAGCCATAGCACATATGTGGATAACCAACTCTAAAGCATGAGTTAAAATTTGGCCAAAGGAATACTATATAAATTTAATAAAAATTTCAAAGTATATTTTTGATAGTAAAGTATAAATTGCTATAGGTGTGCATTTTGTCACAAAGAAAAAGAAACATAGAGAACACATAGTTTTTTTTTTTTTTTTTTTTTTTGAGATGGAGTTTCACTCTTGTTGCCCAGGCTGGAGTGCAATGGTGCGATCTTGGCTCACTGCAACCTCCGACTCCTGGGTTCAAGTGATTCTCCTGCCTCAGCCTCCCTAGTAGCTGGGCTTACAGGTGCCCACCACCACGCCCAGCTAAGTTTTTGTATTTTTAATAGAGACGGGGTTTCACTATGTTGGTCAGGCTGGTCTCAAACTCCTGACCTCAGGTGATACACTCACCTCAGCCTTCCAAAGTGCTAGGATTACAGGCTTGAGCCACTGTGCCTGGCTCACAAATAGTGTTTTTATGGGGAAAAAAGTCACTTCCCCAAAAAACTTTGACATCACTATTTAATTGAGTCTTATGATTAGTTTGGGGCTTATCAGTAGTTTTAAAGAATTATCAAAATTTGTACCAATTCTATTGAAAATACGTGAACAATATATACTTCTATTGTGGCTAGATATATATTTTATAAAAATCAGAAGCATTCTCTGGGTTTCTATTATGTTATAGCCACAGTTCTATGATCTGAGAATACAATGACAAAAAAGATATCCTTACATTTAAGTGCTCAAAGTCTAGAGCAAGACAGACAAATAGACAACTGCAGTATACTGTGTGTTTCAGTCAGGATTCTCTAGAGAAACAGAACCAATAGGATATATAGATATAAATATATAAAGAGATTTATTATGAGGGATTAGTTCGCATAATCATGCAGGCAGAAAACTCTCATTATCTGCTTTCTGCAAGCTGTAGGCCCAGGAAAGAAAATAGCAGAGTTCTAGTCCAAGCTCAAAGGCCTGAGAACTAGGGGAGTCAATGGTGTTAAGTCCCAATCTGAGTCAAAAATCCCAAAAGCTAGAATGCAGATGTCCAAGTGCAAGAGAAGACAGATGTCCCAGCTCAAGAAGAAAGAGTAAATTTGCCCTTTATTCTCTGTTCCATTCTATTCAAATCCTCAGCAAATTGGATGATGCCCACCCACCTAGGTGAGGGTGATTTTCTTTACTTAGACTAGTGATTCAGATACTAATCTCTTCCAGAAATACCCTCACATATACACCCAGAAAAAATGTTTTACTAGCTATCTGGGCATTCCTTAACCCAGTCAAGTTGACACATAAAATCACGTGTGTTACATAAAAATATGAATACTATGGGAAACAGAAGATGTCTTAATCCATTCTGTGTTTCTGGGTACACAAGGCTGGGTAATTTATTAAGAAAAGAGGTGTATTTGGCTTACGGTTCTGCAGGCTGAGAAGTTCAAGAAGCATGGAGCTGGCTTCTGCTCACCATGAGGTTGGGGCTTCTGTGCTGGGTCAAAACATGGTGGAAGTTCAAAGGGGAAGTAGATATGTATGAAGAGGCAAAACTCAACGGGCATCTGGCTTTATGAGAACCCACTCTCTCAAGAACCAGTCTAGTCTCACCAAAGTGAGCACTTACTACCTCAAGAACAGCAGCAAGCCATTCATGAAGACTCACCCACATGACCCAGACCCCTCCCACTAGGCCCCACCTCCCAACACTGCTGCATTGGGGATGAGATTTCAACATGAGTTTTCGTGAGAACAAGCCATATCCAAATCACAGCTGAAGAGAAATCAGTTAGTTCTTCCTGGGGCAGAGTGATTTTAACAGTAATAATCGGGAACTTTTGGTAGATAAATAATATTTGCTTGAAGAATATGTGAGCTAGAACTTGAAACAATGAGTTTCTCACCAGGAAGATGAAGAAAAAAGTCAGCCTTCTGGATAAAATCCTAAAAGTCTATGGGATGGAACAAAGTGTTTGGTATAAAGGATGAGGGAAGATTGAAGAAACTGCAAAGGTAGGTGGTGACAAGATAGCAAAAGTCCTGAAGGGCCTTGTTATTAATTAGAAAGCCTTTTAGCTATGAAGTATAAATTACCAGAGGCTTAGCAAATAATAGCCCTTGTTTGCACCCTTAGCATCAAGCTCCGAGGTAGGCAGTTCCAGGTGTTTTGCAGCTGTTCAGGGACGTCAAGGACCCAGGAACTTTGTATCCTTCAGTTCTTCTGTTCTGCTACCCTTGATGATTGTTTTCATGATGACAAAGCTGATGGACTACACAGTTCTGGGCATCATACCTCAAAGATTCTCCATTTCATCTAATTGGTCAGAACTGGCAAACATCTTGTCTGGTCCAATCTCTGAGTGAAGGAAAATGGGATTTCCATGGGCTTGTAGAGAACCCTTTTTCCCCTAAAGCAAGGGTCCTTTGCCTTCCATCTGGAAATGAAATCAAAAGCCTATTAGCAGGGATAAAAGGGGAATGATGTTGCATAAGCAGTAGATGGTGTCTGCCATGTAATTAGGTTTTTAAGTTTATGTGGTGGATATTTGGATATTTTTGTAGTTATTTACTATTTTTTAAGGATAGGGATAATGTAATTCAGTTTACATCATGGAACACCCAATGATGACTCTGTGGCTTTAAACTTGGGTGACTGGGAAGTCATTTACTGAGATAGAGACTGTCAATGTGAGATGCGGAGCAAGATTTACGAGGGAAAGTCAGGACTTACAGTTTGCTTATGTTAAGTTAGAAATGCTCTGGGACATCAAATTGAGAAACCAGTAGATTGTTCAGATTATAGATCTGTAGCTAAAGAGATTTAGTGGATTCAAAACTGAGACTAGACTCCTTTGGCGTGGTTAGAACAGTAAGACTGGATGAGTCTAAACTAGGAGAGCAGGAAATTCAGATGACACCCTGGGGAAATCCACACATTTCAAAGTGTGGGTAAATACATAGAAATGAAACAGTTAGATAGTCCATAATTAAACTTTTTTGAACACTTAGTAAGTTACATATAGTTTGATAAACATGTACCGTACAGTGTCTTTACACTTTGATATGAATATTCTAATAAATTCAGAGTGTAAACAGAATTTATACCATACTTTCACTTTCTTCCATATCAAAACCCCAAAGCATCTCTTTTGGTTTACAGCATGTAAAATCTGCCCTCCTGAGGTTTTTAGTGTTGTTTGTAGAGCAGGAAATTGTCTACTGACCAGAAGAAATGACATACATATTTTTAGTATGTATTCTTTATCTTAGATTATGAAGGAGGTAGGCAAAGATGGAAGAAGACATAAATTCTGTTAAGTTTTAAATAATGAGATGGTTGTATTCATATTAGAAGAAATGCAAAACAGAGGGGCAAGTGTAGAGTTACATATATAATGTCAGTGCAAGCCAGTTGCTTATGTGAAAGCGAAACTCAAATTAATGTTACCATTACTTGAACCTCTAGTCTACCCTTCTACTACTTTTCAGGAAAGAAAAGGAGAAAGGGAAAAATGTTGTGTTGTTAGCTTTTATTTTTCTGAAGAGAAAGAACCTAAATGGTGCCAGTTCTGAACTAGAAAATGCCAAAAATGGCAAAAATGTATAGAGTATCTGAAGTTCACACTCACCTTTGGTAGTGTTTTGCTTTGTTTTGTTTTGTTTTGTTCTGTTTTTGAGATGGAGTCTCACCCTGTCACCCAGGCTGGAGTACAATGGCATGATCTCAGCTCACTGAAACCTCCGCCTCCTGGGTTCAAGAGATTCTCCTCCCTCAGCCTCCCGAGTAGCTAGGATTACAGGTGCCCACCACCATGCCTGGCTAATTTTGGCATTTTTAGTAGAGACGGGGTTTCATCGCATTGATCAGGCTAGTCTCAAACTCCTGACCTCAGGTGATCCACCTGCCTAAGCGGCCTCCTGAAGTGCTGGGATTGCCCGGCCACCTTTGGTGTTTTAAGCAAACCATGCACTACTTGAATATTCATCAATGAGATGGTCTCTGTCCAAAATAAGCAAGTAGGTACATCAAGAGGGAGTTTTAGACTTTCTGTTTTGGAACAGAAGACAATGAGTCAGTATTAACTGTTTCTCCTCCTTCTCTTTATACTTCCTCATCATTGTTGCCTCCTTGCCCCTGGGTACTCAACTTCCTACCTCACACTAGAGAGGAAAGAAGATTCTACTTATAAACCCCTCCTTCCTCTGTCAACTTTCTGCTTCTGCGTCTATTTCTCTCTGTCCCCCCTCCACACTGATATACATACAAACTTCTACCAGTCACAGGCTATTGCTTTACCAAAAGTAGTTTAGCCACTTGAAATGGTTGTTCTTAACAGCTCTTTTGAGGAATGAAGGAATTGCTGAAGTAAAGCAAATGTGTCAGGAGATCTCAATTCTAATTAACATTAACACTGGTTGCTGGGGTACTTCGTTAAAGTCACTGTTGTTTAGTAAATCACAGATTCCCCACAGGGTGATTCTTGAAGGCAGTGGAGAACTGGGACCCAAATGCTCATGAACATAATAGGAAAGCGTGAGGAGATTATACAAGTAAATATGGTATTGACAAAAACTCAGATTTCAACCACTGAACCCATTAACAAATAGTTTCCACACAGCTTGTATCCAACTCTGTTATGGTTTCTGGGGACACACACACCTACCCCCCACAGACTGTAAAATACAATCTGTGACCCTCAAAAATTTTACTATGTTTCTTTATGACACAGAACTATTGAACACAAATTAATTAGGTTATAATTAAATGTATTATTTTCATTATTATCTACTGCTTACTATACGTTTAAAATCATTCAGAGAACAATTAATTAGTGTAGGCTTGAAAAATGATGGAGAGATTAATGGAAGACATGGAGTCTCACATCAGGATTATTCTAGATCTTCTTAAAAATCATTATGATTATCAATTGAGTGGAAAGAGAATATTCCACATGGGATGAAAAAGGTGAAGAGACACACCTGCCCTGGCTTGGCCCTGCTGGGCCACCCTGACAGAAGTGTTTTTGGAAGTAAACTCAGCCCTTGGCTTATGAACAAAGTGGTATCATACCCACACATGCACACAGACATATATAGGCAAACAGGGTTTATAGTGTAACATTTAAATCTAAAAAGAATGAAAACACTATAAAGGGAAGGATCAGCTATATTATAAAACCCTTGGTTTCTGCGTGTTCAACTTTCTGTGCTTCTGCTGTTCTGAAAAGGTCTAAGATGAGATGCTAATTGAGATGCCTTCAGGACAGACAGGTATCATTAGCAAGTGAAGCAGGAAAGATGCCTTCCTTCATGTATTTTGCTTATACATGAAACACTTACAAATGTACTTTACTCCCACAAAGGAAAATGTTTTTCCCACTTTTCTTGAAACTTGAAGCCCTTTTGTTCTAAGTTCTATATTCCCACATTTGTTAGAAGCATTGCTAAGGAGAAATATTTCTCCATTACAAGGAAAATCTATTGCAAGCTGATGCACCTCAGGACTCAATGATGGAAATGCAGGTGACCTGGAAAGCATAGGGGCACCCCAAGTGGACAAAAGCTACTCAGTGCCAGCTGATGCTGCCATGAGAAATGCTCACCCAGGGTTCCCAGATTTAACTGCTATTATGTGAAATCTCCCAACTTTTAAATGTAATTCAATTTTTAGAAAACAATTGAGTAGAATAATTCACTTCTTTTAGCTGGGTAAGACCCGAAGACCACACACTTGCATTTTCTGGTTTGTAAAATCAAGCGATGACCATTAGGTGGAAGCATGGATTTGACCCTGTGGCACAGAGAAGCTGCTTTCTACTGGAAGCAGTAGGTCCCAGTAGATACCTTGTCCTCCTGGCTTTTATTTTCCAGAAGCTGCTGTTCCTGGACAAGGAAATGCTAGCAATAGCAACACTGGTAAGAGAGAGACATGCAGCCTTTGATGGCCAGGGAAGGAAGGGGGAATTCCTTAGCACTAAAAGAGAAATAGAGGTTTAGAATTCCATGAATAGTGAGGGCCAGCAGCCTAATCCTTCATAGCACCCTTGCAAAATGGCACGACCTCTAACTGGCAGAGAAGTTGGGTGGGGTAGAGTTTGCATAGGCTGGGCTTTATGCGCCATATGGTTTTAACCTTCAAAATATGGAATTCTGTACTTCAAGGGGCTCTTTGTGCTCGAACAGTAGACCCCTCACGTGACAACCAGTATGAGCTAAAGACTAGGAGGACCATATTATATATTCTGCTCTGCAGAACGGTTCTGGGACTTCATGACCCATTGTAGGGAAGCATTTTCCATCATCATTTATGATTCAGTCCTTCATATCCAAGAGGAGTCTTGTACACACAAGTTCAGAAAAGTGAAAAACAGATGTGGATTTAATTTCATTTAAAGAAAACAAAAAAAAAGCCATTTCTTACACACTGTGCTTGTAAATTCTATACTAATTATAAATGCATGCATAAGGTATAATGCAGTGGTTGAGCACCAAATGGTCAGGCAACCTGCAAATCTGGATTTAAATCCTCATTCTATTTTGTCAAAGACAGTGGGCACTCTGGCTCCAACATGACACTTTACACACCCAAACCATGGTTCATAAGACATTTGCAGCCATAATTCATCTTCTGGTCACTACATTAAAGATTGAAGAGATCACAAAGACCTTGAGAGGTTATTCAAAGGCTCAAAAGTGGAGACCTGGGAAGATGTGGCAAAATGGGGGCCATTTACAATAAGCAACAGAGCTGGGATTCAGGAATGGAACTGCAATTGAACTCAAAAGCACAGTCTTTGAGTACTGAATTTTTATCAGTTGATTTATAAGAAAGATGATTTTCTCTTGAAACTTCTAAAACATATTTCCCGTACTTTACTTGATAACACTGAAATGACTGGCTAACTTTGCTGATAAACTTCCTGACAGCAATAACTCAAAGCCATTTATGCTTCAGCCTCCATATCCAAGAAGACTCCCATGCACACAAGTTTGGAGAGGTGACAAACAGGCAAACCATGCAGAATTGGGCAGCAGGACTGCGAGCTGCAGAACAGTACTCATGACGGTCCTTTTTGGAAGACCGTAATAAATCGACATAGTTTTCTTTTTTTAGTGTGTAAGTAAATCATGCTTGGCAACAATATTAATAAATTAATATTTTGGTGTCAATTGTTTGATGAAATAACAAAACACTGCTGTGACCCACTTTCTCTATCTTTACAGGAGAGATCAAATAAATCTCACTGTGTAGGTTATGATGAAGATTAAATTAAAAAATGCATGGAATGCTTGGTACAAAGCCGGTTTATAACAGCTAGTAGACAAACGTTTATTCCGTTCCCATTCAATTTTACTGGAAAAATACCTGTCTTTTTCTAGGACCAAGACTAGATGTTTTCTTTTGAAAGATCAGCACATTGCAAATATGATAAGATATTTCTTTGGCAGAACATAATATAAGTGGTTATGAGACTACTATTAGTGCGACAATGTATGCTTCATTGACTTGTGCATTTTTCAACAAAGATTTGTGGCCAGTGTGATGACCCTTTTTGGGTTGCCTTGAGTCTGCATTTATAGATGGAATTTGGAGGAAGAATGAGGGGCAGGTCTTAAGACTTGGTTGCTACATCGTACACAGTTATCAAATAAGTAATCCTAATCTCTCACAATGCTTCTGTTCTGCTTAGAAGCAATGAATAGGATTTAAAACCAGGTTGTCAAGGATGTGGGAATCACAAGAAAATATTGATGTCTGCAAATGTGTACATCTTCTCTAATAAATATCCAGCTTGAGATTCATTTATCTATTCCTTTAGTCATTTATTCCCTTTGTGTTTATTTTCTAACTAAAATTTCTTCAACGTATACTTTGTGTTGTGCAGAGGGTGGGGAGGACAGGAATATATATAATGTACCCTAGACTCATATTCTAGCAGGTAAAGCAGAAAATAAAACAACCAATTATTCCAAAGAATGTTATAAGTAAGCCAAGCACAGCTGGCTAAAGGGAAGGCCATTCAAACAAGCTTCCTGGAGAATGTGACACTAAATTTGGTACTAGCATGATGAGTAGGAGCCAGGCAAATAAGAGAGGATAGAGTGTTTCCTGCAGCTCACTCAGGAGTGTGGATAAAAACTTTGCTTTTAGAACCTGGTTAATATTCAACTTTTTAATATATCTACATAATTTCTAAGCTGTGTCTTCTTTTCTTTCTTTCATTTCTTCATGTGGCCCATCTCCTTCAGGATGCCAAGGTTTCTCCTAATGGTCCTAATTATTCCCCTCTCCCTGTAATCATGCCCTTGGTAATGTGCTTTCTTTTTTTTTTTTTAATTTCATTATTATTATACTTTAAGTTTTAGGGTACATTACTGGGTATATACCCAAAGGATTACAAATCATGCTGCTATAAAGACACATGCACACGTATGGTAATGTGCTTTCATAGCTCTTTATCAAGAAGTAAAGTCAATTTCCCATCCCTTGAATCTGGACTACCCTTGAGTCTTGCATTGACCAATAGAGTGAGATGGAAGTGACTGTATGTCAATTCTGATCCTTGGCCTCATGAGGTATGAATGCTTTCATGGCTCTTTTCCAACCCTGCCACCACCATGTGAACATGCCTGGGCTAGCCTGTTGGATGATGAAGTACAATAGAGGAGAACCCCCCAAAATGTGAGAAAGCACAGCATGGAATAGCAGAACCATCTACTTGACCCACATTTGACTAAAGATGCATGAGTGAGCCAGGCTGAGACCAGAAAAATCACCCAGAAGACCCATAGACTCATGAGCAAGACTAAATGAGTGTCATTTTAAGACACTGAGTTTGGGTGTGGCGTGACACAGATACCATGATCTGTTTGTGTTTTGCTATTTTTTTTCCAAGTGAAAATGCTTTATTGCTTTATTATTAGGTAATAGTATAGTAGTATAATAACAGGTAAGTAGAGTATGCTCATTGACAAAAAGTTAAAGTAAAAAATGAAACTCTACTCGCCTGCCTTTTCCTTCATCATCTCACTTTAGGAAGTATTTGTGTTAAACCATCATGTTTTCATAGTTTAGGGACTGAGTATTGATAAGGAGTATGAGTTCTCCGTTATATTCATTTTTGTTACGCAACAGGAACAGCAAACCAATCTGTTGGAGTTCGGGTGTTCATTGTAATTTAGACTTCACTGTAGGCTGTTCTCTAACTTCCTGCTTGGCTCCACTTCAGCACCGGGCAGCTGTGAACTTCCAGAGTTACGACCCTCAAGGCTGCCATTCTGTGCAGTCAGATCATGCATCAGAAGACAATTCTCCACATCTGCTCTCCTTTCCAGTTCTAATTGGGTGCTTGGTGGCTTCCCCGGGGAACATTTGCCAGGTTCTGCTGCCTGGTTCTGTTCACCGTTTTCTCACTCTGCAGTTTAACTCTCCCTTTCTAAATTTGAGGAGCAAATGCATAACAGAATTCTCATTTGGAGGGGCCTTGGAGGGTACTGTAAGCTGTAGCCCCAAGACTCCCACTTTTATTTCTCTGTGGAAAACTGTGACTTCTGCTGGCTAGAATGCATGTTTATCAGAGAAAGTTTTATTTGGATTTCTCCTGATACTGGTAGTATGGCTTTGAGAAACAACCAGAAAAGGAGAACTGGGAGGGAGTTAACCATTTTAAATGGTCAAAGCATGTCTTTCTAGAGTTTGAATGTAAATAAACAGGGTACAAAATGCAAAAGGCTAATTACAAAATAATAGAAGATAATGACTCTCACATTTCAAGGCGAAAAGCTTGACTGCAGAAGCAGAGCTTGCAAAGGAGTTGATCGAAATGAATATTGTTGTCCTTAACTGAACTCTCATTTCTAGCCTAGGAAAGTGGTTAGAGGCTGAGAGAGACAGAGACTAGATATTAGAGAGAATTTTAAATAGACTCTAGATATTAGAGAGAATTTTAAATAGACTCTAGATATTAGAGAGAATTTTAAACAGACTCGTGTGTTTGTGTGTGTGTGTGTGTGTGTGTGTGTGTGTGTGTGGTGTGGGAGGGGGGTGAGAGAGAGAGAGACAGAGAGAGAGAGACAGAGAGATGAGTGTCCATCCAATAGAAGAGGGGTGAGAAGTGTCTCCAGCAGTGGAAAGTCAAATGAGAGAGACTTTAATGGAACCATTCAGAAAAGTTGATATTATTTCTAACAGTTTGAGGGATAGAGTGGAAGGAAAAAGCACAAGAGACTGGGTGAATGGTCTGTGACCACAGAGAAAGTTGCTTAGCAAGTAACTGTTCGGCTGCTGATGGTGGGTTAAAGATGTGTATAAAGTGTGTTTTCTATGGACCAGATTTGGTCCTGGAGAGGAACTCTGGAGGTGGCCTAGACCATGAGAGTGCCTGGGGCAGCCAGGACTCTCAGGACGTGTTTCAAGGTGCCCTACAGGATACCCAGTTACCCACAAAAGACAGAGAGCGAACAACCATGATGTCTCCAGGTGAGAGATGGCCAACCAATCAGAGGAGGCCTTCAGGGACACTGGAAAGCACCCCAAGAAGACAGAGCTTCAGTGTCAAACACCTTTCCCAGCCAGAGGGTGAGAGACACTAGCCCGTGCCAGGCCCTTGAAGAACCTTTCCTTTCCCCATCTCTCCTGCTCTCTCCTGTTTCTGCCCAGATGAGAGCAGGCATTGTGGGGACCAAGTTGGGAACAGAGGTGGAAGAACAGGGAGAGGAGGCCAAGACAGAGGCCATCTCTTCTGTTTGCCAGGAGCTGGCCCAAAGTGGGCCAAGGGAGAAGTGTTTCCTTGAGATAATATTCATAGTTTTGATTAATGTAAGTAACTGGGCACTTAAGTTATTACTTCAGTAAGACTTTTTGTAACTAAAAGAAACTGAAAGATTTTTAATCATCAAAGTGAAAAAAAAAAGTCTTGGGACTCAGTAGAGAGTTTCTCTAAAGCACAAGAAAGACCTTTGCTCCCCCAGAACAGGTTGGTACAGCTCTGGCTTCTGGGGAGAAAAAAATAATACAGTTTTCTGATGCATATAAGATCCTGTATGTTCAAACAAACAGTTAAATTGACAAGTTTAAAGAGAACAGACTCTGGTATAATTTTTAAAAATTGCTCTAAGGTTATTGCAGATTATATATAACCTGAGTTGTGGAATTTAAGTTTATTACCTTTGTGGGTTATCTGTGACCTGTTTAAAATAATGTCTTATTTTTATTATACCAGAGCTTTTAAAATGCCTTTATGTGTACTGTCTCATCTGTACTTCACAAAAACCTGTGCATCAGTGGGCTGGTATCATTATCTGACATTTTTTTCTTTTTTTTTGGTGATAAAACTGAGGCTCAAGAGAAATCAAGTCAATTGCCCAGATTCACTGATAAGTAGTAGATTCAAATAAAGAAATGAACTTTGGGTTTCTGACTCCTACTACAGCTCTCTTCCCATGATTTAATTAGGCTGGGTTTCTCTATTTCCACCTCTGTGCTCCCAGGTTTATTCATTTATTCACATTCGCTTATTCTTTCATTTATTCATCTATTTTATTCAATATAAAATTACCAACCATTGAGTACATGCCAGTGAGGGAGAGAGCCATTACAGAAATGACAAAATTTTAAAACTGTAATTACAATCGGTGATGAAAGGAGAGTGACAGGGCGCTTCCTTTAGAGTGTGTTTCAACGCATCCTAATAACCTGGGGACTGAGCTCTCAAGGTGAGTTAGGAGGAAGAGCAATCAAGGAAGAGGACGTAGTAGATGCCAGAACTCTGTGACGCCATGACCCACATAATTGAGGAGCTAAAAGGAGGGCAGAGAAGAAGCTAAGAACCTGACAAGGGTGAGGGTGAGCCAGCCACATCCATGACTCGGGTCTTACCTGAAAATGACAGGAAGCCATTTATGGATTTTTAACCCAGGGCTTATGTGATCACATATACAGAGTCAGCTAATTTATGATCACCCATCCTAAACCAAGAGAAACAGATTTATGGAGATCAACGTGAACAGGCTGCCCCAAATAACCTGCCTTATAAATCCGAAGGAGAACTGTTATCTTCGCTCTCTAACCCATGAGATTTCACCTTTCCTATACCTAATTGAGAGGTGTTTTTCACTGATTGTTGGTATCTATAAAAATTAATTATTGAGCACCTGAGCAGCCATGTTACACATGTGTTTTTGTTGTTTTTTTCAAAAATCAGCAACATTATGTATGCTTGTCTTTCTTTGGTCCAGTCATTTACTCACTCAGTGAGAACACTATGAGGTGACAAAAGGATGACCCCTGCCTTCAAGGAGCTTATTTATATCTGTGATCTCAGTTGGTTTTATACAGCAAGGGAGCCTTAGTGCCTCTGATTCAGTAAAACAGGGAACTAGTCCTAGTCTTTGCTGCTTTGTGAAATTTCGTCAAACCCTTTGTGTTCTTATTCCCATTTTTTTTTCTAGGAAGGTGGTTAGCTAAAGTTATGGGATCAGCCTAGAGTCAAGGAATTTGGTGATATTAACTGATGTGTGTGTACATATATAAAGCCATGAGGCTACTTACGGGTTTTAAACATAAGTTTCATATTGTTAGATCTGCAAAGTCAGCTAATTACCTGTTACCATATTTTATATATGCATTATATTCATACACACACATATTTCCCCTTTAACTTGGTTTCTGCTAAACACATGCATACAGTATGATACCGTATACTATATAGATACCCTGAACACTGCTAGAAAAAAATACAACTTGATAGTAATTTCATTCTCAGTAGAGAAATTCTGGATTCCAACTATTCTGATTCTATTGGGGAAAACAATTAGGTAGAAACCATTGGGATGATGCAGAAAGTGCCTTTCCTTGCCTTGCCTCTCAATACAAGATTAATTCTGCTTGAGAACCACAATGACAGTGTGCTGACTCCAGTTTTGACTGTAGCATCAGTGACAGGTGTCTGTCACGGCAGGGCGGTGGTTCCACCCTGTGCCCTCTCCTAGAGGAGTCCACCCTGACATTGCTCCTAGACCACAGCTGTTAGATTCCTTTGGAAAGGCCCTGTGGAGATGCTGCACCAACAGTGTTCACGAAGAATGCCCTTTCTGTTTCTGCGAAAAGCCACAAAAGACATTATAAAATAGAAGACTCTGTCTGAATTATGCTAGGCATTTACAAAGACTAGTTCTGGAAGTTTTGTAATCGGCCCAGAATACGTATCAAATAATATGTTTATTGTCATCTACTGTCCAACACAGGAACTGCAATCCCTCAAACACACACACACACACACACACACACACACACACACACACACACACAAACACACACACAATTTTTTTTTTTTAAGGTTATAAAGTACTTAGTTGAAAATTTGATAATGTAGGCCAGGTGCGGTGGCTCACGTCCGTTATCCCAGCACTTTGGGAGGCCGAGGTGGGTGGATCACGATGTCAGGAGTTCAAGACCAGCCTGGCCAACATGGTAAAACCCCATCTCTACTAAAAATACAAAAACTAGCTGGGCGTGGTGGCACGTGCCTGTAATCCCAGCTACTCAGGAGGCTGAGGCAGGAGAATTGCTTGAACCAGGACCCGGGAGGCAGAGGTTGCAGTGAGCCAATATTGTGCCACTGGATTCTGGCCTGGGCTACAGAGTGAGACTCCATCTCAAAAAATAAAAAAAGAAAACTAGTCAATGTAATTTAGATTTTTTTTTTTTCTGGAAACATGGGGAAGGTGAACAGATGGAGAAACATGGCTTTTTATCCATGTGAAACATAAAAATCATCTTTTAGAGTGGGCTTATACTTTAAAATATTATTTAGAATAATTCAATCAATAAATGCTTAATGAGTCCTTATCAAGGATCAGTTATCATGTTACTCAGGGAACTATACTGAGAAAAGAGACAGACATGGTTCCTGCTTTCAAAGAGCATGGAGCTTAGTAGAGGAAGAAAGGGAAGGAAGGACCAAGTGTACCAGGCAGAGTGAAGTAGTGTGATTAAAATCCTACAGTAAAAGAAGGCAGGGAGCTTAGGATAAACCGGGGCAGTGTGCTGGGGGCAAGGCTACTGATGAAGCTGGTCGTATAAGCTGAGCTGTGTGTACCATTGTGTGGAAGTGGTATGTAATTTATTATAAGCAGGGAAGCTAAAAAAAATCAGATTGACCCCCAATAATAAAAACCACTAACATTTCTTGAGATTTTAGTACATGGTTTTTGCTATGGAAAAATCTTAACATGTATTATCTTATTTAATTCTTACAGAAATCCTGTGAACTAGGTACCATTATTTCTCCCATTTTATCTGTGAACAAACAAGTGTAGAGAGGTCAAGCAAATTTCTCCTGGTTGTTCAGCTAGGAAGTGATGGGAGTTTAGCAAACCTTGTGAAAAGGTATAGCTCTTTCCCAAAAGCTCCAGCAGAAGTATGAAAGCCACTCTCATTGACTGACTTTGGTCACATGTCCATCCCTGTACCAGTCAATGAGACCAAAGGGATAGAATAATCGATTGGACAGACTTGATTCATGTGGCCACTTCTGGAGGTAGAGTTGAAGTCAGCTCTTACTACAGAACCATAAGAACTAAGATAACTGGTGATACTGTTCTCTGAAGAAAAATCAAATTACTATTCCAGAAAAAGAGGAAATTGATTTTAGACAGAGAAAAATGACAGATGACCATTACCTCT
Source organism: Homo sapiens (assembly GCF_000001405.40). Lineage (NCBI taxonomy): Eukaryota > Metazoa > Chordata > Mammalia > Primates > Hominidae > Homo > Homo sapiens. The sequence continues at coordinate 225,642,847 of NC_000002.12, forward strand.
CCTAAATGTTTATTTTTAAATAAATTTGTATGGGTGTTTAAAAACTATTTACTACCAAAACTTTTATCAACAGTGTTAGAACATTTGAACAAATAGCAAACTTGAGTTATGCATAATTCTATCAACATTGTTACTAAAAAACAAATACACAGACAAAAACAAAAATGCTGACCAGAAAACAGGAGTAAAATAAATGACCTTAATAAACTAGCTCATGATTAATCAAGAGTATCTTTGAGGTCATTCAATTATTTTAACAAATTTCATTTACTAGCGTCAAAGAATCAATGAGTAGAACCTTGGAATTTGCTTCTTGTTATAGATGATAAAAAATCCCCCGAGAGTTTGTATAACTTCCCTCAGGTCTCATGGGCAGAAAACAGTGTTTCTTGGATTTTGCCATAGAGATTTTTCCAGGAAAGCATTTCCTAACTGGTGGTTCCCAAATCCCTTGAAATTTTGAAAGGATTTCCCATGTTCCTTGTGCTTAAACATGGCATTTTCCTATGTTTTATTGTTTTAAAATACACAACTGGCAAATTAATTGTATAAAAAGTTACCTTTTCTTTTTTTCGGCTCCCTTATAATCTTTTTTTTTAATTTTATTATTATTATACTTTAAGTTTTAGGGTACATGTGCACAATGTGCAGGTTAGTTACATACGTATACATATGCCATGCTGGTGCGCTGCACCCACTAACTTGTCATCTAGCATTAGGTATATCTCCCAATGCTATCCCTCCCCCCTCCCCCACCCCACAACAGTCCCCAGAGTGTGATGTTCCCCTTCCTGTGTCCATGTGTTCTCATTGTTCAATTCCCACCTATGAGTGAGAATATGCGGTGTTTGGTTTTTTGTTCTTGCGATAGTTTACTGAGAATGATGATTTCCACTTTCATCCATGTCCCTACAAAGGACAAGAACTCATCATTTTTTATGGCTGCATAGTATTCCATGGTGTATATGTGCCACATTTTCTTAATCCAGTCTATCATTGTTGGACATTTGGGTTGGTTCCAAGTCTTTGCTATTGTGAATAGTGCCACAATAAACATACGTGTGCATGTGTCTTTATAGCAGCATGATTTATAGTCCTTTGGGTATATACCCAGTAATGGGATGGCTGGGTCAAATGGTATTTCTAGTTCTAGATCCCTGAGGAATTGCCACACTGACTTCCACAATGGTTGAACTAGTTTACAGTCCCACCAACAGTGTAAAAGTGTTCCTATTTCTCCACATCCTCTCCAGCACCTGTTGTTTCCTGACTTTTTAATGATCGCCATTCTAACTGGTGTGAGATGGTATCTCATTGTTTTGATTTGCATTTCTCTGATGGCCAGTGATGCTGAGCATTTTTTCATGTGTTTTTTGGCTGCATAAATGCCTTCTTTTGAGAAGTGTCTGTTCATGTCCTTCACCCACTTTTTGATGGGGTTGTTTGTTTTTTTCCTGTAAATTTGTTTGAGTTCATTGTAGATTCTGGATATTAGCCCTTTGTCAGATGAGTAGGTTGCGAAAATTTTCTCCCATTTTGTAGGTTGCCTGTTCACTCTGATGGTAGTTTCTTTTGCTGTGCAGAAGCTCTTTAGTTTAATGAGATCCCATTTGTCAATTTTGACTTTTGTTGCCATTGCTTTTGGTGTTTTAGACATGAAGTCCTTGCCCATGCCTATGTCCTGAATGGTAATGCCTAGGTTTTCTTCTAGGATTTTTATGGTTTTAGGTCTAACGTTTAAGTCTTTAATCCATCTTGAATTGATTTTTGTATAAGGTGTAAGGAAGGGATCCAGTTTCAGCTTTCTACATATGGCTAGCCAGTTTTCCCAGCACCATTTATTAAATAGGGAATCCTTTCCCCATTGCTTGTTTTTCTCAGGTTTGTCAAAGATCAGATAGTTGTAGATATGCGGCGTTATTTCTGAGGGCTCTGTTCTGTTCCATTGATCTATATCTCTGTTTTGGTACCAGTACCATGCTGTTTTGGTTACTGTAGCCTTGTAGTATAGTTTGAAGTCAGGTAGTGTGATGCCTCCAGCTTTGTTCTTTGGCTTAGGATTGACTTGGTGATGCAGGCTCTTTTTTGGTTCCATAAAAAGCAATGAAAGTTTATTAGGAACAAAAAGAATGTCCAGGCACACTTCCTCATGCCTGTAATCCCAACAGTTTGGGAGGCCAAGGTGGGCAGATCATCTGAGATCAGGGGTTCGAGACCAGCTTGGCCAACATGGTGAAACCCTGTCTCTGCTAAAAATACAGGTTAGCCGTCCATGGTGGCATGCACCTATAGTTTCAGCTACTCTGAATGCTGAGGCAAAAGAATCACTTGAACCCGGAAGGTGGAGGTTGCAGTGAGCTGAGATCACGTCACTGCACTCCAGCCTGGGCAGAAAAAAAAAAAAAAAAGAAGAAGAAAAAAGCTAACTAATAAATTACATAGTCCTACTGGTACCTACTTAATAAAATTGATGATGGTGAGTTACAGACCTGGAAACATCTCATTGTATTGTCTTGATAATTGTTTACTCAAAGGAGTTAAAATGACTGTGTTCCTCCCTCCTTCTCTCCTTCATTCCCTCCTTTCCTTTCTTTTTTCTTCTTTCTTCCTTTTCCTTCCTCTCTGTTTCCCTCCTCCACTGCCTTTCTCTCTCTCTCTTTCTGAATCAACCTCTTTCTCATTTTTTTCTTATTCTCTTTACACTTGATCTTCACTAAATTGCACAAGTGAGTCAACTTTTACTTCTGGGATGATACTAGAAGAGTTTTCAAAGGAAGAAATATTTCCTTGGACTTAGGAAGAACAAGTGCCTTCTAGTTAATAATTAATCTCTCAATTAGGATTTCCTTGGGGTAGGAAAGCTCTGTCTTAGATCTCTTTCCAGGTATGTGCCCCTTGTTGGTGGACCCCAAAATTCTTGGCAATTATTCTATTAAAATTCAGGATCAAAACTTATTGTCCAGTGTCATGACTCCTCAGCCTCACCGTTCAAGTCTCAAAGAGCATTGCATTTCCAAAGGTAGGTGAGCCAAACATTGCATTTAGATGCACAGATCCTAAAGGATCTGTGAGAGGCTTGATTTGAATCTTTTCTAGAATTTTCAGGATTGCTTCAGATAATTCTTTTGGTCAAGTTAGTTGAGCTGAACAATTGCACTTTGATGTCACAGGCCTAAAGGATCTCTGAAAGGCATGGTTATAATTAGAATATTTTCTAGGATTTTCATGATTGCTTGAGATAATTCTTTTGGTCAAAGAAACCTTGGTGGATGCAACCTTGTAAGGATTTGTTTCATCAGCCTGGTCTCAGAAACACCATAGGAAATTCCAAATGCATTTAGGTTAGGAATGATGTGAAACTGAAAGAAGAGCCAAAATAAATGGGATAAACAAAAATCTCACCATTTAAAAAATATTCCTGCTGGCTGGGCACGGTGGCTCATGCCTGCAATCCTAGCACTTTGGGAGGCCAAGGCGGGCAGATCACGTGAGGTCGGGAGTTTGAGACCAGTCTGACCAACATGGAGAAAACCCATCTCTACTAAAAATACAAAATTAGCCAGGCGTGGTGACGCCTGCCTGTAATCCCAGCTACTCAGGATGCTGAGGCAGGAGAATCACTTGAACCTGGGAGGCAGAGATTGCGGTGAGCCAAGATTGCGCCATTGCACTCCAGCCTGGGCAACAAGAGCAGAACTCGGTCTCAAAAAAAAGTTCCTGCCATGTGATACCATTAAGCAGCAGTGTTATGGACTGTATGTGTGTGTGTCTGTGTGTATCTGCCAGTGTATGTATGTGTACATTATGAATATATGGTAATGATCTTACTCTATCCCTGCATATGGAGTCATATTCCATGCTGGTATCGAACATTAGACCACTGGGTGACCTCATTGTAGAACTAGCCCACACAGGGTACTTGGCTAGTAGTTTAATTTGCCATGTTCAATGGGTGGTTAGTGATTTATATTGCAGTGCCTACTGGGGCTTGATGAACCTAGACATGATCTGGACTGGCATCCTATGGGGGTAGAGCAAGACGTTTCCAGGTCACGGTGACATTTGGAGTTTGCTTGGATTTTGGTGAGGTGTAGTCTGTGCATTGGAAATAATGTTGCCTACAGTGAAAACAGGTTTGGTCTGACCAGAAACCAATAAAAGGGGAAATTAATCTTTAGGTACCTTAGGTGATATAAAAGCCTTTGATCTGGTTAGATAATCTTTTTTCATCAGATGATAATATCTTCAACATAAACTGGAAAAAATCTCTATAGTAAATAATTATTTGTCATCCTTTTCTAGGAAAAAAAAAATACTGAATTTTCTCATTCCATGTGACCAAATGTGCTAAGCTAGTCATGGCATGTATGGAAACATTGGCTTATTATGGAAACATGTCAACCAGGGTTCTGATGGATGCTTTGCTTGTTGTTTTATATAATAAAGGATGATTCCTTAAGGTATGCAAGGATTTAGGCATCCTGGGAAATGAGGTTAATTTATAAGTTACTAGGATATTGTATCTATGTCATCATATGATACACTTGTGTTTAAACAGCCTCAGAGAGAATCCAGTGGTATTTTCAAGAATGGGTGGGCAGACGTTAAACACCCGCACAAAATCAAGGGAGAATTTTCAAATGCCGTGCCTTCTCTGTAGGACCCCAGAGGGTCACATCCCCTCTAACTGGAATCACTGCCATGGTAAGTAGGCGAGAGAGGCTTGAAACTAGGTCTTATAACAGGTTCTTTGTTACATCATTGCCTCCTTGCTTTGAGGAGTTGCAGTGACCTTTTCTAGGTTAATTTGAGTATCTTCAGTGAAAGAAAAATACATAATAATTGAATGCTTATTAGGTGGTTCCTACCGGCAAAAATGCTGAAAACCACAACAAGCAGTGCAAATGCTATCTAAGTGATAAGGCAGTTCAGAAGAGAGAAAGAAGAAAACAAGATCACAGGATGCTTTTCAATAAAACTACACTTTGAACTAGGTCTTAGAAAATGGTGAGATATGGTTTGATTAAAGTCCATGCTTGGCAACAACTTGAGGTGAAAGGTGAAAGAATCAAAAGTCGATACCAAGAGGGTAGATCAAATTATATATATATGTGTGTGCATACATATGTGTGTGTGCATATGTATGTATATAATTTATTTATTTATTTTTTGAGATGGAGTTTTGCTCTTGTTGCCCAGGCTGGAGTGCAATGGCATGGTCTTGGCTCAGTGCAACCTCTGCCTCCCAGGTTCAAGTGATTCTCTTGCCTCGGCCTCATGAGTAGCTGGGATTACAGGCATCCGCCACCACGCCCAGCAAATTTTTGTATTTTTAGTAGAGATAGGGTTTCACCATGTTGGCCAGGCTAGTCTCGAACTCCTGACCTCAGGTGATCTGTCTGCCTTGGCCTCCCAAAGTGCTGGGTTACAGGTGTGAGCCACTGCACCCGGCCCAAATAGTATATATTTTAGAAAGCAAGAAGCAGTGGAAAATAGAGTGGATCCGATCAGATGGAGCCAGGTCACAGAGGACCTCTGGAAAATAGACGTTTTTCATGATAATAAATATGGAATAATTGAACATTTTTGAACAAGATGAGTGGCCTAAAGTATCTAGGAAACACAGTCTGCATTGTGTCTAAGTTAGATGTGAGCAGAGAGATTATGGGGAGGTTTCTGAGATGAGTTGAGATAACTATAAGAGCCATTGCAAGGGGGAAAAAAAGCAAATTCCAACAGGACTAAATTTATAGAGAGAGGAAAAGAAAGCTCTAAACTGAAAAAGTACAAGATTTGGACCCTAAGACTTTAGGAAAATGGAGGTGATGTTTCTACTATACATAGGAAAAGTAGAAGGAAGATCCAAGATATTGAGAAGAAGCTGGAACTTGGTTTGCATCCTGAAGCAATGTAGACAGCCTAGGGACCAGGAAGCACAGGGGCTCAAAATCAAAAAGGAGCATGGGAAGGGGACAGAGCTATGGGAACCTGCATTTGACTCCAAGGGAAAACATTATCTTTGAAACCATGCGACTGCTGATGTTCTTAAGAGAGAAGGTGCAGAGGGAAAAGGCCAAGCAAGAAACAAGTTGATGAAGCTAAAAGGACATTGGGTTGAGAGAGAGGTGAAGGAATGCATATCACAGGTGGAAAGAGAGTCATTTTCCAGAAAGAGAATGTAGTTGGTTTCATTAAAAGTAGCAGGAGGAATAGAGGTAAGGGTCACTATGCACGTACTTGTGCAAGTGCGTGTGTATGTGTGTGTATGTGTGTAGGGGGTGAGAGCTAGCATTCACTAAAAGCACTTGTTATGTGTCTGGTGTTTTTCTATGAATTTTGCATGTAATTCAGTTTATCTGTTTACTTAGCACTAGCTCAACTCTTCTCCACTAACCTGGAAACCAGGATATTTCACTATTACTATTTCCTTATAATAGGCAAGCAATACATTCTGAAATGCTTTTGACTTCTGGATCGGTTGGAAAGTAAAGTCTGTGGATCCAGGATACTTCCCACTTCAGATTTTGCTGCCCATTCAGTCCTTTTGGCAGGTGTTAATTACTGCAGCTTCTTCAGGGTCTCTCCTTGCCCTGCTCCCCAGAACACAGTGGATACTCTGATAAATGATATCACAGCACCCTCTACGTCTTCCTTCTAACATATTTCCTAATTTTTGGCAAATGATTTTAGGTTTAATGTCTCTCCCCTGAGAATACATAAACGTCATTAGAATATGGAGTCTCCAACTCCTGGGCTCAAGTGATCCACCCGCATCAGCCCCACAAAGTGCTGAGATTATAGACATAAGCCATTGTGCCTGGCCCATCATTTGTTGTTTAATGTCTATGTTTAGTGCATAGACTGTGCAGTCCCTTAGGGCAATATTGGGATTTTGGTCACAACTCTCTGGCAAGTTCCTGGCACATAGTAGGCATAAAATACATAGATGCCGAATGTTGAATAAGTGACTAAATTCATTTTATTTGAGAAGAACTAAAACTTGAATAATGAAAACAATTGTTTAAGATCATACACCTAGCAGAGTCAGATTCAAAATTAGCTCTAAGTCCAAACCTTGTTTATTGTCTTTTATTGTTTTCCTCTAAATCAGAAGTACAGAGAAAACACTATTTTATTTGCCAAGAAAGAAAACTATTAGTTCCCTTAGGAGAATAATATTAATAGAGAGGTGAAGCATTGTTGAATAGGTGGAAACAGGACTGAGAGAGGAAAGGTGCATATGGGTGAGAGTGTATGAGTCTGTGTGTAAGTAGGCGTAAGCTTACTCATTCTGTGTGTCTGCATGTTGTGTCTGAGAGGGGTTGGGAGTGGAGGAGTGGAAGGCAATTGATGGAAACTGAAGTTGGCAGTGAACCATTCATGCAATGCAGATATAGTCAATGCTTTTCTCTGAAGTGCGATTCATATAGAAATGGCATGAGGATAGTGCACCTCCCCAGCGTGAGCAACACATTTTCTTTTCTTCCAACGGAATTGGGCACATTCTGGCTCTCTGGCACGCGTGTCAGTTCTCAGTACCGTAGTTATGTCATATTATTTAAAGCCAGTTGTTCGATGAGTTTAATTTTTAGGTCAAGTTTATAAAGAAAGGCTTTTTGAAAAGCACTTGTTTATTTATTAGGCAAAGACTGGATGTGGAGAACCTTAGGTTTCTAATTTGTAAGTTGAGGATATTGATAGCTAACTCCGTAGCTCCAAAGAGAGTTCTTAGGATTAGAGATAATTTAGGTGTAACTCCTCACAGAAGCTGGAATGTACTAGGCACTCAAAAACCAACAGCTTACACTGAAGTTTGTGATAAAGTATAAATGTCCATTTTTCTTTCTATGACTTGTTTTTCCTTTGTCAAATATCTTCAAATATGTCTTTAAATTAATCATCTCTACCTCCCAAATATCCTGTACTTTCTGGATGAAGGGAACTCTTTCAGTCCTCAAACTGTAATCTCTAAAGCATCCTGTCAGTGGCCTAGGCAGCTAATTTGGGCTCCTCAAATTAGAGAAGAGGTAGGAGAAAGCTTTTTAAGTTGGAAAAATAATATTATGAAAGATAGTAAAAGTCTTGGAAGACAGTTATAAAATTTAATGAAAATCAAGATGAGTTGAAGAAATGTTACATTGAAAACATGATGATAGTATTCATGGAAGGAAGGAAAACAGAACATTTGGAGAAGGGATAGAAGACATTTTAGGACACAGAAATCCTACGGATCAAAGCTAAAAGTGAAACATTCAAAATAGTCATGGTACTTGCTTGTTCTCCTAATGGGTTGTTGTTGCTCCAGGGATGACTCCATAGAAACCAACCCTAAGTGAGGTAAAATGTGCAAAGGCACAAGGCCTGTGCTTCTGAGAGTTGTTCCCCAGAAGCCAATCTGGGTATAAAGCTCCTTTTAGAGTCAACTGCCATGAAAGTGTTTTATCACCTGCTACTTATTAGCAAACATCAGGAGCATTTTGTATATTCCAAGAATAAGTAGCGAAACAAACAGAAAGACTGAAAAGCCACTTCATTATTCCAGATGTCAGTCAGCTAATATTGTGTCTTTTTCCGCTTGTTTCCAGAGCCTAAAGTAAGCTGCAAATTAGGCCGGTCTGCGTCGACGTCAGGTGTGCCTCCTCCATCAGTCACTCCCCTCAGGCAAAGCAGTGACCTGCAACAGAGCCAGGTACCATCATCGTTAGCCAATCGTGATTGACTTCCTGTGATACAACTTGCCAAATGCTTCCCACCTCTGTCTGTCCTGTTGCTGTAGACAACTTTCGCATTTGCTTTTATTTTTCTATGTGTGTATGGGTTAGGGGATGCGGGGGATGAGTTCTGGCAGTCTGTGTTTTCATTTGAAAAAGAATATCTTTCTTCCTTGTGATTGGTGGTGAAACTTTCTTTGCTGTTTGTTACCAAATCGTTTTTGTCTCTGGTTTCCATCATTCTGTAATATAAATGTAGTAAACTTGTACTATATGTATTGGCTTAGTGGTTCTTTTTTAAATTCTTTCTCTCTTTCATGTTTTGTGTACTTTTATACTGTCTCTGAAAATTTATCAATATTTGATAAATTTATCTACTTTGTTTTATGTAGATTTCTTTTTAAATGTTTTGTCCAGAACACTCGCACAGATGTTGTCAATGAATTTGTACATATTTCTTAGCTCTTATCCTATTATACTGTAATATTTCTGGTGGTTTTATTTTTATTTAGCTTGGAGCATGACTGTAAGACACTGTTGAATATTGATGTCCTTATAAATATTCATATCCCGATTCATTTGGATTGAGTATGGCAGCTAGTCTTTCTTCTTTCTTAGGCTATTGACTGGCCTAAGACAATTTGACTGGCCAGACAAATTGACTGGCCAGATAATCTAGATATTTAACAAAAACTGCAGATTAATAAGGCAACCTTTAAATGAATGACTTTTCTCTCTTATACCAACAATATCAGAAATGTTCTCAGAAAGGGAATGTAAGTGTTCATGCATGGTAAATGAGATCTCAATTATCACTTGGAGAAAAGAGACAAGAAATAAAGGCATAAACTGAAATATCATTTAATCCTTTACAGCATAATATGTTGCTCTGATGTTCGTTTGGGTACGTGGTTGTGGATGGGGAATTAGTATGGGGAAAAATCACTACACATAAATGTCCTATCTTTAGCTCACCCAATAGGAATTCAATACATTGACTTAATTTGTGAGGCTTAATTGTCGTTACTGTTAAGTATTATAGGTGTTAAGTAGGGTGGTGTCATTCTGGAATGTTTTCTCTCTGCTTCCTAGCTTCAATCTTTGCATTCATGAAACTCTTCTGAAATAGCAACTTATAAAACACTGATGATACCTCCAAGGGAACTGCCCATTACTGATGAGAAAATTACATATTCATCTATTATTTTAAATGTCAGGCTATTTTAAAAACATAACTAAGTAGAATAATTGCGTTTTCTTCTAATGAGAGACATTGTGCCTCTTAGTGTTTTTGTCTGACTTAAATATGCAAAATAGTTGATTTATAAATATATGAGGTATCTGCAAATACAAGAAATGAGAGGCTTCTCTCAAGGGTATCTCAAGTACCATTTAGAATTTCTTGTGTCTTAATTTAAAATTTAAATGCCTTTATATAAATGTTAAATGCCTTTATAACTAAATGTACCAACTCAAACACTTTTTGGATATAAAAGAAGTAGAAACAGTAAGACACTGAATAAAATAAATAAGATAAACTGCCAACTTAGCTAATTAAAGCTATTCCAAAAATATTGTACTTACCAACATTTAAAGCTTAAAAACATTGGGTACTGAAAGAAGAGAAGTTTAGCTAATTGGCAGAGGATTGCACTAATACAATCAAGTTTTCAAGTTTATGACCCTTGCTAGTATATTACCTTCAATATCTCAGAGATGTTTTGTATTATTTGTTTTGTTTTGCTTTTTTCCTAGTTGTCTTTATAGCTGTTTCACCCTAAGCCCCTTCAAACTCTCAATGAAAGCAGGTTCTTGGGATAAACTTCCAGAATAGAGACAAGGTATACCCTTTGTGCCTTTGCATTATCAACTCTTTGTTCACCTGATGGGAAGTTCTTCGTTTTTCAAAATGTAGCAAGGGAGAAAGCCCAGGACGCCTTTATATGCTGTTAGTTTCCTTACCTGCTGATAGAGATTCTGACACACAGTCAAATCATACATGGGCTGTCAGAGCTATAAATTAGAAGGCTGGCCTCTAGGCTTCTCCTCTGTGGCTTATAGCCAGTTGTAATATACATGCATTCCTATACTCTAGAGATGAAGTGGTAAGCATAGCTCATATGAACACTGCTCTGAACTCCTCTGACTTAGCATTCAACTTAAGTCAAGAAATACTTATTGGCTGGGCGTGGTGGCTCACGCCTGTAATCCCAGCACTCTGGGAGGCAGAGGTGGGTGGATCACAAGGTCAGGAGATTGAGACCATCCTGGCTAACACGGTGAGACCCCATCTCTACTAAAAATACAAAAAATTAGCCAGGTGTGGTGGCGGGCGCCTGTAGTCCCAGCTACTTGGGAGGCTGAGGCAGGAGAATGTGGTGAACCTGGGAGGTGGAGCTTGCAGTGAGCTGAGATCGCACCACTGCACTCCAGCCTGGGTGACAGAGCGAGACTCCATCTCAAAAAAAAAAAAAAAGAAAAAGAAAAAAAAACTTATTAAAAGTCCTTTTCTCACCTACTTCCCATGCCCTCAACCATAGTCTTGACTAAGATGTCTGTTTAAATTACAACTAGGACGGCACTGCCCTGTGCTCAGGCATGCAAGACAATGGTGGAAAAACATGTAAAACTGTTGAATCTAACAATGACTACTCATACCTAAACAAGGATAGGGAACACCTAGCACTATCAAACAAACAATCCCTCTGGTCACTTTTTAAGCAGTTTTCGCAACACCAAGACTCCTGGTAGTTATTAAAACCCAGAATTCTTAATAGGAGATTAATAGACTTCTTACTAGGAAAATCATTGGAATTCATGTGATCTATTTAAAACAAATAAAAGGCCAGGTGCGGTGGCTCACACCTGTAATCCCCACATTTTGGGAGGCCGAGGCAGGTGGATCACCTGACTTTAGGAGTTTGAGACCAGCCTGGCCAACATGGTGAAACCCCATCTGTACTAAAAATACAAAAAATTAGCTGGACGTGGTGGCACACACCTGTAATCCCAGCTACTTGGGAGGCTGAGGCAGGAGGATCGCTTAAACCCAGGAGGCAGAGGTTGCAGTGAGCTGAGATTGTGCCACTGCATTCCACCCTGGGCAACAGAGTTAGACTCCATCTCAAAAAAATAAAATAAAACAAAAAATAAATAAAACAAACAAAATCAGTCACTCACCTCTAAATAATTCCAGTGGTGCTTGTCTATGGAGGAATCTGGCCTTACGAATGCTATGACATTTCAGCCACATTATGGGGCATTACCCTTCGTACAAAAAGACCTGTGTTACTTCTCAGATTGTTGTTGTCATCCCATCTCTGTTCAGTTTTCTTGGTCCTAGTTTGTCACTCACCGTTTCGTGTCATGGTTGGAGCTGTCTAAGAAATGTTGTAGGTGGAGTTAGGTGAAAGTGCTTGACATCACTAAGGCAGAGATTCACAGAGGTGACCAAAGTGACTGGTCCCCATTCCCCATGGGCCTGGGGCCAATAGTGACAGCCCACCACCAGAGGTGGTATATGAACAAAGGGGAAGGTATGTTTGCTTGCCTTTGAAATCAGTTTTAGCTTCAGGTAACTACAGCAGACACACGATCTGTAGAAATGTATAATTGTATTTGACTGGAACTTCAAAATATGTAAGAGAAAATGAGAAACTCTGGAAAAAAGTATGAGTTCTAAAGCATTTAGAGTTTGCCCCAAAACACATATTATTCTCTGACACTCAGAGAGTTAAAAATAAGATTTTATTTTTTCTTAATTTGCTCCTGAGTAAATAGACTAGACATGGGGCAATTATAGACATTTTCTTGGAACTTCCTTGTAATGCAGCCACGTTTCTGCATTTACCTTCATAGAAATCTTTGGAAATCAGACTGAATTTTTGTGCCTACCATTAGAAAGTTAACTTATTTTCTTAGTTAAAAAAAGTCAAACTGCACAGGAGTCATGTATTATACTTGGAGCACGTTACTTTCTCTTTTGTATTCTCTGTAATAGAGTAGAAAGCCATGTACTCAGAAGAAAGAGATGTGAATGCTCTTAGACACAGCAGATGGTGATGCTCATGTGATTCCTCCATCTCTGGCTGATCTCAGCCTCCTTCTTCAGTGACCCCATTGGAAACAGTGCCATCTATACTCTTGCTGCACAGGTGATGCTATAGCAGCTGATGCACAGGCCATATCAAACCATGCTTTCCTGCAAGAATGGAGCGGCTAAGATGTGTCTCCAAACAGAACTGCAGCTTTCCTTGGAAAAATGTTCCCAAGACATGTTTGAATTTGTTTTTCTAGGAAGGAAGGAAATGAGAGCCACAACCTCCACTACACACACACACACACACACACACACACACACACACACACACATACACACATACACACACACACACACCAACACAATCTCACACATTCACTCACAAACACATATTTTTTTTACAGCAGATTCTCATGTCAAGGAATTACAAAGCTAAGAGTGACCCAAGTGTTGAACTGAAACCTCAACTTCTTCGGAGGCTTGTTTATCACACTAAACTGAATTATCTCTGATCATCCTTGATTTGGGGGAGGGAGGTAGGAAAAGGTCACTTGTAATTTCCTTTGGACACACATTCCAAAGTTTGACAGACCAAATCTCTTTAGAAACCTACACAGAGTGCTTAGAAACCACATAGTGCTTTGCCTCTGAAGCCATGATCTCTGTGGGTCCTGTGTTTCATGATACCTGCGTCCTCACCACCCAGGACAAAACTTGCCCAGCCCAGTCCCTTCTGTATACTTAATAGCTGTTATCCAGGCTACTAAGCCCCGTTCCTTTCAACTTGTCTCTTCGGGATTACTTAGCAAATGCTTATTCCTTTTCATAGCAGCCCCCTGGCCTCTCACCAAGCTCCTAACTTCCCCTTTGCTTGACGACCTTGCAGGAGAATGAGAGTCTTCCCAGGCTGCCTCTGGAGCAGATGCAGGTTCTCTCTTTCCATGGGCTCCACAGCTATGTCATTATGTCAGCACCGGCTGGCAATCCTGGATAAGGGAACATGTTAGGGGGTCCATAGCTTGATGCATATCTAGAGTGTATTTCTGAACATGCTCAGATGCCAGAATTGTTTTCTACAGACTTAAAAAAAGAAGATAGACAACCCAAAATAGGGATGTGGGGTCAGTACATGTGAAGACCAGGGTGAAGGACTTAGGTGAATTTCTTTGCAGGGACTGTGCTCAGTTCAGAGGTCTTCCTCCAATGCCCAGCGCAAAGTGAGGCCCTCAGTCATCATTTGTTGACTTACTCAACACCTCTCTCTATAAACATCTTTCTGTATATGCGCTTCAAAAAATCTTTTCTCAAACAATTTGATTTTGTTCCTGTTCTTCAGTCCTTAATATTTCCAAAGCAGGGTCTGTGAGTTCTGAGCTTTCATTGAACTTTCTAGATAGTACATTTGCACATAAAACATGCCTGGGAGCCTGGAGAGTGTGAGAAAGGCTAACAACAAAGGGAGCCAGGAGAGTAAGGCCTAGAGTGTGAAATGAGAAATCTAATTCCTTTTTTTTTTTTTTTTTTTTTTTTTGAGACAGAGCTTCACTCTTGTTGCCTAGGCTGGCGTGCAATGATGCGATCTCAGCTTATTGCAACCTCCACCTCCAAGTTCAACTGATTCTCCTGCCTCAGACTCCTGTGTAGCAGAGATTACAGGCGTCTGCCACCACACCAGGCTAAATTTTTTGTATTTTTAGTAGAGACGGGGTTTCACCATGTTGGCCAGGCTGGTCTCAAACTTCTGACCTCGTGATCCACCTGCCTCAGCCTCCCAAAGTGCTGGGATTATAGGCGTGAGCCACTGCGCCCAGCAGGAAATCTAATTTCATCTCCTGGGTGCCCACCCCAACTCTGAATAACCTGACCTTAAAGGCTGCAAAGCTCCATCCTCATTTAATTTGTGCCTTCAATAGAATCAAGCAGAAAAACAAAAACAAGTCCTAAGGGCAATATGGGAAATCTCTTTCAATTTTGCTGTGAACCTAAAACTGCTCTAAAAAAAAAAAAAAAAAAGGAAAAGGAAAGTAAAAACAAAAACCAAAACACCGTAAAATGTAAGAGTAGAAAAACTTCAAAAATATTTTCTCTTTACAATTCTCAGGCCACTATGAGCATAGAGATGACTTGTTTTGCCAAAGTCATGCACACTTTAGTTTAGCCCCTTGTCCTATAGACCAGGGACATTTTACCTGATCAGTTGGATACATTGTCAAGTGTTTCCTACTTTGAGACTAAGGTTTTACAGTCCACAGGAGAAAGCAGTGCTGGGAATGAGATAGCCACAGAATATGTAGTTGGAGAGCATGTGCCACCCTCACTCTGTGTGACCAACGGCCCCTTCTCTATAATGTGCTGCTCAAGTGTTGAACAAAAGTGTTTTCTTTTTTTCTTTTTTGAGATTCTGTGATATTCCAGATTCTCCTATCAGACCTGAACTGAGAACATGTTTTCCATGCCATTTGTACCTTTACACAGCTGATTTTATTGTATGCTCATGATTACACCACATGATGGAAATGGAAGAAAAGCAGAAACAACACACAGAACAGAACCAACAAAATCTGAACTCATTAACACACAGCTTCTCACCACCACACAGCTTCTTTCAGGCTGTGCAACACATATTAAAATTGGCTCTTATTATTTACTTCCTTCTGCATACATGTCAACCTTACATATATTTCCAAACATGAAAAACCCTAAGAGGAGGTCTTGGAACACCCCCCTAAGTTCACAGTACAACATCAGCATTATGTTTGAGAAGTGTTTCTCTGTACTAACTTCAAATTGTAAAATAAAGTGCTATGTTAACAAAGATTATGTTAAAAAGAAATTATGCTACAAAGAAATTATGCTTATTTGTTATAAAAATGATATTTACCAAAGAATTTGGATCTAGCCCTGTGAAATGTGGAATAAATTCATGTTACAAATAAGAATGTCAGTGGCTAAGTGGATCTATTACCAAGTACTATAGCCTAGTTGCATTAAAACAATGCAAGTGCAAAAAATATATAAAAAGCATTATCTTATGTGTGCTTTATATGGTCCTGTCAAATTGTTTTATAAAAATGTTAGGCTTTAGTTCTTTATGGCACTCTCTATGAGCTTTAATTAATGTCATATCTAAGGTGGAAAATAAAATTTATTATTACTTTTAAATAGTAGCTGAATCAAGGAATATGTAAAATGAAATGTTGGAATTATTTCCTTTCTACTTTAATACAAAGAATTCAGAGGGTCATAACTCTTTACAACTTAGCTGAAGTATGGGCTAAGTAATTTACATATTATTTAGCCATTGCGTGCTTATTAACTTTTACATACTTTAGGCAGCAGAATATTTGTGGGTCACTTTTTCAAGTCCAGAAGTTCCATGATCAGTCTCTCAGTAACTCCATTATAGAGTGGAATAAAACAAAACAAGCTCATGCCTGCCGCCAACAACCTTGTCATTTATTCTGTCAGAGCAAGGAGGGTATAATAAGCAAGAAGATGTTCTCAAAGAAGTCTTGAACCAATTGACAAATAAGGGTGGGGATTGGGCCCAGTGGACTCTGAGGATGCCTGTTATCTAACTCTGCTGTCGCTGGTACCTGTGTGTGTCCCTCTCTTCAGCATCCGAGGTCAGAGTTATCAACTTCACCACCAGAGCTACAGGTGTGAAGTAGCAGAAGTACGTACTCCAGCTTTCTTTACCATCTGGAAGGGACAAAAAGTTATTCAGGGTTCTTAGGTGAAGTTTGCATAATGAACATGATGTGCCATTTTTGTCACCTCTCATGTGCTTACCATGTGCCAGGACTGGGCTCGGAGCATGCCTGCATCATTGTAGGTGTGTTCCCTACAGTCCTCACTGATGGGTACTATTATTATCCCACATCACAACCAAGGATACCAAAGTGAGTAAGGTTACATAGCTTATCCAAAGTTTTGTATTTATTAAATGTCAAAGGCTATGACATTAACCACTCAAAAACCTGAGATTTACCACTCAGAACCTGATATTAACCAGTCAAAAACCTGAGATAGACAAAAACCTGAGATAGATATGAGACTTACAGGAAGTAAAGATTTATTAGAATCCTGGCTCTACTGGTTAGTGGCTGTAAGACCTGGAATATGTTGCTGAACCTTTCTGAGTCTGGGGTTGTTGTTGAGGATTAATGAGATAACATAGGTGTGTAAAGTCCTGGACAGACATTACTTGTGGGAAAAAAATATTAATTCTTTCTCCTTTTCCTAACAGTTTTTCCTCTTTCCAAAAAATTCAATTTTTCTGCTTGCTGGAAAATTCTAAAGAGAAAAGTAGTTCAGTCAGTGTTATTCCAAAGGCAGTAGTCACTGAAGGAATGATTGGTCCACCCCACTATCCCCAAGCTGGTATACAACTGCTAGTGCATGGTGATAAGAAAAAGCAGACAGATTTCTAGTTGGTTCTATCACTGGTTTTAAGTTCTCTGTAGACAGTGCATCTCCTTATTGCCTGCACCTGGGGCAAATTGATTTCCCCCACCTTGTCCTTGGTACCCCCCTAGAGCCCATTATATTCATTACTCCTTCTTTCACAATTACAAAATTAGTTACTAAGTTATTTACCATGTAATAGGGAGTTTAGGTCTGGCATTTCTTCTTACCTTGTAGGTCTCATATGTGGGTTGGAGGCAAAGTACGTAGAAATTGGCTACAGGTAGCATTTCAGAACTGTCAGCTCTCCTGCCCCCAATACTACTTACTCACCTCTTTGAATTAAGGTAGGAGAAAATACAATGAAAACATTAAGTCTATATAGGAAGCTATTATCTGCTAGGGTCGGGACAGCAGGTATTAGAGACACAGGATACATTTTTTTTTTTTTTTTTTGCCAACCTCAGCATTTACTTAAAGATTCCACATACCAGTTTTAAATGCCTATTTTTTTTAATGCCTGCAACCATTCACATTATAAAATGTATCGATTTAACTATTAAAACGAATGTCTGGCTTCAGATGGGGCGGGCCAACTCAGCCTGTGGAAACACAGCATAACACTAGGTGGATACATGGCGCCACCTAGCGTCTGTAGCGCACTTTGGAATCTATACTTGGCTTTCAAAAATTGAATCAAACAAAACTGTTTTATGACACAGAAGATGTATGCGTTGTTTGGGATAATAAGCAAAACGCCTGTAGAAATCTATGACAAAATCTGCTGATGATTTTTGTTTTGAATTTTTTTCGTTACTTTAATCTTGCAATTTTAGGTTCTCTAACTTTTAAATAGTATGCCTTTAAAAATAATACTTAGGGGAAAAATGAATCACAGCTACTGATCTCAGAGTGCTATGCATTATTTATGAATATGTGCAGCTGTTTTCATTAGGATTTATGACATCTTCTGTGCATTGTAAATCCCTTAATTCAACCTGAGTTTCCAGGAAAGGAGATCATTATCCCTCTTTTGCCAACTGAAAAGGAAAAGAACAGAAAAAAGCATGACTGGTTAAATGGAAAAATTCCTTCTTGATTTCTTTTGTTTTCCATTAACATGTTTGAAACAGATAGCTTGAGAGTCTTTCCGGAAAATAGTATTCTTGCTAACTTGTGGGTAAATTTACCTCCAACTTAAATTGCATGTGCATTAGGAATAAATGTTTACATGCTGTTAGTACTGGCTCAGAGTGGCAGTACCCTTCATTCAGAATAATAAATATGTCTTTGCCATGAGTTTTTTACTCAAGAAACACTAGAGATCTTTAGCACTAGCACCCAGCTCACCTGCTGGACAAATCTTCATTCTTCATTCTGTGCTGCAAATGAACATTATCCTTCAGGTTGAAAACACTTCTCCAGATAAATTGGATTCCTAAAATAGCTTTTGTTGAGAGCTTCTTATGTGTTTGCCAGAGTGCTCAGAATGCTGTATTATCTAATGTTGTTCTTACAGCACACTTTTGAAGTAGGTAATATTATACCCGTTTCACTGATGATAAAATTTTTGGCTAAACAGTTTCTGTTACCTATTGAAGGTCTTATAACCAGTGAGTGGCTTTATGGATGTAAGATATAAAACCAGGTAGTTCTATCTATCAAACCCCTGCTTTATGCATAGTTGCCTCATATATAACTTCCTTTTTGAATTTGCTCTCTCTTTTTTTTTTTTTCTGAGGCGGAGTCTAGCTCTGTCACCCAGGCCGGAGTGCAGTGGCATGATCTCTGCTCACTGCAACTTCCACCTTTTGGGTTCACGTGATTCTCCTGCCTCAGCCTCCCAAGTAGTTGGGATTACAGACATGCACCACCACACCTGGCTAATTTTTGTATTTTTAATACACACAGGGTTTCACCATGTTGGCCAGGCTGGTCTCGAACTCCTGACCTCAAGTGATCTGCCCACCTCGGCCTCCCAAAGTGCTGGAATTACAGGCGTGAGCCACTGCACCTGCCCCTGAATTTGCTCCCATTCTAAAACTTATTTTCCTTCACTTTCATCCATTTATTTAATCACTCTTCAATTTCCCAGGTCTTGCCTTTTGACTTTTTGAGACTAAAATGTCATAGCAGAGGACAAATTCAACTAGGACTTCAAATAAGCAGAGTGCCAACCAAGAGCAAAATCTCCAAAGTTGACATGAGGTTGGGAAAGTAACTTCTGGAAGAAAGCTAAGTTCCATTCATCGGTTATTACATTTTTGTGGACCATGGACTAGTGCCATGGGACATCAGCCCTGCAGCTGTGCATGTGCACAAGTGTCTGTGGATATTAACACTTGAGCACATCGAACCCTTTCCACATTCTGAAAAGAAAACATATCCTCGCCCACACATGCACACATAGATATCAGCTTCCAGAGTACTGTTGTAGATTTAACCAACAACACAAAAGACCAAGACGTATTCACCAAAATGTATCTGGCTTCTGGACTTCCACAGAATCCTACGAACAGACACTTTAAAGTGGGAGGGGGGAACCCCAACTGTACTGTCATGTCAAAGCATTTGTTTTCTAAAGTAAATGCTGCATTAGAGCTAGTTAATAATCCCTAGTTGTCAGCTATTTTGACAGGGATGGCATTTGGAATGCTGCATTTAATGACTTCTTTCCCAGAAAATGAGAAAGTTATTTGAAGGACCAAAAGGTGTCAGGAGTAATCCTACCCAACCCAATCAACTTTGCATATGAAAGGGGTAGAGGTTTTTCGGGAGAAACCAATAGAGCTGAAGTTGCTTATCATTCAAGGAACGATCTAGGAAGGAACACAATCTGTACTGTCACTTGTCTGATATAAACCTAAATAATGAAACAAGGGACCTACCCTTGGAGAAAGCAAACACTCATATCCGACGATCGCAGTCTCCAGGCCTCGCGGAATTTCCAAGTATTTTGATTTCTACCTCCATATAAAATAAATAATGAATACAAAAGCACACTTTAGACCAGAAGTGTTAAATGTGTTCATTTTCAGTCATTCGTTTATTTAAAACATGGGCTATTTTTAACATTTTCTTTGAGCAAAAAAGTACAAAGCACTGTTTTTACTGTAAGCATGCATGGAGCACTAGGGAGAAGCAAGATGGGCCCAGGAAACCAGTACAGAAGGGGACTGGGGCCACTCCAGCATCTTTATGATTTGTGCTTTTTTTCTCTTGAATCCAAACAAGTCTCGCAAGATGACTCTGCAGTTTGATCACAGGTTTAGCATCTCTCACCCATTTTCCCAGCTCCAGCCTCTAAACTCACCCTCTGTTCCCAGATCCATTCTTCACAGCAGCAAAAGAGTGATTGTAGTTGAGTTCCTCCATGCAAAATACTTAAAGGTGCCCACTGCCCACAGCATGAATCACAAACAACTTTGCTTGGATTTCAAGGCCCTGTGTGACCTGGCCCTGGTTTTCCTGTTCAGCTTCCTTATCCATTACCTGCCTCCATTCACCTGCTACACCTCAGGTTCATCCACACACCCACCACAGTTCTTTCTCACTTTTTTTTTCTTTTTTCTGAGACAGAGTCTCACTGTGTCACCCAGGCTGGAGTGCAATGTCATGATCTCAGCTCACTGCAACCTCCGCCTCCCAGGTTCAAGCGATTCTCCTGCCTTAGCCTCCCAAGTAGCTGGGATTACAGGTGCACACCACCACGCCTGGCTAATTTTTGTATTTTTAGTAGAGACGGGGTTTCACCATGTTGGCCAGGATGGTCTTGATCTCTTGACCTTGTGATCTGCCTGCCTCAGCCTCCCAAAGTGCTGGGATTACAGATGTGAACCACTGCGCCCGGCCCTGTATCACTTTTAAATATTCCTGGCATGCCTCCAAGAGTTGCCTGACTCTTCCTTCTTCTTGGAACACCCTCCCTAGTCCTTGACTCCTGGCAAACTATTGCTTATTTGTCAAGTCTGGGATCAAGTGTGCTCTCCCATCCACAAGGCTTTTTTATCTTTCCCAAGCAGCTCTCCCTTCTCTGTCTCTTCCCTGTACTTACTGTCATAACCATGAAAGGCCTTATTTTTGCATCAGAGAGGAACTCTATTACACAGTAAAGCAGTGTGGGGAAAGTCAAGTTAAGTAAATTTTGCTACTATCTGAGTTTCAAATTTGCTGATGTGCACCGGAAATTGCAAAGCGAGGGATATAATATTGCTTATGTTTCTCAAATATATCCAACCATGGAATGCTTTTTGCATTTTTCCAAGGAGCATGTATGGATTCCAAAAATTCAGCTTATAATTGTTTGCATTAGAATGGAGGCTTCTTGAGGGCTGGGAATGTCTATTTTTATCCTGGAAATCTCTTGCTGTCTCAATACATATTGAATGAATAAATAATTGCTAACAGTGGAAACGGATTAGTATGTCATTGTATCACTGTTATAATAACTTGCAGACACATTGGGACTGTTGACTGTGGCTCTGCACACAGTCATCACATAGGCCCACCTCAGCTAGTTACTTACAAGTTTTACCTACTTACTGAGGATGAGAGAGAAAAATTAGAGAATAGAACTGAAATGCGGCCGGGCACGGTGGCTTATGCCTGTAATCCCAGCACTTTGGGAGGCAGAGGTGGTTGGATCACGAGGTCAGGAGATCGAGACCAGGATCATCCTGGCGAACATGGTGAAACCCCGTCTCTACTAAAAATACAAAAAAAATTAGCCGGGCGTGGTGGCGGGCGCCTGTAGTTCCAGCTACTTGGGAGGCTGAGGCAGGAGAATGGCGTGAACCTGGGAGGCAGAGCTTGCAGTGAGCTATCACGGCACTGCACTCCAGCCTGGGCGACAGAGCGAGAGTCCATCTCAAAAACAAACAAACAAACAAAAACCCCCAAAGGTTTATGAATATTAGGAGAAACTATCATGGAAACAATTCTAGAAAGACATTCCATACTCGAGTGATACAAGTATATATTTAAGGCAGAACATGAACTATGATTGGAGTAAATTAAGACATTTATAGTCTCTGAGAACAGAAGGGATTATGAAGCCTTCTCTCCACAAATAATATAGAATTTTACCTTTGCAAATAGCACAAACCTTACATAATTTCTCCATACATTTTACTTAACTTTATTTAGATTTTCTCTTTACAAAATTTTGCATAAGTTTATTGAAGCTGAACTTTGCTCTTTTTTTTTCTATAGTTCTGCCCTGGCTTTGCTGAGCAGGTTCCCTAAACACATGGAGACCTCCTCCTTGGGTGATTTAGCACTTGTTACATGCCCATAGAATCTTTAAAAATACTCTTGCAGCTAAATTCAAATACAAAGGCAAAAGAAAAAAAAATGTTTTTAAGTGTGAACACCCCCAGTGACAAACAGCTGTTCACTACTACAGTTTATTGAACCGAAAGAAGGTCTCTCCCCTTCCTGTCCTGCTGGTCTTCTCAATAGGAGTCACAAAAATGGAGCGTTTTAACACAACTGGTGAACAGTCTCATGAGCTGCGTGAAGATTTGCTAAATCTGCCAGGAGAGGGCAGCACACCACCTTTCCCTAGCTCCTTTTTTTTTTGAGACCAAAAAAAAAAAGAGTTGGAGACCAGCCTGACCAACATGGTGAAACCCCGTCTCTACTAAAAATACAAAAATTAGCCGGGTGTGGTGGTGCGTGCCTGTAATCACAGCTACTCAGGAGGCTGAGGTAGGAGAATTGCTTGAACCTGGGAGGCAGAGGTTGCAGTGAGCTGAGATTGTGCCATTGCACTCCAGCCTGGGCAACAGAGCAAGCCTCCGTCTAAAAAAAAAAAAAAAAAAAAAAAAAAAAAAGCCCACCACCCAGATAGACAGGAGGTAAGTGAGGCAAACGAGGTGGCCTAGAGTAGAGCACATCACGACCTTCTTTCCTTCTTATCCCACTCCCTCCCTCTCAGCTATTCCCAGGGGCTTTGGGTGGAGTGGCTAGACCTGGGGAAAAAGGATACCCTGGAGGATGCTGTTAGGTGCACACTTTCTAATGCTGCTCTGGCAACCTTAGATGCCACAGCTCTGAAGACCATCATCTGGGGTCTTGGCAAAAGGGTGGTGTGTGTAAAATTAACTTTCGGCCAATTTACCTTTTTCTTCTCTCTCCAAAGTCTCCATGCGCTAAAGTCACCTACTTTAATGCCAAATTGTTCACCCCATATGTCCCATGTCACCTATGTAGCCTACCTTCTCTTGCACCACCAAGCAAACACCAATAACTGACATATATCACTGTCATTGACATTTTGCAGTCATCAACATTAGTACTTGTTGACAAAAAGAGTCAAACTCTGTAAAATATTTGAAGAGATTTATTCTGAGCCAAATATGAGTGACCATGACCTGTGACACAGCCCTCAGGGGTCCTGAGAATATTTCCCCAGCGTGGTCAGGGTGAAGCTTGCTTTTATACATTTTAGGGAGGCATGAGACATCAATGAAATACATTGAAACAATATATTGGTTTGGTTCAGAAACGCGAGACAACTCAAAGCTTGGGCGGGGTTGGGGGGATGGTTCCAGGCTACAGGTAAATTTCAACATTTTTTGATTGATAATTGGTTGAGTTTGTTTAAACACTTGAGATCAATAGAAAGGAAATATTCAGGTTAAGATAAAAGATTGTGGAGACCAAGGTTCTTTTGAAGTCTTAAAGTGGCTGCCCTTAGAGACAATAGATGACAAATGTTTCTTATTTGGACCTTTAAAAAGTACTAGATTCTTAATCTTTTCAGGATTGGGAGGGCCTGAAAGAAAAAGATCTAGCTACCTTAAT
The DNA here is from genome assembly GCF_000001405.40 of Homo sapiens. Lineage (NCBI taxonomy): Eukaryota > Metazoa > Chordata > Mammalia > Primates > Hominidae > Homo > Homo sapiens. Next base: position 225,666,811 of record NC_000002.12, read on the forward strand.
AGAGATTCTTTACAGATACATATTCCCCCCCCTCCATGCCCCCCCACCCCCCCAACACACACACAGAGGACAGCTTTGCAGGACCATTTCAAAATACAGCAAAGAAACATGTTTTGGGGTAAAATATTTTGACTTTCTTCTTTGTCATGTAATGTTATGCCAGGGTCAGATTGGAAAGTAAGTCACGGTATATAGGGTTAAATAAAACCATTCTGATGAGAATTTATGGTTTGTAGGGCATGACTCTCCAGACCCGTTAGATAGGAATTTGTGCAAGCTAAAAAAATCAGAGCTTAGTCCTCAGACTTCAGAATTTATAAGTTGCCTTCCTGTATTCAGCCAACAAATTCTTGTTGTGTACTGCTAAACACCAGATATTCTGCTAGATGCTTGAGTTTGAAGATGGTTGATATGACAAACTCCTGTGTTCAAAGAAATTTCAGCCTGATAAAGAAGCCAAATACGTGTGTGTGAATATATAAATATAAATATCATATATATTTAATAAGAGTGGGTGGGAGGCCTTTACAGTCAGACATAAGACAGTTTACAAAGGAGTGAGAAGTCTGAAGTCATACAATTTGTCAGAGAAATGCAAGCAGTTTAGCATTATAGGATTAACAAATGTTGAGGTGGGAAAAATTGTAGAAAAATGATTAGGGGATGAAGAGCATGTGGTAATGCTCTGGGAGAATTAGGAACCATAAGCATGATCATTATTACTCCCATTTTGAGGAAGCTGATTCACGTAGAAAGTCAAGTCAACAGAAATTTGCTAAGGAGCTGTCTCCTTTTAATTTAAATTCTGATTCCCTGAGATCATCTCACTTAAGCCTCAGATGACAGGGGGATTGTAGAAGAGAGCCCTTCCCTGAACAATTAGCATTACAAAAGAGGGCATTCTTAACCCAAATGAATCTTCAATGGATAGAATACCTAAGAGCAATCATTTGTTTCATATTTTCCTTTTGAAACTACTTAATAGAGATACCTTAATAGAGATGCTTTACAGATGCACGGTTGGAAGACTAGTATAATGTGTGTGCTTTTAAACACATACAGTTTTTTAAAATAATGTCACTTCATTTCTGAATATTTGAACATGACTATCCTAAGACCGAGTGTATTCTTCTAAACAATCAAACTCAAAAAAGCAGTCAGGTAATTTATAATAATTCACTACTACCTACTATCATCTAATATAAAGGGAATCCTCAAATCTCTACAAGGGCCCCAATATTATACCCCTCCCCAGTCTGGGATCCAATCAAGGATACGACATTACATATAGTTTTCAGTTTCTTTCTTTGTTTCTCCAAATCTCCTGAATCACAAATACTTCCCAACCTCATTAGTCTTTCAAGATAAGTGACATTTTCAGAGTCCAGAACGATTTTGCTTTTTTTCCAGAATGTCCCTTTGTCTGATTGTTCTCTTGTGATTAGATTTGAGTTCACCATGCTTAGCAAGAAAACTACATGTGATGACCTTCTCCAAGAGTCACACAGCAGATGACATCAGTTGGTTTCATCACTGGGACTGATGTTTGAACACAACATCAATAAGACTCTCTCTAGATTTGTCTACTCTATATACTCTGCGTACCAGGAGACTGAGGCCATGGGGGCTGCCTCAGATTTTCCATTAGAGGATCAGATCAGTGGATTGAGTATATTATGTTTCTTGTATTTTCTCTTAGAAAAAGAAGAAATCTAATTATGTTTTATCGATGTCTAAATATATTTGACCTAATGTTTTCTCATGTGACCATCACAACAGTCCTGCAAATCATAATCATTATCCCATCTCTGATGAGAAAACTGAGAAACAAAAGGCCAAGTGAAATCTCAAGTTCACAGAGTAATGGCAGATCTCGGCCTTGAACCCCTCTCTTCTTACTCTCAATGCACTGTCCTTTCCTGTGTGTGTGTCAGCTGCACTCTCCTGGGTATTATAGAGCAAACACATACTGAAGATTTCCTGTGCAGTTCATCACCACTAGAGGGAGGGAGAGGATCTCCAAAGTTAACATGTCTCCATTCATTTGGGCTAGAAATTACTTGACAAGTCAAACTATTAATGTAAGGTAATTACATACACAGGAATAAATAAAGAAAAAAATTGTGTCCTAATTGGTGTCCCCTGCTTTTTTTTTTTTTTTTTTTTTTTTTTTTTTTGCTGCTAATGGCTTAAAATTGATTGCATATGCATTAACTACAGACGTAATAGAGGATGATTAAGGACAAGTATGAATACCAAAAACTACATAATGAATGTCTGACTCATATTTTATTTACAGTGAGGTTTCAGGCAGGAACATGAAGTTGGCTGTTCTTTTACAATGTATGTTATCTACCTGAGGCATAAAGCATGTGGTACATGAACATACAGAGCAGATGTTAATTATTACTATTTTTCATGACTCTATCTCTTTCTTTTTACAAAAGAGATCAAAAGTCATTATGGCACGTGAATTTGGCTTTTATTACCCTGTATTGTTTTAAAATGAAAGGCCTTAACGTAGGTTTCTGCACATCACGTCTCTACCTACTACAAATAAGACACCATTGTTTAATTCATCCCTTAAAAGCTCATTCGTATGGACAAAAATGGGCAAAGCTAATCTCTATATATTTCAACTGATTATGTGTTACAAAAATAAACCCTAACTAGAGATAAAACTGGCAGCTTACATTTTCAACAACTTATTTTTCTTGATTACAATTTAAAAAATCATTTAGTGAGAAAAAAAAGGAAGAAAGAAACACAGTATTGTAATGTCAACCCTATGAAAACAAATATCCAGAATGTTCTGGGAAGAGCTCAGTTTGTTCTATAATTTGAAAACCACTGGGAACTGCTAAAGTGAATAACAAAAAAATCAAAATTTTATTAATATTTAAAATGCTGAAATGGAGAAAATTCAAAGTAGCATTCAGTTCAGTAGTAGAAAATGTGTAATTGTGTTAGACTTTAAAAAGAGAAAAATAACAATTTTTATTTCCGTTCTGTCCAGCAGTCAGATGATGTGCAAAGGGCAAGAAGGTTAAATAAATAGATACGATCATTCCAAAGACTCAAGTTGTTTGAAAGCAGTGTGAGCACACCTCCTCCAAGGAGAGTCGGGTTGTTATGAAGTACACCCAGGTTGCAGCGATTCACCTTACATGAGGGGAAGATGAAGAGCTCTTCAAATGAAGAAATGTGCTTTGCACATTCTGGCCCACTAAAACACTTTCTGCTCCAAACAGAAGTGGTATTTGCAGGCCCTACTTTGGAAGGTTTTATAGATAGGTCATGATTACTTCCTCTGACCAAATCCATTTTGTACAATCTTGCTATGGTTCTGTATCCTTGGCCTTCACAGTTGGTGTACATAGATGCCAAGGAATAAAAAGGATAACAGCCATCTGGTTCTCATCTCAACCAAAGAGGCAGGTTTAACTAGAGGAAATGGGTGCATGCTCGTGTGTCAAGTTATTTTTATTAGACCTGAAAGCAGAACCCTGGAATGTTGTACGGGGAGAGGTCATGCAATCTTTCCTTTGGAGACCTTTAAAACCACAGTAAATTTCCATATTGGTGAGATGATAGTAGTGTGGTTCTGCCTAAGAGAAAGGAAAGGATTACTAAATGAGTCTTTAGGCCATTTCAATGTAATTCTGCAGGAAATTCTAAAAAAGACCCTTACAAATTAATGGTCTTGGTTATGATTTTTATAGCCTTATGTCACCACAAAGGGGTGCTATTGCATTAGTTTATGTCCTTCCTGGGAAAACGTCTTCAGTATTTTCCAAAAAAAAAAAAAAAAAAAAAAAAAATTCCTACATAGGCTTTCAGCAATCATTTTGGCAGCATCAAGCAGTAATTCATTGTTTATCATGTGTTTTGGAATGACAGGGATCTGTATTAAAATCAATATTGCTAAGATTTCTTTGGATTGTTTACAGGCATACCTTGGAGGTATCATGGGTTCAATTCCAGACCATGGCAATATAGTGAATATTGCAATAAAGCAAGTCTCAATAATTTTTTGGTTTTCCAGTACATAGAAAAATTATTTTTACATTATAATCCAGTCTATTAAGTGTAAACATTGTGTCTAAACAATGTACATACCTTAATTAAAAAAATACTTCATTGCTAAAAATGCTAACGATCATCTGAGCCTGCATCAAGTCCTATGTTTTTGCCAGTAGAAGGTCTTTCCTCAGTGTTGATGGCTGCTGACTGATCAGGGTAGTGGTTGCTGAAGGTTGGGGTGGCTGTGGCAATTTCTTAAAATAGGACAACAGCAAAGTTTGCCACATCAATTTAACTCTTCCTTTTACAAAAGATTCCTCTGTAGAATGCAATGCTGTTTTTTTTTCTTTTTCCCTCCTTTACCTATGCCAAACCATATGATGCTGTTTGAGAACATTTTCCCCACAGTAGAATTAAAGTCATTTCTCTCAAACCCTGACACTGCTTTATCAACTAAGCTTATGTGATATTCTAAATCCTTTCTTGTCATTTCCACAATGTTCATAGCACCTTTACCAGGGGTGCATTTCATCTCAAGAAACCACTTTCTTTGTTCATCCCTAAAGAGCAACTCATCATGTGTTCAAGTTTTATCATGAGATTGCTGCAATTCAGTTACTTCTTCAAGCTCCCTTTCTAATTCTAGTTTTCTTGTTATAATTTCCACTTTACCACATCTGCAGTCCACTGAGGCCTTCAGTGCCTCAAAGTCATCCAAAAGGTTGAGATCAACTTCTTCCAAATTCCTGTTCATGTTGATATTTCAAACTCTTCCCATGAATGACAAGTGTTCTTAATGATATCTAGAGTGGTGAATCCTTTCCAGAAGTTTTTAAGTTACTTTTTTTTACCAAATTTATCAAATGAATCACTATCTGTGGCAGCTATAGCCTTATGAAATAGATTTCTTAAATAATAAGATTTCAAAGTCAAAATTACTCCTTGATTCATGGATTTAGAATGAATGTTATCTTAGCAGGCATAAAAACATTAATCTCCTTGTACATCTCCATGAGAGCTATTGAGTGACCAGGTGCATTGTCAATGAACAGTAATATTTTGAAAGGAATTCTTTTTTTTTCTGTGCAGTAGGTCTCAACATGGGCTTTAAATATTTAATAAATAATGCTGTAAACAGATGTACTGGCATCCACACTTTTTTTTTTCATTTCTAGAGCACAGGCAGAGTAGGTTTAGCATAATTCTTGAGGGCCTTAATATTTTGAAATAGTAAATGAGCATTGGCTTCAACTTAAAGTCACTGGCTGCATTAACTCCTAACAAGAGAGTCAACGTGTCCTTTGAAACCAGGTATTGACTTCTCTCTAGCTAGGAAAGCTCTAGATGGCATCTTCTTCCAACAGAAGGCTGTTTCTTCTACATCAAAAGTCTTTTTAGTATAGCCACCTTCATCAGTTATTTTAGCTAGATGTTCTGGATAACTTACTGCTTCACCTTACACTTTTATGTTATGAAAATGGCTACTTTCTTTAAACCTAATCAACCAATTTCTGCTGGCTGCAAACTTTTCTTCCATAGGTCAGTCACCTACTTCAGCCTTCGTATAACTGAAGAGCTAAAGCATTGCTCTGAATTAATTTTTGGCTTAAGAGAATGTGTGGCTGGTTTAATCTTCTACCCACACCACTAAAACTTTCTCCATATCAGCAAGAAGGCTGTTTCACTTTTTAATCATTCAAATATTAAGTGCAGTAACACTTGTAATTTCCTTTAAGAACTTTTCCTTTGCATTCACAACTTGGGTAACTATTGGCAACAAGAAACGTGGCATTTGGCCTATATTGACTTTTGACTTGCCTTCTTCACTAAGCTTAATCATATCTACCTTTTGATTCAAAGCGAGTAATGTGCAGCTTTTCCTTTCACTTGAGCACTTAGAGGCCACTGTAGGGTTATTAATTGGCCTAATTTCAACATTGTCATGTCTCAGGGAAGAGGGAGGCCTGAGGAGAGGAAGAGATGGGGGATATTTGGTTGGTGGAGCAGTGAGAACACGTAAAGCACTAATTGATTAAGTTTGCCATCTTATATGGGCATGGTTCGTGGTGCCCCCAAGCAATTACAATAGTGACATCAAAGGCAATCACAGATCACCATAAACAGATATAATGTTTTAGTCTGTTCTCACACTGTTAATAAAAACATACCTGAGACTGGGGAAAAAAAAAAAAGAGGTTTAATGGACTTACAGTTCCGCATGGCTGAGGAGGCCTCACAATCATGGTGGAAGGCAAGGAGGAACAAGTTATGTCTTATATGGATGGTGGCAGGCAAAGAGAGAGTTCTTGTGGAGAAACTCCCCCTTATGGAACCATCGGACCTGGTGAGGCTTACTTACTATCATGAGAACAGCACGGGAAAGACCTGCCCCCATGCTTCAATTACCTCCCACCAGGTCCCTCCCACAACACATGGAAATTCAAGATGAGATTTGGTTTGGAGATCTGGTTTGAGCCAAACCATATCATATAATAATACTGAAGAAGTTTGAAATACTGTGAGAATTATGAAAATGTGATACAGAGACAATAAGTGATCACATAGTGTTGGAAAAACGGTGACAACAGACTTGCTTGACAGAGGGTTGCCTCAAATCTTCAATTTATTTAAAAAAAAATGCAATGTCTATGAAGCACAATAAAGCAAAGCACAATAAAACGAGGTAAGCTTATGTAACAATTTCTTTAGAAAAATACACACAATCTTTGGATTATTGCTGTGCATTCATTACAAACTACACTTTTTAAATTTTTCTTTAGGCAGTGATGGGTGATATGGTTCTTACCTTGACCACTGTGAATCAAATTAATGTCTTATGCTGCAGTCATATAACCCTTTTGGGGTTAGGATTCTGGCATTAAAGAGCAATTGTTAGATCTGCAGGATAGTCAGAAAGCTCAGTCTTCTTTGAGAAATGATATGTGGTAAAACAAGAACATTCAGCCTGTGACTCCAGGAATAGTACCTCCTATCCACTCTTCCCTGGCAGGGAGTATGAAAAGAACAAAGCCGTCTACAGTCCTGTGTGTACTCACTACCAACAGTCCTCTGTTTCCCTTTTATCTTGGGTACAATGACAAAGCAGGCTGTCTGTTCCTGACCCAGATGGACTTCAGAACTGTAGCTCACAAATTTCCCCTGTGATGAGCAGAGGACCCCATTCGGGGCTGAGGAAGTCAGGTGAAGCCACAAAGCTTGGAGTCTGAAATCGCCTGAGCTGAGTCTAAAAGAGTTTCAGTAAGTAGCTTTCTGCTCTGAGAGCTGTGGGGTAGAGAGAGAGAGGAAACAAAAAAAGTAAAAACTTTCATTTCTTCTGACAAGACTTTGATGAGGAGACTGGGGACTTGAAGATAATGTAACTTGTAGAGAGTTGGGGCTTTGATTGTATATTAGGTTGTGGTATTTGGAGTTGGGGGTTAAAAATGTGTTCTGACATGCTGTACAAAGAAGGGCTATGTTTTCTGGTGTTTGCAAGTGAAATTAATTTCAAAATAGCTGAGGGTTTATTAGTCCCCCTCAGAAGAGTTTAACATCCCTTTATCTAGAAGCTTTGCTGTGGCTGTAGGAAGGGTTAGTGTGTTTGGAAAAATTGACAAGGAATCTTTGTGTTTATATTTGCCCGCTGGGACTTTGACTTGTGAGTATGTGAGGGGCAGAAGTGTGTTAAGGTGCTACAGTGATTAGCGGAGAAGCTAGACACATGCAAAGTGAATCAGCAGAGGGTGCAGGAAAACTGCCCTCAATCCAGAATCACCATCCTATGACCATGACCCCCGACATGTCATTAGTCTGTTGATTTTTCTCCTTTCCTGGAGACCAGGAAGCCCCTCGATATTTGTCAAAAGTGGAATATATGTTTTATCACATATCTTGAACCTCATCTATTTGTAGATTCTCCTGGAGGCAGTATGTTGAGGGAACAGGAGGTTAAATTTGGTCACAATAGGAGTGTTGGGAGATCTGTCGATCTTTGCCAAAGGCATGAGGTCATCAGTATTCAGGGAATTTGAAAAGGGGGTGTATTTTGAATGTTATATTTCCAGTAACATACTGATTTTAGAGTAGACTGTGTGTCAGCAAAGTGAGGGCAAGCCCCCAGTCTTATGTGTTAACAGGAAAGAAAGGATGAAATTCTTAATATCTATAGTAAAGTGAGTGATTATCCATTATTACCTTCTCAAATTATTTAACTAGAAATTTTTTTACAAGCCACATATGTCATATTAGTGATTTTTTCACAATTTATTGTTTATTAGTGGTAAAAGAATTTCCATCGAACTTTTTAAAAATTTCAACTTTTATTATAGTTTAAAGTATACATGTCCAGGTTTGTTACATGGGTAAATTGCCGATGCCGAGGCTTGAGGTCCCAATGATCCCATCACCAAGGCAGTAAGCATAGTACCCAATGGGCATTTCTTCAGCTCACACCCCCACCTCCCTCCCTTCCCCGTCTAGTGATCCCTAGTGTCTATTGTTCCCATCTATACATTCATGTGTAGTCACTGTTTAGCTCCGACTTATAAGTGAGAACATGCAATATTTGACTTGCTAGTATTGCAATAGCTTGCCTAGGATAATGGCCTCCAGCATCATCCATATTGCTGCAAAGGACATAATTTTGTTCTTTTTTATGGCTTCCTAGTATTCCATGGTGTATTTGTACCACATTTTTTAAAAAATCAAATCCACTGTTTATGGGCACTTAGGTTGATTCCACTTCCTTGCTATTGTGAACAGTGCTCCAATGAACATATCGTGCATGTGTCTGATAGAATGAATTGTTTTCCTGTGGGTATACACCCAGTAGTGGGATTATTAGCTCAGTTGGTACTCCTATTATAAGTTCTTTGAGAAATCTCCAAACTGATTTCCACAGTGGCTGAACTAGTTTTTATTCCCACCAACCATGTATAAGCATTCTCTTTTCTCTGCTCCCTTGACAACATCTGTAGTTTTGTGATTTTTTAATAGTCACCATTCCAATTGATGTGAGATGGTAACTCATCATGGTTTTGACTTGCATTTCTCTGATGATTAGCGATCTTAAACATTTTTGTATATGTTTGTTGGCCACTTGTGTGCCTTCTTTTGAGAAATGTCTATTCGTGTCCTTTGCTTATTTTTCACTGGGATTTTTTGCTTTTGTTTTTGTTTTTCGCTTGTTGATTTAAGTTCCTTGTAGATTCTGGATATTAGACCTTTATCAGAGGCACAGTTTATGAATAATTCCTCTCATTCTATATGCTGTATGTTTACTCTATTGGTAATTTGTTTTGCTCTGCAGAAGCTCTTAGTTTAACTAGGCCCCACATCAATTTTTGATTTTGTTGTAATTGCTTTTGGGGACTTAGCCATAAATTCTTTCACAAAACCTAGGTTGAGAAGGGTATTTCCTGTTTTTTTTCTAGGATTTTTATATTCTGAGGTCAGACATTTACATCTTTAATTCATCTTTAATTAATTTTCACATATGGTGAGAGGTACGGGTCTAGTTTCATTCTTCTGCATATGGCTAGCCAATTCTTCCAGCACCATTTATTGAATAGGGAATCCTTTCTCCATTGCCTATTTTTGTTAATTTTATTGAAGATTATATGGTTGTAGACTGGGCAGTTTACAAAAGAAAGAGGTTTAATGGGACTTACAGTTCCACATGGCTGGGGAGGCCTCACAATCATGGTGAAAGGCAAGGAGGAGCAAGTTCATCTTACATGGATGGCAGCAAGCAAAGAGAGAGCTTGTACAGAGCAACTTCTATTTTAAAAACCATAAGATCTTGTGAGACCCATTCACTATCACGAGAACAGCACAGGAAAGGCCTACCCCTGTGATTCAGTCATCTCCCACCAGATCCCTCTCACAACATGTGGAAATTATGGGAGCCACAAGATAAGATTTTGTTGGGGACACAGAGCCAAACTATATCAAGTACTATGCTGTTTTAATTACTGTAGCCTTATAGTATAGTTTGAAGTCAGGCAATGTGATACCTCTAGCGTTATTCTTTTTGGTTAGAATTGCTTTGACTATTTGGGCTTTTTGGTTCCAAATGAATTTTAGAATAGATTTTTATAATTCTGTGACAAATGATATTGGCATTTTGATAGGGATAGTATTGAATGTGTAAGTTGCCTTAGGCAGTATGGCCATTTTAACTATACAGATTCTTCCAACCCATGAGCATGGAATAATTTTCTATTTATTTGTGTTAGAGAGTCTCTGATTTTTTTGAGCAGTGTTTTGTAGTTTTCCTTGTAGAGATCTTTCACCTTCTTGGTTAGATGGATTTCTATGTTTTTCATTTTATTTGTGGCTATTATAAATGGGATTATGTTCTTGACTTGGTTCTAAGCTAGAATATTATTGGTGTATAAAAATGCTACTCGTTTTTGCACATTGATTTTGTATCCTGAAACTTTCCTAAAGTTATTTATCAGTTCCAGGAGCTTTTCGGTGGAGTCTTCAGGGTTTCCTATGCATAGAATCATATCTTTGGCAAAGAGAGAATAGTTTTACTTCTTTTCCTGTTTGGATGTGTTTTATTTATTGCTCTTTTCTGATTTACCCTGGCTAGGACTTCCAGTACTGTGTTGAATAGAGTGGTGAGAGTGGGCATCCTGTTCTGCTTCCAGTCCTCAAGGGGAGTGGTTCCAGCTTCTGCCCATTTGGCATGATGTTGACTGCAGGTTTGTCCTAGATGGGTCTTATTATTTTGAAGTATGTTCCTGCAATGCTTAATCTGTTGAGGATTTTTTTTTATCATGAAGGGATATTGGATTTTATTGAAGTCTTTCTCTGCATCTATTGAGATGAGCATATGGTTTTTGTTTCTGATTCTGTTTGTGTGGTGAATCATATTTATTGATTTGCATATGTTGATCCAACATTGCATCCCAGAAATAAAATCTTCTTGATCATCTTAAATTAATTTTTTGAGGTGCTGCTGGATTTGGATTGTTAGTATTTTGTAGCGGTTCTTTGTGTCTATGATCATCAGGGATATTGGCATGAAATTTACTTTTTTCATTGTGTCTCTGCCAGATTTTGGTATCAGGATGAGGCTGACTTTTTAGAATGAGTTAGGGAGAAACTCCTCCTCCTTGAATTTTTGGAAAAGTTTCAGCAGGAATGATGTCAGTTCTTCTTTGTGCATATGATAGAATCTACCTATGAGTCCATCTGGTCCAGGTCTCTTTTTTGGTTGGTTGTTTTTTTAATTATTGATTCTATTTCCAAACTTCTTATTGGTCTATTCAGGTTTTCACTTTCTTCCTGATTGAATCTTTGGAGGCTGTGTGTTTTCAGGAATTTATCAATTTTGTCTAGATTTTCTAACTTTTACACAGAGGTGCTCAGAATAGTCTCTGAGGATCTTTTGTATTTCTGTGGGAGCGGTTGTAAGGTCATGTTTGTCATTTCTGATTGCGTTTATTTGAATCTTCTCTTTTTATCCCCTTTGTTCATCTAGCTAATGATCTATCAATTTATTTATTCTTTTGAAGAACTAACTTTGTTTCATTGATCTTTTGTATGAACTTTTGGGTCTCAATTTCATTGAGTCCTTCTCAGATTTTATTTATTTATGTATTTAATTCTGCCAGCTGTGTGGTTGGATTGATCTTTTTCTAGTTCCTCTCATTGCATCCCTTACTCTTCTCAAAACTTAGAACCAATTAATAGCAGTATCTTTGAAGATAAAGTTCTTTCAGTCCTTTTTCTAAAATCTTATTGGAAGAAGTCAATCTTTTCTTCAATATGCTGCATTTTATTAAAGAGAGTAAAAATAAAAAGACTTTTCGTTTCTTTCTTGGACGTTACATATACTTGAATTGCATGATAAGGTATCAGATACAAGGTTGAGGGGCCAAGAGGTATTTCAACTGAAATACTAACTTATGAAATGCATTGCCCATGAAGCAGTGAGAATGGATGTAAATGTGCAGACATATGGAATTTCTGGGTTTAACCCTGGCTCAATTATCCCCTTGCTGAGTTTCATGGACAAATTATTTAACCTTTCTGACTCAGGTGCCTTATCTGAAAAATAGAGGTAATTAAGATGAGCTGTAATTAGAGTCCTAAAGAATAGAGGATAATGGTAATTTATGATAAAGTAGATTGATGACATCATTGGTTTTCTTATCATTGTTCAATCCTCAAAGGACAATGAATACATTATTTTATTCTTATCCCAGCTAAGAAAGAGAGATTAAGTATATTGTATAAGAAACTTGGCAAGTGTTGTTCAGGGGAAAATGTAGCTTAATAAGTATGGACACAATAACAATTGCTTTTGGAATCATGTTCTCACTTTTGAGGAATGCCTTATAAAAGCAAGTACTTTATTTGAGAAAAAAAAGGTAGAAAAGAAAATATTAATAACACTGTATAATTTGAAGTCATGGTCCTAGAACAAAATTAAAACTAACCACTGAGATGTTTTGCATTAATTATATATGGTGCAGAGAGCATCTTGGTATTTGCAACAATATTACCTACAATGTTCATTAATGCACATGATAGTTATATTTAATTGAAGTAATTCTATTCACCACCCAACAGAATTTCAAACAACATTTAAATATTGCAAACATGTTGGTAATACATTCTCATTTTAAGAGTGGAGCTTCTAATTGTTTTTTTTTTTTTTTTTTTTTGAGACAGTCTCACTCTGTTTCCCAGGCTGCAGTATAGTGGTGTGATCTCAGCTCACTGCAGCCTCCAACTCCCTGGTTCAAGCTATTCTCCTGCCTCAGCCTCTGTAGTTGCTGAGACTACAGGCATGCACCACCATGCCCAGCTAATTTTTGTATTTTCAGTAGAGACAGGGTTTCACCATGTTGCCCAGGATGGTCTTGATCTCCTGACCTTGTGATCTGCCTGCCTCGGCCTCCCAAAGTGCTGAGATTACAGGTGTGAGCCACTGTGCCCGGCCTGATTTAATTTTTTAATCTATTTTATTTTTGACTTTTATCTTTATTCTAATTTGAAATAATGTATTTGCATGTAGAAAGATGACAACCCTTAGAATCAATCAGCACTGGCCTAAAACTTTCTGCCCTTTACCACCCAGCTCTTGAGAGTTTCAGTTTCCTCACTTGTAATATATAGTCATAAATATTTTGGTAGATACTGTTACATGAACATATAAGATTAGATGAGATAATCTATGAGATAGATAGCACCGGGTTTAACATACTATGACTGTTCAGTTTCCCTCTTCACACTTTCCCTTGTTGCATATTTCTTGCACACAATCAATGAGAGCTTGGATTCTTCAGTTTAGCTACTCACTTGCTCCAAGGCATCAAGTCAAAACGTCAGCAGAAGTCATTAAATGTTTTTAAGAAAATTGCACAAAGAAGTCTCTCCCTTGCTAAGCAAGGATATCTCTGGCAGAATGTAATGTGTTTCTTAAGTTTAGAAGTATAGGAAAAGCTCTCAGTTTTCTTATAAGAGGATACCAATAAAGCCTAAGAGTATGTAGTTGATTCTGCTTACACATAGAAAGGGGTTGCAATCTTATAGAGTAGATTCTGTCCAATTATGAATGCCAAGTATGGCACTGCTCCCTGCATTATTCTACAGGCAATAATTTGCATTTTTCTAGAGTTCTAGTGTTCAGTTTTCTCAAGAAATTCTTTTTTAAAATAATTAAGGAATGTTCTGATAAGAAAACCTTGTAAAGATAGTCATTGCAACTTATATAACTTTATTATAAGGATATGATATATTTCATTGAACATATAAAATCAAATTCAATACAGACAAGTAGTTTCATTTTTTATAGTAGAAAGATGAGGTAGTCCATAACTTCCCCAGTGTCCCCTCTAATGCAATTAGATTCCCTGCAAATGAGAAATTGATTACTGGCTGTCAAAAGATGAGGATTTGTTTAATAATTCTGAACCTATGCATTCAGAAAAAAACAAAGCATATATAAAGAGTTTCTCTCACCACTTACGTTGCAGGGCAGTTCCATAATTAGATATTTATCCATCCATAAAAGTCTTTTTAAAGGTATGATGTATACTATTGGAAATTATTATTCTAAACCATTTCACCCCAGATCTGGCTATAGCTATATAAAAAAATTAAATAGACTACAAGTAGTCCAATAGCAATATATTTCCTCACACTCTGTGTGTGGCATTTTACATTTGTGATTGTGCATTAGGAAAGTAACACAGCTATTGCAACAAATATAACCCAAAAATTTACTGCTTTTTTCCTTAAAAAATGTTTCTTAATCACATAAAGTGCAACAGTTTTCCTGGTTGATGGATGTTCCAGGTTGTTGGACAGAGCTGGGCTCCTCCCAACTTGTGGCTCTGCCATTCCTGAGAAACTCTGTTCTACTGAATCTGCTGTTTCAGGCTCATAGCTGAGAGGTAGGGGACAGAAAGAAGATCACATATGAAAAATTTTTATCTGTCTATCCTAAGAGAGACATAAAGTCAGAATTCAGTTATAAGGCCATATGCAATTGCAAGAGAGAAGGTCCTCAATAAATAATTATTGCAGACATAAATGCATAAATCCTGACAACAGCAATGGGCCAAAAGCAGATGGAGTGATCACTGATGTGTCTAATATCTTAGGGCTTGTGGATGGGTTATTACATTCAGAGAGAAGCAGTGGAGCTTTACGGATTCTGGAATTCGATCTGGCTATTCCATTCACTGGCATTATCTCTTTGGACAAGTGATGTAACTCTATCAAGCCTCAGTTATTCAATCTGTGGAAGAATAAGAAAAAGAAAATGAGCACTTTTGGTCACATGCTATTTTCCAGGAATGGTGGTAGATACATAATATAAAATACCCATAATCTCACTGCATTTATGCACAACCTCAATTGCAGAGCCACATTCTACAAGACTTAAAAGTGGTGGTTTTGGAGTTAGTTCACTTGAGTTCAGATTCCAGTTCTATCCACTTATTTGCTCAGTCCCTTTGGGCATGTTTCTTATTCACAGAGCCTCAGTTCTTCATCTATAAAGTGAGCATCATAATGTCAACCTTATAAGGCTGGTGTGAGTATGAGGAGTAAATAGGTTAGCATATATAAGACATTTGGAAGACCCCCGGCAGATTGCTTGTGCTCACTATATGTTAGCCATTGTTTGTATTGTTTTTAGCATTTCAATTATTATTACTACAGAGAAATACTATCTAGTCCTTATTGTACTTTGACACTTATTGAAAGAGCCAAACCATCCAATCATTGTGAGCATGATCTTGAGCTTGAACATGCCTTCTGTAGCCAACTGAGAAAAGCATTTACATTGGTATCATTAGAGAAAGTTCATCATATACTGGTCTTGAAGAAGATATTCCAAGAAAAATAAGAATTGTTACAAAATATAGGGTCTTTATTATCTCCCACTATGGTCAAAGCATAGCTGTGACACATTATAAGGTCTTTAGTGAATTATTTTACCACAGTGTAGCCAATGCATTTAGAATTCTCTTTATTTCAGTAAGTGTGAAAAGCCATGAGTAAAAGCTGTTAAAATGAGGAAGAAGATATGAAAGTAGGAGAGTGTTATAATTTTTTGGCCACTTCAACTCCAATTGAACACTTCCAGTAGCTACAAACTATTAGAAAACACTCATAGCCTCCTGCTTCTCCATTGTCTTGATTTTAATTTTTTCCCTTACTTGTATTTTATTTCTGAGTGGCTAATGGATCTTAGTCTAAGAACTGGAGGTGGAGGAGGAAAGGAGACTTGTCATTACGGTTTTTATGAAAGCATGGCTTTGTGAAGTTGTGTTGTCATTTCTTCAGGCTCTTAGAAACTGGGTACAAACAGCTATCAAAAGAATTCCTCATATTTTCAAAAGTAGCAGGCATGCTTCATCTTTGGAATGAGACCTAGGAGTCTTGAATAAGAAAAAAATCATCTTTCAATTTGAATCAGAAATAGGATGGGTGCCATAAGCTGAGAGAGCCCAGAGTTCTTATGAGAGAATTGTAGGCAATGAGATCATAAAGGCAGATGTAGCTCTAAGTTCCATATGTTTCCATTACAGATGAAGTTATGTAGACTTAATACTCTTGACAATGGAAGCCATTGACATTTCTAGGCAGATAAATGACATGAGGAAAGCAGTTTCACTAGGAAGAAAACTAGGGTAGTAATAGTCATTTCCCCCCCCCATTCTGTTCTTCCTACTACTCTTCCCAGTATTATTCCTCTGTTGACTCTTTGCATTCTTTGGAGCATACAACTGAAAGATATCATGGTGGCAAATGCTATCGTGGCTTGTGAACTGGGATGATATCATATGGAAGAGGCGTAGGGACAAGCCTGAAATAATTTTCAGCAAAAACTTTTTGGTGGCACTTTACTATTCTATTTCTGAGCCTAAGCTGGTCCCTATCTATAGATGAGAATAATGCCATGACCCACAGGCAATATCCCTTGAAAGCTTGGTGCTGAGAGAGCCTGAGAGGGGAGAGCCATTTTCTGGGTAATAACTTCGATCACCTTCAGGCTTACAGTGTGTGTTTGTCACAACTATAGAAGCCTCGTGAGTATTGATTTAGAGAAGATATTTTTAAGCTAGCTGGCATCCTCAATGCTAAAAACCTTAATCAGCATTTAATAAAAAATTCTTTCCAGTTATTTTGACTTGAGCAAATGACATCATATTATCTTAATGAGAAGTAAGTTAACAGCAAATTTTGGAAATTACATTTTGAGACTTTTAGTTGAGACACCAATGGAATCCCTGGGTAGGTTCCTTCTACATACATGTCTCTTTTAGACAACAGGTAGATAGATGGGCCATGCCACCTCATTTTTAGGTGCTCCAAAGGGAAAGGTGTCTTTTTTGGCAATGGGTAAACAGCATGAGAAGCAGGAGAGAAGCCATAAAAGAGAGCAAGATGGAAAATATAAAAGCAGCAAGGAAGGGGGCTATCTTTTGAACTCTTGGCTTGGTAGGTCACGAACTGGAAGTAAACGGCTTGCTCCTATGCTGATTTTGGGTTTCTCATAAGGGACGTTCATTTTTTTTTCTGCCTTTTCATACTGACCTCATACATATTTGGACAAATTTGGTTAAAAGGCAAAATGATCAATCTCTTTTGAGGAAGTCCAATTATGAGAGAAGTCTAGTCAATTTATGGGCAAAATTACAAGTGTTATTTTGATTACTTGGGGAGTAAGTGTTGGTTTGGATTTTGGAGGAAAAGGGTCAGGCTTTAGGTCAATGTGACTCAGACTTGGAGTCACAGATTAAAAGGAGATTTTATTTAGATGGTCTGGTCAGAGAGACACAAACTCCAATACCTGTGGCTGCTGCCGAGGAGAGAATGGAAATCAGTACTTCCTCATTTTGATAGAATCAAGTATGGCAAATATTTTTTTCTGCTCTATGAAAAGTTTTATTACCAGTGAGATGAAAAATGGCAACCGGCACTTTGCTTCTGTGTGGAGATCACAATTGGGATTAGGTTGAACTGGAAAGGCAAGCCCACTTGAAAAGGGCAGAGAAATCTCTGCTGCAGTTCATTGTTGCTATGTTTCTTTCTCTCTCTCTTTTTTTTTTTTTTTAGAGAAGCCAAAATTCAGGCTCTGTCAGCCTTACCTTTTCTCCCCACCCCCAGCTCTCACCTTTCTCTTCTCTCTTACTATGTAATCTCCTGATTTGTTTTTTCCACCTTGGTTCAAAAATCTTAAATATAGTTTTTTTGTTTTTTTTTTGAGACAGAGTCTCACTGTCACTCAGGCTGGAGTGCAGTGGCATGATCTCAGCTCATTGCAACCTCCGTCTCCTGGGTTCAAGCGATTCTGCTGCCTCAGCCTCCAGAGTAGCTGGATTACAGGCACCTGCCATCATGCCCAGATAATTTTTGTACTTTTTGTAAAGATGGGGTTTCACTATGTTGGTGAGGCTGGTCTCGAACTCCCGGCCTCAGGTGATCTGCCCCCCTCGGCCTCCCAAAGTGCTGGGATTATAGGCATGAGCCACCACAGCCAACCAAATATGCTGCATTTTATACAAAACACAACTGTGGGTGTGATATGTTCCACAGTTTGGACCCACTGGTCTGTTCTAACCTGAGGCCAAGATAAGTGACATGACTTGCCCAGAGCTAGCAAAATAACTGGCTCCAGAACAGAATTATTGGAATTGCCAGCATGTTTCTCCTTTTATAATGTACTTAGGCTCATTTTGGGAAATGCATTCTAGTGAAGAAAAAACATATTTTACAGGTACTTCCCCAGTTCAATTCAAAGTTATAAAACTAAAAATGTTTTTTAGCTGTTTAAACAATTATAATTTAAGTCTGTTCTTGAGTATTAGTATGTTTTCCTTGCCTATGAGCTTCCTTTTCTTTTGCTGGATAAACCACATGTTTACTGAGAAGTGGCTCTCCCTCATTTATCTGTGGTCAAGCCCATATATACTATTAAAAACCAATATTTTATAATGAAATTAAACTTGAAATTGTATTAATGCTAATATAAATGATTAAGATAATATACTTAGTGAAAGATATCAATACCTTTTTTATAATTGAATTTTATCTTGTAATACTGCTTGTTCCTTCAGGGAATATCTCTTTAGAAGGCCTTCTATTTACAGAATTCTTGCTCATTTAAAAACACATAAATTAACTCAGGAATCTGCTCAGAGGATTTTTTCTTTATAACAAACAATTAGCTTAATCAATTAATAGCTGCAACTGTAGTTGTAGTCATTACTAGGTTGAATTACTGAGAAATAAGTTCTGTCTTCTTTATTGGAAAATAATATGTCACATTTTTTTCTATAGTCATTTTTAATCTCCAAGGCCAAATACTTTATAATCATAAAATAGTCAAAAGTCAAATCAAGAATCATATATTGCTTTTTAAAGATTATACCATGGTTCTGTATGTGGACACAAACATAGTTTTTAAAATATATTTTAGTGTGAATCAATTTTCTTCTGAAAAGCCTCTTACGATGTGATATATAAGTATGTTGCATCACATGTCACTTATGCTTATTTTAGATATTCTTCACAACTTTATACAAATTTCAATGGAACAAAACTTTTAGCCAATTTCAGACACACAAGAATTAAGTTACAAATCAAGTCTTTTTCATGCAATATTATGATTTTTTTCTGTCATTTTATTTTCTTGTAGTTTTACCCGTAATAATTTACTTATTACACCTGTATGTATGCTCTGTATACATGCATAAAGAAGAAATACCATGTCACTCACACCTCGATAGATGGTGTGCTGTTGGATGGGTAGGTTTTCATTGTATGTCTGGTTATAGTCTTTCAGCAGAGAACATGTGCTAAATCATATACATTTCCAATTTGCTCTTTGCATTTGCTCCTAAGAGATACAAAGTTAACATTCTATTCTGATTTTGTATTAGTTGTCATCTTGTAATATGCAAATGTGATGTATTTTCTAGATTTTGAAATTTCATTCTCTAAAATTTCGCTGCAGCAAGAGTTTGTAAAATGATGGTTTCATGCAATTAGCATCTTATTTCATGGAGGGAAGAAAACCATTCCTGGCCTTTTTCACGGGTGAAGACTTTCTCCCTGGCTTTTTCTCCTAATGCAATTCAGTGTATCAGCTAACACTTTCATGTAACTCAAGAGACACTAACATACTTGTGAATATACTTACAGAAGCATAAATATGTATGTAAGGATTACTGTACTATATTTGTCTGCTACCATGAAACTGAGGAAAACAGGGTTTACTGAAATGATCTGCAGTGTGGCTGATGAAATAAAATTTTAAAAATTTACCTTTAGAGGGACTTCTTTTGATGCTGTACCCATAGTGGGCAATGTATTTTCAGTACACAAGTATATGGAGGTTCTACCAGTGAGTAAGCTATTTGGAGGTGAGATAAGATGGAGCAGACATAGTGATTACACAGTGCCTTGCCCACTGTGTGGAAACACTGTGGTTATTGTGCCTAGGATCTTGATAATAATGAAGACGAAGACAATGGTAGTGATGACAACAATGACAAATAGAAAGGTCAAATTTTCATTTATCCATCAAAGTTTTGATTAACAGTTTATAAGTCCTCTTATCTTCCAGCAGCAAACTTAACAGCCTTTGTTTGATCAAGTGCACTTCCCATGTCATGGGCTATATGAAGGGAAGTAATTGTGCTTGTGTGTATGTGTTTCTAATAAGAACTACTTTACTCATAATTAGCTGTGAAGCAATCTGCTATAATACTGAGTGCAGTTTTTATTTAGCATGTGATATATTTAGTCTTGAATTGCAATTCTAATTCTGTCTTCTATTAGGCATGTGATGCTATACGTGTAACTTAATCTCTTCAAGCTTCATTTTATTATCTGAAATATATCAATAGGGCATGCTTAAGAGTTATTAAGCTTTAAGGGAATTGAGATATGTCCAGGGCTCATAGAGTGCCTGGAACATGGTTATGTGCAATAAATCATGGTTGTTGGTATTATTACATTGTTGATACTGCTATGTTTATTTTATAGATTGTGACAATCCTTCTCTCCAAAGTCACAAGATAGAAGGTGCATATAACTTGCCAATTTATCTTAGAACTTTTATGATGTCACTGAAGAATGTTTTGGGATAATTCCTTTAGATCAATCAAAAATCTCAATATATGGCACCTTATTAACTTTAGGCCACCACTTTTTCTTGAATGACATTATTGACACATATATTCTTTAAGACACTTTTGCAATTTTATTTCTTAAGTAATATGTTAACTAAGAGACCTTAAAATGATTCAGTGATTTAATCATAAATATATAATATATGCACATATGTGTAAATATGCATAGAGATACATGGATACATTTATAAATATATGCAAAATGGATAGACTGTACTTGAAATAATTTGCTAAGACAAAAATCTGTCTGACTTCTCTCAAAATCTCAATTGATTCTTTACTTGCATGTTGTACCCAGTACGTATGGACAGAGAACGGGAAAGGTCAGATCTTGAGAGAACGTTTCTGCGCCCTCTTGAGTTAGTATAACCTCTTATCATTAACTAGAATTTGGGTATCTCTCAAAATGTGGTGCTCAGCCTATCATCCATCAAAATCACTAGGAAGCCTAATAAAACTATAACTGCTTAAGACCCACCTTATCTAGAATTAAAGTCAGATTCTCTGACATTGGTGCCTAAGAATTTGCATTTTAATAAACTCCCAAGGGAGTTGCATACTTCCTTGGTTGAATGCATACTAAGGCTTAGGGAGCATTGATTTGTGTCTCAACTTCAGCCAAAGGGCCAAGGATTGATGTCCAGAGTTTGAAAAAGAGACGTTCTCAGTCATTGAACACCCAGGTGTGACTCACATGGCATTGAGGACTGAGTTTCAGGTTAGATGCCTCCTGGGGTTTATAAAGCCCAGGCAATATTTTTGTTAACTTTGTACAATTTGAGGTATTGTTGGATTCAGTTGAGCCAAAGTGGAATGAACTCATTCATGAAATCAAGGATTTCAAAAGCACCTTTCCTGAAAATACTCAGAAAATGTTACACTTAGTGTGATCCATTTGTTTATTCATTCATTTTTTATGAACATTTATTGCATAATTTTACTGTGTTAAAAGCTAAGAATATGAAGATTAATAATGGAGTCCCTGTCTTTAAAGAGTTCATTGTCTACTGGGGTAGAAAAGCTTATATTTTTAGAAGTGTCCACTTTTCAGTAGATACCAAATTAGGACATTTAATCTTCTCAAGAAACCTATTTTATTATTTTCATTTTACAGGTTAAAAAAAGGAAAGGTTAGGTAACTTGTTCTGATCTCACATATAATAAGTGATAAAAACCACATCATCTTATCCATTTTATTCATCTTATACTGTCTCCTCAGAAAATAGAAAATCAACTTTTTTTTGTCTGTCTATTTTTGAGATGGAGTCTTGCTCTGACACCCAGGGTGGAGTGCAGTGGCACGATCTTGGCTCATTGCAACCTCTGCCTCCTGGGCTTAAGCGATTCTCCTGCCTCAGCCTCCCGAGTAGCCGGGATTACAGGTGTACACCACCGTGCCTGGCTAATTTTTGTATTTTTAGCAGAGATGGGGTTTTGCCAAGTTGGCCAGGCTGGTCTGGAACTCCTGACCTCAAGTGATCTGCTGCCTCAGCCTCCCAAAGTGCTGGGATTACAGGTGTGAGCCACTGCGCCCAGCTTGAAAATTGAACATCAAACACACACATACATATTTTAAAAGGGATGTGCATTCTATTAGGAGCTTGAAATAAGCTATTAATTGTCACTGTTCAGCATGGTAGTTGAAACCAGCCTTCATCCCTGAAAGTAATTTGTGACATGGGTCTTGCTTAAAGGACATCACTATAGATTGAAGCATTAGGTGTTTTCCTCATTTTACAGGCAGAGAAAATGAGCAATAGATGTTAATTTGAAATGATTTTTCTTTATAATCACGTAACTGTCTTATTCATTTATAACTTTTAAATCTTCTTGATGAGTGACTTTTATGTAATTGGTAAGGTAAGCAAGCCCAGATACATAAAAATAAATAGTATATATAACTTAAAATATCAACATGTGATGTTTGTTATTATGTACCTAGCAATTGATCAGAGACTGTACATCACAGGTGATTTTTAGATCTAGAAAAAGAAGAGCAGGAGTTAATGTGTACTCATGATTTTGCATTCAAAAGCAACTCTGAAATCAAGACATGGTTCACATTTTTTCAATATGTCTATATCTCAAAACTAAATTTAGACATGGGAAATAAATACTGCAATTCCAGTACATGCTTCAGGTGTAGACTTGCCTAATAATTTTTCATAAAACATGTGTTCTGAGTCAACAGTGCTGATAAATGAGGGAGAATTATAAGGGGACAATTAAAGAAATACATGATCAGTAGATTAGAGTTAAAGATGGAAAAAAATACAGGAGAAGGACTATGGAAAAACCTAAAGATATGACAGAGGTGCATATTATTTCAAATAATATCAAAGTCTGAAAGTTAGGTACATTTTATATATAATCCCTAATTGTCATGTTATTCAAGAAAGCCAGATAAGTAACTTATACAATGTCATCAAAGTGAGATTGAAAGCCTAAAATCAAATTCCGGCCAATGGAATTGAAAAGCCCCTACTATTTTGGTATTGCCCACTTAGATTACCTGTTCAAATAGCTTCATTCGGCCTTCATAAAAAGGAAGAAAATTATAGTGCAGAGTCATGTTCCTAGCCTTGAATTTATACTTTTAAAGTGGCACAAATGGTGTCTATAATTAATTGTAAACCCACATGAATTATCTGACTGTTCCTTTTTAAACATTTAGTGTAAAATATTCTGAGGAGTAGTGTTGCCTCTATATGTTTCCAACATATCAATTATTTTATAACAGATACATGGGTCAAATATGCTCATTAAAAATATTTTTTTTCTCTGTGATGATCATTTGAAAGACTTGTGATTTGATAACTAAGGAAGCAATTTTATTACTGAATATGCTGACAAGTGCAGAAAATTATAATCCTTCCAGCTCTACGTTATATCAATTTCAAAAGATTTATTGAGGGCTATGTTGTTGTCCAAATTATGTAAAGTTGACCCATACTTTCCAAAATATAGTTGAAATAAATTCACTAAAACTAGGGGGAAAGTTCTCAAATTAAATTTATATTTTTCAGGTTAAGTCACCACAGTAACACATCACAGGCAACTAAGTAACCTCTGCAGGGTTATTAAAAAGAGTTGACCTAATATTAAATCTCTTATCTATACAATTTAAATCAGTTTCTCTCTTTAATTCTAACATACGGCTTTTCCTTCTAATGATGGAATTATAAAATATGTAACTGACATATTTAGAATAGAGAAATTTTCTAAATAAATTTCTATAACTGATTTCAAATCTAGGTTTCATCATTTCTGGTTTATCTAATGGGCCAAACTCAATAGGAAAAATATTGTAAGCCCGTGTGAATCAATACTCTTGATTTTGTTTTATAGTTGTTTATATAGCACCAATACTAACATTATCTTTTTCTGCCTTCTATCAGACAATTCTAATAGATACTTATTTTAAGGGTCAAATGATCATTTACTTAGTTGAAAACACGTTTAGGAAAGAGTGTGATGTTAGGGTAACAGTAGTTTTTTCCAAAAACCATTTACTGAGGTGCAGGTAAGTGGAAATTTAACAAGTTTTTAGATGTTTAATTAAAATTATTTTCCCACTTTTTACAGGTCTAGCATACTATTTATTTGAGTTTTTCAGATAGTTTATGCATCATAGCAAAGTGGTTAAATTTTATTAATTATTTTTCATCTTACATGATAGTTCAGGAGTGAGCGCTTTTTTTTTTCCCTGTAAAGGGGCAGGTTATAAATATTTCCAGCTTTATGAGCCTATAGTCTCTATCCTGACTACTCGATTCTACCTTGTAGACAGTACGTCAACAAATAGGTACATCTGTGTGCCCCAAATCTTGATTTATGTACACCACCATTTGAATTTCATGTAATTTCCATGTGTCATGAAATACACTTCATTTTAGTTTTTTAACTATTTAAAAATATAAAAACAAATTCTTACTCATGGACAGCACAAAAACAGGCAGTGGGCTGTATTTGGCCAGTGGGTTGTAGTTTGCCGACCCCTATCCATTATCTTGAAGATATATGTAAAAAAGCCATGGTGTTTATGTGCTTACTTTTTCCTGTATGTTTTTATAATTCAAAAATCAACCTCTTTGCCCACTACATGGGAGAAGAAGAACATTTTCAATGAGAGCAATAACACCCCTGGCCGACCTCATGACTCCTAAAGACAGGACAAGCACAGTTGCAGGTGACTCGCGGCCTCCCATAATTTCTGAAGTTGTCTCCCCTTCTTGAGTCACACACACTGGGTTTCATGCCTTCTCTTCCTTGTTCCCTCACCAATGCTATCCATGGTCTCCTGGAGAAACTTCCCTTAAAGGGAAAATCCAGAGAACTTTGAGAACTCCAGCTTCCTTTTCAGCCAGGTTAAACTTACACTCCTTATGCAGGAAATGACAATTTCTCACACAACCGGCAATGCAGGTTGGAGAGGTTGGCCCAGAGACAGCAACACAGGACTGACAATGTTGCCCCAGATCATCTGAAAATTAGTATTGATTGATTGCTGTGCCTATTGTTCAAGAAATTAAATTTTACTCTCACGACAAGTCTCAAGACTCCTAGATGAAATTAATTCCAAGGTTAACAAGGCGCTTGCTTGGCATCGTGCTCTGTCTCCTAGGCCTTTGATAAATTATTGTTTTTCACATGCTAACTAATGAGGCACAAAAATCAAAATCAATAGAGATATGCATGCTTGTATCAGTTTTATTTTGGTATCATTTTCAATAATGAAATACTCCAAGTGCTTATTTCAGAGTATTTTCTTTTCTCTTTATGATTTATCTACTTTGGAAAATTGAATATTATGGAGATTTATTATGGCACTGCATTGCTATTCCTTTGTTCTTTGGAGAAAATATACTCTTAATCTCAGGAAGTAATTAATTTTATTTTCTAGAGAAAGTAATTATTGAAGTGAACTAAAGGTTCTTTCTCATTTGTGTCACTCCTTATGCATTGAAGGATCATTAGATGAGATTGTTACAATATATGGGGATTTCTCCATTTATATGCTTTAGCTCTCTGCCTCCTACAACCACATAAAGTGTGACGTGTGTAGCAACATGTATTTTTTATATATATATACACACACACAGTACAATATCCATAAAATGTATATGTGAAGCATATATAAATTTATATACTATGTATGTATGAATTATGTACCAATATTCATTCAATATATAGTATTTAGGAAATTCAGAGATATTCATGACTTTTCAATGTCACACAATGATCAGGATCCCAATCAAGTCATTTAGCTCTTTCCATGATACCATGTTGCTTCCTTTTAAAGAATGAAAGATACAGTTAAAATTAAGATTTGAAAAGAATATAGTCTCTTCACTTATCTTTAAACATACACACACACACACACACACACATATATTTACACATATATGTGTGTGTACATATATATTTCTAATTTTAAAGTAGTGTTTTTAATTCACATACGAGTTCCAAAGAGTGTATAGTGGGTTCCCACATATTCCACACCCATTGTTTCTCCCATTGTTAATATCTTACATTACCATGGTTCATGTGTCATGACTAATGAATCAATATTGATACATCATTATCAGCTTAAATCCATACTGTATTCCAGTGCCCTTAGTTTTTAATCCAATGTTCTTTTCCTGCTCCAGAGTCCCTTTCAGGATAGCATGTAAATTAATTACACTTAGTCATTGGGTTTCCTTACCCTTCTCTAGGATGTGACAGTTTCTCAGACTTTCCTTATTTTGGATGACCTTTGGAGCTTTGAGGAGTACTGGTATGGTATTTTGTAAACTGTCTCTCAATTTGGGTTTCTCTAGTGGTTTCTCATGATTAGAGTGGAGTTATGGGTTTTGAGGAGGAAGATGGCAGAGGTAAAAGTGTCTCTGGTCTCATCACATTATACCAAGGATACATACTGCCAGTATAGTTTACTACGGTTGATCGCCTGTTGGGGGTGATGTTTGCCAGGTTTCTTGTCCGTTTGGGGTGCCAGAACAGAATACTATACACTGGGTAGCTTATAAACAACAAAAAGTTATTTTTCACCGTTCTGGAAACTGAGAAGTCCAAGACCAGGGTGACAGCATGGTTATGATCTGGTAAAGACACTCTTCCTGGTTGCAGACTGTTGACTACTTGCTGTATCGGCAGCCTGGCTGAAGGGGTGGAAGAGCTCTCTTGGGATTATTTTATAAGAGTACTAGTCCCATGCACCTCCCAATCACCTTGAGGAGGTCCCACCTCTTAGTACCATCACCTCGAAGGTCAGGATCCCAACATAAGAATTTTAAGGGGGCACAAACGTTCAGACCATAACACCAGGTTCCTCCAATGTATAGTTACTTTCCTCCTAGCTTTCCACACTGTACTTTTTAGGAAGAAGTCACTGTGTGTAGCCCACAAAAAAGGGGTGGAGATTGAAATTTCACCTCCTAGACAGGAAGCTTCACTTGATTTTATTTCCATGGACTTATTATCCAAGGATGTTGCTTCTGCTGAATCATGCTGGTATAAAAATCTTGTCCTAGAGGTGTGTGTTCATATGAATTGAACAACTGTCCTACAGTTAACTTTTGATGTGTACTTACCTACTTACGTATACATTTTTTCTTTTCTTCATGGGATAAACAGTATAATAAATGCCTTTGGATTAAAGATAAGAAATAAGGCCATTGAATTAAATAACTAAACTAGAAGAGTTTATTTACTGGGCTTGGCTTCAAATTCGTTTTAATAGTCAATTCCCAGAGTTCTTTCAATTCCAGGGAGAGGTGGAATGGGATTTTACACATCTTTTTTTTTTCTTTTAAGAATATGAAGAATTTTGTGATAAAAGAAAAGAAAATAGAAAAGCGATGCAATTTTTTATGGGTAGTATTTTTAACATACTTCACATACTTGCTAAACATGCTATTTATTATATCCAAAACAATGAATGAAAGCATGACATCTTACTATCAACAAAAAATAATATTTAGATATATTTTTGGGGGACTCAACGATGGAAATGGCCACAGTAGCAACATTGGAGTTCGATTTTGAGAATTAAAATGACTATGCACCCAAACATGTGCTATTTAAAAATAAATGTGGGAAGCAGATATATCTTCCCACAATATAATTATATTCTATGTTTATTTATCACATCTTAACAGAAATATTTTGGGGGAGTTTAAATGGAAACAAATTGATAGCAGATATAAAATAAGAAGATTATATACTAGAATCTATATATTTGTTGAGATATTTTCAAATATATATTTATATTTTGAATGGACAATCTTCCAGCAACCTGAGTTTGAATTATTGTCTGATACCTAGCCATCTTTCATGTATTGGGCAATGCTTTTTTCATGGAAGTTTATATATTGGGCAATATTTTCTTACTCACTACACATGTCTCCAAAACATGAGTTAAATATTATGGAGTAAGTCTGAAAAAAAAAGTTATTTTCTTTTTCTAGCAATTCAGACCATTCTATCAATCAAGTGGACATATAACTATTTAATGCAAAATAAAAATCTAAAGAATAAAATTCCAAGCTTTATAATTTTTATTCTTATTCTTCTATTCTTTAGAGTTTAAGAAATATATTCTTAATAAATTTACACACCTCTATAGCATTTCTGCTTGACACAAAATACATATTTTATGGATAATACAGTACACTGTATATACATATATGAAATGTTATGCAACTGTGAAATATATAGGTGACCCTGTTGTCAAGGGAATCCAGAAAAATTATTTTTCAGTTGCACATACCAATTTATGCCAAAATATATTAAAGGGAATTAAGTAACACATGACTTAATGTTTGTGTAGACAACTAAATAAAATAAAATCATAGAAGTGATGCTGTAAGAAATATTGGGACTTAAAGAAGTTTGGAGGTTTTGCAATGATGTTGAAATGTATAGAACCCATAGTATTTTACTAAGAAGATTATCTGGATTTTATTTTATTTTTTTGAGAGACAACAAAAACTGTTCTATGATGTTGGCTTCTATTTAAGTCATAAAACTTCTATTGAAAGCCTAGGACTCTGTTCTACATGTTGGGACCACCAAGATGAGTGAGATTTGAAGCCTGTCCTCTGGGAATTCTGTGTTATAAATTTCATTATGACAGTTTGTAGTTACTCAATAAATTTTTCTTGCATTTTCACCAAAATAGAGTTACTGCATTTTTATTGCACAGATTATCATGTTATGAAATATTGTAAGTCTTTTGAAAAATTTCTGAGCCACTTTGACAGTCTCCTGTTGGAACACAAACTTATTCATTAGATTAACTCAACAAACACCTAAAATTTTATTTAAAAAGTGAATGCTCATGTCTACAGTCCTGAGCTAGGAATTAGAGGACACCAAAAGGCATAAAATACAGCCCATTTTTTCAAGGAACTCTCTATCAAATTAGGTACAAGCAAGATATTTATCTGAGAGTATCATCTTCTGGGCTCCAAGTCCAAGCTAGTAACTTTGATTTAATTATTTCATAAGCAGTTTTTATTCACTCATAAAGCCACAAATTTAGTTGTATTTTTGAGTAGCATCTGGAAACAGTAATACATACAACAATAACTATTATTATAATTTATAAGTAAAATTCAGGTAATGGAGCATAATATAATTAGAAAAATATCAACTCTGGAGTCAGACAGACCTGAGTTTGATATAGGTCTGTATCATTTATTAGCTGTGACCATGACCTAGTTTCTTAAACTTTCTGAGACTTAGTTTTGTAATTGCAGCAGGTAGATAAATTCTTTCAGTGTGGCTTGGAGGATTTAATATAAAACAGAGCTCTTTGAACATGCCTGGCAGAGCATAGGTATGGAAAACTACTAGGTATTCATCAGTGTTAGAATAATAAGACTTGGGCAATGGTTTACTGTTTTTAAAATGAATTGACCTTCATTATCCTATTTAAACCTCACACCAAATTTATCAATTCACTCATTCAGATAAAGAAGCCAGGAAGCCCAGTGACCAATGGAAATTTGACACATCAGGATTTAAATCCATGTTTTCTAGGTCTAGGACCTGCCCTTTCCCTAAATGATTAGGAATTGTGAGAATTTGATTTAGCTTTGTTCACACCAAAACCTACCTGCCTGGTTTTGGACTAGATATATAACTTCCTCATCTATGCATAGGGTGTTGTACTAAAATCCACGTTCACAGTTCTTTCTAGTTCTGTGTATACATACATTGAGAGGCAGCATAGTGTAGTTGTTAAAAGCATGGGTGTTGGGCATAAACTCTTGGGTTCAAATCTTGACTCTGCCATTTGTTGGCTCTGTAACTTTGGGAGAGTTACCAAATCACTTTAACTCTCATTTTATTCATCACTATGGGTTAATAAATAGTACAACTTCAGGGCATTTTGATGAGGAATAAATGAATTAAACTATGCAAAGTACTTAGAATGAAATCTGCTATAGAGTAAGCATTATGTAAGTATTTGCTCTAATTATCACCCTAAAATTGTAACAGCAAGTTCAATGACTTCAAGTGCACTATTTTAATGCTTCAAGTCATACAGTAGATTTGTTTAAACAATTATGTGGAAGCTTCCACAACCTAGCTGAGCTCATGGGCCCAATTTTATTGCCGCCCTTGTGTGACAGACGCAACATGCTAGCTCTGTTCCAAAGAACAGTTACTGGTAGACATGGTGCCACATATACCTGGAAGCAGTGGTTACTTGTCCAGTAATATGTACATATGTGTATGTATGTATCAATATATAGTCCACACCGAGCTTTCTTCTGGTAACCAAACTGACCTCATGAATCCATTTTTCTAAATTTTTGAAGTTGATTAGAATCCTTGTCAGTCTGACTACAGGGACCAATGGTTCTAATGTAGACATTTGCCGAAGCATCAAAAACTATAGCAAAAACTTCTTAGCAGAAGAAATATTTAAGCATTTACATTCTAAGCATATGGTGTGCACTTAAAATCATTTTGATGAGATGAATTATTAAAAATATTCTACTACATTCTGTTTATAAATAAACCTGTTTAAAATTATTTCAAGAATAAAAAAACATTCATTCAAATCTTTAAAACATATCACATTAATATTAGACCTCACTGAAAAGTAATTCCAATAATTGAATTTAAAAATATGGGCACAAATAAGACAATGGAGCCAACATAAAGTTACAGGTAAATATTTGGAAAATTGCTTAAAAGTGTAAAAGATTTAATTTTCATATCATGAACTTTCAGAACATATTGAAAAATATTCATGCCCAAATTGTTAAATATCGCGATGTTTACTAATTTAAGTACAAAATTTGTTTATAGTTTCCATTCTTTTATTTTTGTTTTGTAAGAATTATTTCTTAATTTATCTTCAGAGTTTTTGGACTGGGCATAGTAGCTCACATCTGTAGTCCCAGCACTTTGGGAGGCTGAGGCGGGAGAATTGCTTGAACCCATGAGTTTGAGACCACACTGGGCAATATAGAGAGACCTCATCTCTACCAAAATTTTTTTTAAAAAATTAGCTGGGCATGGTGGTATATGCTTGTAGTCCCAACTACTGGGGAGACTGAGGTGGGAGGATCACTTGAGCCCAGGAGGTTGAGGCTGCTGTGAGCTGTGATTGCATCATCGTATTCTTAGCCTGGGTGAGGGTGAGACCTTGTCTAAAACAAGACAAAACTAAAAAGAATTTTAGAAGAGATATAGAAACAGCTGACATTGTTCTAAGAAACTACTAGCACAGTGCAAAAGAAATATGCTTTCATTCCATTTTTTTCTTCTGTATTCACTCTTTCTTTTTTGCTAGGTGGCATGCATGCAGTGGTTTCATGGAGACCATACAATGCTTGAGATGATTGAGAAAAAGCGTTGCTTGTGCAAGGAAATAAAGGCTAGACAGAAAACGGAAAAGGGCCTTTGCAAACAGGATAGCATGCCTATCTTGCCCAGCTGGAAGAAGAATGCAGGTGCCAAGAAGTACAGCCCTCCACCGTATTCTAAACAGCAAACGGTATTCTGGGATACTGCCATATGAGTGTGTGCAGGATGGTGTGAGCTCTACATTTCTTAATATGAAGAGGGAGGTCGACTCGGTCATATGATAATGAACTGTTACATATCTTTTCTGTGGGAGTGGAATGCCACGGGAAGCTGTGCCTATTCGTGGCAAGTTCAAGATAAAATGCATATGTCCTTGCAATGAAGGCACACTTATTTATCCCGGATTATTTTGAATCCAGAAGATATTAAAATGTAAATATTTTACTAGTTTATGGGTGACATCTGAAATAATACACATTATACGTATATAAATTACAGAAATATCAAGAGTTTACTATATGATATAATTTCAGTATTAACTGGTTTGTTATCTCTTTTATATGTAATCCCTTGATGCCTTTTATTATTAATTTTTGCATTTAAAATGTTTTTTTTCCCTTGCCCACATTTGGTTTCTGTACAAGAGCTCACAACTATAAATCATGTTCAATCACGTAATATATGATCTGGTGCTAGTAACGTAGAAGTTGAATATCATATTTGTTAAGAGCATCTGTGCTTTTTAAGTTTCAAGGGTTTGACAGGAAATGAATGCAAATGTGATGCTTAATTTGGACGTCCAAGTTACATTGACAACAATATTTTTGCTACATTGGCTTTATAAGAATTTCTCTTTAGCATCCTCTGGCAATGGTTAGGCTAACCATTAGTCTGACTTAGTAATAACTAAGCAATGGTTAGTCAGACTCCAGAGAAAGTTACTAGGATATATTGGACATCCCAGCAGAAAACATTTCCTTCAGAAATGACTTTAGGGACATGTGTCCTTGCATCATTGATCTGATTGGAGGAGACCAGGGTTCACTGTGACAATGGAAGGAACAAGGAATTAATAGCTCAAGAGCATGACTGCTTTCAAGAAAGTGGGACCAGTGGCATTGTAGCCACCATAATCACTATATTTAAGTAACTTTTCATGTGTATGCTTGTTTCCCCAAGAAAATGAGAAATAAACATTCAACTAGACCAGTTTACATATTTTAATACACTAAATGCCAATCTTTCTAAAAGTTTAGATCTATTAATAAAATATGTATTTCTTGTTAATTTTTTCAAACTGGTTATCACCACATTTCTGGGTCATAATCTTCTGTATGTGATCATCACACCCATTCTTACTGATTATGACACCATGACCAAAGAATTATGATCATGTTTCATTTCATTTTGTTTCAAGAAAGAGACAGGAAATGCAGGGGATGAGGGATGGGGTGGATTCAATTTTATGTAGTGGTGAAATTTAAGTTAAAAAAATCATATATATCTTTTAAGAAGAACTTGTTAGTTGAATATAAATATTGCCACGAATGAATAAAAAAGAAACTATCGCATATATTTTGTATATTTAAATTACTATTTATGCCTCCTAAAATTGATAGTATGTGGTTCTTTGTTAACAATCAATTTAGTATTATATTTCTGAGAGAAAAGATGTGTTTTTGAAGTTATTGTTATAGCAGTTTTTCTTGTAAGGGTATTGACAGCAATAGTTCAGTGCTGCTCAATAAAACCAAATATAACAGGAGTTAGAGAATCTTTGTAATCTATATTGCTACAAACCTAGTAATGCTTTATCAGTAATAGTTTCTTTCAAAAGCCTTTTCAATGTTATAACATGATTTTCTAATGTTTTATAATTAATGTGTATTTTGATGTCCAATTCAAATTCTGAAAAAATAAGGAAAAAGGTAAGTGGGAGCAGTGTATGGTTGGTGTGTCTGTGAGCGTGCGTGCATGTGTGTGTGTGTGAGTGTGTGTGTACATGAACGAATACTCAGTGGGAGAACTGTATACATAAAACGCTTACTGAAGTTGCAGGTTCTGCTTGTATAATTGAGGTGGTAGAAAACCGGGATCACAAATGCAGGAAATTAGGAAGGGATCTTAAGTAGCTTAAATAAAACCCGCCAGCATGTTTCACCAGCTATAGATTATGTTTCAAACCAAATAATCTATGAAGCACAAATCTAAGGGTGATGAAAATGTGTTTAGATAAAATCAGAATGGAAATAAAATGTGTTTATGACCCAAGTTGTTATCCTGATTTAAGTTATTATGACCACATATACTCAAGCCTATCAGTCAGACACAAGATACTAATTCTCAGCATGTCTATGATTACGTATATATTCAGGCTCAGTATGGTGATGATTAACCCTCCCTTAAAATTTATATTTAGGGAACATCTTTCTGTGGGGAGATGCAAGTGTGTTTTTCAGATGCGTATCTTTCCCATATCACTCTGATTTAGGCAGAAAGTTTATTTAATGTTGGCCATTTGTCAAGAAGGAAACAAAAGTAC
This sequence comes from Homo sapiens, assembly GCF_000001405.40. Taxonomy (NCBI): domain Eukaryota; kingdom Metazoa; phylum Chordata; class Mammalia; order Primates; family Hominidae; genus Homo; species Homo sapiens. The sequence goes on from NC_000002.12 coordinate 225,700,873, forward strand.
TAAAATGATCTGTGTTGGATTAAACCATTCCTGTTTGTTCTATCAAACTTATGCTAGGGCCAGGTTTCATGCACTCCTTTTTCAAATGCATTATTTTCTGAGGCGGTAACTTGTTTGAAAATTTGACCTTAGGCAACCATTTTCATTTATTTCCGCAAATCTCTACTTAAGTGGAAAGTGACTGAAAGATCTGGAAAAGTGGCTTCACTGAGATTTGACTCAAGAACTGTTATTCTGTGCCTATACGATTGTCCACTGTGGCAATAATCATTCCATGATCAATTTCCTTTTTGTGTAGTGTTTCTCTAAATGGAGAAAAGGAGATCATTAGTATGTAGAGAAAAATAAGCTGACTCTCTGAAAGTAATCAACTGGGATACTTCAATATATTAATTTGGTCAGAATATAGCCTACAGATAGCCAGAACACTATGCCATGATAAAGCTCATATTTCTAGCAGTGCCAAAGAACAAATCATATCATGGCCTGGTTATCAGGTTGAAAGAGCTCATACTTATGAAAAATGGTCCTTTCACAGCAAATTTCATAGAAACAGAATTTTATTGGATGTCACAAGATGCTTTTATATGTGAAACACTCCTTAGCAGAGAAGATATAAATTTCTTTAGAATTGATGAAAAGAAAATATAAAAATCTGCATTTATTTCAATCGCAGAAGCCAGCATCCTCTGAGGTATAAGAGTAGTCTATTACATAAACACCGCTCACATCTCTCCCATGTTTATGCTACTGAAGCAAGCTTGGCGCCAAATGTGATGGATTTATGTAAATGAAGGTTAATACTCACCCATGTAAAATAATTAGAAAAGTAAAACAAAACGTCCGGAGATTTAAATTTGTAGTTTTAAAGTATTATATATTCAAATACATGCCAATTGTCTGGAGACAACTAGATACAACTTTACTTTCCAAAGTAGTGACAAAATTTTCTTTGAATGCTTCTAGAGAATAAAAGAATGTTTTTATTACTACATTTTGTTGGTAGGTCTTGCCTATACATGGAATTTAGTTTGATTCTTTTGAGCAAATCTAGTGACTACGTCAATAAAACTAAAGCCATTGGGTTATTATTTTAACTAATAAAATAAGACATCAACACAATGCACGTACAAATGCAATTTTAATATCACTTCCATGTTAAGACAAGTAGAAAAGAGCTTGTAAAATAACTACACTCACATGTGAAATTAAGAAACAATTCCTACGATTTAAGCAGTAAGTTATCCGAGATGAGAGGGAATTCACACTTGCAAAGAAATAGAAGTAGAATAGATAGCAATTCACAATTCATTGTGTCCCAAACTTAAGTGGAAATAAAAGAAAAATGGTACCTATAGCATTTAACATTATGTCACTACATCTTCCATGTATACAAAATAGACAGCTAATTGTAGAATGTGGACCATTTTTTACTAATCTGTTATTTAACAGTTGATTATTGAGCAAACTTATGTATCAGGCATTTAAAAATTCTAAAGCACTTGGTGTTAAACATTGAAAAAGATGTTGTCCCATCCTTCAAGGAGCTTAATTATGCAATCATCAATATTTTCAAAATAAAGCCAATTGTTTTTAAGAAGATATACAATTGTGTTTACATATGGCATTCTCTTTTTTTTCAGATCAAGTGTATAGTCAAGGTAAAATTCTAAACATACTAAACTTAATGTCTAAGTATAGAATATGTTTATGTGTAAGCCTCGATGTGTGCATATATAATATGTACTGCTGTCTATGTAAATCATTAAAAGGGTAACACATTTTGCCATGTTGGACTTGAACATTGTGACTTGGGGTTTGGATGATTTAAAACTCTTTGATATTTGGGTCAATTACATTGCAGCAAAATGTGTGTAATATGGAAAAAATGTCTTATTATATTTCCCTTTAAATATTATGAAGTTTCAAATTTAAGGGGAATTTTTTTAAAGAAATGCTGTTGGATTTGTCTCAACCAAACATGAAAATTCTTTTGAAGTGTTCAATTGTTCCCAAATATAACTGGGTTTGCCCACCCTAAAAGCATCTACATTTACACATGTATACACCCACGTACAGTATACATACTGTATATAATATATATGAAAATGTTTAGTATGCACTTCTTTTGATTGGAACTCCTTAAGTTAACATTTATAGTGTAGCAACTTGTGTAAAGTGCACTGTGATTATAAAAAACAAAGCACAGTAAAGTCACAGGTCTTGTTATCTTGCACTAAAAATGTGTTTACGTATTTAGCAGTTGTATGTTTACTTTCTTGCTCTTTCAGACAATTGAAACAAATAGCTATGAGAAGATGATATAAAAATAATATGTTTTTTAGTGGATAACGGCACTACATTTTTAAAAGACAGGGTTTTTAAAGAAAACCATTTAACATCCATTCCAATATAACATGTTTACCATATCTAAAAATTTGAATGTCATATTGCATTTTTCATAATTCATTAGAAATGTCAGGTATGTGCCTGAAAATTTGTGCAAATAAGCATTAGATAACAGATTTCTCTACTCATGTGTTATTAGCCATTTCTATATATATAATAATATAAACACTGATGTTTTAATGTCTCTTAATTTTTGTACTTGATTTTTTTAGGTAACATGTAATTATAAATGTACTTTGATACTACTAAAGTAACCAGATGTTGTTTGAAAATAAATTGTTTTCTTTAGTGCATTGACAATATTTTACAATACTTTTTGTGATTATTTATTTGTGCTCCCGTGTAATTATAATAAAAGCAATAGTTTAAATTAGTTGACTTTGTCGTTACTGGTATTTATTTATCAAGAAACAAAATAAGAACTTTTTCAAAGAAAAATACAACATTTTTCAATTTCTGCAGTTGACCATGAGATTGCATGTATTGTAGAAGCCTGATGCTGGTGAGTATTGAGGGTCTAGACTTTCTAATTTGTTCTGTGACCCCCCAGTTGCCCTTAATCACTGCTTGGCTTCTCCCTCAAGGTGATCCATTAAGTAAGAGGAACATTGACACTTCTCTTTCTTCCATATGTACCTAATTCCAGTTAAATGACTCAGAGTGTATCTAAGGTGTGCTGGTGGCATGAAAGAGAAAATTCTGGCAATCCTAGACCTGTGTATGTAGACAAGGTATTTATTCGAGGGGTGCTACTTAGCACATTCATTTATTCAGTCATACTTTTAGAGTTAACCTGGCTTAAATAAGGAGCAAGTCAGTATGTACAGTGTTGCTAGGATATCAATATCTAAAATGTCATCGAGCATGGTAAATATATGACAAGATTCTGGAGCTCAGTCAGTTTACAAAAAATGCCTGTAAAATAATGTAGAGACTTCTAATAGTTTCTAATGGCTACTTCATCAACCGCTTACATACTCTCTTTTATATCCAATCTCAACATAATTAATTATAACGTCATAATTTCTCACCAATTATTTCCATGTTCATTTCATAAAAAGAAAGAAATTTATTATCACTGTTTTGTCCCACCCTTCCAGCTACTCAAATGCTCAGTGTGCTACTCTACCTTTTGTTTGAACAAAAACTAACCTATCACCACCCCACCACCATCAACAGTCCAACCTTTCATCCATCTCAGCCCATGAAAAAAAAAGCTCCCCAATATTTGAAATTATTGGTTTCTTCCATTCTCCCAACCGCCATTACAAATCATTTTTTCCATCTCTGTGATCTCAGATTCTAATTAAATTATGTTGACACAATGATGTGAATGACTGATAAAACAATGTTCATCCTATAGTGATTTGTATTTGAGAAGATTCTTACTAACATGCATGAGTGAATATTAGAATGTCGGGCAATGTAACAAACCAGGAGATCGGAAGAAAATAACTTTAGAGAAAATTTTGCATAATATCATCTCACCTCATGTCTTGTAGAGTGGTGGTTCTCTCAAACCTTGCTGTGCAAAAAAAAAAAAAAAAAAAAAAAAAAAAAAAAAAACCTCACTTAGTTCTTAAAAACTCCCAATGTCCAGAAGGCTGCCTAGAGCAGTACACAGGTGCTGGCAGTTTTAAAAAAATCTAGATCAGTCCAATATGGAATCAAATTTGAGTATTAAAGCAAACTTCTCAAACTTGAATGTACTTCTCAAACTTGAATGTACATGCTTTATCACCTGAGGATCTTGTTGGCATATAGATTCTGATTTAGAAGAGTTTGAGAGTTGGAATCTGAAGCAAGATCTCAGGAGATGCTGATGCTGCCTGTCCATAGATCACCCTTTGAGCAGCAACTCTTTGGCAACTCGCTGCTCTGCCTATACTTAGGGAGCCTTGGTAGCCATTGCCTAGAGCACTGCCACTCAGAGCCTACTTCAGAGACCAACAGCACAGCATTATCTTGGGACTTGTTAGAATGAAAAACCTTCACCTTTATGCCAGATAGAACTTTAGGGCTGAGGCTCATGGATCCTGTTTCAGCAAGCCATACAGGTGATTCTTATGCCCAGCAAAGTTTGAGATGCATTGTCTTAGACCAATGTGGCTTTCAGTCATGGCAACACATTACATTCTTGGGAGATTTTTATCTAATGCCAATATCTGGGCCCCTCTCTCAGAGATTATGATTTTATTAGTCTGGGGTTAGGGCTAGACAACTTTTTCTTCTTTTTCTCCTCCACCTTTTTCTCTTTTCTTCTTTCTTTCTCAGAACCCCCTAGGGGATTAGAATATGAAGTTGGTACTGAGACAGCTATATTAGAGAATCAACTCTGTCCCATACATTGGAAATTGCATCATTTCCCCCAGAAATAACATTTCATCCACAGGGCCAAACTCAAGAATGCACCACCTCATAACCCTCCTCATCAAAATGACTTTCAGGTACTTCAGGGTAAAGAGTGGTGTGAAAAAAAAGTCCCAGCTTTTGGTTAAATCAACTCCTTGTGATTGGTACCCATCTCCCATTTTAGGAGGCCAATATTTTTCATGAGATCAGGCTTATATTAAAATTATTCTACATATTGCTTAGAAATTAGTGTCAAGGGCTCTGAACTGTTGATAATAGTATTAGGATTGTGTTATGTTTTTCCCCAGTTGGAATTAATGTACACCCTTCAAGCACCCTCCCCCACTACCTTGATACACAGTATTGTGCTCGGGTTTTCATTACAATGCCATCTGTCTTATAATAGTTATTTCTTTGGGAATTTGTCTTCTCTACTTACATGGTGAGTTCCAGAAAGAGAAGCTACATTTATTTGCTATAAATCTTGTATTCTACAAAGTGCCTGGCCAATTGCTCTGCACTTAAAACTATTAGAAAATGTTCATTTATTTAATTTATGTATTTATTCAACAAATACTAACTGAAGTCCACCTGTATACCAAGCACTGTTCTGGGCATAAAAGGTAAAACTCAGTATACTGGTAAAGCTTTGATGCTAGTTGATTTATATATTCTTTTGAGGTTATATTTTCTGCTCTTCTCTCTCATTATATGAAACAAATATTGGGTGAGATCCTGTGACACTTTATACACCAGAATTGTTATATATACATGTGAGTATTATTTAGGAAGTTTTATATCTATATATTTATTTAAACTCCGCTTTTTATCCAAATAAAGCAATTGTAATTAATGTGCAAATATAGCAAGGTGACATACATTAGAAATGTGTGAGAATTTTAACGAGAATGAAACACAAGTTAGAGCATGAGATAAAACCAATCAGGAATAATTTTAGTTCACAAAATGCATACAATGATACCCTAAGTGTCACTACTTATGGGTTTATAATTCATTTTAATAGTAAGACTAATAATAACAATAGTAAGACCGCTACAATTTATTTCTTACTTTATGCAAAACACTGAACTAAGTTTTTAAGACATCTTTTCAAATTCTTACCTCAACCCTATGAATATGTTCATTTTCTGGGTAAAGATGCTGAGGTTTAGAAAACTTTCCCAAACTAATACACAATAGTAATTGATTGTGGAAATTCAAACCAGGCTTATCTGAATCAAAAACCAAACCAATGTAACATAGACTCTCATTTAAATTAATTTGTATTAGTTTGCTATTCATCATATACAGATACTCAAAGACATTTTAATCACTATGCAGTTCCATGTAGCCTGAATGGAAGTGACCCATCTAACTTAGGTATATATACTCGTCACTGAAAAAGCAGTATTTTTCTCTACAATACAACAAACTTCATAGGTACTACAGATCAGTGTAGAGGACTTTATGCTTGCTAAAATCTTAGTCCTTAATAATTTCTTATCGATCTTCTAGCTGGTTTCAATGAAGAACAAATCAGTTTGCTAGGGTGAAATAGTAAGCTGGCTTTTAAATTGATTCTGCTTGTTGATTTTCCTTAGGGTAACTATTGCTGCCTTCTGGAGGTATTTGGTTTTAAAGAATGCATTAATCTAAATTTTTTTGTCTTTCTTTGTGAATATACCATATGATATCACGTTTATTAAGGAAAGGGAAAAAAGAAAGAGAGAGACTTGGTAGTAAGTTAAAATGTCCCATCCCGCTGGGCACTTGTGCCTCAATGCTCTAGCAATATTTTCTCACAAGGGTCCTTGAAAGGTGTTACTCATAACACTTCAATATAAAAAAATCCACACTTTTTAATTTTAATAGTTAAGAATTTTTTACATAAATATAAAGTTAACATATTAAACTACTTTATTTCATTCACTGAATAAATATTTCTTGAATACTTGTTGTAATACCAGCCATGGTGATCAGTAATCAGGCTATGGTCATGAATAAAAGACGGCAACCTCACTTATCTTTGAGCTTATATAATGGACATAATTATTTATATCAATGTTGAAGTTGGTAGCATCAACTTAACCCAACCTTCACCTTAAGGACTATAAGGTATGATGTTCAAGTGCTACTCAGATGTGGCAAAACTCGTAAGTATTCAAACGGCTGCAAGGAGCCTGCTCTGAGACTAGAAGATTATACAGTGCTAGTAGAGGCATTATTTTGCCCATTCTCCTCATTCCCTTGGGGTTTGACACCTGTTTGTCAGAGGTTACACACACAGACTTACTGCTTCCTTGGTAAACATATGCTTTTCCTTTGCAATAGGAAGACTATGAAGAAAATGACACAGAGGCCTGAAACCACTTTAGAGATCATTAGATAGCCACGAATATAATTCTCTCAAAATGGTCTGCTTGCCTGAGGATCCTCTAGACTTTTTCTGAAACTAGAATTCACATGTTTGTTCTACTCTAAAATTTTCTTGACTTCTCATAGCCTTCAAACGCCAATTACATTGTCCAAGTTCCAAACCATCCCGCTGTTGTTTACTGAAACCTATCAACCCAGTATCTTACATATAAGTCCCTAGAAACCCCTGCCTCCTCCCAGACTCCAGGATCACTCTTCAAAGGTCTCAAATTCAAATGATTGTATGCAAGAGAGGCAAGTTTCTGTCATCAAATATTGCAACAGTCATAAGCAAGGTAGAGATTGAAAAACTGGAAGATGAGGAGAGGGTAGCCTGCAATACAAACTTCAACATGAGGGTATGAAGTTTGCCGGGGAAAGACACAAGGGTAGGGATGTTATGAAGCTAAAAAATAAGATTAAGATTATCTAGTTCTGGAAAACGTAATTCATATCAAATATTGTTGGGTGGAATCTTTGAAAGAAGTTTACATCATTTTTATTTGAATGTGTAGACTCTTTTCAAATAAATATATGGACTTTGTAAAATACACCACTGAAGAACTTCATCAGAGTGGTTTAGAAAGGAAAGTAAGACAAGTCAAGACATAAAAATGAAGAAAAATTAGTACAAGGAAATAGTAAGGCCAAAAATTGATTGGCCACCTTATTTTCTGATGACTTCTCATAGATTTTTCTTTCTGCTTTATCAATGCATCATTCACTAGATCTAAGAAGGTGAGATGGGATACAAACAATGAATAGTCAACTATGCAAATACTTGAGGGAGTATTTTAGATATCTGGGGAATTGTAAAGTTTCTGAGATAAAGTACACTTGATGTGTTGGGGAACCATACAGGTCATCACAAAGATGAGGTCAGGGAGAGAGGCAGGGGCCAGATTATGTAGGCACTGTGGAGTTTATATACAGGCACTGTGGAAAACATTTTACTTATCTATAAAAACCAAAGCCATAGGTGAAGTTTAAGAGTTTATGGATCTACTAAAGAGGATATTCATTACCCCTCCCTTAACTGATCAACACATTTATTAATAAGTGTGGGAAGAAGACCAAGAATCACCAAACATTTGATGAAAACTAACAGTATGAATAAAAGGAAATTAAATAAAATAGGTAAGTAAAGGAAAAGATGTTTAATAAATTACAGTTAGATTGATTGCCAGAAGTGGGTTGAATGTGAAACTAATGAAGCTTAAATTTAATGGTCACACACATGTTAAAACTACTCTAAGATGAGGGGAGAGACCCTACTAATGTGTTCGTGTGTGGTCATATGATTTGGTAAAATTTGTAAAAGTAGGGCTATTTTGACTATGGTCAGTTGAGAGTGATACCTTTTTCTACTCTAAATTACTTTCCATCCTACTTCTTGTTTTGGGGGCTCTGGAATGGCTATGGGAATTTTGGGGATTTGGCTAAGAAGAACTTGGATTGGATATACATTTACTTTAGCAGGGTATTTTCATGTGGCTCACATAATTCATAATTTCATATTTTATTTTTTGGTTAAAAACATCCCTCTTTCATCTATATAAGCTTCAGTCCTCATAAAATTTGGAGTTGCCTCTCATTCTCATAGATATTCATAGATATCCAAAGGGATATAATTTCCATAAACTAAAACAAACTGCAAAGGGAAAAATAAATCAGAAAAAATAAAACTCATAAAATATGGACTAATTCAGCTGCCTGCCCTTCCCTCATCCCTTCAAACAAAAGAAAACAAACAAGAGAATATGTATAGTTAAAAGAGTAGAGCCATTTTACCCACCATTTCAGGGAAATATGATTTGGATATCTAGGAAACCCTTAGGTCCAAAGGCTATATTAAGCATCTTATATACATCACCAAAATAGTCTCATTTCCTGAATATGCTCATTTCCTTTACCATATGATTACTGCAATATTTATGAGAATTGATGAAATTAATCTACTTGGAAAGTTAAGCACATATGTTCACACAGAAATGACTAGGTAAGAAAGAGAGTTAAATATAACTTAAAATGATCAATGTACACCTCCTCAGCTCCAAAAGTTGCCCTTCGTTGCCTGCTGTATGAAAATCTAGCTGGGCCCTTTACATTAGTTTTTCTATATAGCTGGTATGATGTTAAGCTTTGTAAGCAGAGGGTGACAGAGCGACACTGCAGGAAGAAGGTCCTCTCTTCCTGGTTCTTTTTATCACCTACTTCTTACTCTTATTGTGCAGCTGCCAGCAGGATGTTTATGAGTCATTTGTAGTGTGCACCTCCATCTTATTTCAATGGAACCCCAAAGAGATATTTTTTGCTTTTTTAGGGACTATGAACCAGGTGTGTCCCAGGGAACCTAGAAAACATCTCTGCCATCCAGTTGGTCACAACCACATTTGTCTCCTGAGGTTGGATCCCTGCCTTGAGGAAGGGACTCTCACCTTCCATATATGTATTTCTCTTTTGAGCAATCTCCCCCAACCCTAGGGAAATGTTTAGGATTCTCTTTACTGCTTTTTAGATTTTCTCTATTAGAGTTAATAGCTCTTTACTTCAAATTTTTCCCATTCAAATTACTGTGTAGTTTTTGCCTCCTAGTTGAATTCTGACCAATACACTTTTTATTTTCTTTACGATTATCATTGTGTTTTTCATTTTTGTAAACAGTTTTATAAACTATTTCTACTATCCCCATAATATAAATTTGCATTTTATAAATCTTATAGTCACTTTACTATTGATGACAGCAAAGCATTGAAACTTGTGATAAACTTTTTGAGCCAAAATAAATATTGGTAGATTTTGGTCCTACTTACTTGTTAGATGTCTTAATACATCCTGTATATATTTTATTGGGGTATTCTTAATCTTTTGCTTTTAAATAAAAGACATTTGAAATTCGGCAAGTTCTCCAATTTTATTCCCCTCACTTTCAAGATTTTTGTTAATATTAAATAAAATTAAATTTAATGCATTTGATACTTTATAAAACTGAACACAGGTAAGAGAGTTGGTCTTGAGGTGGAAGAATGGCCTTATATCATCTGAAGTTGGAAAGAAAGAGCAAAGGGTAAAGATATGAAGAATTTTATTGAGAATGAGGCAGAATATTAGGTGAGTTTCTGTTCTATGTTCTTAATTATCCCCAAACAGAAAGATACAAGGTCGTCTGCTATCCAGAAAAGGTAGAAGACTTGATGAGAATGAGCACAACAAAGAGGGAGATGGCTATGGTTAAATAAAATATTTTCCAGTCTTCCTAAGAATGCTGTTTGTACCAGGATGCTGTTCTATAGTGTGCCTCAGCCCTCAGGGTGGGGCTGGTTAGGGAGAGCAGACTGCAGGACTGATCTGCTAGATGGTTATTACAATGGCTGAGTAGCAGTAGTTTAGACCTGAAAGAGATCAGAGACTAATCCTTTTTTAAAATTCATTTTTTCTCTTCTCTCTGTGTATATCACTGAATTGCATTTCCAGAATCATACTTGGATGTGGCCCTTGACTAAATTTAAAATGTGAATAGAGAAGATGAGCATCCATGCCAGCCCAGGCTATGGAAGCTACTTAGATGTGCTCTGTGGTGACTTTGACCTCTCCAAGCTGACTAGGGTGGGCTCCCTCAACTCCCACACTAGGCAACTTAGGAAGACGCATGCTGGAGATGGCATAGTATCCTTCCACTAGTTTCTCCATCAGTATATAAAACTGAGTTACCTCTTCCCCATCTGTGCACATTTATTTCACTTGGAGCTACCCTGGACTTTTACAGAAAGGGAAAATAATCTATTATATTGACTTGTTACATGTGTGAATCTATTTGTTGTACCATTGTCAGCCTAGGCTGCTACAAGATAACATAGACTGGGTGGCTTAAATAACAGAAATCTATTCCTAACCATTCTAGAGGCTGGGAAGTCCAAGATCAAAGCTGCCTGCTGATTCAGCTCCTGGTGAGGATCCTCTTTCTGGTTATACCCTCAGAAGGTGGAGAGGAAGGGAGAGGAAGCCAGCTCTCTAGTGTTTCTTCTAATAAGGGCACTGGTCCTATTATGAAGGCCCCACCCTCATGATGTAGTTTTCTCCCAAAGGCCCTATCACCAAATTCCATTGCATTGGGAACTAGGGTCTCAGCACATACATTTCAGAGGGCCACAAATATTCAGTTCATAGCTACCGTTCAACCCCCACCCTAACAAATATAACTGGCTTGGTCCATAGGAGGCAGTAATATGGTAAAACAGCTAAATATGTATTGTTTCCATTTTTCTATAAGAAATAACATTGTTTTCTGTCACTTTACATTATAAATGGTTATAGCAGATAAAAATGTATGAATGAATAAGTAATAAATTAGAGTAGAGTTTGTATTCTTCTGGAGAAAAGGCTCCATGATGATACCAAGAACTATACAATTATTGTTCTTTCTTATAAAATAAAATATTGTAAATATTTTACTACTTATAATGCATAAATACAGAATGTGAAAGTTAGCTGTTCTGATACCGTCTGGGTTTAAGCATATTATTTTCTAAAATATCAAATAGTATAATCACATTAATACAATGCATAAAACTTATTTTCCAGTGTAATGTTTCTCTCTGTGCAAGGGGCATCCAATAACTTTTTGGCCTCTCTCTCACTTGCTTCTCTATTCTTCCCTAGGGAAGGAGGAATCACATCATTTTTGGTTTGGGACAAAAACCTGGCTCAAATGTGTTCTGTGTCTCACAGAGGACATGCATTTTGATCAGCTTCTATTCCAGAATATACATTTTTTTCAGCACCACACCACACCTATTCCAAAACTGACCACATACTTGGAAGTAAAGCACTCCTCAGCAAATGTAAAAGAACAGAAATTATAACAAACTGTCTCTCAGACCACAATGCAATCAAACTAGAACTCAGGATTAAGAAACTCACTCAAATCCGCTCAACTACATGGAAACTGAACAACCTGCTGCTGAATGACTACTGGGTACATAACTAAATGAAGGCAGAAATAAAGATGTTCTTTGAAACCAATGAGAACAAAGACACAACATACCAGAATCTCTGGGACACATTCAAAGCAGTGTGTAAAGGGAAATTTATAGCACTAAATGCCCACAAGAGAAAGCAGGAAAGATCCAAAATTGACACCCTAACATCACAATTAAAAGAACTAGAAAAGCAAGAGCAAACACATTCAAAAGCTAGCAGAAGGCAAGAAATAACTAAAATCAGAGCAGAATTGAAGGAAATAGAGACACAAAAAACGCTTCAAAAAATTAATGAATCCAGGAGCTGGTTTTTTGAAAAGATCAGCAAAATTGATAGACCACTAGCAAGACTAATAAAGAAGAAAAGAGAGAAGAATCAAATAGACGCAATAAAAAATGATAAAGGGGATATCACCACTGATCCCACAGAAATACAAACTACCATCAGAGAATACTACAAACAACTCTATGCAAATAAAGTAGAAAATCTAGAAGAAATGGATAAATTCCTCGACACATACACCCTCCCAAGACTAAACCAGGAAGAAGTTGAATCTCTGAATAGACCAATAAACAGGCTCTGAAATTGTGGCAATAATCAATAGCTTACCAACCAAAAAAAGTCCAGGACCAGATGGATTCACAGCCGAATTCTACCAGAGGTACAAGGAGGAGCTGGCACCATTCCTTCTGAAACTATTCCAATCAACAGAAAAAGAGGGAATCCTCCCTAACTCATTTTATGAGGCCAGCATCATCCTGATACCAAAGCCTGGCAGGGACACAACAAAAAAAGAGAATTTTAGACCAATATCCTTGATGAACATTGATACAAAAATCCTCAATAAAATACTGGCAAACTGAATCCAGCAGCACATCAAAAAGCTTATCCACCATGATCAAGTGGGCTTCATCCCTGGGATGCAAGGCTGGTTCAACATACGCAAATCAATAAATGTAATCCAGCATATAAACAGAACAAAAGACAAAAACCACATGATTATCTCAATAGATTCAGAAAAGGCCTTTGACAAAATTCAACAACCTTCATGCTAAAAACTCTCAATAAATTAGGTATTGATGGGACGTATCTCAAAATAATAAGAGCTATCTATGACAAACCCACAGCCAATATCATACTGAATGGGCAAAAACTGGAAGCATTCCCTTTGAAAACTGGCACAAGACAGGGATGCCCTCTCTCACCACTCCTATTCAACATAGTGTTGGAAGTTCTGGCCAGGGCAATTAGGCAGGAGAAGGAAATAAAGGGTATTCAATTAGGAAAAGAGGAAGACAAATTGTCCGCGTTTGCAGACGACATGATTGTATATCTAGAAAACCCCATTGTCTCAGCCCAAAATCTCTTTAAGCTGATAAGCAACTTCAGCAAAGTCTCAGGATACAAAATCAATGTACAAAAATCACAAGCATTCTTATACACCAATAACAGACAAACAGAGAGCCAAATCATGAGTGAACTACCATTCACAATTGCTTCAAAGAGAATAAAATACCTAGGAATCAAACTTACAAGGGATGTGAAGGACCTCTTCAAGGAGAACTACAAACCACTGCTCAATGAAATAAAAGAGGATACACACAAATGGAAGAACATTCCATGCTCATGGGTAGGTAGAATCAATATCATGAAAATGGCTATACTGCCCAAGGTAATTTATAGATTCAATGCCATCCCCATCAAGCTACCAATGACTTTCTTCACAGAATTGGAAAAAACTACTTTAAAGTTCATATGGAACCAAAAAAGAGCCTGCATCACCAAGTCAATCCTAAGCCAAAAGAACAAAGCCGGAGGCATCACGCTACCTGACTTCAAACTACACTGCAAGGCTACAGTAACCAAAACAGCATGGTACTGGTACCAAAACAGAGATATAGATCAATGGAACAGAACAGAGCCCTCAGAAATAATGCTGCATATCTACAACCATCTGATCGTTGACAAACCTGACAAAAATAAGAAACGGGGAAAGGATTCCCTATTTAATAAATGGTGCCAGGAAAACTGGCTAGCCATATGGAGAAAGCTGAAACTGGATCCCTTCCTTACACCTTATACAAAAATTAATTCAAGATGGATTAAAGACTTACATGTTAGACCTAAAACCATAAAAACCCTAGAAGAAAACCTAGGCATTACCATTCAGGACATAGGCATGGGCAAGGGCTTCATGTCTAAAACACCAAAAGCAATGGCAACAAAAGCAAAAATTGACAAATGGGATCTAATTAAACTAAAGAGCTTCTGCACAGCAAAAGAAGCTACCATCAGAGTGAACAGGCAACCTACAAAATGGGAGAAAATTTTCGTAACCTACTCACCTGACAAAGGGCTAATATCCAGAATCTACAATGAACTCAAACAAATTTACAAGAAAAAATCAAACAACCCCATTAAAAAGTGGGCAAAGGATATGAACAGACACTTCTCAAAAGAAGACATTTATGCAGCCAAAAAACACATGAAAAAATGCTCATCATCACTGGCCATCAGTGAAATGCAAATCAAAACCACAATGAGATACCATCTCACACCAGTTAGAATGGCGATCATTAAAAAGTCAGGAAACAACAGGTGCTGGAGAGGATGTGGAGAAATAGGAACACTTTTACACTGTTGGTGGGAGTGTAAACTAGTTCAACCCTTGTGGAAGTCAGTGTGGCGATTCCTCAGGGATCTAGAACTAGAAATACCATTTGACCCAGCCATCCCATTACTGGGTATATACCCAAGGACTATAAATCATGCTGCTGTAAAGACACATGCACATGTATGTTTATTGTGGCACTATTTACAATAGCAAAGACTTGGAACCAATGCAGACGTCCAACAACGATAGACTGGATTAAGAAAATGGGGCACATATACACCATGGAATACTATGCAGCCATAAAAAATGATGAGTTCATGTCCTTTGTAGGGACATGGATGAAACTGGAAACCATTCTCAGCAAACTATCGCAAGGACAAAAAACCAAACACTGCGTGTTCTCACTCATAGGTGGGAATTGAACAATGAGAACACATGGATATAGGAAGGGGAACATCACACTCCGGGGATTGTTGTGGGGTTGGGGGAGGGGGGAGGGATAGCATTAGGAGATATACCTAATGCTAAATGACGAGTTAATGGGTGCAGCACACCAACATGGCATATGTATACATATGTAACAAATCTGCACATTGTGCACATGTACCCTAAAACTTAAAGTATAATAATAATAAAATTTAAAAAAAAAAGAAAGTCGGTGAACCTAGCAGCAGACATTTGGCCTTGGTAATACATTGTCATCTCATAGTTCATGACTTTGAAAACAGGCAAATTGTTAAAGATGAATTAAGTTTTAATATATATTCAATAGAGCAATTTTTTTCTCTGTTTCAGAAACCTTATTCCTTCTAGGAAAAAAAATGGTTGGAAACATGTTTGTGCGTATTCTTGATCAGGCAGCCAGAAATAGTAGGTAATACATTGATATATAGTATTCCCTCGGAAAAAATAAAACTGGGGGAGGAACCTCCCTGGTCCCAAGTGTCCACATGGCAGGGAAAGGCTAAAGCTGAGTATCCCATCTGTACCCAAAGCAGATCCTCTCCCATTTGCTCTACTCTCTCCCCCTCCCTACTGTCTTCCTAAGCCCCACTTCATTCAGTGATATTACCAGCTTGACATCTGTTTGAACTCCGTTTCTGGTACTGTGCTGGTTTTCCCTCATGGTGGTGTGCATTCTAGGAATTAATAAACAAACAGTGATTACAGACTTGCTACATGGGACTTGGTTTTATGAGGATTAAGGATGAACTATTCTCAAGAACAATATCCGCACATTAGCCATTGAGTGCCAATAATGTAAATATATCAGTGCTTTCCAAATTTCCACAGATTCAGCCCTCCAGAAGCAGACACTGAGACAGAATTTGGGATGCAAGGTCTTTGTCTGCGATCAGCAAATGTGAAGGGAAAGGTGAAGAACGGCACTCGGCCAAGGATGAAGCTGAACAGTGATGGAGGCCCCACAAAGTCTTGGCCAACCTTTCAAGAGGCCCTGAAGGGAGCTCTGGAGCTCTGAAAGATCCTATATTGGGTCCAAATGGTCTATTTTTTACACTTCTCAGCTCCAGAAATAGCTGTAGAAACAGCCCTGGGGAGTGGATAGCTGGAGCCAACAGCTTCCCTCACTCTCTGCAGCTGGGCTGCAGTCTTCTTGAAGGGGACCTGAGTGGCACCACCTTGACTCCACCACACACATTAATCTAAAATTTCAACATCCAACAAGATTCTGTATCAAACTTGATGAGTTGACTCTAACATTCATCTAGATTTAAAAATGTGTGAGAATAGGCAATACAAAATTGAAAATGAACAAATGGGGAGAAATTGGCCTGATAGGTTTTAAAACATGCTATGAAAGTCCAATAATTAAAATTGTGTCATATTGACACAAAAAAATAGAGTAGGGGAGGTAAAAATAACAGAATAGAGGTCAGAGAGAGCAAAGTATATTATATCTATATCTATATGTGTGTATGTGTGTGCATATATATATATATATATATATATATATATATATATATATATATATATGGAATAAACACAGAATGCATGTGGCATTTCAAGTCAGCAGGGAAAAAAGATTATTCGACAAATAGTGGGAATAGTTGCTTATTCATTCAAACAAAAATTCATTTTGGTCTCTACTTTATTAAAATAAATTCCAGTTACATTGAGGAATAAAGATAAAATACCCCTCAAAACTATAATGGCATTTTATAAATAATTTAAGTCATAATAGAATGTAATACATTTTATAATGCTTTGCTGAGTGGGGAAAGAGTTCTTACATGCAACAAATTTCAAATTCCATATATATCAAGAAACTGATAAATTTACTCTACGAAAGTAAAAACTATGTGCAATGAAATACACACAAATCAAATGAAAAGGCAAAAGTTAGTCCAGAAAAAAAATTGCAAAATTTACAACATACCCAAAGTAAAAATGTGTAACACATAAGAGCCCCTAAATATCCATGTGAAAAAGCAAAATAATAGAAACATGCAATTCAGAGTAGACCCGAATAGCTAATACACAAAATATAGTCAAATCAATAATCAGAAAATGCAAGCTAAACAACACTGGTAGATATTTCTAGATTATCAGATCCTGCACAAATTAACATGATTGATAGGTCATATCTAATATTGGCTACACTATGAGTTAATGCGTATTCTCATGACCATTTCTTTTTTTTGTTTTGTTTTTTAGAGACAGGGTGTCACTCCGTGACCTAGGCTGGAGTGCAGTGACATGATCATGGCTCACTGCAGCCTCAGCCTCTTGGGTTCAAACAATCCTCCCATCTCAGCCTCCCAAGTAGTTGGGACCACAGGTGTGTGCACTATACCTGACTAAATTTTTTGTTTTAAATTTTTGGTAGAGATAGGGTCTCTCTATATTGCCCATGCGTGGACCATTTCTAACAGAATAAATTGCTACAACCTTTTATTTTTTATTTTTATTTTTGTATATTTTTTAAGATGGAGTCTCACTCTGTTGCCTAGGCTGGAGTGCAGTGACACGATCTCAGCTCACGGCAACCTCCACCTCCCGGATTCAAGCGATTTGATTCTCCTGTCTCAGCCTTCTGAGTAGCTGGGATTACAGGCACCCACCACGATGCCTGGCTAATTTTTGTATTTTTAGTAGAGATGGGATTTCACCATGTTGGCCAGGCTGATCTCCAACTCCTGACCTCAAGTGATCCACCGGCCTCAGCCTCCCAAAGTGCTGGGATTGCAGGTGTGAACAACCACGTGCGGTCACTACAACCTTTTTAGAGGACAGTTTGGCAGTATTTGTCAAAATTGCCTACAGAAAAATCTGCCTGTGGGTATAAAATTGTACAATATAAATATAAATGGGTGTATTGCCATTATTTTGTATTCGTGAACAATTGGAAGCAATAATTCTATTACGAAAATGATTAAACTAGCCCACAATACCGATTGTATATCAGTACTGGGTATGAGTTGAGAAGTATTTGAGTATGTCGCAGTAGTAGACAACTCCAAAATCTCAGTGGCTTAAAACAAAAGGTGATGTCTTGCTCACACAGAGTCCTCTCAGGTCAGCTGGGGCTCTGCCTTGTGTTCTCATCCAGGGGCCAGGCAGACAGTGCCACCACCAGTCTGGAGTTTTATACCGTATTCCTAGCAGAAGAGACGGTGTGGTGCCTTGCAGACAGCTCTTAAAGCTTCCACTTAAAAATGATAACATGTCTCTCCCACTCACATATCATTCACAGGGAAATACCTAACCTCAAGGGCACTGCAAATTAAATCTACTGTGTGTTTCTTAGAAGTACAAGAAATTAAGGAACTACTACTCCATGGAATAAAAATATATTATACCTAAAAAGAATGAAGCAGATAAATATGTTCATATCTCAATTTAAAAGTTCCAATGTAGTTCTACAGTGTATTTAAATTCCATTGCTATCTTGAAAATACATATATTTGTATATGTATATATACATTCATGGAAATGAATTGACAAAGTTTTGAAATTGTAAGACCAACCATTAACAAGAAGATTGTGGCACAGCGTTGGTTGGGAGTAGTGATGGGATACTTTAACTTTTTCTTTATATACTGTAATATGTTTTTCAAAGTATAATTGTAGGAATGCATTAATATTGCTTGACTGATTTAAAAACTAATTTAAGAACGTCACCAAAGTTTCTTGGATCTTCTTTTTCCATTTCTTTAGATGGAAAAAAATAATTATCAAGAGGTGAACTGGAAAAATAAAGTTACTATCTGCATCTTATAAGTCCCAAGAAATATTTGTGTAGATTTACTATCTATATCTTGTATTTCCCAAAAAATATTTGTGTGAATTTACTCTCTATATTGTTTATGTCCCAAGTAATATTTGTGTGGATTGGTGAAGATGCATTCTATAATATTAGCTATTCCCAAATAAAGGAGTCATTAACTTTTATCAGACCAAAATATATTTTACTAGGAAATTTTAGCCCTTGGTCTCTTCCCTGTGGCTCTCCCATTTCTTAAAACAAAAGAGTTGTTTAGGAAAAAAATCCTGGTCCTTTTCCTCAATAGTCATCACAGTCATCACTTACACACACACACACACACACACACACAGAAACACCATCCCTACCACCCCCCCAAAACACACCCCCAACATACACACACAGGGTTGTTGATTGTCCTAAGCTAATTAATATATATATCATATATATTAATATATATCTACATATCTATTTATGTATGTATATATCTATATATATGTGTATATATATGTGTGTATAAAGATATCTATCTAGATGTGTATATATGTGTATATCTATATAGATATGTATATGCATACATATCAGACACACACACATATATTTATATGATATGAATAGATTTATTATAAGAATTGGTTCAGGTGATTATGGAGGCAGCCAGGTCCCAAGTCCCCAGATCTGCAGGGTGATTGGCAAGTTGGAGACCCAGGAGGACTGATGATGTCATTTTAGTCCAAAGATTGGCAGGGTGAGACCCAAGAAGAGCTGATGTTTCCATTCATGTCTGACGGCAGGAAGAAAACAATGTCCCAGTTTGAAGGCAGTCAGGCAGGAGGAGTTCCCTCTTATTCAGGGAAGGGTCAGCCTTTTGGTTGTATTCAGGCCTTCAACTGATTGAATGTGCCCCACCCACCTTAGAGAGGGCAACCTGCTTTACTCAGTCTATTGATTTAAATGTTAAATAAATAATTTTTAGAAACACTCACAGAGACACCAGAATGATGCTTGACCAAATATCTGGCTACCTCGTGGCCTAGTCAAGTTGACATAAAATTAACCATCACAGAAGCCTCACAGTACAATGAACTTGCTTCTGCAACTGCTAGTTTAGCTAGATGTTAACGTTGTAAAAAATAGATTGTGGAAATGTATAAGCCACCATGCTTATCCTCTCACAGTTTTATCATATGTAAGCCTATCAGGAACTGTATTTTAATGTCATGATAAATCTGTGCTCAGTTTTATATATCTTGGTCTCTGTGCAATAATTAACCTGATTCTTAAATAAATTGTAAAAAAGCTTCAAGAACATTTTATGAAATTCCCCTTGGTGGCATTAAGCACTAAGGAAGCTAATTGATTCCTTAAATTTTCAGTTAAGCCAGTGTATTCTTACTTACATGTTGCCCAATTATCTAATCCATGTTTATCAAAATAGATTTGCCCTCTTACTTAGTAAACTTTATTTGAATTTTCTTTTATTTTATTATGCTTTAAGTTCTGGGGTACATGTTCAGAAGATGCAGTTTTGTTACATAGGTATACACATGCCGTGGTGGTTTGCTGCACCCATCAACCAGTCACCTACATTAGGTATTTCTCCTAATGTTATCCCTCCCCTAGCCCCCCACCCCCCAACAGGCCCTGGTGTGTAATGTTCCTCTCCCTATGTCCATGTGTTCTCATTGTTCAACTCCCACTTATTTGAATTTTCAGAGAATAAATTGCCTTCATGAATTTTTCTTCATAAGCTTTTATCTTGTAAGTCATATTAGGAAACTTTGTTCATTAACTACTTAACTTTTCATCTTGGATTATAGATGAAGAGGAAAACCTCTGAAAATATAATTCTAAGGAAATTGGATGTGATACATTCCATCCAGAAAACAGTTTTGTTGAATGATCACTGCTCAGGAAGACTGTCAGAAATTCTTATCAATGCACTTGGCTAAAAATCATCAAGGCAATAATTTTATGGTACTTTATATTTTCAAGTAGAATTATATTTATTAAGCCTGATTAGTAGTCAATGGACCTATGAAGCTTGAAGCAAAGTAGTATCAGATTCATCAATCAAAGCATTAGAGGGTTAGAGGATTTTGCAAGATTATGTAGCCAGCACTCTTCCCATATTTAGACCTCAATGGTTCCAGGTTGTAAGAATCTATTCCACGATATTTTAAAAGCCCTCAGGATTCCCTAAGAATTTATTACCAAAAAAAGTATTGTATGGCAGCATGTAGCAATAATAAAATAGGTTTATGATATTTTTAAGCACAAAACTGAGACACTTTGATGATTTGTCTTTCTCCTAATTTCAAAAATTCATGAAATACTTGCTAATAACTACTTTCTTATTTCTAGAAGATCCTTAAAACTTTAATGAGAATGGTTAGAGCATCTACTTAAAATAACCACAGCTCCGACTTAACCCATTTAAATGGTCTTCCAATAAGAGAGGAAAGCAAAAAGGAGAAAACCAGAAAAAAATCAGAAAAAAAATGTCTGATATTTGCAGGCCACCTGAGGACTGAGCATGAATTTGAACAGTCTTTAAGAGCTGCCAGTTCATCGGAGTCAGCAGCACATGGGAATTCAGCCTACCAAGTGGCAGAAACTCTGCCTCCTCAGCCATCCTCTTAAAAGCCCATTTTCTCCAGCAGATCCCTGAAGGGCTGAGATGAAAGACATGGCATAAACAGGACTGGCCTTCAGATGCCCACAATATGTGGGAGACCTGAGGTTAGAATTAATAGATACGGGTATCTTTAGCTGTTTTTGTCTCCAAACATCTTGAGACCAGGTCAAATTTAGAAACAATTCTATTTGAGGAACTAAACCAGAAAGATTTATCAGTTAGGGTCAGGTTCAATTTCAAAAATATTTTTGTTTGGCCAGCTTTGCTTTCCAGCTTTGCTTTAGGAAAGCGTGGGTTTAAGGTTTGGTAAAACTCATTTACTAATTAAGGCTATTCTGTAGAACTATTTTCCAGCTCAAGCTGGAATTAAGATTCAGACATTTTTGGAGTGTGGTACATTGATCCTCAGGAAGTTATTGGAAGAATCAATTTTCTGGAGAGGTTTGGTCTAAAGGATCTTCTACACACAGGGTAAGGTAGTTAAAAAAGAAAAGCAAAATTAGATAAAATGTGCTAATTATTGAAGGACAATCCTAAATTAGAGATTTGGAAGAATCATAGAGAATGAATCTTTCCAGCAGCTAAGAATGCTCTGAACTGGGGGCAAAGGGTGAGAGTTCAGAAAAAATAGCATATAATAAATCACTGATATTCATCCTTGGTAAAAGGACTTGTGCCTCCCAGTCTCTTCTAAAGCTTACATTCTTGAGTGTGGTGGGGTTGGGGATGAGTGTTGGGTGTTGGAATTTCTATGGAGTTTGGGGAAGTCAAACACAGAGAAGATTTTTATGGTATTTCTATCAAAAACCCTAGAGTCTAACAAGTCTCATAGAGTCTGTCACATATGACTCAGGACCAGAAGGGTACCATGGAGGTGTAAAGTTAAGAAAAAATTTCACTAGCATAACAGGAGGTGAAAGAGCAAGGCAAGTGTGGGAATATTGGGAAAGTAGGGGTGAGGGTTAGGACAACTCATCATCAGAAGTGGTTAAGGATCAACAGATCCCATAAGAATGTTACGGAACAATAAATACTTTATGTATATTACTAGTGTGATAAATGGTCAATATAAAAGCTAAGAGCAATGATCACAACTATCAGACTTTGGGACCAGGAATGGAGAATGTGCGTTGAAGTGCATTTAAGGTAACTCTTCTTTCAGAGTGAGGGGGAAATAGGTGTCATCTTTATTAAAGAGTGTCAATAAGCATATCATTGACAATTACAGAGGGAACCATCATAAGATCTAAAAACAATCAAGATGAAAAGAGATTCATAGAGAATGGATAAGGAAATAAAGAAATAGACCAATGTTATACTTTAGCTTATTTTTTTTCTGTACAATTTAATGTTACTATGAGCAAGAATTACTATAATAAAGATGCAATGACAGTAACAATAATATCATTTGTGTAGTGGTTAAATCCATGGAGGTAAGTGTGCTTGGGTTTTAAATCTAGCACTTATTCAGAGGCTTGAGAAACTTTCTTTAACCTCTCTCATCTTAGTGTCTTCACGTGTAAAATCAGGGAAATTGTAGCTTATTCCTAGGATCACTGCAAGGATTTAATCAGTGAGTCTGTTCTCTGAAAGTGAATCTGTGTACAGCATTTAGACATATGGTAAATGCTATGGAAATATTAGGCTTTACTGCATAATACTTCTGATCCTTAACAGATTTATATTTGTCTACATAATGGTGATTCCTAAATCTACATAACTGGGGTTTGTGATGGTTAATTTTATGTATTAATTTGAGTGGACCACATGGTGTTCACATTAAACATTGTTTCTGGTGTGTCTGTGAGCATGTTTCCAGAGGAGATCAGCATTTGAATTATTGGTCTTAGCAAAATAGAGTGTCCTCCCCAGTGTGGGTGGGCTTTGTCCAATCCATGGAGGGTCTGAATAGGTTGAAATGTGGAAGGAGGACGCACCCCTTTTGTTCGTGCCTCACTACTTGAGTTGGGACATCTCATCTCATAGCCTCCTGTCTTGGGACTGGGGTTTACATCACTGGCTCCAGTGACTTTCAGGCCTTCAGGCTGAATTACACCACGGGCTTTTCTGATGCTCTGGTTTGCAGATCTCAGATGGGGGACTTCTCAGCCTCCACAATAATGTAAGCCAACTTTTTATAATAAATATCTATATATGTGTGTAATATATGTGTTTTATATATATATATATGAATAAATATGTATATATAGATACATATGTGTGTGTGTGTATATATACATATATCTCCTATTGGTTCTGTTTTTCTGAAGAACCCACACTAATACAATTATATCAACTTCTTCCAAATGGGTTACTTCCTCTTCATCCCACAGCCTGAGTGCCAGGTTGAGATCCCACTGTATCTCACAGGGTTCACTGCAGTAACTCCCTTCCAGGCCTCCTTCCTCTCCCTAGGCTTTCAGTCCTCTAACTCCTTCTCCAAACTTCCTCCAAAAGATTTTGCTAACTTGAACAGATTCCTCTTTCTCTATTAAAGTCTTTAATTATTCTCAATTGTGTAAGGAGAGTTTCCACTTCTTGATAAAGCAGCAAATCTATTTTGCTCTCCTGCCTTCTGATCTTAACATCTCGTGAGCAAGCCATGCTAATTTTTTGTATTTATCCAAAAAATCTATAGAGATAATAGTTTCGTTCTATAGCAATTGAGCCTCATCCAACATAGATACTAGGATTTCAGTACATGCTTACTGAACGAATGAATGAATTAATGAGATAATAGAACTATAATAATGCTGTTGTTTGCTTGATTCTAGGAATAGATAACATTTTTTCTAATCCTGAAGGTCTCAAATATTACATTTATAGGCTTCTGTGTCATATAAGTCCAATATGATGAGAAAATAAAAACCAATCTTTTCCCACATGTTTGGGGCTCATAGTCTTACCCAGAGTTGATCCTAAATACATATTTGTTAAATAATACATGAATGGCTAAGTGGATGAATGAATTAATATGTGTTCACTCTGAGCTCAATAATGCCTATTAAACAAAGCTAATTGAATTTAACTCCCAGCTGTATTTGAATTTTCATATTTTTAGAATTAAAAATTTCAATCCCTAGTATAGTTAAATGTCTTGGTGTTCTTAAAATAGGTGACATTTAAATGCAAAATTAGAGCCCAAAATCGTGTATTCAATGTTTTATCTTACAGTTCAGTGCATAGAATCTTTTACTCTATTAAAAGCATTCACCCCCAAACATTAGTCTCCTTTTCAGCCTTCATATGTTCTTGCTATGCAAATGGCACAGAGAATCCCAGCTCACCAGGAGTTGTAAAGGGCCTTAGTCCCATCACCTGTGAGCGTGAACGCTGTGAAGGCAGATCTTTTCAAAGCAGAGTGGACGAGGGCCCAGACAGTTTAAAGTGGGTGTGTGATTAATATGGGATGGTGAATGGTAATGGCTGGGATCCAACAAGCACAGGAAGACAAGGAGAGGAGCTCAGCTCAGTGGAAAGACCTGGTTGTATGTAAAAGGCTGATAAGAAAAAACCTCAATAAATTGTTTGGTCTTTAAAATGCCAGGTTAGCCTGGAGAATTGGGCCAAAGCTTAGTGGATATGAACCAGCTTCTGAGTTTCTTTTATTCTCCCTCACTTTTTCAGTATCACAACTATTACCAAAGACTGGAGGGGCATATCTCTTGCTTTCTTCTTCAGGATGGGGATATTGGGAGCCTCTGAATGGAGTTGACATGACGAAAAACAGCTTGAACTTTAGAAAAGCAAATGAGTTTATCTCATTTCAATTACAGGGTTTTGTGTCTCCTATTTAGTTATAAGGCAGTATAAAAATTTAATTGCCTAGAGGCAGAAAACTGTGACAAACCTTATTCTTATTCCCTATGTTGCTTCTTGGATTTTGACAGCATGAGCTCTGGGTATAATTTCAAAGTGAACTAAGTAACAACACCACTGAAAGGGAGTGGTTAAGTCAGTCAGTGATAATCAATAGAAGTAATGAATAAATAAATCTGACCCTGAAGTCAAAAAGGAACTTAAAATTTATTTCTTGCTTCCAGATAAGAATGGCAATTAAAATAATAGTTCTATTCCTGGATGAGACCATGGGTTAGTGCATACTTTAAAGTGACTTAAGAGTTGATTTGGACCTTAACAATTGTGACACAGGAACTCTGACATAAAACAAATTTCTTCGGGTCTCTCTGCGATTCTTTCATCTGGGCCAGATTTTGACTTCAGTTTTGACAACTAGCTAGTCTGTACATTCATTGCCGTAATCACATTTCAAAAGTATGCATTTTTCTTTTGTAATTCTCTACTTACTCCTCTAGAAGCTGTTCTGCTTCATGAGGAAGGGGTTACACCAGTTCTGTCCACTCTAATCTATCAGCACATAGCATGGTACCTGACATAACTTGTGCTTAATTAATGGGTGCTGAGTAAAAGAGTAATGAGGTGCATTTGAAGACTAACTGTTGGACAGAACAAGTCATTGGAGGACAGCATGAGTATCAACAGTTGGTAACTGCAAAAAAGATTTTGGTGAAATTCAAGTAAAGACTGGTTAAAATTTTCCCAAAATGAAATAAATTCATTTATTAATTTTGGGAAAATGTGAGCTGTTGAATTCCCTTTTACTTAGGAAAAATTTTATACTGGATCCTGGTAACAATCAAGGAGCAATGTATTGCTCAGGACATACAAAGCCTTTGATGACATAACCTTCCACTGTCCCTGGGCTTCTCCTGACCTTTCAGGCTTTTCTTCCTTCCCAGTCCATTTGCATTTCCCACTCTGTCCTTCCTGATTGTCTCCATTGCTTTTGTCGGTATGCTTCCTCTCCCTGGAACAATTATCTCCTCTTTGCAAGTAATCTCACTACCATTCTCTACATTTTAGAGTTAAAACTTTTGAGCATCCCTTCTGTGACTTGTGACCTCACTCTTTCTTTCTAACCTATTCCCTTTGGTAACTATCTCACTGCATTTTATGTATGCATTTTCCTTTTTCCCGAAGAGCATGAATCTATTGAAGTCAGAGATAATTTCTTATATCTTACTGAATCCCCACCATGGAAAATAGACTTCATGCTTCTCAGGGTATCAACAAATGACGGTAGAATGAATAAATCAGTGACTACTGGCCTAAGCTGTAAAGATTGCCTTGCTGCTTATGATGATTAATTTCATGTGTCAACTTGACTGGGCCATGAGGTGCCCAGTTATTTGGTCAAACATTATTCTGAGTGTTCCTGTGAGGGTGTTTTGTGATGCTTAACATTTAAATCAATAGATTGAACAAAGCAGATTGTCCTCCCCAAACTGGGTAGGTCTTCTTCGATCAGTTGAAGGCCTGAATGAAACAAAGAGGTTGACCCTTCCCTGAATACAAGGAAATTTCTCCTGCCTGACTGCCTTAGAGCTGGGAGATTGCTTTCTTCTTGTCTTTGAACTTGAATGGAAACATCAGCTCTTCTTGCATCTTAAGCCTACCAACTTTTGGACTGAAACTACATCGTTAGCCCTTCTGGGTCTCCAGTTTGCCAAATACAGAGCTTGGGACTTCTCAGCCTCCATAATCATGTGAACCAATTCTTTACAATAAGTCTTTCTTGGAGGATGCTGACTAATCCACTTCTTGTCAGTCAAAGCAAAGTAACTTGGAACATTTCTCTCTTTGACTTTCTAATTCCTCCTGATATTTTATGTTTGGATATAGTGATCTAGTGACTGAGATTTTAAGATAAGCATCTGTGACCTATGAGTATTTTCTTTTCCTTTCTTTTCCTTTATTTTCATACCTTACCTGTGCCACTTTCTAGCTCTTCCTTATAAGTTTGAAATATGTATAAATTGAAAACATACAATTGTAGAGAAAGAACATGTTTTTCTTATGAATTTTATAAACATTTTCAACAACAAATGTTTAATAATATTTCTGCATATTTATATATAACCTATTTCCCTATCAATTATTTTTCAGTGATTCTAACTTATTGCTTTTTAGGAGCTTTGGAGATTTGAAAGATTAGTCCTGTACTTTCAGTGGTCAATTATTTTTAAAGGATTTCATAAAACTTTAAATGCATTTTATCTACTTGAATACAGGTTTACAGCTGTATAAAAAACTAAATGTTCATTGACAGTCAAAAAAAGAAAGACAGAAATGTTTTATAGAGAGAATTAAAATATTAAGGCCCATATTTGGGGGGATAAAAGTATAATAAAACTCTAATTATTTAGAATTCTATTTTTTGCAGCATGGAAAGAATGCCCGAGATTATGGATGACATTAACGGTTATGATGATAATGACTGAAAATAAAAATAAAATACAAAGATAGGCCTTGGAAATTAAGTCACACTTAAAACTACTAATAATACTCGATATGCTGTTGGTTAGAAAATTAATCAGAAGTAAAATAACATTATTGTTTTGGAATGGTGTTTGGACATTAACATTGTTAGCAAGAGAGAGATGTTTCAAAAATATTAAGATCATGTCATTCTATGGCTTAGCAATCAACAGTGGTTTCTTGTCTTTGGCACAAAATCCAATTTCCGATTTTAATCCATACATTCCTATTTGCTCTGGTCCCTGACTATGTATTCCTGTTCATGAAGTTTCAGCCCTCATGACCACATTCTTGCCAAGTTTATTTCTTCTTCAGTGTGTTTGTATTTGCTGTTTCTCATTATTCAACTGCTTTTTAGAAAATCTTATTGGTTTTTGTCTTTCAGATCTGAACTCAGAAGTCACCTTCCCGGCCTTCTCTGAGAATCTGATTTGATATGTGGTCCTTCCCTTCTGCTCCAAGCAACAGTCTGTACATCACTGCATTCATTTTCTTAAAGGCACTTATCAGAAATATTTTCTTCATTTATTTATCTGAACTACCATCTTAGAATTCAAATTCCATGGGAGTAAGCGTCCTGTCTGTCTCATTCACTGCCACATTTCCAGCTCCTGGGAAACTGCCTGACAAGAAGCAAGAGGGGAGCTAGAATGATCAAATGGGTTCCACATAAATCGTAATGTTGTCAAGGCCTTCCGGAAAAACCCTTAGAGTTAGCATTTGAGAATCTTTGCAGAGTGAATAATCCACTTTGTTTTTCCCTTTTCCCAAATACCACCACAAAATTCCACTCAAGGCATTTTCCCTTTCATCTCTCTTTCAGTGTTTTAAGTTGGGTATCTATCTCTTATTTCATAAATTTGCAGATTATGTGAAGATGAATTATATAGATATTTTATTCAGATGATGGACTCAAGATCTTATCCAGAAAAACCTACATCTCACAATAGGCAGTAGACCATTTATAACACAATTGAATTAAGTCACTTTAATATCATAGGTGATATTCATCAAAGGATGCTACAATAAACACAATCCAATGCATTCTTATCCATATTTTATAATATATTTAAATAATTAAGTGGATATTTAATAATTGGGAATGGGCTCATGTTATAAAAAACAATTCTTAAAAGTCAGGATTAAATTTAAGAAAATTCAAAGATACATTTCCTCTATAAGGAGACTGAGATAAAAATCACTATTACTGGGAACTAGAAGTTTAATTTTTCACAGACATTACTTGGTTGTGCTGAGATTTGTGGGTTGTCAAAACAAAGATGCTGCCTGCAGACACCTGAGAATAAATGCTTCCTTGAAGTCACTGGATACGCTTTTCATAATGTCATTTATACTTGACTCTTAGAACATTAAAAAGTGTAAATCATTCTTCAGAAACTAAATGAGGTAGCTGTGGCAAAAATTCAGTTTTGGCTGTGCTTTTGGCAGATTTCTGGGGCAGGTCTCTACCTGGCCTCAGGAAGAGGATTACTGTCACTTGAAGAGCACTTGAAGTAGCTCCTTGCCGAGATCACCATGATCTTCAATGGATTTATAACATGATTGGATTGTAGGCGTGCTGGAAAAATGCCCTGCCATTATACTCTCTGAATCACCCTTAGTTTATAAGGAAAATAAACTCTAATTTATGCTAAGGAAAAAAATTCAAATATGCATATAACTCTAGTATTTCTTTCTTCAATAAATTTATTGAATATCCACTAGGTGCTAAAGAAGCTACCTGAAAGATTAATAGGATACAATTATACAAGCAACTAGCAACTTAGTGAATGGGATAAATATATCTGCTTGCAATGATGATATATTGCAACATGAATATTGTAGAGCACCAAAACTCAACTTGAGAGAAAACGTGAGATAAACATTTCTGTAGAAGATCAGTTGAGTCTTAAAAAAAAATTAGGAGGGTTTAGTAGTTCAAGGCAGAGTGGAGAAACACAGAACATTTTATGCGAAGGGGCACAGAAGTGAAAGCACAGATCGTGGTGTGGTGTTTCAACAGTGAAGTTTAGGCATTGTTGACAGTTCATGGCAGAAAATGAGTATTCAGAGGCAGATTAAGACAGTGATATGAAAAGCTTTGCTAGGAAGCTTGACTTTTCAAAAATTCACCTTGCCTTTTCTGTATGCTTGACACTAAGAAGTTAGAAAGGTACACCTCATGTTCCCCTGCCCTCCGCAACAAAAACGAGTGTACCCTTCACATGTCGAGCACCAAAGACTACAGAGAATGGGTCTTTACTTCAGGTGTGGACTGGACAGAGTTTGCTTTGGGGAGGGAGTTGGGAATACCTCATAGATCATTTCTTGTT
The DNA here is from genome assembly GCF_000001405.40 of Homo sapiens. NCBI lineage: Eukaryota > Metazoa > Chordata > Mammalia > Primates > Hominidae > Homo > Homo sapiens. Next base: position 225,731,178 of record NC_000002.12, read on the forward strand.
TTCTTCATTCACTGCCCAAGGCAGGCCCTAATTTTCCATTCTCTAGTGCTACCCTCAAGATGGTCTGCCTTTTCTATGTGGTCCTTTCATCCCCGTCTCTATCCCTGGTCTGACCTGGGATGTTCTCCACCCTGTAGCCTAGGATCTCTGCAAAAAGAAGAAAAAAGATAAAGACATACCAATTTACTGTGTTTCCTCGATTTCAAACATCTTTTACCTAGCCAAGAGTGGCTGGTTTGGAGAAAAAGTAAGAAAATTTTGCTTAAAGAATCTGTCTCCTGGCCGGGAGCGGTGGCTCACTCCTGTAATCCCAGCATTTTGGGAGGCTGAGGCGGACGGATCACGATGTCAAGAGATCGAGACCATCCTGGCTAACACGGTGAAACCCCGTCTCTACTAAAAATAGAAAACTCAGCTGGGCGTGGTGGTGTGCATCTCTAGTTCCAGCTACTCGGGAGGCTGAGGCAGGAGACTGGCGTGAACCTGGGAGGCGGAGGTTGCAGTGAGCCGAGATCGCGCCACTGCACTCCAGCCTGGGCGACAGAGTGAGACTCCATCAAAAAAAAAAAAAAAAAAAAAAAAAAATCTGTCTCCTTCTCCTACATTACCTGCTGTTAAAAGCAATATAAAATAGTCCCTTCTGTTATTTGGGAACTCCTCTGGTTAAGCCATGAAAGAAGTACGTACTTTGCCCTCAGAGCATTTTGCTGGACATGAGTGAAAAAGCTTTAAACCAGTATGAGCCATTGAAGGGTTTAAGCAGAAGAATGAAGAAGACTTGCTATCTGGATTGTTTTGACAGGTGTTTGGCAGCACGTGGATGATACATTGAGAAGGACAACCCTGAAGTCAGGGATAACAAAACGCAGCAATTTTCATCATGGCAGGAAACTCTCCTTTGGGAAAGGGGTGAGCTGTCAGAATATCGAGGGGATGAGTGTGGCTTTAAAAAAAAACAGTCATTTTACTTATTGTTTTCATTCAACAAACTGTGTGAAAATTAACCTAACAAGATCTCATTTACTTTTGGTGATGCACTGTATTCAAAGATAGAGGTAGGAGAGACATGATTAGAAAGATCTTCAGAAAGTTAATATGGGAGGCTGTAGGGCATTCAGATAGGAAAATGAAAGAGGCATTTGGATGTGTAGTCCTGAAGCTTAGAAAAGGAAGCTGTGGTTTAAATTTAACTGGTCAATAGTTAATCTCATGAGATCGTGTATCCAGGGTAGATGGGGATACTGGGAGAAAAATGAGAAGGCAAGCTTGATTGGTGACATAAAGATAAGGAAAAAAAAAAACACACACACACACATCAGAGAAGAAGGAAAAGAGGCATCAAGAAAAGTCTTCAGTACTCAACAAGGGTTCTAAAACTACTTCCTGCCCAGAGCAATTTTTGAGATTCATTCTAGACTCCATATCTAGGTACTGCATTATGACTTGGGTTCTCTCCTTCAACAACAAGAATGGATTGAATTATTTCCATGGGCGGGGAGTATATACTGTACAGGATATTGATTGGTGTCTTTCTCCTGACTTAGTAATCTAGACAATGGCTTATGTTATGTCCATAAGAGTGAAGGTTCAACTATCATATACCATATATAGTAAATATGTATATATGTTATAGATATATATGTCCATATATGTATATATATGTATGAGTGTATGTGTATAAATTTCTTGATTGAACTGTGAATTTGCCATAAATCCTACTTGTGATATTCTCCTAAATATAATTTGGATTCCTTTCCAGTACCCATAAGGAAACATTTGAGATTTCAAAGTTCTAAACCATAGAATCTAAGCGTATTAAATGTGCTAATGAGAAGATAAAATAACCATATGACACAGGCATGACTATGAGAGTGATGTGCAAAGCTGCATGAACTAACTCACATCCCTTGGCATAATCCTTTCTCCCTTGACTAAAACACATCCCTTTAGGAATGCTTTCTATTATTTTGTGCAGGGGAAAGTTCTTTCCATCAGATCATATGTGATTTCAAATGAAATATATGAGATACAATAAAACCCAAGCCAACACCATTAAACCCATCTAGAAGGAGTGTTACATCCTGGGTTTGTCATAGGTGTAGTTTAAAATGCCTACAATGATTCAAATCCCTTAATTCTCATTTTAGTTAGTCAATTATGGTGCTGGGACCTCCCAAAATACCCTAGTTGTTAGATATTCCAAGATGGCACAAGAGAATGCCCGGGATATTCTAAGTGTAATATAAACTTGTTGATGTGATTCCCTAATTATGGAAGGGAGGGGTTTCATATTGCTCAATAAGATGGTGCTGCCAGTAAAATTTGCAGAGTGATTAATCAGGACTTTATTTTAAGTTCAGGCAACAAATTTCAACTTGACAAGGTCTGCCTATTCTATTACTTCTCCCTGAATTCTGTTCCTAGGCCTGTGGTCTGAGCATATGACTGTAGAGAAGCCAGTGTCAGATACCCTGTGGTTGTCGGGGAGCATCTCTTTGCAGGGTCTTAACCCTTCCCCCGGCCTCTCTCCTCTGTGAGGTCCTGCCTCTTTTTAATGGGTATCTTGTGTTAGGCACCTCCCTAGTCTGAACCAGAGCTGCCACTCCACGGGAGGAAGGGATGCTTTAGATCTTGATATGAAAAAGGAAAAGGGGGCAAGAACTCACTGTGACCTTATAGCATGACTTTGATGCAAGGGGTCTTAATGGCAATCAGATCTTTACATAGTGAAGATTAACCTCTTGTTTGCATAGTGCCTGTCTCTTGTTAGGTGTTTCCCTGCCTTGCTTTGCACTGCATCATAGAAGAAATGTTTGCTATTGCCTTAGCCTGGATGGAGTGAGGGTCTGTGTTCAGCATAGAACGGGATAAAACCTACCTGCTCTACTACACAATCAGAACAATTACCATTTGTTCTTTGATCCCTGAGGTTTCCTTGGCTTGGTGGGGGATGGGGGTCTACACAAACATTTGCCTGAGACACTTTGAGAAAATACTCTGCTTATTTTATTAGGTATGAAGATCAAGGGTATATTGATCATCAAACAATTTAAACCCTTTGGTTTAGCAAATATGGTTTTTGTTTCTACACTAGCGTGTTTATACATATATTCCTCTATGCAAATGTATGCTAATATATATACATGCATATATATGTGTGCTTTATATATAAGTGAATATGTGTATGTATGTATGTACATGTATACCTACCTATTTATCTATCTACCATGCAAAGATAGGTCCTGAAGTTTGGGACCTATCTTTGCATGATGGATAGATAAATAGATAGGTACACATGTACATACATACATACATACATACACATACTCGCAGAGTGAAATTGGTCTGTATAGTTATGTAGTGGTAGCAAGGAAAGTCAGGAGTAACTCATAAACTGGTATGAGGAGAAGAGTGAGCCAGAGAAGGACTCTTGGGGGAAAGGAAGAAACCTAGACCAAGATAGGATATCAGAGATTGAGGAAAAAGATGGTTCATGAGAATTTCTCTGCAATGGAATTGGTCAATATAGTTAATTCATTTTGATATCAAATATTCACAATTTGCTTCTTGTTTTGTGCTGAGGCACAGCAACAATTTTCACCACCTCCAACTTTTATTGAGAAGTTTCGCCTGCACTAGCTGCATGAAGAAGATGCCAGCTGGAGCCCAACAGCAGGGAAGACTCAACCAGCAGTGGTGGAGTGGGCAGCAGGTACTCCCTGAGGGTGGAAGGTGGGCCGGATGGAGGCTGGGTACTGCCTCACATGTGAAGGGTCACCCATGTGGCAGATCCAGGCCAGTTAGCCCAATGGTTCTCCACAGGGTATGATTTTGTCCCCCAGGGGACCTCTGGCAATGTCTTGAGACATTTTGGTTGTCTTAATGGAGGACAGGACAACTGGCATCTGGAGGAAGAGGCCAGAGATGTTACTAAACATTCTATAACACACAAGTCAGGCTCCACAACAGAGTTATCCACCTCCAATGTCAATAGCGCTGAGGTTAAGAAACCCTAGGTTAGACATACACATTTTCAATTATAGCAGGATGCAATTTAAATTCCTGGCATTGAACATAGAACTTTAGAAAATGTCCCTTCTCCATGTTCTAAAAGATTCTACATCCTGTGGTTTGAGGAACTCCCCCATCTTTTTTTTTTCCCACTCAGCCCTCCCTTTCTAAACTTCACCGCCCCACTCCACACCTCAAAGAGTGAAGGGGCTAGCTGACATATAACTAAAGCTCTGAAGTGGAAAGAAGGCAATATTTCAGATTGCAAAAAAGGACTTGAGATTAATATTATTAATGAACAATAGTTAAATAGTCTAGCACTTTTGTCAGAGACATATTGTGTGGCTTTGATCTTTTTATATACTTCATGAGTTCTTGATCCAAGTTCTCACCTTGCTTTCCATACATGGGTCTTTATGCAGGATTCATTCCCAGGGGAAGTAGATCTCTGGAGGGCAGAATTCACAGGTCAGGGAGTAGTGATCGTCATGAGCTAAACAGTAAAAGTTCCCTTCGTCTTTCCTCCTTTGATGTACACAGCATTTTTGTCACCCTAGTTCCCTGTCAATTTTGTTATTTTGTCATTTTATTCTTTGAAAATTTTAAAGGTTAAAGCTTATGTTAAAGAACATGAAGTGCATGTTATGATTTTAAATTTAAGACTTTAGGAAAATTAGGTCATCCTGAGAGGTCTGCAAAAGAGCAAATCGTTCAGACGTTTGCATCTGCTCATTTTGAAATATACACACACACAATCTGATACCTTCTCCTTGACAAGTGATGTTCCAAATCAGCAGAAATTCTGCCAAGTAATTCATGGGACAGAGCAGAAGGAGAATATGAGTCATTAAAATATAGGCATAAACTTTAGTCAGACAAACTGATGGGATTGCTGCCAAAGAAAAAAATCTTGCAGTTGGGCCACCCTCGTAGATTTCTCCAACAAACTCAGACAGATAGTGCTGTGTTTAGTGACTAGATTCTATGGCTCTGAATTATAGCACCTATCATTTCATTGTTTCAGAGGAGAACTATTTGAGTGAAAATATTATTTCAATGCAAATAATAGAAGGATAAAGAAAGTGGCACTCATTTCTCTGAAAGTTTTTACCTTGTGTACTGGAAATAAGAAAAGGAGGCATTGAATCTACTTGGGAATCTGAGTCGAGATTCTTAAATCAGGATTTTTAAGCTTTATCATCCATAAAAACCACCTAGACCACATATTAAAGGTGCATATTCCTCCTATGGATTCTGATACAACAGGCATTTTTCACAGGCTCTAAAGGGGTTAATGGTATGTGGATTCCACTTTATAAAAAGGCTGTCAAGTAGGCCAAGGCTGTTGGGCATTGGGAAAATAAGTGGGCATATGATAAAGGCTCAATAAATATTTGTTGAATGAATTCTCTCTAGGTCTTAGAAACATATTATTTTTATTTTTCTTTCATGTGAGCAGATTGCCAACAGGCTTATTTGGGTTTATATTGTTTCAGAGAAACTCAAATTTTCCCCATTTATTTATTGTCTGCTTGTGTTATATGAATTTTAGTTGCTGCTGGCAGAAAACTCAAGTTACATTAACTCTCCCCTTTCTAGTAATTTGGTGATCTGGGGCACTTCTTTTGATCTCCTTTGGCCTTTAAAATTTTAACCTCCTTTGACCTTTAAAGTTTTAAAATTTCTAATCTGGGAAGGTTAATAATTACTTTTCAAAATATCATATAGCACTGAAAAGAAAAAAAAGTACATGAAAAAATGCAGTATGAAGTTCTATACCAATGTTATTTGTTTTGTGTTTTTTAGAAATAAATTGTAAACTGGAACTCAGAATTAAATAATAATAGCAGTGGGGATGAAGTCCTTCTAATCCTTTACTCTAGGAAAATGTTTTCCTTAATGACTGGGAGACAGCTGGGTTCAAAGTGAATGCAAGTTAAATGTCAGTCAATGAGTTGAAGTTGTTCCTTTCCCACCTCATTTTGCTTTGTTGTTTCAAGAATCAGCATTACTGAGGCATTGGTTACTTTCATGTTAGCTCAACTCTAAAGATAGAGGTTGTGCAGGCTCTACTGAGGTCAGTTAACCTCTAACAAGAGAATGGACGGTTTGTTGGATGGAAAAGGCTTGTTAAGACAGTCAGACCACTTCTGAGCCTCCCTATCCCAAAAAGCCCCTATTACAATGCATGCATGTTCACTCACACACACAGGTACACACACACACACACACACACACTCCTCTGTAGCAACATTCCTTTAAATTCTTACCTTATAAAAGATAAGTCAGATGTGCTACTCCAACCTCCCCTCTAACTATATATATGCTATATATGCTGAAAGATAGTTTTTTAAGAGTGTTTCTGAGCAATTAAATCTTGGGAGTGGGGAAGGAAGTGAGGGAAACTAATTCCAAAGCTTTCTTTGTCTTTTCTTTCTGATAAAAGAGGTATAAACATTTCTGGGAAATGAATCATCCTGTCAATGCATGAGAAATGCAAATGCTTCCCTATTTAAACCCAACGTATTAAAATAAAATTAAAGAAGAGGAAGAAAGTATGGCTGTAGAGAAAATGTGGTGGGAATTAATCATACTGGCACAAGTTAGCCATACATTGCACAAAACAAGGCAGATTCCAGGGCAGGTGCTGCCTAGCCTGAAGGGCATCATGACCCACCAGGATCTGGCTCAGCTCAGCCTGTGGTTATTTTCTGTATTAGTCAAGATTTCTTGCAGTCCCAAGCATCAGAAGCACCACTTGAATTAGCTGAGGAAAAGAGAGGATTGCACTGGAAGTTGTCTCCCTGAACATAGGATTCATTCTCATGGATGACCCTTCTCCAAGAGGAAGGGAGCAGGAAAACCACCTCCTAAACCTTGAATCTTTCATCTTCAGTGCCCAAGAGGATACTAGCATGGTAGAGTAGGTCAGATTTGAGATACAGACAAGACCTAAAGTCGCAAGGTCTTGGTGTGTGTGATGGTGAGCACGTGTGTGTGTGTGTGTGCGCGCGTGTGCGTTTGTGTGTCTGTGTGTGTGTCCAGGACAGCAATCTGTGGTGGACACAATGATGTGACCCACTGTCCAGATCCCTCTTCAGGAATGAAAGACTCCTATTCAACTCCTGAGAGCGTTGCTGCCGCCCTCTAATGTAGCCCTTTCTAGAGATTTCTCCCACTGGAGAGACTCACCTCTCCCAAGGTCAAACTTGCTTCCTAGCAAACTAGGCATCTGGTGATTGATTGACAGGAACACAGAAAAGCCTGCTCTTCCCTCTCCAACCTAGGGAAGCTCTGAAAGGTCCCTCTGGCCACTCCTGCTCCCTGCCTGTCCACGGGTGTTGAATCCCAGATAACACCCTAACAAAGCTCTGGTCCAGTGACATCTATCTTTTCCTGGGAAAAGCCACCCAGTGACAACTGAGAAGGAAGACAGAACACAATTCTGTAGATCACTAACCTTTAAGATGCAAAAAGAGGAAAGATATATGCTTATGAAAACAGAGAATCGAGAAGGAGAAGACTGGTTCAGAGAGAGCAGTATTATAAGACAGGGTAGTTTCTACCTGATATGCTCTATTGATTTATTTAGGTGAGTATATTGGCTTAGAGTTAGAGAAGAGCATTTGGTGTAGGGTTTTTGAGGAGCATAGTCAAAGTTTAATGGAATCAAGGGGGCTAATCACTGGAATAAGATAAAAGACTGACAAATGGTGTTGAGGATCCAGATGAGACAGAAAAATCTGATGTATCAGCACAAAACTGTGCAATAATATAATTTACTCCTGCATCACTCAGTTTTCAAGACATAGGAGTGAAGAGGATAACTGAAGGAATGATACATATGTGTGGATTTATTTTAAGGGAGGTGGAGTGGTCACATAAAAATCAGAGGCCAAGAGATTTAAGGCAGTAATTAATATAGAAAATATATATCACATACGTGTGTATATATAGATCATTGTTGATTCTTCTACATCAAGGATATTCACATTATTCATATTTTATCCCCAAGCAATAATTAGAAGGAACTTTGCCACATTTTCTTGACTGTTTTAAGAAGGTATTCATTTGCAATAACGTTTAGATGATTATTAATATAATAATGTTATAATTATGAAGCTATCATTTCATTTGCTTTGCTCTGTGTAAACAGTGATAAATTAAAACACACACAATATAGGTATACAACTATATAAGCAATTAAAATAGAAGGTAGGGATTGAGTCTTCTTTATTGATTGGGAAGACAGAGATTTGCAGCCCATGAAATGTGAAAAATATGCTTTAAATTTACTTTCTGTTGACATGATTTCACTTCCCTTTCTAATAATGCAAGTCATCCTTGGGGTTGGAGGATAGAGAATGAGAAGGGTTAGAGAATAACTGGACTCCTATCTTTGGCTTTCCTAGAAGATTGGTGGGGAATAGTCTTCTTACCTTAGGCCGCTAGGCTTGATCTGCCTTGCGATTCTTGCAAGCAGAGCCCTGATGAAATGCAAGGGTAGCTACCTGCAATAAGACAAATAGATGATGAGAACAGAAGACAAGGGAAACCCACGAGGTTCAGATAAAGTGTACAGTTCCCCTCACCCCTACCACCTTGTGCCTCATGTAACACCAACCACAGTCTTCTATCAACTTTCCTACTTGTTTACCAGTCTGTCTCTACCATTAGTGTAGAAGCTCCTTAGGGCAAGATCTGTGTGTCATTTGTCTTTGTGTCTCCAGAACCTGGTCTAGATCGTGGCTTTTGATGTGTTGTACAAGAAATATAGGCTGAAGGAAGGAACTCAACAGATAAATTTGGCAATTATTTTATAGATGTTGAACTAAAATGTCTCAAAACGTAATCATACTGGAGTAAAATTGCTTATTTTTAAGTTATCAACATTTGTAGTAATTCATTACAGAAAGACTTCACATCCCTGCAATCCAGGGTGAGGAATGAGTTGTATCCTTCCTGCCTGGCACAATGTTTGGTGTTTAGCTCAGCAGAAGGTTATTGCAGCTCCACTCCTTCTTCCATATGCTGGGAAAGCTCCACGCAGTTCATTAGGAAGGGTGGGATGGATCAATGCCAGTATTTAGATTCCCAAACTGTTCTCAATTAGGAAATGACTTCTGTGTTTCCCCCATTCAGGTGCTTTTGATTAGCAAGAAGCACAAATACGCAGTCATACAGATATGTGCTCCCACAGTCAGAACCTACAAAAGCGAATCAAGTGCTTATCTGGCTTACATTTCTATACATTCCTTGACACTCACAGATGCTTCTTGAACCTGGCTGGCCTATCCTTGTGCATGGCTGCCAGGCTCCACAAGGTTAACTAAGGAACGCCCAAGGTTGTTTTCATTTTTATACTGGGGTCATGGCCTATAAGATAGAGACATTCTGCTGAACAGCTATGTGACCTCACTAAGCCTCGGCCTTGCTGTCCCTGGAGTTGCTTTTAGATTGTAGGTGGGAATATTTTCCACCACTAACTAATGTTTATGGATCAATTCTAGGTCTTCAGAAGGGAAAGATATAGATAGAAGATAGATAGATAGATGCATATATATATAAATAGAAAATAGTATCCACAATTGACCCCACGTTGCCCATTGCATTTGGATGCTGAGTTAAGATAAGAGCCTCTGAGAACAATGTGGTGGTGGAGAGGCTTCTCTTGTCCTTTTATCTTCAATATTTCCCCCCTCCGCAGCCAGACAGACTTTCTAAGGTCTGCTCAGCTGATCAGTTTACTCTGCTGCTAAAAGGGCAAGGGCTTCCCATGACTTTTCACATGAAAATTGAAATTCCTGACGTCTTCCACAGGCCCCAGCCTCCCTCCATGGCCCCACCTCACGTCAGCCCCACTGAGTCTAGCCCTAGCCCTCAAACCTGCTATTCTTTTTACATGCTCTTCCCTTTATCGGCTTCCCTCGTCCAGATTTCCAGATGACATCATCTCCTCCTAGCACGGGCTTTAATCTCATCATATAATTCTCCTTTAGAGCATTTTACCCAGGTGTAATTTTTATTAGAATTCTGATTGTTTAATACATATCAAGACACTGCCACAGGCAAGACCCATGCCCGGTTCATTCTGCACTGCACTCCAGTGTCCAGTCCTGTGCCTGACACATCAGTAATGGGTGTGCTGAGCTCAGAAAATGGCCAAGAAAAGCTCCCTCATGCCCACCCTGTGTCTACATATGTGCTTTGGCTGTGCCTTTAACTGCTACCCATCGTTTCTACTAAGCCAAATAGATTTTGAGACAGAGTCTTGCTCTGTCGCCCACACTGGAGGGCTGCAGTGTGATCTCAACTCACTACAACCTCTGCCTCCCGGGCTCAAGCAATTCTCCCATCTCAGCCTCCCAAATAGCTAACATAACAGGCATGCACCATCATGCCCAGCTAATTTTTGTGTTTTTTTTTGTACAGACGAGGTTTTGCCGTGTTGCCCAGGCTGGTCTTGAACTCCTGGGCTCAAGCGATCTGCCCACTTTGGCCTCCCAAAGTGCTGGGACTACAGGTGTCAGCCACCGTGTCTGGCCCAAATAGTCTTTCTTGGAAGAAAATTTGATTATTGTATTTTAAGAAAATCAGTCATGATGATCAGTTATTATTTAAGATCAGTTAAAGAATATGCTATGCCTAAATAATGTACAAATTTACAACCTGGCCCAAAAATGAGTGCCTAGTTTCTTCTGCTACCAAAGCACATGGCATATTTTCTTGATTTGAACTTACTATTCCTGCATAATGGGTGCTGAATAAAATGTGTTACCTATATCAATATCAATATATGCCTTTTTCAGCTTCATTCAGCCAGTATGCCAATAACTATTGCAATAATTATACCAATATACCCTAATCATTAATGTTCTTTAAAAAATCCTGCTTCAATTGTTTTATATTTCCCAGGCAATGCAATCTCTATTACCTCATTCACAGTCATCTGTAAAATAAATACCTTCTATCACTAGGTCCAGTAGATGCAAAACCCTAGAAAAGTTTAAACAAATATTTTGATTTTGTTTACGTATGTGCCACCAGCTGCTTAAGAAAATCTGCACTTGAAATAAACAGAAATTACAGAAGAAATCCATATTGTTAACACCTGGATTTAAACACTCAACAAAAAGCCAGAAAGTAAACACTGCAATATTAAATACAATCAGCTGGGAGGAACCTACTCCCCAGTGGATCTGAGAAATTGTTTAATTTCACATAAAAGGGTCTCTGAATAAGTGGTAGGCAAAGGGAACAGAGTACATGGAAAGGGTAGGCTCCCTGTTGTGGAAATAGCCATCTTCTTTCATCAGAGTGGGTGTTGGTGGATTGTTGGAAAGGTTGGAACTCTCCAAATACACAGAGCTTCTCCTCTGACTACACCCTTCCCAGCTTATAAAGAGGACCATTTGACCACACATTCACTTTCCATTAGCAGGAAGCCCACTTACTAAGTAAAGCCAGCAGCTTAATTCAGATAAACACTTACTGAGAGAGCAGTGAGCGCTGTGCTAAGTATCAGGAATACAGAGATTAGTAAAAGGAGTTACTTCCTACAGGGATCTACAATTTAGTGAGGGCTGAAATACCTGTGAAGGATTGTATAATATTCATAATACATGCTGGAATAGCGGTTAGTGCTAGGACTAGCAGTGGCTTAAAGTAGGAAATAATGGACTCTTGCAGGCTTGGAAAAGACTTCTTAGAAGAAATAAGGGCCCATTTGAGTCTTGGAGAATGCCTAGGAGTTTCTCCAATATTTAGCAGAGGAATGATAAGCTGGCAAATATGAAAGGGGTTGCAAATTCACATTTCAGGCATAGAAAACATCATTGCAAAAACAAAGAGGGGTTCCCAGTATTTCCCTGGAGTCTGAGCTTGCACGCAGGGCCAACTGCTATGTGTGTTGATACCTGTATCTGCAGTTGCTGGACCCAACTACACGAGCACATGGCGCCACCTGGGTTATCTCCTCTATTTACACATATGCTCCATTGTCCTGTTGGATTTTACTTCCAAAACACAGAGTCAAATATAAAACTTTTAAGAATTCCAAAATGGTGAGAGTAAAATATTAAACCAAGTGTAGGGTTTTTCTCAGAGCAGGGCTACTGCACAGGTTCAAGCCTATAAAATCAGCCCTGCACTTAGCTCAATGTCAATTAATACATGATCAACAAACTCTCAGTTTTCCCCTCTACCGCCCCTAAATGTAGTGTTAAATAAGCTTGGGATGTGGAAACACATTTGGATGTTGGGGAGGGGAAAGTGGACAGCAGTGGGATGAAGCTGGTATAAGAGACAGAGCCCAGATCAAGCCAAGTTTTATACCGCATGTTGAATTTGGTGTTTACCCTATAGGTCAAGAGGCATCATGGAATGATTTGAGGCAGGGATGTCACAGATGAAATTTGTAGATTAGGAAATCGAATCCTGTGTTCATGTGGTAGATGGATTTGTTGTCTGAAAAATAGGAGAGGGTAAGCCAGGTTTGAGCACTACAGGTGGAGGAATCTTTTATCTCCCCCTGTGGCTGTAGAGATGATTGCTACCAGTTGGTACCTGCCATCTGTTCTAGTTTTGAATGGACATAACCTATTTCTCACACAAGAGTTAAAGTTCTGGGGGTGGTAGTCCTGGTGGTGATGGTGCCTTTTAAATACAAGATGATTTGTATGATATTTCCTGTTAAATCAAGGTTGCCTTGGCTATTTGAGTGATTACATCAAAATCTTGACTCACGTAAGGGTCTTAGTGAGAGGTGACAGGGTGCTGGCAGTCCTCACAGCCCTCGCTCACTCTCGGCGCCTCCTCTGCCTGGGCTCCCACTTTGGCGGCACTTGAGGAGCCCTTCAGCCCACCACTGCACTGTGGGAGCCCCTTTGTGGGCTGGCCAAGGCCGGAGTCGGCTCCCTCAGCTTGCAGCGAGGTGTGGAGGGAGAGGCGCGAGCGGGAACCAGGGCTGCGCGCGGCGCTTGCTGGCTAGCTGGAGTTCCGGGTGGGCGTGGTCTCGGCGGGCCCCGCACTCGGAGCAGCCGGCGGGCCGGCCCTGCCGGCTGCGGGCTATGAGGGGCTTAGCACCCGGGCCAGCGGCTGCGGATGGGGTACTGGGTCCCCCAGCAGTGCCGGCCCACCGGCGCTTCGCTCGATTTCTCGCAGGGCCTTAGCTGCCTTCCCGCGGGGCATGGCTCGGGACCTGCAGCCCGCCATGCCTGAGCCTCCTACCCCCTCCATGGGCTCCTGTGCGGCCCCAGCCTCCCCGATGAGCGCCGCCCCCTGCTCCACGGCGCCCAGTCCCATCGACCACCCAAGGGCTGAGAAGTGCGGGTGCACTGCAGGGGACTGGCAGGCAGCTCCACCTGCAGCCCTGGTGCGGGATCCACTGGGTGAAGCCAGCTGGGCTCCTGAGTCTGGTGGAGACGTGGAGAACCTTTATGTCTAGTTCGGGGATTGTAAATACACCAATCGGCACTCTGTATCTAGCTCAAGGTTTGTAAACACACCAATCAGCACCCTATGTCTAGCTCAGGGTTTCTGAATGCACCAATGGACACTCTGTATCCAGCTACTCTGGTGGGGACTGGGAGAACCTTTGTGTGGACACTCTGTCTAGCTAATCTGGTGGGGACTTGGAGAACCTTTGTGTCTAGCTCAGGGATTGTAAACGCACCAATCAGCGCCCTGTCAAAACAGACCACTGGGCTCTACCAATCAGCAGGATGTGGGTGGGGCCAGATAAGAGAATAAAAGCAGGCTGCCCGAGCCTGCAGTGGCAATCTGCTCGGGTCCCCTTCCCCACTGTGGAAGCTTTGTTCTTTCGCTCTTTGCAATAAATCTTGCTGCTGCTCCCTCTTTGGGTCCACACCTGCTTTTATGAGCTGTAACACTCACCACAAAGGTCTGCAGCTTCACTGCTAAAGCCAGCGAGACCACGACCCCGGGGGGGAACGAACAACTCCAGACGTGCCGCCTTAAGAGCTGTAACACTCACCGCGAAGGTCCGCAGCTTCACTCCTGAGCCGGGGAGACCATGAACCCCACCAGAAGGAAGAAACTCTAAACACATCCAAACATCAGAAGGAACAAACTCCGGACACGCCGCCTTTAAGAACCGTATCACTCACTGCGAGGGTCCACGGCTTCATTCTTGAAGTCAGTGAGACCAAGAACCCACCAATTCCGGACACATTTGTATGAATTAAACCAAAATTATGTGTTATCATAAGGTAAATGGATTTAGTCTGGTGGTGTTGTGTATTACATAGGGACTACCAGTGTTCACCAATATTCTTGAATGAAGTTAATTATTATACCTGAATGTGATCCTCACAAAGGAACGATATTTTTAAAACCACTGTATTTAGTCATAAGTGCATTATAAATCAATCAATGTATGTTCATTGATAAGGGAAGTTTTATGATTCTATTTGTAGAGAAGAGGTAATGTTTATATTTTGAATACTTCAGGTAGCTGTCTTTTTTGAATAAGATTTGTGATACCACAGTCACGATGGATTGGGGCGTCTAAAATTAACATAATGAAGTGATAGTTTTCAGTCCCAGCATTAGATTCACCTGGGGAGTGTTTACATTTTACCCTTGCCTGAGTTCCTCCACAACTGAGATAGAATCTGTATGGGTAGGACTTGAGTATCTGAATTTTCCACAAGCTTTGTTGACTTATACATATTTTAACTACAGTAAAATCTCATTTGAAAGTGATTTCTATCCCTATAGTTGTGCCTTTTCCAGAATATCATGTAAATGGAATCAGAGACCATTAGTCTTTTTTGCCTGGTTTCCACTTAGCATATTTCTTTTGAGATTCATCATATTGCGGGTGTCAGAAGACCATTCCTTTAAACTGTATTGAGAATATTGAGCAGTATTGTATAGTGTGATCATACCACAGGTTGGTGCAACCCTCTGAACTCTTTAAAAACTTCTGATAGCATAGCAAGGGTTGAGAACCACTACTGTAAAGGAACTTACAAATGAATATTACTTTATATTTTATCAAATACCTATAGAGGACTCAGTCGTTGTACTTGCACTGATTCATTTAATGGTCTATGTGGAAGAAGTTAGAATTATCACACACTAGTTTATAGACCATGCTATCTAGAACACATAATAACTTTGATCATATCTCTTTAACAATTATTTTTATTTGACATTGCCTAAAACATTTTCCATGGCAGAGTGAATTCATACCACACATATCCAACTATCTCTTATGATCAGTGGGGCCTGAAAATGCTGGTGGAAGATTTATTTAAAAAAAAAAAAACATATTCCCGATCATCTTCTCCTACCCATAAATGGAAAATTCTTGCCTATACAAGACTAGTGTCAAGACCCAAAATTATTATTATTATTATTTTTGAGATGGAAGCCTTGCTCTGTAGCCCAGGCTAGAGTGCAGTGGCGTGATCTCGGCTCACTGCAACTTCCGCCTCCTAGGTTCAAGCAATTCTCCTGCGTTAGCCTCCTGAGTAGCTGGGATTACAGGCACATGCCACCAAGCCTGGCTAATTTTTATATTTTTAGTAGATACAGGGTTTCACCATGTTGGTCAAGCTGGTCTCGAACTCCTGACCTTGTGATCTGCCCGCTTCAGCCTCCCAAAGTGCTGGGATTACAGGTGTGGGAGCCACTGCACCCGGCCCACAATTATTAAACTATCTAACATATACATACTTCTGACCAAAAGCATTGGATAGCATTATGAAGATACTTCAGAATCCAAGTTTATAAATTATGGTTAAGAACAATGTATAAGGGCACAGCCACTTCCTTCATGAAAGCTTGGTGTAAGGATGTATCTGTGCCTTAGCCATCCTTTAAAGGAAAAACGCAGAAGTAATAGCATCAGAAATATCCTGGAAACTTCAATATAACAGTGAACATGCATACAATTGTCTCTCCATATCTATGAATTTCACATCCAAAAATTCAATAAATCTTACACTGAAAATATTCAGAAAAATAAATACTACAAACTAAAAAAAAGATACAACTATCTACATAGCATTTACATTATACTCAGTATTATAAGTTATCTAGGGATGATTTAAGATATACAGGAAGATATACATGAGGGTGGTCCTTGAACCAATGGTTCCTGGATACTGAGTGACGACTATGGGTGACAGTGCTTCTTGGTTAAATGTGAGTTTCTGGGACAGTTTGTGAATTTCTGTGATGTAATAGATTATAGTGATGTTGGATACATAGAGCAACCGTGAGTCACAAGGAGATGGCTGCAGACCCTGAAGACTCTACGGAGGCTTACACAAGAGACATGCGGCTTGAGAACAAAGGCTTATAGAAATTAAAACACATATTAAGGGTGTTTCTCTAATGCAAATCAAAACCACAATGAGATACCATCTCACACCAGTTAGAATGGCAATCATTAAAAAGTCAGGAAACAACAGGTGCTGGAGAGGATGTGGAGAAATAGGAACACTTTTACACTGTTGGTGGGACTGTAAACTAGTTCAACCCTTGTGGAAGTCAGTGTGGCGATTCCTCAGGGATCTAGAACTAGAAATACCATTTGACCCAGCCATCCCATTACTGGGTATATACCCAAAGGACTATAAATCATGCTGCTATAAAGACACATGCATACGTATGTTTATCGCGGCACTATTCACAATAGCAAAGACTTGGAACCAACCCAAATGTCCAACAATGATAGACTGGATTAAGAAAATGTGGCACATATACACCATGGAATACTATGCAGCCATAAAAAATGATGAGTTCATGTCCTTTGTAGGGACATGGATGAAATTGGAAATCATCATTCTCAGTAAACTATCACAAGGACAAAAAACCAAACACCGCATGTTCTCACTCATAGGTGGGAATTGAACAATGAGAACCACATGGACACAGGAAGGGGAACATCACACTCTGGGGACTGTTGTGGGGTCGGGGGAGCGGGGAGGGATAGCATTAGGAGATATACCTAATGCTAGATGACGAGTTAGTGGGTGCAGCACACCAGCATGGCACATGTATACATATGTAACTAACCTGCACATTGTGCACATGTACCCTAAAACTTAAAGTATAATAATAATAAAATAAAATTTAAAAAATACAAAAATTTTAAAAGAAGGGTGTTTCTCTGAGTTAAATGAAGCTTCAACACCATTCTTTGAAAAGAATAAAGTGCATAAGGTTATGTGATGCTGAGACAAAATCAAGAACAATTTAAATTGTGAGTAACTTTCATTGCTGTTCCATGTTACCACCTCTCTCCACCCTGAAAATGCTTCCATTGAGAACTGACCTTTCTGGAGATGACACTATTCATGACTATTGGAGTCTTTTGGCTTCAGTAAATAAAGTTCCCTGGAATTTCAAGAGTTTCCCTTGTGTGCCCTAGAAAAAAAAAAAATCATTCTTTTTCAGAATTGTTATGACTTGGCTTTGCTTTTTCTCTTAGAAAGTTAATGGGCAATGCTTATCAAACTTGCATTGTTCAACAAGGTTAGGGAGATTTATTTCTCACTCTTCTGAAGGTCACTCCATTCATCACATTGCAAAAGTTCTTTCTTTTGGCAACCAAAGGATAATGGAGCGTTGATTTCCCTGGGGATTTTTAGTCTGTTCCCCCAACATGTATGCACACACAGACGTATTACTGAAGCAATCCCTAGTTTCTAAGGATGTACCAAATCTAGCAGAGACAGCAATGAGGTAATTCTAAAGTGAATGATAGCTTTGTCATCTGAAAAACAGACAAATGGAAACAACTTAAAAAAGAATTAACACAGGAATAAAAGATAACCTTAATAAAATGATTTCTCAAAAGAAGACATACATGTGGCCAAAAAGCATATGAAAAATTCTCAACACCACTAATAATTAGAGAAATGCAAATCAAAACCACAATGAGATACCATCTCACACTAGTCAGAATGGCTATCATTAAAAGGTCAAGAAATAATAGATGCTGGCGAGGTTACATAGAAAAAGGAACGCTTATACACTGCTGGTAGGAGTGTAAATTAGTTCAGCCATTGTGGAAAGCAGTTTGGAGATTCTCAAAGAACTTAAAACAGAACTGTCATTCAACCTAGCAATCCTGTTACTGGATGTATACCCAAAGGAATATAAATCGTTCTACCATAAAGACACATGCATGCATATGTTCATGACAGCATGATTCACCATAGAAAAGACATGGAATCAACCTAAATGCCTATCAATGATAAACTGGATTTAAAAAATATGGTACATATACACCATGGAATTCTATGCATCCATAAAAAAGAATAAAATCATGTCCTTTGCAATAACATGAATGGAGCAGGAGGCTATTATTCTAAGTGAATTAATAAAGGAACAGAAAATCAAATATCACGTTTTCATTTATAAGTGGGAGCTAAACACTGGGTACACACAAACACAAAGAAGGGAATGATAGACAGTGAGGCCTACTCTGAGGGTGGAGGATGGGAAGAGGGTGAGGATAAAAAAACTATACCTGTAGGGTACTATGCTTATTACCTGTGTGATGAAGTAATCTGTACACCAAACCCCCATGACATGCAATTTACCCATGTAACAAACCTGCTTGTGTACCCCCCTGAACCTAAAATAAAAAGTTGGAAATTAAAAAATAAAACAAAAAACTAAAAGAAATGGAATTGGGAAATTAAGGGTATGTTCTCATTTTCTTGTGAAGAACTTAACATTATTTTAAGATAATATGTAATTAAATAGTTTAAGGCTTGTAGACTGGGTTGAATAGTGTCACCCCGAAATTCATGTCTTTCTTAAAATCTCAGAATATGACCTTATTTGGAAATAGCGTCGTTGCAGATATAATGATAAGATGCAGTCACATTGGAATAGGGTGGGCCTTTAATCCAATATGACTGGTGTTCTTATAAGAAGAGATACAAGGGCATAGAGACACTGACACAGAGAAAAGACAGACACGTGAACACTGGGGCTGAGATTAGTGTGATGCATCCACAAGCCAAGGAACACTTAGGGCTTCTAGAAGCTGAAAGAAGCAAAAGTGGATCTTCCCTCAAAGGCTCAGGAGGTGGCATGGCCCTGCCCATGCCTTGATTTTGGACTTCTAACTTCCAGAACAGTAAGAGAGGACATTTCTGCTTTTTTAAGCCACCAGTTTCTGACACTTTGCTATGAAAGCTATAGCAAAATTCAGCCCACCTCTGGATTTTTGGCAACGTGAGCATTAAGAGCTGACCATTCTATAGACTGGTGGTCTAGGAGGAATTGAGAAAACTTTAGAACCAAAAAAAGGCAACAACACCTCACTTTTACCTGCATATTCATGGCTTCTTCACAGTCTCCTATATCATGAGCTATCAATATGAGGATCCCTTGGGATATGCAAACGGCAGATCTCTGCCCAGACCCAACGTGTTGGTTGGAATATCTCTGGTTAGAAACAAGGAATCTGCATTTTACTAGTTCTTAAGTCATTCTGGTGAATGCTAGAACTTTAGATTCGTGCAGAATAGCTTCTGTTACTATCTTTGAAGAATAATCAAACAAAAACCCATTAATCTATTGAGGGCCAACAAAAGACACAATGCTATCCTCAAGTGTGTAGACAGGGCCAAGTGAAATTTGAATATCAGACAGAATTAGCAGCCACCTAGGACCACACAGTCTCTTATTAGGACATGGAATTTACCAACAGCATACACCCAAGTGACCCTTAATTTTATTCTTGCTCCCCAACCCACACAAGTAATGATAGCAAGTAATTGGTCCTCTTACCTTATGCCAGACCATTGCAGCTGGGACTTGGAAAGGATGGAGGAGAAATAGAGAAACTAGTGAATGTATACCTTGCTACCTACATGGTTTTCTTCCGTATGCTTTTGATAAAATGAAAACTATACACCTTCAAAATAAATTTAAAAATATTACTAAGATCCAATTAAGGGAGATGGAAAAAAGTTTTCTCAAGAGAAATTCCGTTTAACAAGACGTTCTCAATTCCACAAATTGAAAATTACATTTATATTAAGTAAATGAGGCAGATAATTCATTAAAGAATTGGAAATGGAAATTGTAAGTCACTCCTGCTGTATTTTAGATTATCAGTATCCTTATATTTTACAGTGCACATATAATTTATGCAAGTGAGATAACTCATGTGTCCTTCATCTAAATATAGAAGTTTGTTATTATAGTTACAGTTTTTATTTCCTTTACCAATTGTTTTGAATTTTGAAAAATTTAAATTTAAGATGTATAGAAAAGACAACAATGTAATCATTACCTGTGCAGCAGCTACTCTTCAAGAAATTAACAAATGTTAAAATATTTCTCTATAATGTTACTACAAACAAGAAGTATGGAGCATTATAGACAGAACTGGAGGTGTTCCTTATCTGCTTTTTTTTTTTTTTTTTTTTTTAGACAGTCTTGCTCTGTCACCAGGCTGGAGTACAGTGGCGTGATCTTAGCTCACCGCAACCTCTGCCTCCTGGGTTAAAGCAATTCTCCTGCCTCAGCCTCCTGAGTAGTTGGGATTACAGGGATATGCCATCATGCCCAGCTAATGTTTATATTTTTACTAGAGATAGGGTTTCCCCATGTTGTCCATGCTGGTCCTGAACTCCTGATCTCAAGCAATCTGCCCGCCTGGGCCTCCCAAAGTGCTGGGATTACAGGCATGAGCCACCACACCTAGCACTTTATCTACCTCTTGAGTGCATTCCTTTTATTCCCTTTATAGAGGCAAGCACTGCCTTGTCTCCCTACAGTCTCTGTTGTCTTTCTCTCCACCTGTCATCTAGATTTCCATGGATATAGATAGCTATATATGATTTTAGTACATATATTCAAGAGATTGGCCTGAAATTTTCTTTTGTATACAAATCACATAAAATTGTGTAATAATCATTCACTATTTTTTCAATACCTTGATATCAAAGAGTCAGTTCATGGCTCATTTTTATCATTATTCTATATTTTATTATTATTATTATTAAATTTATTACCACTCTCATACCTACTTCTTTCTGTATTAGTGCATGTTAGGCTAAGTTGCTGTAGTGAAGACATCCCCTCAAAATATGCAATTGTAGTAAGATAGAACAATTATTTCAGTTGACCTCTATGAGTTAAGGTTGATCTCAGCACCACCGCTGCCTTTCAGCCCCAATGAAGAGAGTAAGATAGCATGGAGCGCATGCAACTTCCTAGTCACTGAGTCCCATGACCACAGTTAGCTACGGAGGCAGCTTCAATATGGGTCTTCAGCTCAAAATCGTGTCTTTAACTAAAACTAGGAGAGATAAGAAAGATATTTATTAACAACAACAAAAAAATGTAGAGGAGATAATATATTCTGGGGATAGTAATAGCCCCTGCCATAACATATGCCTCTGGCAACCCAAAAACCTGTGTTCTTCTCACGCAAGCACTCACTTACCAAAAGAGAAAATCCTAAAGAGCTCCCTGCCCAAGGACAGAGGTGAATGGACCTGTCCCTTCCCCTGCTCAGTGTACAATAGGAGTAGAAAGACTCATGTTTAATGAAATCAGACTGACCATATGTTATTTTGTTGTCTCCCATTTTCTGGGAGTACAGTTTTGTCACTGCATTGCAAGATAAAGCTGCATAGCTTCTAGGCATCTGGGAACCTCTATGCAAAGATCTGTGGCCCACCTCATCTCTCTCCAGGAGGGTTGAAATCCAGCCGTGACCTATTAAAATCTGTACAGAAGCTGGCTTTGCCCACGTCTCTTCAACTTTAGCTTATGTGTGCACCACTGACTTTAAATCCCTGGTTTTTATCTGACATGTAAAGATCTCCCTTTCTTTTTTAGAGTTCATAGTATATTAAAAATTTAACTCTTACATATATTCTGAATTTTAATATGTTTCAAGTAGTAGGGGTAGTTCCTACTTTAGCCCATATGTCTGGAAGTTTGCTATGTCTTTTTCATGTTTTTTAAAATATTTAGGTGATATAAATTTAATAATCTAGTTTATTTCAGTTTTTCAATCCTTTTTAGCTTCTTGATGATATTTGGATAATATTGAAGATTCCAAATGAAAGGAATGAGAGGTGTTAATTTTGAAAAAAGATAAATATTTTGTATTCTGAATCTTTCATAGCATGTTAATTTTGATAAGTTGAGGCTCCCCACTCAGCTTTTGCTGTTTTGGATGAGGTGGGGATGGCCACAGCTTTCTCGGTGGTGTTTGGTTGAGGGAGAGCAGTTATTTTCTAAAAGTTTTCTGTCTTGCTAAGTTGCCTCTTTTCTGGTTCTTGGCTAGAAAAAGAAGGCTTTTGTTGCGACTTCTTTTTTGTCTGCTCCTGTTAGCATTTCTGGGTTACCTGCTTCTTCCACTTCAAATGGGCAATGTATGAGACAAAAAAAGATCTAGGGATTGTTAAGGATTGTTCCCTATTCTAATACAGCACAGTAGTTGGGAAATTCAGCATTTGTTATTTTACAAATAATGAAAAATGTATATGCTATAGAAATATATACACATATATAAATATATTTGTATGCATATTTATATTATACACAAACTATACATTTATATAAATTGTATATATTATATAAATATAAATTATATAAATATATAAATATAAATTGTATTATACAAATTATAAAATATATAATTACATAAATATTATATAAACATGTATTTTATAATATGTATTTTCCCTTTCTTCAAATTACAATTTAGTCACCAAGAACAGAGCTTTTCAAAAGATGTGGACTTAGCACACTGATATGCTTAGATAAAATGTCCTGGTATTGAACACATTAGTCCTCTTTGTGACTAGGTGGTTGCCTGGTAGTGAATTTGATTACTTCATGCCACGAAATCCTCCTCAGTTTACCCTACTGTGCTAAACAAATTTGTGTGTGTGTGTGCACGATGGTGTGTATTTTTTTTCTCATTACCAGAAACCTAAAAGAATTTCATTTACTGAACACCCTCATCAATACTTGTTATCATCAATATTTTAATTTTAGTTATTCTGGAGCTTGTATGTCAGTATCCCATTATGGTTTCAATTTTCATTTAATTTACCAATGAATTTGACACTTTTTTACATGTTTCTAGGTATTCATTTTTCCTCTTCTTTTGGTGTGCTCATCTTGTTCTAATTGATTTTAGTTGTGACATATACCAGATACAAACATCTCGCTGCTTTAGATATTTTTTTCTTGTTTCTCAATATGCAGTCTCAGATTATTCATTGTAACACTTCTTCTTTACAAATATATGCATTTAAGATCACAAAATTTTTTTATTTACACCATTAGCTATATTACATAAGTTTTGATATATTGTGTTTGCATTAAAATTAAGTTCAAAATATTTGTAATTTTTATTGATTATCCTTTTACTCATGGATTAATTAAAAGTATGTTAATTTCCAATATTTGATTGGTTTTGCTATTTTTGTTTGTTTTATTTCTAACACAACTTATATTGGGATCAAAGAAAATATTTTGCATGATTTCAATCCTTTTGATTTTATTGAGGCTTGTTTTATGGCTCAGAATATGGTCTTTCTCTATATCTAATTAATCCTTGTTCTGGATAGATTGCTATGTTCATTTCTCCATTCATTTATTAAACTCTTTCTCAGGGGATTAAAGATGAAATAATAGGCATAAAACAAATATTTTATAGTTCCACAGGCTGTGAAACATTAGTGGGAAAAGACCATATAAATATAGTCTCATATATATTTGTTATATATATATATGTTACATATATAAAACATATATATTTGTTATATATATGTTTATATACACATTTGTTTATATATTTGTTATATAAACATATATGTAACATATAAAAGATGTATATTTGTTATATATAATATACATATATACATGTAAGACTATATAGATATATGTATATACATACATGTAAGACTATATAGATACATGTGTATATATAAATACATGTAAGACTATATATATAGACTATAAAGACTATATAGATATAGATAAAGACTGTAGATATAGATAAAGACTATATATAGACTAGATATATAGACTATATATAGATTATAGATAAAGACTATATATATAGTCTTATGTCATATGTATATATGTCATATATAAGTATATATAAAAGTATATATGTAAGTCTTATATATATGTCATATATACATGTCACATGTATATATGACATATATAGTCTTACATGTATATATATATATATATACATGTGTATATATATATTTAGGTAACATAAATTTTAATAATGTGGTGTATTTCAGTTCTTCAATGTTTTATATATATATATATATATATATATATATATATATATATATATATATGGTCTTCAAACCCAAATTCTGTCCTTATCTTAAGGACATTAATGTACATTAGTTTCCCATTGTATTTATTTTGCTATCTGTCATGTAGACCACTTCATTCTTTTCTATAGTACAAAAAATTAGAACAGTTGTTATTTATCATCACAGTCTTACAAATGATGAAAGACAGATTCAGAGACTTCTCCAAGGAGTATAAATCCTACCTTCCTATGTCACACAGTTGATGACAAGATGAAATGAAACACCATAGGTAAGTTTGCTTTGTACAATTGCAGGCCCTGTGCGTATGGATGTCGTGCGGTGCCCTCGCAAGTACTTCTTAAAAAGATGTAGCTCAGGTGCTGTTTAAAACTATAATGCTCATTACCAATTATCACTCCTTTTGACATTAACTTTAATATGCAGACACACTGATCCTTACTGACAACCCTTTTTCCAAACATGGGATTGCTTTTTGAGAATTTTAAAGCCTAATTGAAAATCAGCTATTTACATGGTCTATTTTCCCAAAGGTTTTGAAAAGTTCATGTTTGGGTTTTCAGCCTACTTTTGCCACGAATTTTCCTCCATTCTTTGTAGAGGAAGAAACAAAGGACCCCAAAGCACCCCATGAGGCAGTATAATAAGAAGGCCTAGAACTTGGATGCAAAGGGCCTCTTTGGGTGGAGACTTCACCGTGGTTGTATGCTTTAATCTTGACCTACACTTCCTCTTCTTTTTAAAAATAAACTCTAAGCATTGTTCCTTGGATATAATTGTAAATGATCTTTCCAGAAAAAGAACAAATCTGTTTTTAAAGAACCTGGTAAATACTAGTGAAACCTGCATGATTGAGGGTTGGTCAAAATCTAAGTGGCTAGAACCGGAAATTCCACAAGACCATGACATTCTTTCATTGCAGCCAAGTGGCCCACACTGAGGGAAGATTCCTTTCTAGCTCTACACAGACTAAGACGTTTCATAGAATTTAGATTATTTTTTGAAATGACTTTAAAGTTTTCTTATTTTTAGGAGTGGCATTTAAGTTAATGTCGTTGTGAACATAGGACTTTTGTTGTTTTGTTATTCTAGTAATGTATACATTTGAGCATAACTGGAAAATTCAGAATCAGCCAATATTAATTTTATGGCAATTACCTAATCTAAGTGGGAAAATGTTGGCATACCCTTTTTAAATGCAATACTTTTGTTCATATTCTCTAACATAATGGGCATGTTCTGTAGTTTAAAGAACCTTTGTTTACAAGAGGAAAATAATGTCCTCAGTGCCCTGTAATTGACTTTCAGGGCCCAGTACTGAAACAAGTAGTACAGTATTCCATTACTGCAGCCAGTTTCACAAATCAATCTAAATAAATGTGTTTTCTTTGCAGACTTTAATCAATAAAAACAAATTTGCAAACCTTGTACATGGTGAGAAAAGTGCCAACGATTGTACGAGTTTGAGAAGGCTTTTGTTCTTCTGAAATATTATTTTCTAAAAGTTATTGGATCTTCAGTTTTTAAAGTAAATCTCTAGAACATTTCTTTACCAAGTAACATTATATGCTAGTTGCTTTAGGTCATCAAAAAATGCACAATTTATCCAACACACACATCATTATTGTAAAGCTATCATAATTTTACAATATATAATGTTTAAACTGAAACCGTCCAAAAGACATTCAAGTATTTAGGTTTAGCAGAGTACAAAGTTACTGACGATTAGACTCAGAAGAATCTTTCATCCAGTTACCCTTGTCTATGTCTATTGTCATAGTCTAATGACTAGGCCTATCCTTGTGTATGTGCAGAGAGTTTCTAACATCAGCACCAGAACATTTGCATGTGCCTGTCTGCCAGTTTTTTTTATTCCATGAATATTTATTGAAACAATATTCTGGGCTACACAATTTTAGCTTTACATTGCTAAAAGCTGACAATGTAAAGATGAGTAAGACAGGCTTCTGCTGTAGCATATGAGGAAGTGTACATGTAAACAAAAAGTTCCAATATTCCTTGTTATATGTTATATGCTATATTATGCAGAGTTTTGGACAAAATGCTGAAAAGCATAAATGAATAGAATAATTTTAGAGGTATAAATAAAATGACTTCCGAGAAGAGGCATAATTTAAGCCAGGCATTGAAAAGAGAGCAGAAAAGCTGAAAAATAAGAGAATGACTGTAAATATTAAAAGCACATGGTAGCTCTTCATTCAGAACAAAAAACCCAAATTAAATGTTAATGGGCACTAGGATTAACTGCAAGGTCCTTTCAAATGATACTTACTCCTCTTCTGACTCATCTCAAGTGTCTGTGCTGTTTACCGAATGAAAATGTCATTGCAAATGATATGAAAGTATTATGTCCTCAGATACATGGGCGACAGAAAATGGTTTAGTACCGCTGGTTAGTACAAAACTATTACTGATTCTCAAATGAAGTGCTTAAATTGTTTAGAGTCAGCTAGCTATGGAAGAAGGTTCTATATGCAATAACTGATGTTAAGCAAGTATACCTGTTCCTAAAACGAAGACAGCTATACAAAGTTTTCTCTAGTAGTGTGTGGTGAAATTTTTCATGGTAGATATAAGGACAGTGGCTTATTTGGCTTAGCACCATATCTCTGGCACAGTATCTCATCAGAATCACCAGGCATATTAAAAAAAAAAAAAAAAAAAAAAAAAAAGAAGGCCGGGCATGGTGGCTCACGCCTGCAATCTCAGCACTTTGGGAGGCCGAGGCAGGTGGATCATGAGGTCAGGAGATTGAGACTATACTGGCTAACACAGTGAAACCCCATCTCTACTAAAAACACAAAACATTTTCCGGGCGTGGTGGCGGGCTGGTGGCGGGCACCTGTAGTCCCAGCTACTTGGGAGGCTGAGGCAGGAGAATGGTGTGAACCCGGGAGCTTGCAGTGAGCTGAGATCGCACCACTGCACTCCAGCCTGGGTGACAGAGCGAGACTCTGTCTCCAAAAAAAAAAGATTTCTGTGGTACATACAAGATTTACAGAATCATAACATCTGGGTATGAAATCAGTTAATTTTAATTTAAATCAGCTTCTCAGGTGTTTGCTTAACTGCTAAAGTCTGAGATTGAATGAGCTAAGTTCTGAACATGCTAAATTCAATGCGCCTTCACTACTGAAGTTTGTCCTTCATTTGAAGCAGACTGTGATGAAGGTAAGTCAGATATAGACGTCCATCCTAGACTCAGTTCCACCACCAACTTCCCTGAAACTGCTTCTTCATCTTCAATTATTGTTCAACTAAAAGATTTGTATTTCACTCAGTTATTCATGCTTTCTCCTGGATAAACATTTTTTAGTACCTATTGTGTAGTAAACGCTGCTGCATGAGAACCATGAATAACATATGTTCAGGGAAAATCGTGGTTTTCAAATTGTGCTAGTTGTCAGAGGGAGTGTAGTATAATGTGGGTGCTGTATATGGAACCAGCAGAGTCTCAGAAAAGGCATCCTTCTCAGTAAGGCCATTTTTCACCTCTGAGTAAGCTGAGAATTAAATTTTACCTATGCTGAAAGCTCTGTCCAGGTAGATTTACAATAATTGCCCTTTGGTGCTTTGGGGGAACTCTCACTCTCAAAGAATCTTAATGGATACAAGAGGGTTTATTACTCAATTCTTGAGGCCACAGAAGTCAATTCCTTGAATTAACTTTTTGTCTAGTGCAGATAGTTAAAAAGTAAAATTCCCTTTTGGGGCTTAGAATGAGGAAACTTTAGACTGATTGTAAACCTTTAGGGGATCAAGAGGAGTCTATGTTATAATAGAAGCTTGTGGAATTCTGAAGATAAAGGAGAAGATTATGCTGATTTAGGATGTTTAAGAGACCCTTTAGGCATTTTCTTGTTTCAGTAGATGCGTGTTTAGTTTTTTCCTTTCTTTGCTGACTGCTCACAGTGACATTTTGGATGATCATGGGATGTGTATGTGGTAAAATAAAGGTGAGTACATTTCCAGCCTTGTAGAAAATAAAATAATAAAATGCCCATTATAGAAATTGTCATGCAGTAACCAAACCTGTGATATTCTGCTAGCTTTAGTTATGATTTATTATGTAGGAGGTTTCTATAAGCCTTAACTCTAGTTAAGCATTGCAATTAATGTTATGAGAAGGTTAAAACCACCTTATTGAGAATAGAAGATTAAAAGACGTTTTGCTCAAATAGGAAAGTTCATTTCTTAATTTGGGCCCACAAAGGCCTTCTCTTTTGCTTGTAATTTCCCTCAAAATTGGAGCTTCCTTTCAACAGAGGTTTTTGTTCAACCATAGAACATGAGGGTCTTTGATGGTTCCTGTTCAACTTTGTTTCTCCTAAGTTGCATGTCATTAATTTTTCTCCTTCTACCCCATGCTTTCTGCATGACCATGTTCATTGGTCTTACAGCCTCAACTCTCACCTCTGTGTTGATATGACATCCTGAGGCTACACATTCAGTCTTCTTAAGACAATGTCTTCCTCTTGGTTTTTCCACCCTGGGGCTCCTTGTCACCCTGTAGAGGTCATTTCAAATCTCTCTTTGGGGAAGTCTTCTTCAATCCTCACAGTCCAGCTAATGACTTATTTCTTTGTGCCTCCTCAGGCCTTTCCATGAAGCTCCTCGACACACAATTCAGGGCAAATCTCTCTCTCTTCCCCTAGATTGTGAGGACAGCAATCATCTGTTATTTATCTTCTCCTGCATAGTAGGCAGCAATGAATGATCATTCTTAAAGAATTGGCTGAAGAGTTCCAGTTTGGATGAAATGGTGGCACTGGCAAAGGCAAAACTCTAATTCTACACAAAACACATAAAAATGCTGGAGAAACTGATAAAAAATAGCTTTGGAGATTCCAAATAAGTACAAATGAAGAAGAAAGCTTAATTTTATGAGTTGGGCTGAAGTGGCTTATCAAGGGATTATGCCATGAGAAGCCCTTATTCTAGTACTTAAAATTTTAACCCCTGTGAAGGGAGAAGAGAAATAAGTTTGAGCTGGAGAAAAGGCAAGGAAACAGAACTGAGACCTCTTCCCAAAGTGGGGATCTTGGAAAGATTGCCTTTACTGAGCAGGCAAGCCTGCACCATGAGTTGTCATGGAGACTAACTTTACATTAGGTGCCCATGTAATTGCCCAACAGGTTCTTCCTGCCCACTGCACAGACCATGGTATTAAAATAAAGAAAGAATTTAATTGAGGCTAGGTTAGCTAGGCCATGAAGGAGACGGAGATTTTACTCACATCAATTTCCCGTAAGGCTCGCAGGTTAGGGGTTTTCAAGGATAGTTTTGTAGGCAGGGGACTAGGAAATGGGAAATGTTGATTGGTTGGGGATGAAATCATAGGGGTATGGTAAACAGTTCTTAAAATTCTTTCAGAATTTCTGTTAGTAACTGATAGGTTAGAAAATAATAAATATAAAGAAAATTTGAACAAAAAACATAATAATCTTTACCTACTAGAGACATATACACACACATAGATGAGCATGTACCTATAGAATATATTTACATATATGTAGGTACATATATGATACACATATATATCATATATACAACATAAATATGATACATATATATGTGTGTATACATAGTGAGCTGCACTAGAAAATTAGAAAATACATATTCTCAAAGAGCATGGCACATTTATAAAAATCATCTTCTATACTTCAAATCTTGGAAGTCTTAAATATGATGACAATGATATCTGAAAAAAGGGGTAACATTAGACATAGGTAGGACTATAACTCCAAAATATATTTAAATTTTTTAAATCCACTTTTAAGCTATTTAAAATAATTTGAGTGATAAAAAAATCATAACTATATGTAGTTGGAACAGAGTGACATTGAACCATCTTTACAGAATGTATGACACAGCCAAAAGCAGTACTTGCAGGAAAATATATCCCATTACATCCATATGCTTGAAGAAAAAAAAAAAATTGAAAATTAAGAAGTTAGAAAAGATTGCTGAGTGCAGTGGCACATGCCTGTAGTCCCAGCTGCTCAGGAAAATCACTTGCGCCCAGGAGTTCAAGCCTGTAGTGCACTATGATCATGCCTGTGGATAGCCAGCCTGGCAACATAGCAAGATCTTATCACTACAAAACAAACAAAAAGAGGTTAGAAAAGGAACACAAAATGTGATGGTTAATACTGAGTGTCAACTTGATTGGATCGAAGCATACAAAGTATTGTTCCTGAGTGTGTCTTTGGGAGTGTTGCCAAAGGAGATTAACATTTGAGTCAGTGGACTGGGAGAGGCTGACCCACCCTCAGTCTGGGTGGGCACCATCTAATCAGCTGCCAGCATAAAAACAGAAATGGAAAGAGCAGACTTGCTGAGTCTTCTGGCCTCCATCTTTCTCCCGTGCTGGATATTTCTGCCCTCAAACAGCAGACTCCAAGTTCTTCAGCTTTTGGACTCTTGGACCTATACCAGTGGTTCACCAAGGGCTCTTCAGCCTTCAGTCACAGACTGGAGGCTGCACTGTCAGCTTCTCTACTTTTGAGGTTTTGGGACTCAAACTGGCTTCCTTGCTCTTCAGCTTGCAAACAGCCTGTTGTGGGACTTCACCTTGTGACCGTGTGAGTCAATACTTCTTTTATGTATTTATTTATTTAATTTTTTTATTATACTTTAAGTTTTAGGGTACATGTGCACAACGTGCAGGTTGAGTCAATACTTCTTAATAAACTCCCTTTCATATATAAATTTATCCTATTAGTCCTGTCCTTCTAGAGAAGCCTAATGCATAAAGTAAACCCACAGAAAATAATAAAAATTAGATCCCTAAGCAATGAAATAGAAAACAAATCCTAGAGGAGCTAAGATGGTTTAACTTGCCTAGACCATGAGAGGTCCAGATACCTGGTGAAACATGACCTTCTGGTATGTCTGTGAGAGGGTTTCTGGAGGAGATTGGCATTTGAATTGGTGGGATGAGTAAAGATCACCCTCACCGCTGTGGGTGGGCACCATCCAATCCATTGGGGGTCTCAAGAGATCAAAAAGGTGAGGGAGGGCTAATTTCTTCTCTCAAGGTGGAATTTCATCTTCTCTTGCCCTCAAACATCAGAGCTCTTGGTTCTTGGGCCTTTGGACTCCACTGGAAGTTATGTCATTGGCTTCCTTGGCTCTCAGGCCTTTGGACATAGACTGAATGACACTACCAGCTTCCCTGGTGCTCCAGCTTGCAGACACCAAATCATAAGCCTTCCATCATCACACGAGCCAGTTCCCATTATATATATTTCCTAGTGATTCTGTTTCTCTGGAGAACCCTGACTAATACGGGACCCAATAAATGTTAGAGACTAGTAAAATAATCATCTCCTGCCCAAATTGATTTATTACGAAAAAAAAGAGGAGCACAAAACCAGCAGTGGGAATAAACGTGTAGATATGGGACACCGTAGACATACACAATACCTTTGAAACCCTAGATTACGTGGAGAAATTTCACACACAAAAGTTTGCTACAAGTGACCAAAAAAAAAAAAAAAAAAACCCAAAAAACAAAAAGCAAACAAAAAAACACCTTAACCTATTGACCCTATGTTTCCATTGATGTTTCCATTTAAAATAATACGTGATTCTCACCTCACAACTACACATAAATTTCAAATACAAAAAGTGGCTAGGTGCAGTGGCTCAACCTGTAACCCTAGCAGTTTGGGAGGCAGAGGTGGGCGGATCACCTGAGGTCGGGAGTTCGAGATCAGCCTGATCAACATGGAGAAACCCTGTCTCTACTAAAAGTACAAAATTAGCCAGGCGTGGTGGCACATGCCTGTAATCCCAGCTACTTGGGAGGCTGAGACAGGAGAATCGCTTGAACCTGAGAGCAGAGGTTGCGGTGAGCTGAGATCGTGCCACTGCACTCCAGCCGGGGCAACAAGAGCGAAACTCTGTCTCAAAAGTAATTGCAGTTTTTGCGATTACTTTCAAAGTGTAAATCTTGTAGATCTGCACCGACTAATAGTTTAATGGCCTAAGTAGAAAAGCAAATTTTTAAAATTATAGAATAGCGTATTTTTAAGAATACAGAAAAGGAAAGCTTTCTTAAATAAGACAAAGAAATCATAAATAATGTAGAAAATCATATCCACTTATTTATATATGTTCTTTCTGATAGTACTGAAATAATACTTTACATATTGGGGGTGGGATGGGGGATAGGCAGCATTAAGGGGTAATTGGAAAAGAGGATGCTTAAAAACATTGTCAAGCTTTGATTTCTGCTGATTATGGGCTCTAGGCTTGCTCTTCCTAAGGTAGATTCCAGAATAACACCATGCCCAAGGGCTATGGATTTAAGCCACAACCAGCTTCTTTTACTTTGGTGTGGAGGTAACTTTAGATTCTACAGGGCCCTTGGGAATGTGGGGGCGGGATGAGCATGTCTAGTAGTCCCTGACCTTGTAGGTGGCAGGCACAGTACAGTTGAGAACAAGGAGGAAATGCCTTCCTTACACAGTGCATTTGAAGAGAATCAGGGATCTTTTTTTTTTTTTTTTTTTTGAGATGGAGTCTCACTCTGTTGCCCAGACTGGAGTGCAGTGGCACGATCTTGGCTCACTGCAACCTCCGCTTCCTGGGTTCAAGCAATTCTCCTGCCTCAGCTTCCCGAGTAGCTAGGACTACAGTCACATGCCACTACGCCTGGCTAATTTTTTGTATTTTTAGTAGAGACGGGGTTTCACTGTGTTAGCCAGGATGGTCTTAATCTTCTGACCTCGTGATCGGCCTGCCTGGGCCTCCCAAAGTGCTGGGATTACAGGCATGGGCCACTGCACCCAGCCAGGGATCATTTTAATTAAAAACAGCTATATGACAAATACTGCTTCAAAACAAATCATTTCTTTGATGAGATTGCTGTCCATGAGCATCTTTTTTTGTAGAGAATGTGGGATAGCCGCCAATAAGAACCGTGACTGGTATTCAACCAGAAATCTGAGACATGGAGAAAACAAACCAGAGATGACGATCAAAATACTTGGTAGACGCAAACAGGTGGAAAGCTCTGTAACTAACGGGACTGAGAAAATGTCATGATTGTGGGGTGTTGATCATTTGGTAATGCTGGGTTTCAACAAAAATGTTCTTTTGTGGGATCTGTGATACTGATTTGGCCTCAGAAATGTAAAAGTTGCAGCAATACACCAAATAAGAAAGGTGATGGATAGCACCCTGTGTGCTAGTGACTCACTAGGCTCAGAGAGATTAGGAGGAAGATTTAACTAGGGCCTTTTTGACTGCAAAGCTCATGTTATTCATTTTCTGACATGACTTCAAAATAAGTGTTGTGATGTTTAATTTTCTGTGTCAGCTTGACTGGACTAAGGGATGCCCAGGTAGCTGGTAAAACACTGTTTCTATGTGTGACTATGAGGGTATTTATGGAAGAAGTGAGCCTGTCCTCACCAATGTGAGGCATCATCTAATTTATTGAGGACCTGAAAAGAATAAGAAGGCAGAAGGAGGGTAAATTCCTCTCTTCTTGAGATAGAGTGTCCATCTCCTCTTGGTCCCAGACATCAGAGGTCCTGGTTCTCAGGCCTTCAAGCTCTGGGACTTACACTAGTACTCCCCTTCTTACTGGGTTCTCAGGCCTTCCTCCTTGGTCTGGGAGTTACACTATTGGTTCCCCTTGTTCTTAGGGCTCTGAACTCAGACTGAATTTCACCAAGGGCATTCTTGGCTTTCAGCTTGCATAATATGGAATTTCTCAGCTTCCATAATCGTGTGAGCCAATTCCTACGATGAATCTCTCCATATATCTATAGCTACATATCTATACCTATATTATTGATTCTGTATCTCTGAAGAACCTTGACTAATACAGATGTTATCCTAATTTCTCAATTGAAGCAGCTAAGAGTCAGGGAGTTTAGGTGCTATTGACTGAATGTTTGTATGCCCCCAAATTTATGTTGAAACCTAGTTCCCAATGTTATAGTATTTGGAAGTGGAATCTTTGGGAGGTGGTTAAGTCTTGAGGGGAAAGAGAACCCTAAGAACTCCCTCACCCCTTCTTCCATGTGAAGACATAGCAGGAAGGAACATTTATGAATCAGGAAATGGGCTCTTGCCAGACACTGAATCTGCTGGTACCTTGATCTTGCACTTCTCAGCCTCTAGAACTTAGAGAAATAGATGTTTGTTGATAAAGCTATCCAGTCTATTGTATTTTTGTTATAGAAGCCCAAAGGGGTTAACACACTAGGTAACGTCTAAAAATCACGGAAACTTTAACCTCAGGCTTTATTTTTCATCCCAAATATTCTAAAGACTGTGATCTTTATATTCAATTTTACGCTGTACTCTGTGTGTATCTGTGCACATATGTGCTTGTGTGTGTGTGAGAGAGAGAGAGAGAGAAGAGCCAGAATAAAAAATAATATTTGCAACTTTGGTTTGGAATTTTTTTTTCAGTTGGAAGAGTTCCTAGAACATTATGTTTTTCCCATGCCTTACATTTTAACTGAAGTTAAAAGAAATAAAAGCTGTGCATACTTTACAATATTATATAAACAAATCACCTTTTCTTCAGCTGATTACCCACTAGGCCAAGGCAGGTGCTGCTGACTAATCACCAACCAATCTTTTCAACTCAATGACAAGAAAATGTAAAGCAATCAGGTGATCTACATTGTGTCTAATTTTGGGAGCCTCTTAATCCAAAGTTAAGACGATCAGCTGTGTGTAGTTTTCATTTTACTGTAGAGTCAGTCAAGGCCTACTGTTTCTCAGAAATTCAAACACTCATATTTGTTCTTTGCAATTTTTATTTTTTTAATTTGAAAAGCCTGCAACTGTGGTTCAGAATGATTTCTTTACTCCAGCTATTTTCTTTGGGTTCCAATGAAGCAATGCAGAACACATTTGGACACTGGGCAGAATATGCGTTTAGTAAACTACATCCTTGTAAATAATAAAGCCTTGTCAATGATCGACCAGCCATTTGGCTGTTTCCTGTTTTGTAATCCTTGTCTATGATGACATAATAGATTCAGAATAACATTTGTTTCTCCAGGTTTGTGGTATAGCTGAAAATCACGTTCCCGTAACTTTATATTTTGACTGGCTAGCTTCATGGTGAAGTCAGATTAAAAAAACTGTGGAAAAACAGTGGGTGGTTTCTTTCTAATACATTCTTAGAATGGGAGAAAGTATTCAGTTCCTCCCGTTACAGTGACATGCTCCTTTTCATGTGATTTCTTCCTTGTTATAAATAAGCTGTATTTGATTGCCTCTGCACATTTTTTATTAGTTAACATCTTTGCTGTTTTGACATTTTATGTGTATTTGTGAAGAAAGTAAGTTGAATTAACAGAGTAGAATTTTTTCAAATTGTAAATTTCTCAAATAATTTCAAGGCTATTAATTCTTATTAATTGTACATAATGAAAATATTGCTGGCAATTTCTCGCTCCTTGTCTCTTAATATTAGGTGTCAAAGGGCTAGTCCCAAATATTCAAAGGTCCTATTTATTTATTTTCCGTACAATTAGTTTCCAGTGAACTTCATGACAATGCATTTGTATAGCAAACATAAATATCTTAAGCTTTGGACATCTTTAATTAATATTTTAAATGTGTTATTTATGAGACACCTGCAAGAACTAGTGTGATTACTTTATGATTTTATAACATTTTCTGTAGCAAACTTGCTGTATAAATTAGAATTGTCAGTAATATAACTATGACAGAAATAAATGAAAATGTTTAGGTTTAGAATTAAAAGTCTCAGTTTTTAAGTTAACTGACATTGGATATTTGCATTACCTAAAATAACAACTTGTCTCTTTCCCTAAAGGCAACCAGAAAAATGTTACAACTTATTAACTGGATGCCTCGAGAGCTCATCCCCTGCAGTGGAGACTGCTGGATGCAATTCTAAGATCTATTTCATTTTTCTCTGTCACAGAATCCTGATTTCAGCCAACACATCACTGCCAATAATAAGAGTCCACATATCACAGCTTCCTATACATACTAGATGTGGCATGTGGCTAGTAAATGACCATAAAATTTAGGAGTAATATTTTTGGTGGGACACTTTTCAAAGGAAGGATAATCTTTTTTTCCTTCTTTCTCTAGCATATAGCTTGGAATACAAATGTGATAGCTGGAGCACTAACAGCTATCTTGGACCATGAGGTAATAGTAAGATTAGTAGTTCCCTGTGTTGAAAGGTACCTAGTGCCTTCATGGACCTGCTATGCCAAGGCAGTAAAGGATTACCCACCACTGGACTTGTTTTACAAGAAAGAGAAATTAAGTTCCATCTTACTTAAACTAATTATTTCAGTTTTTTACTGTTGTGTGAAAACAAGCCTAATCCTTAGTAAAAAGTACTATAATACTACAATAATAAATAACTAATATAACAATTATAATAACAACTAACATTTATTCAATTTTACTATGCATCGGATAATATGTTAAACACTGTAATAATTAATTTGATCCTCACAGCAACCTTACAAGGTAGATAATATTATTACTTCCTTTTTAATAGATGAGAAAACTGAGGTTCAGAAGAGCGAAGTGGCAGACAGAGAGGATCCAGGCTCCAAATGTGAAAAATCTGACTCTAAAACTTCCGTTCCTACCACAGGGTCATGTGCCACCATTGGAAAATTAGCACTGGTCACTTATAGTTGGAGATCAGACTTTCCATGCATATCATGGCATCCTGTCATCTCCTGCCATCTTCGTGACCCTGCATCACTTAGATGTATACGCAGATTGAAGAAAATGAAGATTTATTGATTACATACTATATTCAGGCACTGTGACAGATATAGGATATACATGCTTCTCCAATCTTAACCATTGTCCTGTGAGGGAATCAGGGTCATAAGATTAATCCCAGGAACCCCACTTACTAGGTTTTGGACCTTGGGACAACTAAATGATTTATGTGAGTATATTATAAGGTGGTTGACCAATTAAAATAATCCCTAAAAAATGCTTAGAACAGAGCCCAACACATGGTAACCACTCCATGCAATTAATAGCTCAATGAGCTATTAATACTTCTATTATGTTACAGATGAGGGTCCTGAGGCTTGGATAGGTCAGTGAACCGGCTGTTGTGGACCAAGTTCTCTTGAAAACTAACTCTGAGACTGAGGTTCATGTGCAGAAAATTTATTAGAACACACTCTTAGCAACAACTCCTGTGGGGGAGTTGGGTAGGTGGTTTGAGCAGAGATGTTAGCTGTGACGCAGAGGCAGTAGAACTCAGCTGATGCCACAGGGATCCTTGAGCTGGGATGGCCTTCAGAGTTCTCTCCCTTGGGGACAGAGGTCTAGGCCTTTGCACCTGTGCTTTGACCAGTCACTGGATATGAAAGGGTCCAGGAAGGGGACATAACTCAGGGCGAAGGAGCTCCCTCTGGAGGAGGGCGATTTCCAGGGTGTTCTCAGGTGAGAGCCCACAGAAGCCCACACTTAGCAGCTGCTGGGAGAATAAATGCCTTGGTCATAGGGAGATATCCAGGTGTCTCTCCATGATGCCAAATCCATGAGCACAAAGTCTTAAGTGACAGAGCTGGGTTCAGTCAGATCCATACTCCTTAAGCCACTGCCTCCTTGTACAGTGCTGCAGAGCCTCTCACATGACTTATATAAGAAATTTGTTGGGTGGTAACCACAGAGTCACTTCAAAGGGAGCCTACATGAGACCATTCCCCATCATGTGACTATTTGCTGGGAGAACTTGGTATAACTTGCTTCATCATTTAGCATTACTCATTTCATTCCTTCTGTTTTCTTGCAGGAATGCCTACCTTAGACTACTTTTTCTAGCAGCAAAGAAGCAAAAAACAAAGTAAAAGGACTATAAGAAAAAACTACTGAGATGAATAGAAAACTCATGCAGTATACAATTACTGGCAGATGTTTTCACACTTTCTTTTTTTACAAGCCAACTATTATCTGTGCTACAAACTGAGTAATTGATTGGGAGACTGGTAAGGCAAATAAACAATCAGTGCTTACACACATGCACACACACATGCATATATATGTATGTGTGTCTATATATACACATATGTGTGTGTATGTGTGTAAATATACACACATACACATTTTTATGAAATCTACGTCTGTATATTTTTTAATTTTTAAAAGTATTCCCCCAAATACTTTCCTAGCAAGTAAGTGTTGGGAGGCAATGCAGACGATGAGCAATACTGCTCCAGGGAACCAGGGACTTGCTCCATGTATACCATCCCTCCACTTTCTATCACTTCCACAGGTCCAGTGTGCCTGAGGCAACATTTCTATACAGGCTCTGTTCTATTCTCTTGTTTAGAAATAATGTTTTAGTGTTTTACTGCATAAGAGAGCCATGTCTTGAGATAGTGCACATGGGACTATTTAGTAAAAGAAAACTGTTAATTTTGTTTAACCCAGCTTTTCCAACATTTACCTTACTACTTTATCCTTTCTTCTGTCCTTAATATCCTTAAGAATGCCCATAGGAAAAGCCTACTGTCTTCTCGTCTTCTATCCATGGACTTCTCCATTCCTGTTTCATGTTATCTCTTAGTATTTCTCAGCTGGGGATATTAACAGGTTTCATCTCTGTGTCCAGGCCATCGCAGTTCCTACATCCATCATCATAGGTTCAAAAGAGCCCCAGCTGCTGCTGCTGCACTGCAGCCAGGGCTCAAATCACATCCTGATTCCCCTCATTATCTGGTAAGCGATGAATGAGTCTGTTCTGGCATTGATGGTGCTTTGTTCACTCTCTCCCCTCTCCTACAGTGTTCTCTCAGTGGTCCGGTGTCCTGCCTTGATTTTTGGTCCTTATACTAGCCTAACTCCAACAGTCTCTGATATGGTTTGGCTCTGTGTCTGCACCCAAATCTCTTCTTGTAGCTCCCATAATTACCATGTGTTGTGGGAGGGACTTGGTGGGAGATAATTGAATCACAGAGGCAAGTCTTTCCCATGCTATTCTTGTGATAGTGAATAGGTCTCATGGGATCTGATGGTTTTAAGAAAGGGAGTTTCCCTGCACAGGCTCTCCTTTTGCCTGCTGCCATGCACATAAGATGTGACTTGCTCCTCCTTACCTTTTACCTTCCACCATGGTTGTGAAGCCTCTCCAGCCACGAGTAACTGTAAGTCTGATAAACCTCTTTCTTTTGTAAACTGCCCAGTCTCAAGTATGTCTTTATCAACAGTGTGAAAATGAATAATACAGTTTCCTTCTTTGGGGCACCAGAACCAGCTTTTCTCATGTGGTTTCTGCCATACAGTTGCCCTTCTCCTAGTCTCTCTGGAGTTCCACCTTGATCACCATTTAGGACCACCTTTTACTGCACTCGCCTGATCCATGCTTGAGCTTTGGTGACTCTGGGTCACCCAGAGTCCATCTTCAGGGTCAGACTGGGCAGCTGGCTGGATTCTTTTAGCCCTGTACTGAAGCAAGATCAGGAGATAATAACAAAGAATTGTATTTTTAGCCAGGACAACTTTCAATCTTTTCTTATCCTTTTCAACCCTATTTTATGCTTGTCCCAGTGTGTTTGGGAGACCAGAGCGTCTCCCCTTTACTGCAGGAGCTATATGTATGACTCAAGACGAGGTTGGTTCTATGTTATCTGGGCCATTTTTACTTAAGTTGGCCTTGCTAGATGCTGCTACATATGACCTGTATGTATGCTAGACGCTGCTTCGTATGACCTGTATGTCACTGTGATGTTTACAGTTCAATATTTGATGTTTCCTAGCATCACTAGATGTAAGTGCAGTGAGAGACACTGGAGATGGGGAAAAGGATAAGACATAATGCTTACCCTCAATGCCCTTGTCATCCAGCTGGAAAGATATCACATTGTGTAAGGCAATCAGTATTGATATATGAAGCATTGCTATGCTTTAGCCAGCAATATCCACAGTCCATAAGAAGAGGAGTGCTTACTATCTCTGCTTTGGTTTGAGAAGGCCTCATAGGAGAAGAAAGACCTGAGTAGGGCTTTGAAAATATAGGAAACTAATAAGAAGAAGACTATTTGTTAAGTAACTCTTTCCAGGGGACTGTTTTGGGCTTTAGAGAGATTTGAAAAATAGAGCAAAATGCTTGGTTTCAGGAACTTCCAGTTTAATTATAGCAATAGAACTAACATACAAGTGAATGATAAATGTAATATAAATGCGTAGAACTGATTAGAAGAGTTGCAGAAGCATAAACAAGGAAGATATCCAAGAGGGCTGAAGACTTTGTGAAAGTACTACTGTGACAGTAGGAATTAAACAGTGTCTTAAAAAAATGGTGGTGTTTGGGTAATGGAGGGGCACCAGGAAGGATGAATAATGGCCTAAGTAAGAGAGACTCATATTAGGATGGCCACATGTCTTGGTTGGTCTGGAAGAGTCACTTAATTATTAATAGCACCAACTTTCACTTTCCAATGTGCCTCAGTTTGGATGATAAATTAGCTGGTCACTGACTTTTGAGGAACTTTTCTATAATCCCTTTCAATGAACATTTCATTAGCGCATCTACTAGAGATCTCTGTCTTCAAATATACCTACTGTTTCTTGGTTTCTGTTTCAGTTATTTAAAAAGTTTGCTCATTTGGTGGTATTTCTA
The DNA here is from genome assembly GCF_000001405.40 of Homo sapiens. Lineage (NCBI taxonomy): Eukaryota > Metazoa > Chordata > Mammalia > Primates > Hominidae > Homo > Homo sapiens. Next base: position 225,772,146 of record NC_000002.12, read on the forward strand.
ATATAACTTTTCGAGTGAAAATGGAATGTACAGCCTGTGCTATTTGTCTTTGGCCCACAAGACTCTATTACATGCATTATATATCACCTTGTTTCCTTTGGAGGGTGATAGAGCGCAGGAAGCTGGTTTTCTGTGGTTCTGATTTCATTCTATTTTCCCCTATGGATTTGTTATATTACACAATAGCAGACAGATCCATTTCCATTACTTGGAGTTCTAAACTCCAAAAATGAGCCTGAAGAAAAAGGTGTTCTTTATAAAAGTGGTTTCCAAAGGTGTTTTTCTCTTGTAAAATACATGTGTTTGTTGCACAGCAAACTTTTGAGCATAGCTGACAGATATATATCTGCAAAACATGGCAGAGATTAATGGGGCCCAATAGCTCAAAGGGGTTGATAATTTCTGTGGTGAGTTGAACCCTTTTAGAAATGTACAATTTTTACAGTTACAGGAAATCCACAAATTTAATTTCTGTTTCATATTCAAGTGTGTGGTAAGTGGGTAATGATATCTAAGAAAATAGGCAATTATGAATTCATGTAGTTCAATTTGGAATATAATGTGTTCTATTCCAAACCTTATGACTTACAGGAAGCAAAAATAATAGGTGTGTTTGCTGGAAGTAAAAGAACAACTTTTTCCATATTTAAAAAATACTAAAATTCCTTTTTTTTTTTTTTTTGAGACGGAGTCTCACTCTGTCGCCTGGGCTGCAGTGCAGCAGCACGATCCCAGCTCACTGCAACCTCTGCCTCCCAGGTTCAGAGTTCAAGCAATTCTGCTGCTTCAGCCTCCCGAGTAGCTGGGACTACAGACACACGCCATCACACCCAGCTAATTTTTTGTATTTTAGTAGAGACAGAGTTACACAGTATTGCCCAGGCTGGTCTTGAACTCCTGAGCTCAGGCAATCTGCCTCCCTTGGCCTCCCAAAGTGCTAGGATTACAGGCATGAGATACTGCACCCGGCAAAAAACTAAAATTCTTATCTTATATGAAAACCCCTGCTCCCAAACGCCAAAAATATCTTTTTTTTTTTCATATGGTGAGATTCCTACCCAGTTTGATATAAGTAAAACCATTTTTTTCAGACCTAGCTAAGCAAAACAGTTTTATTAATATTATTCTGTCTGGTTCTCTTTCTCTGTCATTCTGTCTTCTTCCTTATCTGGTAAATTTGGCTGTGGATCTCATGAGTGCTGGCTCCTTCTTGAGATATCTGGCACTCACCCATCATTATTTCCACTCCCAGATGGAATCCTGCAAAATCAGCCTTACTTTGACCCTCTGATTTTTAAACCCAGACAAAACCTTCACGTGAAAAAAGAAAAGACAGAGGCTGGGCAACTTTAAGTGAGAAACATAATTTTGTTTGTAATTTAATGGTAATCTTTAAGTCCTTATGCCAGATGAACTCCAGAAATATTGAGAACTAACACTGTATTGGCCCTTCTAAAATTGGTCTTTTGTGAGTTTGGGAAGTGAAAGCAGGAAAAATATTTCAAATCCATAACCTATATCTGTGCTGCCCAACATGGTAGCTACTAGCCATGGGTATCTATTTAAATTTAAATTAATAATATTAAATGAAATTAAAAATTAATTTCTTTAGGTACACTAGCCACATTTCAAGTTTGCAATAGCCACATGTGGCTAGTGGCTACCATATTGGGCAAATAAAAATAAAACACTTTTATTATTGCAGAAAGCAATAATGATTATTGGATATCACTGATTTATGATCTTCAATCATAAAAAAGATCATAAACATTTATTAAACATTTTCTCAACTCAAAACATTAAAAAATGTTTTATAAAATTTGTATTATATTCAATGTGACTATTACATGTTTACTTAGGAAAAAAATAACATGAACGGTGTAGCCAGAGTGATGATAATTTGGGATAAGAAAACCGGTAGAAAAAAATGCAGAAATGTATGTTAGGAAAAATAAGTTTTTCACTACCATCACAGCTTATACTAAGAAAGCTTTAATTTTTTTTTCTGTAAATTCTTTAAATATCCTGTCTCAAGATTCTTGAACATTTTTTTTTCGATTTAAGTTAAATTTAAAATGACAAAATTTTAAAGCTGAATGCCTTAGGGAAGTTTCATTACATTTCAATAAAACCATATTATTTATAGTTTTATTGTCTAATAGTCTATTTTAATATATCAAAATACACTGTCTTAGCCCATTTGGGCTGCTGTAAGAGAATGCTAGAGATTGGGGGACTTATAAACAACAGAAATTTAGTTCTCACAGTTCTTGAGGCTGGGAAGTCCAAGATCAAGCACCAGCAGATTCGGTGTGTGGTGAGGGCCCACATCTTGGTTCACAGCCATCTTTGGCTGAGTCCCTATATGGTAGAAGAACCAAGGGAGCTTTCAGAAGTCTTTTTTATAAGGCCACTAATCTCATTCATGAGGGTGGAGCCCTCATGTCCTCATTACCTACCAAAAGCCCCACTTCTTAATATCATCAAGTACTAAGGGGTTAGAATTCCAATATACGAATTTTAGGGGGATGTTAACATTTCATTTATAACATTCCCCGCTGGACTACCAGAATTTACATTATCACATGCAAAGTATCCACCTAACCTGTAGCATTTTATTATAGCTGCCCAAACAGTCTAAGATAGAAATTGGTACAGAGAAGTGATTGTGCTTCTGTAACAAATATGTAAAAATGTGAAAATAGCTTTGAAACTGGCTGATGGGTAGAGGCTGGAAGAGTTTGGAAGTGCATAATAGAGAAACCCTATATTGCTGTGAATAGACCTTTAGAGGAAATTCTGGCGAAGGCTCAGAGATAAAAGTAGAGTTGTGAAGAAGGCCTGAATCTTCTTAAAGAATACTTAAGTAATTGCCTTAGTCCTGTTCCTATAACATAATACCTGAGACTCAGTGATTTATAAAGAAAAGAGGTTCATTTCTCACAGTTCTGGAGGCTGGGAAGTCCAGATTGGGCAGCCACATCTGGTCGGCTTCCTGTCAGGATCATGTGCTGCATCATAACATGGCGGAAGGCATCATGGGGCAAGAGGGGTGCACTGAAAGCCAGACTGGCTTTTGTAACAGACTTACTCTCTTGAAAACTAACCCACTCCTGTGGTAACCCATTAATCTATTACTCCTGCCCTCATGACCCAATCATCTGTTAAAGGTCTTATCTGTCAACATTGCTGAACTGGGGTTAAAATTTCAACATGAGTTTCAGAGGGGACAAACCAGACTCAAACCATAATAATAGTGATGAACAGAGTGTTGGTACACATAGGGACAGTCATTCTGATGAGTTCTTAATTGAAAAAAAGCATTATTAGAAAGTGGAAGAATGGAGATTCTTTTTATAAAGTGGCAGAGAAGTTGGTTGAATTGTGTTCATGTTCTAGTGTTTTGTGAAAGTTACAATTTGTGAGTGGTAAAATTAGATATTTAGCTGAAGTGATTTCTAAGCAAAGTGTTCAAGGTGCAGCTTAGCTCTTCCTAACTGCTTATGGTAAGATGAGAGAGAAGAGAATTAACTTAAAGGCAGAATTGCTAAGCAGAAAGGAATTGGAACTTTAAAATTTTGGAAGTTTTTAACCAATTCATATTGCAAAACATGAGAAAGTGTGTCCAGAAAAGAACATTAAGGATGTGGCCAATTAACCCATTGATATGGAGACAAGTATGAAGGTGAACCATGGGCCTAATTATTAATCTCAACAGAAACCAGATGCTATTCCTTAAGACAAGTGATGAATGAGCCCAAAAGTAACTTAGAGATCATCAGGGCTACCTCCTCAGTTTCAAATGGAGGGACCATTGCCTTCCTTTCAACAGACCAGATGACTTCTGCCCAAAACCAATGAAGGCAGGGCTACTCAAAGCTATGAATGCCCAACTCTAGCCAACAAAGCTGCAGGAACAGGACTGCCACCCTAGTGTGTCTTAATGGTGGGACCTTCAGCCCAGTGGACCTGAAGAAGAACATATCAAGGCACAAAGGATTATTTTTAAGCCTTAGATCTCAAGGAGTTTGCCTTGTCATTTGGACTTGCTTGGAGAAGAACATATCAAGTCACAAAGGATTATTTTTAAGCCTTCAATCTCATGGAGTCTGCTTGTCGTTTGGACTTACTTGGGATCCATTACTTCTTTCTTCTTTCCTGTTTTTCCATTTTGAAAGGATATCTTTAAACTACACCTGTCCCAATATTATATTTTGGATGCACATAACTTGTTTAGTTTCACAAGTTCACAGCTGAAGAGGAATTTGCCTCAAGCTAAATCATACTTTGAGTCTCACCCATATCTGATGTAGATGATATTTAGATGATATTTAGATTACACTTTGGGTTTTTTCTTTATAGTTGATGCTGGAACAAATGCTGCAACTGTTGGGATGTAATTAACATATTTTCCATGTTAGAAAGACATAAATTTGGAGAGGACAGGGATGGAATGATATAGATTGAATTTTGTGTACTCCCAAAATCTAAATGTTAAAATCTTAATCCCCCAATATGATGATATTTGGAGGTGGGACCTTTGGTAGTTGATTAGGTTATTTTGACTTCACTGTCATGAATGGGATTAGTATCCTTAGTGTTCATAGGAAGGAGACTCTAGAGAGTGCCCTTAGCCTTTTGGCTATGTGAAGCCTCAATGAGAAGATGGCCATTTAGATATGAACCAGGAAGTGAGCCTTCCAAAGACACTGAATCTACTGACACCTTCATCTCGGATTTCCCAGGCTCTAGAACTGTGAGAAATAATTTTCTCTTGTTTATAATCCGTCTGATCTATAGTCCTCTGTTATAACAGCCCAAATGGACTAAGACATGCACAAAACTGGAAGAAGTCAGCTGTGAATAAATATAATTTTTGGTCCCTTTTCTGATTTTATGTGTTGCTTCTTGCAGTTGGTCTTTCCTCAGATCATTTTCTACACATCAAAACTTTTAATCACACCTACTTAGATGAATTTTATAAGTGTAAAGGCAAATGTAATGAAGTGTTTATCTCAGATATTTCTATTCTGATGCAAATTATTGTGGCTTATTTTAGTTAACAGTCTGAACATAGTACATATAACACAGAAAAGTCTTATTTATTAAAACAAACCATAATAGAAAATCAAATAGGTAAGTTGAGATGAAATCACAATGTTTGTTTCATATTCTGTAATAATTTATATACCTTAAATATCATGTGGATGTAATATAACTTAAAGCTATTTTGAAAAACTTTTTCTGAAATTAACAAATGAATATTAACTTTACTGAATGAAATGTTTATGTTTTCAATGTAAAAATGTATTTATAACAAATATTTATTAAGCTCTTATGATGAACTCAGAACTATGTTAAATATTGGCAGTAGAACAGTGAATGAGAGAGGCCAGGTCCCTGCTCACTTAGACCTAGTGAACTGCATTTCGGTGGTGGAAACAGACAATAAACATGTAAAAGTCCCATTTCCTATCACACTAAGTGTGATGAAGAGAAGGAAAGAGTTAATACAATGGTGAATAAGTGGAGTGGTAGGGACAGCAGTGAATAAAGCAGTCAAGAGAAATTCTCAAAAATTCTGAAAAATAACAGAAAATCTGTTAATGGCAAGATTTGAGATGGAGTAAATAAATGTAAGAAACCGTCAGAAAGAATTTTACATGTGCTAATAGTAATGTCTATTCACAGCTTTATCGAAATGCTTTTATGGCTAGCACGTGAAAAGGAAGTAAAAAAAAAAAGGTCACACTTGAAGACAAGATCCTATTGGCTTTTATTCTATTTATTCAACAACTATTTACTGAGTGTGTATAATATTTCATGCTGTGGACTAGAGGCTGGAAACACAATGCTGAGAAAAACAGCCCATTCACTTGTCTCTGAGAGCAGCTTTTGAGAATTACTGACCCTCAGGAATGAAGAATGTGGTTCCATGAGAAATATCATTGAAAATAAAGCAGTCAGATTTTCAAAACAAACACACGCACAAATAACAAAAGTGAGATAGAGAGAGAAAAGAAGTCTTAAAATTATATGACAGTCAAAGGTCTTCCTTTTTGGTTTGACATTTTAGTTTCATCACCTGCTCCCAGAATATCTATGATTGGAAGTACCATATTTATAGCTCCAAGATGAAAAATTAAAAAAAGTCTTCTCTTTAATTAAACGTTTGCAAAAAATATGAATGGTCACTAAAACAGGAGATATGGCCAAACACGGATTTTGCTTTCATTCATCATTCCTCCACCTGCTCTTTAAAGATTATAGTTTGTTTCCCACTAATTGTATCGGGCATGGATTTGGCAAGCTTATCTGCGAGACTCTCTCTGTTGTGGTCTAGGTCAGCTTCACCCCATGGGAGAAAAGAAGGATCTGGTTCATCGAATCAAAGACCTAAAAAAGTCAGGGAGGAAGTTTTCCTATAATCTTAAAGTTTGTTTTGTAAACAAGTCCTCTTTAATCAGGGCTTTCAAGCTATTCTGTCACTTCAAAGTCCTTTCAAACCAGCCCCAAGTCACATTTTTGGTGCACAGACCAAAAAATAGGCCTGGCAAAAGCAGCCATCATTACCACTCATCATGCTGGTTAGTCTTTTTTAAAAGTCTAAGAAGCTACAGCAAGTTCACTGAACAATTATTAAGAACAAGTTTTAAGAAGAAAATTAATCTAATCAATTTATTTGGAGATCTACCTTTACAAAGCAACAGGGGACAGGACTCTATGCTGTAAAGAGAGATGCAAAATGAACAACAAGTGGTGTTTCTACTCAGAAAATCTGCAATTTCTCCAAGTAGTGCAAAAGCCCAGGAGATCAGAGACTGAGGATGAGAGCTCTTGGTATTTATAGTAAAACAAAGGGTTCCCATTCCCAGAGAATGCGACGCCATCCAATTCCATGTCTAATCTACTGAGCCAGTAGAGGTAGGCTTTTAAATTATCTTGTGTAAAATAAAATGTCCATCATGACAATAGCAATGGATTCTGATATATGGTATTTTGTGTGCCAGGTACTTGTCTAAGCGCTTTACATATGTAGCATTTTTAATCCTCACGGTATTGCTACCCTTATTATAATTCTCTTTGTCCTGAAGGGGAAACTGAAGCAAAGAGTTTCAATGCCTGCAGGATTGCACAGCAGGTGGGCAGTAGATTTAACTCTGCTTCTTGGTGACCATTCTCTTAACTTCAAGCCAAATTGCATTTCACAGAGGAGTGTTGAAGAAGCAAACTCTTCATAAAGAAGGCATGTCTTGAATGAATATTTATTTATTTATTATATCACGTCATGCATTCAGTCATTATTGAACTGAGTACCTAATATTGCTGTAGAGCCTTCCACAATGTGTCTCTTGCCTAAAACAAACAAATAAAAATGATGGCAAAGATCTATACAAGTGAAAGTATGCAATGATTGCCCACAATTCTCTGCATGGATATGGATGAGGAGGCATGGTTGTCAAAATGTCAATTTCCAAAGTAGCCTCTGAGTCAGCAGAAAGCAAGGACTTTGTTTTCCAAGGTGTCCATCTCTGAAGCATTTTGCAAGGTTCTCATGAGCTAAACATGCATTTCCTAAAGAAAAAACAATGCCAACTTGGAACTCTTTAAAAATGAAAGACCTAAATGAACACAATTTACATACATGTGAGTTGGAATGTGGAATTCATGCACTCTAAGAGAGTGGTTCCTCTGTAAGGACAGAAATGCATTGGCACCATTATGAGCTGAAACCAGAGAACAATCCCAAGCATATTGGTTTCCTGTGGTCACTCCAACAAATTTCCACAAACTGGGTGGCTTAAAACAAGAGAATTTTTTTTATCTCACTGTTCTAAAGGCCAGAAGTCCAAATTCAGAGTGTTAGCAGAGCCAAGCTCCCTGTGGAGTCCCTAGAGGATCCATTCCTGACCTCTTCCAGCTTCTAGTGGTTGCTGGCATTCTGTGTCTTGTGGTCGCATCACTTTAATCTCTGCCTCTGTGATCACAATGCCTCCTCCCCTTCTGTTTGTGTCATCTCCTTTTCTGTCTGTCTCAAATCTCCTTCTGACTTTTTCTTATAAGGACACTTTTAATTTAAATAAGGACCACTCACATGATCAAGAATGATCTCCTCATCTCAAGATCCTTAATTTAATTACTCTTACAAAGACTCTTTTTCCAAATCAAGGTAACATTAGCCCGTTTCAGGAATGAGGAGTGAACCTATGTTTTTGGGGGTCACTCTTCTATCCACTATGCCAAGTAATGGCAAGATCGTCCAAGGGAACCTTACTGGGAAACAGTAAGGTTCTCTTTGTGAAACAGCTGATGTCGCAGACCTCTCCTCCACCTTAATCACAAGCCCAGGAGAAGCACAAACTGTGAAGCCATTTATTGTATCTGAATGAGTGCATGTATCATTGGAGTGAGGGTACCTGGTTTGCTGGAGTTAATAAGTCCTTAAACTGCAATACTATGTGAGTTTCAGGTCTACCAACTTTTCCTGCCCAGTCTTACAATAATACCTTGCTAGGTGTTAGTGTGTAAAGATAAATAAAATAGGGCTGCCGTCCTTGAATTGATCAGCACATTGAGAATGTGGCATTAGATTAATTCAGGGAATGCAGTAAAGATTTTGCACCCTATATGATTTTATGTTGTTGTCTGTTAAAGTGCTTCTTGTCCTATCAGTCTGTTTCTTGTCATTGTCAATTCTGTGTCATCCATCTATCATGGGCCTGGAAATTTTGGAAGTCCGTCATGAGTCTTAAAGTTGTGTGAATTTGTGAATGTTTGCCCTAGAGACAGTCTTTCTAGCTGGAAATGAGTAAGTGGCCAGTCCACCTTTCGAAACACAACTCAGAATAAATAATTTAATTTAAAAAATCTCCTAGCATCTAAGTTAAATATGATATCTGGGTATTATAATTTGCCTAAATGCCCACTGCTAGGCAAGCTTCCCAATTATCACTAATTCCTAGTTATTCTTGTTTGCATGTGATTCTAATAATCCCTATTTAGCAGTTTTCTGAGTAAATAAGAAACATTAAATTAAAGTGGACACATAGAGAGCAATAAAAAACTGCAGATAAAAGCTTGACAGAGAATGATTAGAATGAGGATTTATGCTTTGCATAATATTCTCTGGGAATTTGATAGACGAGAACCACATTTTTATTACAAAGTCTTGTTTACTTACCTATGTGCGTATTCAATAAAATCTTGTTACAGTTCAGCAGATAGACTCTGAAAAGTACATTCTGGCTGACCATTCAAAAGACAAATAATATCTACACATGCAGCTTTTGAGATAGTGTAAGTGATAAACATTGGAAAGATTGTAAGGTTATAAGGCAGTGTCAGCCATTGCTGTCTATATCCCTAGCATCACTTTGGGTTAATAAATCCTGTTTCTGATCATCAGTTTGTCTGGTAGCAGAATCTACCTGGATTGAGGCTGACGAGCTGTTGGGGAAAGCATCAAAGTGATTTGCACATCTTCAGGTAGTGCAGACTTCATCAGTCAGGGTATAAGAATCCAAACCAGATTAGTGCACCAAAGAGCGGTACTCATTGTGCCTGTTCTACCTTTAATTGGTTAGTTCCCACATAGATGCAGATGTTCTTCAGGGACAGATGTCATGAAGGCTCCCATGTGGTTTAATTCTTGGCTTCCAGAGGTGTATTTTCTCTTTGCTCTTTCAAAATAGCTGATTGACTTGTATCCCTGAAAATCATCCCTCAGTTGGCTGTTTATTTTGTTTATTCATTCACATCTACTTTACCTATTTTTTGAAACAGATTTGAGGCAGCCAAGGTATAGTTTTGAGGAAAAGGTAGCAAAACAGTTTCTAATGTGAACCACCTCTGAGTGTTATGCTGTTTTAGGCCAAGTTTATTCATCTTTAGGACATAAAGCAAAACTTGTCTTATTAATCGCCTGCCAAGATGAAGAGGCAGTGTGAAATACACTATATTAGGTTGTTTTCAGTTTGACTACAGATTTGAATGAATGACTTTATTGTGTTTGTACCCTCAGGCTTTTTGGAGTTAGGGGCATATTGAAAAAATATTAAGAAAAAGTAATCTTGTGAATCTGATTACCCGCCCATGAGTGGCAGAAGCAGACTGTCACAAAGGTCACCTTTGTGAAGAGAAGTGGAATCACACCCAACTTGGGCACAGCCAGCCCCTGATCCTGAGGCTAAGTAATCTGCAATACCAGGACACTCCTTTGGCTTACTCTTTCAGAGAAACTTGTTATATAAGGGCTTTTTGCTTCCGAGTATCTTTGAGAGATCCAAAGATTAGTATTCTCTATCATAGAGACCCTTTCTCTGTCTTCCCTTCCTGCCTTCCTTCCTTCCTTCCCTCCCTTCCTCCTTCCTTTTTTTCCCTCTGTCCTTCCTTCCTTCTGCCCTCCCTCCCTTCCTCCCTCCCTCCCTTCCTCCCTCTCTTCCTCCCTCCCTCCCTTCCTCCCTCTGTTTCTCCCTTCCTATCTTACCCTTCCTCCCTCCTCCCTTCCTCCCTTGTCAATTCCTCCATCCTCCCTTCCTCCCTTCCTCCCTCCCTTCCTCCTTCCTTTCTCTCTCCCTTTTTGGCTCGTTTGTTCTCTCATTCGTCGTGCTCTTCATCCTCTGTGGCCTTCCCACGCTCGTTCCTTCGCCCTTCTTCTCTCCTTCCGTCCTTCTCCCCTCCCCGCTTCCTACCGTCCTCCCTTCCTCCATACCTCCCTTCCCCTTCCTTCCTCCCTTCTTTCCTTCCCTCCTTCCAACCTCCCTCCCTCTCTTCCTCCCTCCCTCCCTCCCTTCCTCCCTTCTTCCCTTCATTACTGCCTTCCTTCCTCCCTTGCTATCTTCCCCCTCCTCCCTCTTCACCTTCCTTTTTTCTCCCTTCCTCCCTCCTTCCTCCCTCCCTTCTTCCCTTCCTTCCTCACTTTCCCACTTTATCCCTTCATCCCTTCCCCCACTTTCTTCCTTCCCCCCTTCCTTCCTCCCTCCTCCCTCATCCCTTCCTCCATTCTCCCTTCCTCCATTTCTTACTTCCTCCCTTCCTCCCTCATCCCTTCCTCCCTTGTCCCTTCCTCCCTCCCTCCCTTTCCCCCTTCCTTTCCTCCTCCCTTCCTTTCTCTCTCCCTTCCTCCCTCCTTCCTTTCCCCTTTCCACTTTTCCTCCTTTCCCCCTTGCTCCCTTCCTCCCTTTCTTCCTTCCTTTCTTCCTCCCTCCCTTCCTCCTCCCTTCCTTCCCCCTTCCTTTCTTCCCCTTCTTCCTTCCCCCTTCCTTTCTTCCCCCTTCCTCCATTCCCCCCTTTCCTCCCTTCCCCCTTCCTTCCTTTCTCACTCCTCCCTTCCTCCCTTTCCTCCTTCCCTTGTTTCCCCTTCCCCTTCCTTCCTTCCCTCCCTCCCTCCCTCCTTCCTTCCTTCCAGAATAAGTGTTATACTAAGCTCACCCATGTAGCATTCCTACTCTAATTATGATAACCAGCTCTTACACTTTAAATTTTCTGGAATGACAGAAAATACATTTGTATACAAATAAGAAATATTATGTAATATAACAACAGAAGACTTTTTTCCTGAGAGATTGTGCACAAAAATCAACTTTGTAAACACTTACGTAAAAAAAGTCAATATAAATATTTACAGCAGAGTTTGAAAGATGACAAACTCAAGGGCAGATCTGAGCTGAAGATATTTTTTATTTGAGCATTATGGGTTTCTGAATTTGAACCAAAACTTGGAAATTTAGAGACTCAATATGCAAATCACATATTTTAGCTTCTCATGTAAATATTAGTGATGGCAGTGCTAGGGCCACATTTTGGCATGGCTACAAATTCTCTCTCCTCCCCAGACTTGACTACAGTGTATGTCTGACACTCATGCCACATAGGCATAACACCTTAGTCATGGTCACTTCACTAATTTAGCTTGTGTGAAATAAAATGTCCATGATGACAATAGCAATGGATTCTGATATATCGTATTTTGTGTGCCAGGTACTTGTCTAAGCTCTTTACATATGTAATACTTATAATCCTCACTGTGTTGCTACCCTTATTATAATTTTCTTTTTCCTGAAGGGGAAACTGAAGCAAAGAGAGAACATAGGAAAAAAAATTCCTTTCCTAGTACTTGGTACAGTTGACCAACTTAATGTCATTATTAATTAAGCAGGGCTGTTGAATTGTGTAAGACAAAAACTAATCACATAATCAGAGGTCTTATCGGGTTTCCTTAGTGGTGCTCAGAGTATAATTTATAAATTAAACCCTAGAATTTATCTTAGAAATCTTAGCCAATCAGCCTTTGTGATTCCCATATAAACTGTTTTTTGGGCGCTAAATGACAGAATATGTATACCCAAAAGCCTTTCAATTGCCGATGTTTTTTCCTAAGGCACTCATAACATGTGTCCCTAAGCAACACAATATCCATAAGGAGGAAGGTCTATTACCATTATAAATCAGTCTCCTGTATTAGGCACAAGAGACCATAGGCAAAAAAAAATTCCTTTCCTAATACTTGGTACAGTTGACCAACTTAATGTAATTATTAATTAAGCTGGGCTGTTGAATTGTGTAAGACCAAAACTAATCACATAATCAGAGGTCTTATTGGGTTTTCTTAGTGGTGCTTAGAGTATAATTTATAAATTAAACCATAGATTTTATTTTTCTGGTGGTTTATCCCTCATATCTAGTAGAAGTGGTACTTTGTAAGCTTGCCGACACTAAACATTTTAGTAAATCATCAGTTTGAAACCCTTAAAGAGTATCTAGAGCTTTAAACTGACATCTCCAAGTACTTTAGTACTAGGTTGTACACACATTGCCCACTGAATCCAGTGCTTAGGAACCTAATGTCTTTAGATAGTTGGTGCAGAGGATGAATTCCTGGTCATGAAAGACATATTACATATCCTCTATGTCAAGCTTGTCCAACCCGCAGCCTGCGGGCTGCATGCAGCCCAGGATGGCTTTAAATGCAACCCAACACAAATTCATAAACTTTCTTAAAACATGATGATTCTTGCAATTTTTTTTTTTTTTTTTTTAGTTCATCAGTTACCATTAGTGGTAGTGTATTTTATGTGCGCCTCAAGACAATTCTTCCAATGTGACCCAGGGAAGCCAGAAGATAGGATACCCCTGTTCTATGTAAATATATCTCTGGTACTTTTAAATTAAAAATTTTGCTTTTGTTTTCTTCAAATCCTGAGTGGTCATGATATGCCTTGCCCATAGTTTCTTCCAATGACCTTCCCTGCAATTTGTCCTCATTAATTTCAGGCTGCACTGATACTTATGGCCCTTTTAGTATGCCCATTTTCCAGTGATCTCTACATTCTTTTGTTATTTCATTGTTTTTTATTTTATTTTTTACTCATATCTTGAATATACTGTGTAATAAATTTGTAACTACCATTCAAAGCAAAATAGCAAATATTTCCTTCAGAACAGAAATTTTCTTTCCCTGCTACCCACCCACCCAAACCCTTCCACAACCACTTTTACTCAAGCTCATTGAGGGTTAATTGATCTACCTTAGCCCACATACAATACACATGTGCAATTTGATAAGTTTATATATATATTTACATATACTCATGATACTGTAATCACAGTCAAGATGAGATTGTAGTAGAGTACTTATCAGCTGAGAGCATGTGTGGTATTGTAATACCTATTGATCAGGAAAGTATAATATAAATATTAAAATATAATAAGATGGTACCTAAAAATTTATAACTTATATTGCCCTGAGAGCTCTCAATTACTGAAGGTTCAAAATAGTCCACATGCACGTTTGTGCACACACATAGTATATATGCATACACACACATACATATATACACACATACATGTATGTATAAAAATACAGTATTTTATATATATATATATATATATATATATATATTTTATATATATATATATATATATGGAAAAGCTTTCAAAGACAAATAACAAGGTAAAAGTGCCTAAAGCAGCTTTAAAAGGGTATTCTCATATTGATTATGAGACATAGATAATATACTCAAGAGGTATGTTTCACTAAGAAATGCCTTGCTGTATCTAAAGGTTGAAACTTTCCTAACTCTATTACAATGAGCATATCATGTCTTCTCAAAAACACACACGCTGTTTAGGTGGACCATGGGAGTGCATGGATAATGAACAAGAAAATACTTTTAATATGAAAGGCCAAGAAGATGTTAGCAATTTCTTGGGTTCAAAAGAGGAAATAAATACCAACTAAAATGAAAAGAAAAACCTGCAGGGAAAAAAGCACTGGAGGACCCAGCTTCATTTTTAAATTTAATGTTCATAATTTATCCACTATGACCTAAAAAAAGCAGTGTCTGCAATTTCTCATTTCTGGAGCCTGTTTTGCTCCACTATCTTACAAAAGAAACTAAATTTCCTTGTAGTCAAGCTGAATCCCAGAACCTACTTAAATAAGATAAGCAGTTGCTTTAACCATTTCTTAAGTATATTCATCAGAATTGTTGAAATATCTCTTGCTACTATTAACGATTCCCAGAAAATATTTTGTTTTCTTTAAAAAATGAGTATGAAAAGTGTTATTTAAATCTCTCCCTATACATTGTTTTAGCTTCTGAAGCTATTTTAGCACCTCCTTATCTGTTTGTCAAAAATCTAAAATGATTTTTTGCCTTGACTGTCAATTGGAAAAAAAGGCACTCTAAATGCCTCCATTGTGAACAGTTTACAATGATTTCTTTGAAGTAGCTATTCTGAGGCATATACTTATTCATTAGTATATAACAGGTTAGCACTTTGAGATAAAAGACATTTTACAATATGCAAATATTCAGGTTTGTGTAGGATTTCTCTCTCTCTCTCTCTGAAAAGGAGTAGGTGAAGCCAAACTTGACAGATAAACATATGTGTGGTCTGAAACCTTAAACTTGACCATAAAAACACCATGGCCCATAATAATATAATTTATGCAAGTTCAGTAGAAATAAATTCATTTCTTATAGGTTAAAAAGGAGTATAATGCTAATTATCATGTTAGCAATTACATGTACAAATATTTTTTTTTACAATTGGATGTATCTCAGAAAACATGAATACATTGACATTTTAAAGTGAAACATCTTTTTATACATATTTAAGATTATTTAACTAAAAGAACTCTTTTATACTTTTATGGAAGAAAATACACCTAAATTTTCTGCTTTATAAATCAGTTACAAAATTTTTCCTTAAAATTGCTGTTTTATTTATTTGTATACTATAGATTATAATTATGTGATTCCTTTTCAAAGGTTGTTTTAAAATTAAATTTTTAGATTGTATTTTAATTAACAAATAATAATTGTGTATACTTAAGGGGCTATAGTGTGATGTTTTGATCTACGTATACATTGTAGAAAGATTCAATTAAGCTAATTAATATGTCCATTACCTTATCAACATGCTTTGTGATTAGGAATATTGTAAATGTATTCCTCTAGCATTTTGGAAATACACAATGCATTATTATTAACTGTGGTTACCATGCTGTGCAGTAAGTTCACTAAAACTTATTCTTTCAGTCTAACTGAAACTTTGCACCCTTTGGTTACTATCTTCCCTTTCCCCATCTGTCACTTTCATCTCCTGCCTCTGGCAAACATCCCCTGACCGCCACAAAAATTACAAACCTTTAAATACATCTATTTGTATTTATGTATGTATGTATTTATTTGAGACAGAGTCCTGCTTGGTTGCCCAGACTGGAGTGCAGTGGCACCATCACAGCTCACTGCAGCCTCAACCTCCATGGGCTCAGGCCATCTTCCCACCTCAGCCTCCCAAAGTGCTGCGATTACAGATACAAACCACCACACCCAGCTAATTTTTAAAATTATTTGTAGAGACGGGGTTTCCCTGTGTTGCCTAGGCTGGTCTCAAATTCCTGGGCTCAAGCAATCCTCCCACCTTGGCCTCCCAAAGGGCTGGGATTGCAGGTGTGAGCCACTGCACTTGGCCTAAATGAAGTTTTAAATAAAATTGGCAAAGGCTCCATATGGATTACAGATTCTCTATGGATGAACATAGAATTTTATGATTTGACTACTGAATTTTTTATTTAGACAGACTATGAAGCGTTCGATTGCTCCTTTGTTCATCATAGTAACTCCAGAATATCATTTTCCCTTCTGTTCTTCTCCTTCAATTTAGCACCTTTCCTAAAACAGAGATTAGTAGGTATTAAAATATCCAAGCAAGTTAAAATAGCATGTAATTATGTCTTTCCTTTGAAGAATTCTCAAAAGAAAGAGCTGTGAAGAGAAGCACGAACACCAACATTGGTTTAAACAGAAAACGTACTCCACAAGATTTGTGGACTTGAGGAGATCACCAGGGATTTTTCTTCCTTGAAAGAAGGTAGCCTTCCAGGCCTCATCTTTCTCCCATGCTTCATCTTTCTCCCACGCTGGATGCTTCCTGCCCTGGAACATTAGTCTCCAAGTTCTTTGGCTTTTGGACTCTTAGACTTAAACTAGTGTATTGCCAGGGGCTCTCAGGCCTTCGGCCACAGACTGAAAGCTGCACTGTTAGCTTTCCTACTTCTGAGGTTTTAGGACTTGGACTGATTTACTACTGGATTCCTTGCTCCTTAGCTTGCAGATGGCCTCTCATGGGACTTTACCTTGTGATCGTGTGAGTCAATTCTCCTTAATAAACTCCCTTTCATATACACATACATCCTATTAGTTCTGTCCCTCTAGAGAACCCTGACTAATACAGCCTCAGTTCTCATTCATAGATGGCACTGTTTAGCTGAGTCTACTCTTTCCACCTTCTTCTGCCGGCTTTATTTTAGCCATGATGACAGCTGATTAGATGGTGCCCACCCAGCTTGAGGGTGGGTCTGCTCGTCCCAGTCCACTGACTCAAATGTTAATCTCCTTTGGCAACACTCTCACAGACACACCCAGGAACTATACATTGCATCCTTCAATCCAATCCAATCAAGTTGACACTCACAAGGGCCCTCAGCAGACACTGAATCTGCTGGCACCTTGATCTTGGATTTCTCAGCCTGTAGAACTTTCAGAAATAAATTTCTGACATTTATAAGCTATCTAAGCTATAGTATTTTGTATATATTTTTATAGCAGCACAAACAGACTAAGACAACATGACAGCCAATTCCTTATTTTATATACATTTATATACACACACATACATATACATATATATACACACACACATACATACATACATATATGAGCATATATATGTATATAAATCATCCACAATGTGAGTTGACAAGCTGGTGGTCTAGGAGACCCAGGAGAGCCAATGGTGTAGTTTCCACCTGAAGAAGAGCAGATATTTCAATTCAAGTCTAAGGATAGGAAAACACTTATTGAATCAACAGAGTATATGTGTGCATGTGTATATGTATGTATACATTATTGATTCTATTTATCTGGAGAACCTGGACTCAAAAAAATGTAAACAGAAGCTTAGGAAAGAAAAAATAAAACTGTCCTCATTCACAGGTTGTATGAATGTCTATGTAGGAAATCGTAAAGAATAAAAAGCAAAACCAAAAATCTTGATCTAAATGATCGTAGCCAGCTTGCAGGACACAAGGTTAATATTTAAAAGGCAATTATTTTCTTAGATACCAGGAATGAACAACTGAAATTCCAAGTATTTATTTCTGGTATCTAAGAAAATAATTGACAATTGGGATTTCAATTTTTTATTCTTGGTATATGAGAAAATAATTGTCATTATATTAGCACCAAGTAAGTAATACTTAGGTATTAGTCTAAAATAATCTAAAATATTTATGAAGAAAACTATAAAACTCTGATGAATGAAATCAAAGAAGATTTAATTAAGTGAAGAGATGTTCCATGAACATGGACAGTAAGACTCCAATGTTGTCAAGACATCAGTTCTTCACAACTTGATCCATGTATTTAATAAAATTTCAATCAAAATCTTAGTTAATTATTTTGTCTTTGATTAAATATTTATGAATAAATTTATCAGAGTCTATTAAATATCTCACTTGGATTTTTATTAAGATTGCATTGAATCTATAGATCAAGTTAGGAAACACTGACATCCTAACAATATTGAGTCTTTTAATCCATGAACATCTAATATATTTTTACTTTTTCAGATAATCTTTTTTCATATGTATTATAGTTTTCTGCAAATAGATCTTGTGAATATTTTGTTAGATTTATGCCTAATAACTTAATGTCTTATTTTGTTTTTCTTTGTTTTGGTACTCTTGTAAATGGTAGTTTTATTTAATTGCAAATTCTAATAGTTCGATGCACATATATAGGAAAGCTATTGACTTGCATATGTGAACCTTTTATTCCATGATCTTGCTATACTTGCTTATTAATTTCGGGGTTGTTGTTTTTTCTTTTTTCTTTTAATTTTTTGGTATATAATATCACCAGCAAATACATTTGGTATTATAGCTTCCTTGCCAATGTGTATATGTGTATATTTTTCTTTTTCTTTTCTTATTTTATTTTCAGAGACTTCCAGTGCCATCCTGAATAGGAGTGGTGAGAAGAGACATCATTACCTTATTCTAGGTCTCAGGGGAAAAAATCTTAATGGGAAAGTTTCCCACCATTAAATATGATATTAGCTACAGTTTTTTTTGTAGATGAGGTGTTTTTTTGTCAAGTTGAGGAAGTTTCTCACCATTCTTAGTTTGCTGAGTGGTTTTTCTTAATCATGAATGGATATTGAATTTTTTTAGCTTTTTCAGTGTCAATTGATACGATCATATGCTTTTTCTTTAGCTTGCTGATGTGATTTGTTACATTGACTAGACTTTTTTGTTTGCTTGTTTGTTTGTTTTTTGAGACGGGTCTTGCTCTTTCATCCAGGCTGGAATGCAGTGGCACAATCTCCTTTCACTGTGACCTCTGCCTCCCAGGTTCAAGCAATTATGCTGTCTCAGCCTCCTGAGTAGGTGGGATAACAGGCACGTGCCACCGCATCCGGCTAATATTTGTATTTTCAGTAGAGAGGGGGTTTTGCCATGTTGGCCATGCTAGTCTTGAACTCCTGGCTTCATGTGATCTGCCTGTCTTGGCTTTCCCAAAATGTTGGGATTACAGGTGTGAGCCACCACACCTGGCCACATTGACTAAATTCTAAATGCTCAATCAGTGTGTGTATTGGAAATAAATCCCACTCATTTGTGGTATGTAATTCTTTGTACACATTGATGGATGCTGTTTGCTAATATTTTGTTGAGAATTTTTGCATCTTTACCCACGAGTGATATTATTCTTTAAAGTTTTCCTTTCTACTCATGTGTTCATCTGGTTTTGTTGGGAAAATGCTGGCCTCATAGAATGAGTTAGGAGGTGTTCCCTCTGCTTTTATCTTCTGGTAGAGTCTGTGGAGAGTTAGTGTTATTTCTTTTATAGGTGTGTGGTAGAATGCACCATTGAATCCATCTGGGCCTGGTTCTTTCTTTTTTGGAAAAATTATTAATTATTGATTGAATTTCTTTAACATACATAGCACTAGTCAGGTCACTCTTTTCTCCTTGTATGCATTTTGGAAGTTTGTATTTTTCAGGTTATTGTCCATTTTATCTAAGTTATTAAAATATGTAGTCATAGTTTTGTTTGAAGCTTTCCCTTATTATCCTTCTAACATCTGTGGGATCAGTAGTGATGATGCTATTTTCATTTCTGATACTGTTAATTTGAACACTCTTACCACTTTTCTTGTTTAGCCTGGCTAGAAGTTGATTGATATATTAATCTTTAAGAGAACCAGCTTTTTAAATTAGGTTTCTTCTATGCCACATACAGTTCTATCTTATTAATTAATTTTCAGAGCAATTTTACTTTTAAAAAATAATTTAGCAATATTTAAACTAGTGGAATTTTAACCTTCTAAAATACAATCTAAATGAAATGTAGTTATAGCCAAAAGTCAGGTAAGAATTACTTTGATTAATAGGATACATTTGGAAGAGCTGAAAGACTCATTTGATCTTTTAAAATTCACATATACTTTGATATTAATTTTAATTCCTCTTGTGGTATTTGATTTTTTAATAATTAGTTTTTAATATGCTTCCAAGGATATTTGGGGAGAAATCAGAATTATAATTGCTTCTAGATGACATCAAATTAAAAGAATTTATTAAAATAATTTCCTTTGAGGTTATACTAGAAATGTACATAGAACTATAATGCATAATTTTATTAATTGTCTTTTATTGTAGATAGATGATCACGTCTTTAAAGTTGATTGAATATTAGTATAATTTAATGGATTCTAGAAAAAGGTTTGTAATCAAGTAGGCAAAATTTTAAATTCTCCTCATGCCACATACCAGTATTTGACCATGGACACATTACATAAATTCTCTGAGTTGCAAATATCAACTAATATGGGAATCAAATCAAATAAAAAATACAAACTATTGTGTCAGATGGATGTAGCTTCTTGACCATGATCTACTATTGATTAGCTATATAAGTTAGTTATTTGAGTTAAGTAGTTTCTGTAAGTCTATTTCTTCCCTGTTAAACAGGATATTATAAATTAGGTACAGTGGGTTTTCTGAAAATTAAGCAAATATTATATTACACTTACTAATAGAATATAAGCTTAAAGGTGCCCAAAAGTGCTTCACACAATATAGTTTCTAAATAGGTGATAAAATATTTCTTCATTCAGAAATATGAAATCACTGATTAATATAATTTTTGAATTTTTCTTTCACAGTTTTTTGTTTTAACATTTTAAAATATTAAATATTAACAATGTTAAAAAGAATCTCTTGTTTATTTAGATCTACAAAAAGAAAAGTGGCAGTAATAATTAATATGTAAATCAATATAACAGATTTTGCTTTGCATTTTCTCATTTCTGGAAATGATAATTGACTGTTTAAAGCAAATATAATAACAATGTATTATAGATTTTATAATATAGTGGAAGAGGGAGGAGGAAATGGAAAGATACTCTCGTAAGGCACTAGGTTACATATTACAAGGCATTATGTTATTTAAATATAGACTATAAAAAATTAAACAGGTACATTGTAAACCCAGAGCAACTACGAAAAATTTTTAAAAAGAAGTATTGCTGATAAAAGTAGCAGCAAGCATAAACTTACAAATACTCAATTCATATAAAAGGAAGCAGGGACAGAGAAAAAAATAACAAAGAATGTATGGAACAAATAGAAAACATAGTAATCATATGGATAATTTCCAATAAATGTAGATAGTCTAAGTGTTCCCATGAGAAAATAAAGGTTGTTCACACTGGATAAAGTAGCAAGATCCAATTTTATGCTATGTGAAGGAAGCCAGAAACAAATTATTATACAAGCTATGATTTCACTTATATGAAGTTACATAAATAGCAAACTTTTAGTGACAGAAAACATACTGGTGTTTTCTAGGGCTAGGGGTGAGGTGAGCAGATTGATTTTAATGGGGCATGGGAGAACTTCTTGGGGTGATAGAATCTTCTGTATCCTAATTATAAGAGTGATTATAAAACTGGGTACATTTGCTAAGACTCATCAAACTGAGCCCTTAAAATAGGCTAGTTTTACTGTATGAAATTTGTAACTTGTAAAAAGTAATTTAAAACAGTTTATGAACATCCATGTTTGGAAACCAGAAATGATTTCCAAAGGGCCTTCATTTCTGTTAGATTCTTGCAGTTTTCAGATTTGTACTTTTAGCCATGAATTTTGCAGAGACAGGAGGAGTGAGTTTTCAACATGTTCGGCTTATGTGGGTGTTCAATAAATTATTTTTAATCAGCTGGATGACTCAAAGGAGGCAAATTTGAGATGGGGGCTGGGGTTAGTTACCACTAGCACAATGTATTTTTAAAACCTAAAATGCCTTAAACATTTGCGTTTTGGGCTCCTAATTTCTTTCTTTCCTTCCTTCCTTCCTTCCTTCCTTCCTTCCTTCCTTCCTTCCTTCCTTCCTTCCTTCCTTCCTTCCTTCCTTCCTTCTTTCTTTCTTTTTTGAAAACATACTCTCCTCTGCTTAGCTGGAAGAATAAAATCAATGGCAGCTCTGTTCCAGACATTTGTTATGGTGTGACTGGAAACTATTGCATACTTGAGCAGGCTATTTGGAAGAAGATTCTCCATACTATGTAAGGCAATAAACTTACTTCTTTCCTCAACTGTTTTGCTGATGCCTGAAAATATGAAGTAATTTTAGAGAGGTCTCTCATTTTTTCTATTCAGATGCTAGCAGGCTAACATTAATTTGTGGTTTGTTAATATTGTGAGTTAATATCACTACTACATAAGCAATATATAATTTTTTTAAAAGTCATGAAACATACAAACATAAAGGATGGTTTGAACTAGTGTTTGAGCAGGCAATGAGAGAGTATTTTAAGAACCTGAACCAAGGATTATAAACATGCATAGATGACAAAATTCAGACCCTTCTAGCAGATAAACTTTACTCCCTTCTAGGAGTTATTCAATGACATAGCTGTTAGCTATTTGATGCTTATCACAAATTTATTAATAATGAAAAATTTGAATTTATCCATAAATGAATCAGAAATAAAAAATGCAATCAAATATGGCTAGGTTCTCTCTGGTAATTTAAGGTTGTGGAATTCAATTAAACTAAAATAAATTGTCAGGAGTGTCCCCCTGGGTGTCCAATAGAGCTTTATGGCAGATTTAAGGACTTGGAATAGCCTCACTCCAGACCCAGGAGACCTGAGTGTCTCTTTGATCAATTATTGTACTTCCATTAAAATATTTTTACTTCAAAATACTCAGGGGACATCTTGATCACTGATTCTTGCTACAGCTATCAGATCATCTAGGTCTTTTATTTTTAAAGGTTATCACTCCTCTCTGCTAATGCATCCAATGTTTAAGGAGTTCCACATGCAGCTGATAGAAATCTTTCTTGCTGGACCAATAATTGACCTTTCCTCATAGTAAAAGATGTTTGTCATAAAATATCCTAGTGAAATTCATGTGCTATCCCCTTAACAATTTGGGTGACAGAATAACGTAAGTAGTAGCTTTGATGGCTCAGCTATGTTAATAGCCTTCTATGGTAATAGGAGTGATTGATATATGCTGTAATCCTACACTGTGATTTTGTAATATTTCTTTGGATTTTTATGTTGATGTGAAAACTCTGCTTGGAAAATGACTGGTCACCAACACACGCACACACAAAAAATGTTAACTCTGGGCAGCAAATCTGTTGAATATTCACTGGACCAGTTTTTTAAAAATCACATCATATAATGAAGTGAATGCTTGCTCCTTCCCTACATTAAAGGGAAGTTAACAAAATCAATTAAAAATCTGGAAAATACTTTGATCTTCTGAAATCTACAATATACCTGTGTAGTAATACTTTCATAGTAGTGCATTCAGTAATTGTTAAAAGAAATTCTTAGTCATTGATACTTGGTGTATTCACTTTTATTTCTAATTTCTAGTTATTTGTTTATTTGTTTTGTAGTTGTAATAGCACTTCTATATGAGAAGTGTAGGCTGGGCACGGTGGCTCATGCCTGTAATCCCAGCACGTTGGGAGGCTGAGGCAGAAGGATCACGAGGTCAGGAGATCGAGACCACGGTGAAACCCCATCTCTACTGAAAAAAAAAAATTCAAAAAATTAGCTGGATGTGGTGGCAGGTGCCTGTAGTCCTAGCTACTCGGGAGGCTGAGGCAGGAGAATGGCATGAACCTGGGAGGCTGAGCTTGCAGAGAGCTGAGATCATGCCACTGCACTCCAGTCTGGGTGACAGAGTGAGGCTCCACCTCAAAAAAAAAAAAAAAAAGAAGTGTACAGATATTCAATTATTTAACAACTTTGGATTCTTGTTGATTCATTTTGTTGGCTACTTTGAACATTAAGCATATTAATGTTCAATTTTTGAAACAATTTTAGATTCTTATTGATTCATTTTTTTTTGTTCAGAACCCTCATTCATAGAATAAAAAAGTTCAGGCTAACATCTCTTTCCTGCAGGTTACGAACATGCAAACATCACTGTCTTTGGAGGAACATTCTTGAACTAACCAGTTTGCAGTTAGGTGGCATAGATTTAGGTCAGTCCCAGAAGGGAAACTTTATGTATACTTGTATTTCATTATTTTAATGGCATAAAATATACTCGGTATATGGCTAAAAGCACAACAATGTTATATGCTGGAGGAGAATGGTAATAGTAAAAGAAGAGATATTCATAAATATTCTAGGAGTAAAAGCAAGAGAAAGGAAAGATAGGTTTTCAATCCAAATAAACTACCATTACAAGTTATTAAGAGGACTGAATAATGCTTGAAGAATTATTCACCGTGATGTACAAACATCATGGTGTGGATTAATGATAATATAATAGTTGCTTTCACAGAAATCTGTTCTTTTGTGAGCTTGATATATGAAATAATCATTTATTTTAGACATTTGTGAATGTTATTTAACCAATATTCCATTGAAAACCTATAAGACTAAATGTTTATGGAATATAAATTTAAAGGTGCCCAAAAGTGTTTCACACAATATAGTTTCTAAATAAATGATAAAATATTTTTTCATTCTGAAATAAGAAATCATTGATTAATATAATTTTTGAATTTTTCTCTTCCATAGTTTTTTGTTTAAATATTTTAAAATATTAAATATTAACAATGTTAAAAAGAATCTCTTGCATATTTAGATCTACAAAAAGAAAAATGGCAGTAATAATTAATATGTAAATCAATAAAACAGATTTTGCTTTGCATTTTCTCATTTCTGGAAATGATAATTGACTGTTTAAAGCAAATATAATAACAATGTATTATAGATTTTATAATATAGTGGAAGAGGGAGGAAGAAATGGAAGGATACTCTTGTAAGGCACTAGGTTATATATTACAAGGCATTATATCGTTCCTAACTCAATATGATTTCAGATCAGAATCTTAAAAAGGAAGGATTATAGTCTCTAGGTATCGTCTATGATCAAAAGATGAAGTTATTTATTTATATCTTATTCAAAGGCTGCAAGCAAAAAGAAGACAAGCCCATTCACCCAAATACAGTACCATCATAGTCAAAATTTTATAGTTGAAGTGAAGGAGTGTGTGTTTGTATGTGTTTGTATTTTTAGGTTGTTAATTTAAAACATTTATATCCATACACATTTACATAAAATTACTTGGTTCTTATTTTATAAAATCCTCATTAACTTCATTTTTGCCATATTTTCTTTGTCTTCTTCCCCTGCATGCTCTCTCCCATGATCATATAGAAAAATATAGGATATTTAGGTGTTCTGTTGTTTTCCTAGGGTTGGGTGCTTAAAACTACAGTAATTCATTCCTTCCCTGTTCTGGAGGTACAAAGTTCCAAATCCAGGATTGTTCTCGTACAGAGGTTCTGAAGGAGTATTTGTCTCATGTCATCCTGCTGCCTTCTGGTGGTTTCCAGGAGTCCTTCATGTTTCTTGACTTGCAGATTCACCACATCAATCTCTGTCTCTGTCTTCAGATGGCATTTTCCTCTGTGTGTGTCTGTGTTTCTTCTCTTCTTATAAGGATATTGGTCATATTAGATTTAGGGACCGTCTTAATCTAATATGACCTTTCCTACCTCTGTGAAGACCTGATTTACAAATAATGTCACATGCATAGGTTTTGTGGGTTATGGCTTCTATATATTTTCATGAGGGGCACAATTAAACCTCTAAGAGCTGTTTACAGAACATACGTGTACATGCATACACATGTAGTTTCTGCATCTTTCTTTCTTCACAGAATACCTCATGGGAATTCCTTACAGCCAATTGTTATGGCTCTACCACATTTATTAATGCCTGTATAACATTCCATGGTATAGGTGCTTGATAATTTATTCACTGCTTGCCAGTGAAGGTCATTCACTGTTTTTTAGATTTCATCACTACAAACTAAGGTGCCCTAAGTACCTTAGTACCTTTCCCAGTCAGTTCTTTGTATCTATGTAATAGATTCCAAGGTGTGGAATCAAAAGGTATATGTGTTTTAAAATTTCCTAGGTGTTACCAGATTAATTTCCAAAAAGTTACAACAATTTGTCTTTTCCCCAACAGTAAACAGGCATAGTCCTTTTCTTGCATTTCTGCCAGAATAGGTATTGAAGCTTTTATTTAATCTTTCAGCACAATGAGTATGGAGTGATATCTTACTCCTATGATTTACTGTTCCTCACTAGTGGGTTTGACCATATTTTTATGCTTCTTTGGCCACTTGGACTTGTTTTATATTGTGATGGATGCCTTTTTCCTATCAATTCATGTGAATCTGTTGGATAGTAAATATATTTAACCTTCATTAGCATATATGTTATACATTGTTTTTCTGCCAACTTATTTAAATTTAAATTTTATTTATATCTAATTTTTTTCTGCAAATTTATCAGCTGTGAATTGATTTGCTACACAATTTCATATTTTTTTATAGTCAAGTACAAACTATTTTTTCTTTTACAGGTCCAGGGTTGACGATTTTGGTTGAGAAAGTTAAACATTCATTTAGAGCAAGCAATTGTTGTGGCTACTGTGACCTGTCTCCCAGGATCCCTGCTCTGCTCCCTTTTGGTAGTAATAGGGCCTTTGGGTCTTTGCTATCCCAGTGGCTGTTCAAGCAAGAGAGCACTTGGCAACCTCCCTTGTAGTCTGGTTTATCCATGGTACTTAACTCTGCAACCTGGGAGGTGAGCAGAATGAAGTCATACCTTTTTTAAAGGGCACATGGCCTCCTCTTACATTTCCCCTTCCACACTGGCTGAAATGTTCGTGAGCTACTTTGAACCATGAGAATTAGGACAGTACCCAAGGACTGCAGAGTAGTTCGATGGAAAGAGGCTCAGTTCCTATTCTCTACATCATGGAGCCACCACATAAGCCCGAGGCTCCTTTCCCAGAATCAACCCCTAGGAGCAAAATAAACTGTCTTGCTTAAGCCATTTTCATTTGGAGACCCAGTTAGAGTAGCCACAATTATACCCTAAATAATATAGAAACCAAAGAATCTCATGTGTTCTAAATTTGGAAATAGTGTTAACCATCTGGCAAAAGATCTTTGACCAGAATAGCATTATTCAGGAATCTATTCACACTAAAAGATTGATTTGCCTATATAATTCTGTCTGTTTAAAAAAATAAAATATTTTTTCCATTATTTTTCCAGCATACTATTGAATGATTCATTAATATCTCTGTATTTATTCAGGCACCTAGTAATTATTTTTCTGAAGCAGTGCTAACAGAAAGCCAAAGAAGTTCAAATAATAACTTTGTAAATATGAATTATAGGCTCAAAACTGAGTATGACATTTTCAATGGTGGGTGTGATAATTCTTGAGGCAGCAGGAATGACTGGGTGCTTAACACCTGTTTGCTTTATTTAATAACAATGTGTACTGTACCTCAGCAGGAACAGCAGCTCTCCCCCGCAGACTCTCAGCAAACATAGCTTCATGCATGCTGAAAGCATCGTTTGATCTAAAAAGTATTTTCATTCTCTTAAAGAGTGATTCTTATCAATGTCAATCCTCTTTTGGCATTGAAATATTAAATAAAAGTTATTTGGCATGGTCAATATATATTTTTTTCATGAACATGTCCTTCTAGTCCTATTCCCTAAGTGTTGGCCTTTCCCAGGTTACACTTTCAGTCAGTTTCTTACCTCCCTCTACATTTTCATTTATGATAATTGTCCTTTTTCACTCTGTGATCCAGATCTGGACTTGTTTCTCCCCTAAACGAGAGGAAACACTTTCCCCATTCTTCTCACATTACAATATCAGCCTGTAAAGAAAAGCATTCTATCACTACCTCACCTTTCTCAGAAGTGCTGAAGAACAACCTTTCACTCTTACTTACTTAGGGAAAGTAAACTGGCCAGTTCATGACCCCCATCCCAGGCAAGACTGGATCAACATCTGTTGCTTTCTCTGGAGCTGCTCCTTTTGTGTTCAGGTTGGAAGGACCATTGACTTGTCTCATTCTCTATGACCCATTGAGTCAAGGCTGAGAGCCTGGCTTTCCAAGGCAGGCAGTGGGGCCACGTGTTGATGCTCCCTATCTGTTTGCAGTTGGGTTTGTTCACCAGATGGTGACCCTTTGTGGGGAGTGACTGGTGGAGTGTTTGAGAAGGAGGCATGTCCCAATGTCTAGAATTGTTGGAGAGGTAATAGAAAGCCCCAATTTAATGTCAGATCAAAGCCTCACTTTTTTCCCCTTTTTAAAATCACTGTTTCTTTACTTAATTAATATTTACTAGATACTAGTAAGAAAATAGTGAACATACAGATTAGTTACTTACCCTTATGGAATTTTCAGTGAGAGGGGAAATGTCAACTTAAAAATAATTATATAAACATAAAGCAGGTGCTAAGGGAAAAAAATTAGAAAGTACCAAATGATTAATAACTGGAACACCGATTTGTTCTGGGTAGGTAAGAGACCAGGAAGAAGTCACGGGGCCTCCTGGTGGAAGCAATATGTGGCTGAGACTTAAAATTAAAGAAGCATGAGAGGACTTCATAGGACAGAGAGAACAGCTGACTTGAGGATCTGCAGGGTCAAGAGATTGTTGTATCTTCACAGAATGGAAGGATTCCATCATAATTGGAGTGAACACAGGTACAAGGGTAAAAGATGGCTTAAGAGAGAGGTGAGGATCAGATTAATATGGGATAAACTAAGGATTTTACATCTTATCCCAAAGAGGCTGCAAACAAAGTCTTGCCCCACTTGCATTTGAAAAAAAAGTCACTTAGAAGCCCAAGGTGTTTGAGAGCCAGAAAGAAGGAAGTGGTTCTGAGTTGAGACCATAAAGGCTTAGACTCACTCATGGTGATGAGAATGAAGAGGAGCACAGAATTTAAAAGATATCTAAGAGGTAGGATGAAAATATTTACTGCAAGATTTCATACCTGAGTGAGGGAAATGGAAGAGATAAGGCTGTGCTCCAGGCTTCTGGTCAGCATGTAGGTGGAGGTGGATATCATTTCCTAAGCAGAAACAATGGAGGACCATCATTTCTGGGATGAAGGAGCTCTCCCTGCATAGCATTCTAGCCTTCCAATATCTGAGCTTCAGTGAAATTCCTCCCTCTCTATTAATTTGCTAGGGCTGCAATAACAAAGTACCATAGACTGTAGGCTTCAACAGCATAAATGCATTTTCTCACAGTTCTGGAGGCTGAAAGTCTAAGATCAAGGTGTTGGCAGGTTTGGTTTCTCCTAAGGTCTCTCTCCCTGGCTCGCAGATGGCCACCTTTTCACTGAGTCCTCACATGGCCTCTCCTCTGTGCAAGTGCATCATCCTGGTGTCTCTTCCTCTTCTTACAAGCACACTAGTTGTATTTGGTTAGGGCTCAACTCTTATGTCCTCACTTAACGTTAATTACCTCTTTAGAAGCCCTATCTCCAAATTCAACATATTGAGGTTTAGGGGTTCAACGTATGAATTTTGGGGGACACAATTTGGTCCAAAACACTCTCCCATGGCGCACCTGCTGGCTAATAGATTCTTGCTTCATAAACTCAATATATGTGAATCCAATATTACTCATGTTGAAAATAAATCTCTAAAAATTTTATGACCCTTTTTTTCCTCTATGTTATCAGAATCCAGAAACAATGTCTTATAAGATTTTGTATCTCCTGTTGCACAGAGCTAGTCCCACACCATTCAAAAACAATGATTAAATGACTGCTAATATTTTAGAGATTTATACTTTTTAGGATTAGGTTATGAGCATGAAGAGAATGAAATATATGTCAAAGATATTAATGGCCTAGATATTTATTCATTAATGAGAAATGTAATTCATATTTATAAAGTTTGGTAACAAATTTACACAGGATTTAATATTTTGGTCCTAATGTCTTCTTAGATTTGCCATAGATCTCTGATATAGTTTGGCTTTGTGTCCCTACCCAAATGTCATCTTGAATAGTAATTCCATAATCCCCATGTTTCATGGGAGGGACTCAGTGAGAGGTAATTGAATCATTGGGGACAGTTTCTCCCATGCTGCTCTTGTAATAGTGAGTAAGTTCTCATAAGATTTGATGGTTTTATAAGCGTCTGGCATTTCCCCTGCTGGCACTCATTCTCTTTCCTGCTGCCCTGTGAAGATGTGCCATCTGCCATGATTGTAGGTTTCCTGAGGCCTCCCCAGCCATGCAGAACTGTGAATCAATTAAGCCTCTTTTCTTTATAAATTACCCAGTCTCAGGTATTTCTTCATAGCAGCATAAGAATGAACTAATACAGTCTTGTTTATTGTTAATAAACTAAACCTTTAATTAACAAAGGACGCTTGTATTAATGTATTCTAAACTAACCAAAAGTATTATAGCCAAACAGGATGCTAATTAACAGATTACTTAAATATCAAGTATAGGCTGAATCCCTTTTTGCAACAATTTCAATAGTGTTTTAAAATATTGTAGTGGACTTGTTCCTTCAGACCCATTCTCATAAACATGTTAATGGTTACTCACATTTGCAGATTAATACACAGTTTTTCTAAACCACTGGTAAAAGCATAATTTTCAAATTGCATCAAAATACTATCATGTTTGTGTAAAATACCTTCATAATATATTAGATTGGAATAACAAAATTCTTTAAGAAAGTATGTCTTACTATGAGGGTTTCATTTCTACAGGTAAAAGATGGTTTTACCATTACCTGAATGTAAACTGTCTGTGAGATAACAATTCATCTGTTGGGTAATCCATTCATTCAGTCAACTAATCTTCAGGAAGCATTTACCAATAAATTACTATATGTAAGTCCACTTAAAAAATAATAGACAATTCTCAAATAAATAAGAAATCACAAAGACATTTAAAAACGGGATATATAACATGCTACAACATATTATCCTATACATATGCTAAATATCAAGGAAACATGTTTGTTTTAATAAATATGTAAGAGAAACAAATTGGTTAACTTTTAAAGAGGAAATAAATCAATGAAAAAATATATACATTCTTAGAAAAAAATTATTTTGTTATATACCTTTAACCAGTATATGAAAATGCTGAAGAAAGCAATGAGTCCCTAAGTGCCAAATTTGAAATGATGGTAAAACAGTATAATTATATCCATTGGTTAATTTCTATAAGCTGACATTTCTTAATATTAATGTTTATTGGGTATTGTATTACATCTGCCTATTAATCATGACATAAGAATTTCATAAAAATAATAAACCATTTAAAAATGCATTTAAAAATATTTTACTGTTCTCATTTTGCTAAATGTATTTTGCCTTAGAAACTTCATGTGGTTTTATGCCACTCAAGACATTGATTCAATCAGCTAATATTATAGGGCAATAATTCTAAAACTATCTCAGGAGAAAGATCAGTTTTGTTTTGTTTTTAAAATTCTAAATTTATTGCCAAATGATACATTTTTTTAAATAAAATAAAACAGAATTATTTTTAAAAGTAAATCTAAAAAGACATACAAATTATAAGCCTTTTTAAAAAAATTATTGGATTCAAAGGACATAAAACTACTCTGTCAAAAGGCAGATTTTATTAATTTAAAACATTAACCTTTTTAAATGTTTCTTTATACTTCTCATGTCTTGGACCAGTAACAAATGCCAAACTTTTAATATCACTGTTCTGAAAGACACAACAGTGGACAAAAGAAACAAAAATCCCTGTCTAAAGTAAAGCACTGGGGAGGGGGTATGCTGGAGAAGTACAATGTATCTATCTGTCTGTCTGTCTATCTATCTATCTATCTATCTATTTATTTATTTATTTATTTATTTATTTGAGACTGGGTCCCACTTTGTTGCCCAGGCTGGAGTGCAGTGGTGGGTGGCATGATCACAGCTCACTACAGCCTTTACCTGCCAGGCTCAAGAGAGACTCCCAACTCGGCCTCCCAAGTAGCTGGGACTACAGGCATTTACCACCATAGCCAGTTAATTTTTAAATTATTTTTTTGTAGAGATGGGGGTCTCACTCTGTTGTCCAGGTTGTTCTCGAACTCCTGAGCCCAAGGGATCCTCCTGTCTTGGTCTCCCAAAGTTCTAGGATTACAGGCATGAGCCACTGCACCCAGCTAAAGTATAATTTTAAATAAGATGGGAATAAAGGTCATATCTGCGAAGGTAACATTTGATCTAATACCTGAAGGAAACGAGAGACCCAACTACGTGAATAACTAGGAAGATACCATTCTTGGCAGAAGGAATGGAAAGGGCAAAGGCCAAGTAGCTTAAATGTATTAAGAGAGAGAAAATGGTAGAAGATTAAATAAAAGGGAAAATGGAAAGCCAGGTTACACTGGGGCTTTGTGAGGACTTTGGCTTTCACTATGAATGAAATAGGCAGACAGTCATTGGAGAGTTTTCAGCAGAGGAGACACATCGTCCAACTTATGTTTGAAAGAGGATCCTTCTGGCTACTCTATTCAGTAGATCACAGAGGTCCATGGCAGGAATAAGGAAACCTCAATAATCATGTGAGAGGTACTAAAATCTTGGGCCACTCGTGGAAGTGTTGAGAAGACATTCATTTCTAGATATATTTTGAAGGAAAAGCTGAGAACCTTTGCTAATGGGTTGACTATGCAGCAAAAGAGAATAAAGGATGATTCCAAGTTGTATTTGTTTGTTTTATTGTATCCTAAGCAACTGGAAAAATGGAATAGCTATTTGCTAAAATGGAGAAGACTGGATAGATTAACTTTGGGCAATATATCAGGAGATTTGTTTTAGAGATAAGTTTGAGATGTACATTTAACACACAAGTAGAGATGTTAAACAGGCAGTTCAATCTCTGGAGAGAAGGAATTAGAAGCAAAAAGTATATAAAAAACTTTTAGAAGAGTGTTGTTATAAAGGGAATTGGGAATATAGGATACAAACTGGGGTAATGCAGGTTTTGTTTTAGGATGGAAGACGACAAAACAGCATATTTAAAAAAAAATTATTTTTATTTTTATTTATTTATTTTTTGAGACAGAGTTTTGCTCTTGTTGCCCAGGCTGGAGTGCAATGGCATGATCTCGGCTAACCACAACCTCCACCTCCCAGGTTCAGGTGATTCTCCTGCCTCAGCCTCCCGAATTACTGGGTTTACAGGCATGTGCCATCATGCCCTGCTAATTTTGTATTTTTAGTAGAGATGGGGTTTCTCCATGTTGGTCAGACCGGTTTCAAACTCCTGACCTCAAGTGATCCACCTGCCTCGGCCTCCAACAGTGCTGGGATTACAGGCGTGAGCCATCACACCAGGCCAAAACAGCATATTTTTATACTGATGTGAAATACCCAATAGCCAGGGAAATCTGGTGATGCAGGAAAAACAGGAGAAGATTTGCTGAATTGAACTTATTTTCATAAAATGAGATAGAAAAGGATTTAGTGCACAAATAAAGAGGTGACTAAGGATAGAAGCATGAAGAGCTTATCCATAGTAAGAGGAGAGAAGCACATATAATGGCCATTACCTGTGTGCAGGTAGGTGGGTAGTGGTGGTGGTAGGGTATTGTGAAAGTTTGCACTGATTGTTTCTCAGTAAAATATGAGGCCACGTTGTCAACTGGGAGTGATTATGAAGGTGTGCGTGTTAACAGATTGAGGACAGAGGTGAATCAGCAATACAAGCTGTGGAGAATGGAAGTGAATGAACCAGGTAAATTTGATATGATTGCTAGATAGTGCCAAGGTCTCACTTGAAGTTACTGGCCACAAAATTTACCTGAGGAAAGTCGGCATGCCTGTGTGTTTTCTCCACCCTTGTTCAGCTGTGTAGCTGCAGACACAAATGAGCAAAATTGTGTTGTTTTGCCATCAAATACAACGAAATGACATAGTAGCAAGATAATTAGGGATTTATGCAGTGCATAAGTATGATGACAGACTCTGGAATTTAGACTGCATAAAAAAGCAGTGAGTACATGAAGGAAACTGAGGGAGAAAGAAAATGTATAGAATCAATGGATCAAAGATTCTGGGTAGTGAATGGATTTTCAGGATTTAAGGACTTGAAAGAGTGAGATAGAAAATAGAAAATGTTAGTTGGTTGCTTAAAATTGAGATTGTATAAAATTGAGATTGTATAGGGGATGTGGTTAATGTAATGACACAGTCTAATGGTATTTCTATGACGAGCTGAGATAGGAGTGGACAAAATTTATTGAGGAAAATCTGAATGGGCAAGATATAGGAAGAACTGTCTATGCAGATATTTAAAATCACCAAGTTTTAGACTAGCAGTGAGGGTTTAAGACTGATAATGAACAAGAAGCTCAAATATGAGGGGAATGAAAGAAAGTTAATGGAGTTGGCAGATAATTTCAGTAAGCAAGACATAATAATAGGAGATTCAAACTTGGAATAGTAAGAGATGATAGAGAGAGCAAAGTGGTCTGCCTCTGGCAATAACAAGCATGGAGAATAGCTCCCCCACCTCCAGGCAAAGGAGGAGTGTTAGAGTTAAAAATACTTGCCACTTGCAGGGTGAAAAGCAAGAAACATCTAGTTTTCAGTGACAGCAATGTAAATGGAACATTTTGGAGGAAAGGCTGAGTATACAGAGATTTTGCTAAGGAGCCTGGTATGCAATCTGTTTCATACTTCATTCATTCTCAGTTAATTATGGGCTTAATTATTGTACCTATTTAATCACAACATATTCCAATACAGTTAGTCATTGTTCTGTGTAGTTCTTTGAATAGTGTCCCCAAAAATTCATGCCTGGAACCTCTGAATGCAACCTCATTTGGAAATACGGTCTTTCCAAACGTTATTGAAGGATATTGAGATGGAATTCTCCTGAATTTAGGATGGTTCCTAAATCCAATGACTGGTGGCCTTATAAGAAGAGGCATGACACAGAGAGACACAAACAGAGGAGGCAGACACCCAGGGAAGGGGGTCATGTGACAATGGAGGCAGAAATTGAAATGATGCATCTGTAAGCCAAGTCAAGGACTGTTGGAATCACCAGAAGCTGGGAAGAGGCATGGAACACATTCCCCCTCAGAGCCTCCAGAAAGAACCAAATGTCAAAAAGACTTTGGGCTTCTGGCCCCCTTGAATTGTCAGAGAGTAAATTTCTGCTATTTTAAGACACCCAGTTTGTTACACTTTGTTAGTGCACTCCTAGGAAGCTAATACACTGTGTAACAAACCACCTCAAAACTTCAGAGCTTAAAACAACTCCCCCTTGTGCACACTCTATCTCTTTCTCTCTCTCATGCTCTCGCTCTAGCTCTTTCGCTCTCTCTCTCCTTCAGGACAGCTTTTGGGCTGATTAGGATGTTTTGCTGATCTGAGCCACTTTGCTGTTCTAACCTTGACCTGCTCAATGCAGCTGACTTAGGATGGCCTCAGCTAAGATGAAGTGGATTTTCTTTATGTTGTCTGTCATCCTCCAGTAAGACAGCCAAATCTTCTTCACATGGCAGGGGTCGCAGGGAGAGTGGAAAATTTGAATGTGTTTTCAAAGTTCAGTTTACATCACATGTTCTAATTCCAAAGCAAGTCAGATGGCCAAAACCTGAATCAGCGTGGGAGAGCACTACCAATGGGTGTGGATTCACGGAGGTGTAAAAATTGAGCCATTAGTGCAATCATTTTACAAAGAGTGAGTTACCATTTATGATGTTTAGTTACATTTTTTCCAACTGTCAAGACATAGTTGATATTTAGACCACTTGTACAGACTTCTAATATTTGTCAAATATTGACTTTAGTCTGTGGGGAGGAAGGAGCTAAGGTGGCTAGTCTACAATGTATACAGTCTCTTTAATGGAGGACACACCCTGAGGAAGGAAAGAAGTCAACGGACTTTATCCAATTGCCTTATCAATGTGATAGCCAGACTTCCAGATAAACAGACTAATAACATTTTTAGTAAGGAGTTCATATCTATCGAATATTCCTGGTTAAGCATTTTTTATAGTAAATAAAGAGGAAATGTATGTATTTATGAGGCATGATTCCCTGGAAAATGTCATGAAAACTGGGATATAAAATGAATGAGTTTCATAAACTAAATGTTCTCTATGGTGGGAGGTAATGACCTCAACTTAGAGACTGGGCCAGAGAGTCTGTGTCTGATGCAGGAAGGAAGGACAGGGAGAGATGTCCTCAATGTCCCAAGCTTCCTCCTGCTCCTCTGACCCTCTCAATTGTTTATATCCTTAATTGCAAGATATCCTTGATTGCCTGTATTAATAAAGCTTGATATCCTGTGAGAGCTATGATTTCTGTATGACTTGGCAATCCAGTCCTGTGTAGCAGTGCTCTCTATTAGCTTAAATAATGCATTAGTCACATTATTTAAATGGTTGTGGAACATAATCTCCTACATATCAGTTCCAACTAGTACAAAATAAAACTAATTTCATTTCAATTAAAGATGAACTTCTATCCTGTTCCTTTGGTCATATTTCACATTTTGATAGAATAATAACTGCTTATAGAGGCTTTAATTTTCTAAATGTAAGAATATATATTCATATTTATTC
The DNA here is from genome assembly GCF_000001405.40 of Homo sapiens. Classification (NCBI taxonomy): domain Eukaryota; kingdom Metazoa; phylum Chordata; class Mammalia; order Primates; family Hominidae; genus Homo; species Homo sapiens. Next base: position 225,808,675 of record NC_000002.12, read on the forward strand.
TTTCCACAGATATTATTTAGTGTTTACACTGTATTAGCCATTGTTCATGAGCCTAAGTGCTGTATTTCTCAAACTGTAACCATTGGGTTTTCCCCCAAAAGTCTGTTGTAGGCTGATAATTTTGTAAAATACAGTGAATATATCCTTTGTTACTGCAACAACATCAATTGCCATTACAGTTTCTAAATACTAATGCTTAAGTTATATACTTTTGTTGCAGATCAGTGGTAGTTTATCTCAAGGTAAAGTTTTTGAGTAGCACTTTGAGTAGCACTGCAGATGGAGATATTCAACAGTAATACAAAAGCACTAAATTTTATTCCAGTAAAGAATTAAGTAAACTAATAATTAAAGTAAAATGCAACATATTATATCATAGAATATTATGAAACTCAAATATTATAAAATAAGTAGGTTTCCTTTGTCCTGACAGACAATTGTATATGCACAGAAAATCTGCAAGTCAAAGTCCAGAATTGGGAACAATGGTGTTCCCCAAGGATAGAGACTAATGCAGGGGCTGAGGGGGTGGGGAGGGCTGGAAGGCATGTTGGTAACAATTCTTTCCTCTTTTAACCTTAAATACCCTTAAATTTTTCTTTTAATAATAAACATTTATTACCTATTAAGTAAATTAATTTTACAACTAGAATATAATAATATAATAGAGGCATAAGGAGCTTCAAGAGTTCATGGGAAACAAAATTAAAAGCTAAAAATATAATTTTTTCAATGTAAGCTCCATCAAGTGCAGGACACTTTTATAGATGATGATACCAGATATTTAGTCTGTCCCTAAAGAACTGAAGGTGTTGGGAATTTAACCATATCAATGCTGTCTTTTTTACATCATTAACAGAAGGAAAATGAGTGCGCTTTACAGATTTTTTAAGATTAGGAAACAAAAAGAAAAAGAAGTCAGAAGGAGCCAAATCAGATGGTAAGGTGAATGCTTAATTATTTCCCATCAAAATTCTTGCAGAATTTTCCTTGTTTGATGAAAGAATGAGCGGGAGCGTTGTCCTGGTGGAGCAGAACTCTCTGGTGAAGCTTTCCTGGGTGTTTTTCTGATAAAGCTTTGGCTAACATCTCAAAATCCTCTCATAATAAGCAGAAGTTTATTGTTCTTTGGTCCCCCAGAAAGCCAACAAGCAAAGTGCCTTGAGCATCCCTAAAAGCTGACCTTTACTTTGACCGGTCTGCTTTTGCTTTGACTGGACCACTTCTACCTCTTGCTTTGAGTGTGCTTTGCTCTCAGGATTGTACTGGTAAAGCCACGTTCCATCTCCTGTTACAATTCTTCAAAGAAATGATTCAAGATCTTGATCATTCTTGTTTAAAATTTCCATTGGAAGCTCTGCTCTCGTCTGCAGCTAATCTGAGAGCAATGGTTTTGGAACCCATTGAATGGAAAATAAGCTAAACTTTAATTTTTCAATCAGAATTGTGTAGGCTGAGCCAATTGAGATGTCTATGGTATGGGCTGTTGTTTCTGCTGTTAATCTTCAGTCCTCTTCAGCTGAGCAAGGAATAACCTGAGCTTTTACCTCACAAATTGATTGGGTGGTCTGCTATTGCAGGCTTCATCGTCAACATTGTCTTATCCCTTCTTGAAACAAATAATCCATCTGCAAACTGATGATTTTTGGGGGGCATTGTCCCTATAAACTTTTCATAAAGCATCGATGATTTAACCATTCTTCCATTGAAGCTTCATCAGTTTGATGTCTGTTCTTGTTTCTCTTTTAGCAGAATACACGTTGCCCTGATAGGGGCCCTTTTCAAACTGATACATCATTCTGCTTGGTGCTTCAAAGTAGATCCTGTTCAAACATGTAATAGCAAGGTAGTATGAATTTATTTTGGTGTAAAAAATTTTGAAATCCAGGCATAGTTTTTTCATAATAAACATTTTCCAAGGCCTTTTTGAAAAGCCCTTCTATAAAGGTCCAGATATCATTTAGTAAAAAATATGTATGTTTTTCAACCCCTCTTAAAATATGAAAACATTTAATGATAACCATGTTAGTCTGAATGCATTTCATGTCCCCTCTGCTTATATGTTTTATATCTAACCTGCTATCCTTATAGCACACATTATACCACACACAGACACACAGACACACACACACTTTACATGTGTATTATATATGATATATGATATTTATTCCAGTTTTTGCCATTGATTTTATTTTTTCTGTTTAAAAGAAGGGGTTCATATTAGATGTTTTAAGCGTTTGTCAAGTAAAATTTTTTCTTAATTATTTTGGGGAGAACACATTCATCCAAATATACCATCAAAGCACTCAGATATGGTGAGATTTGGGCATGGCTGTTTCTCTTGTTTTAATCAGATAGCCTATTCATGTGTATACTGCATGAGAAGGCCACCTTCTACATATAGAGATGTAAGTTTCACAGAAGGAAATTTCAATGCTTATTATTACACTTTTCCTGTTATGAAGACTTTCATATACATGAGCAGATTTTTTTCTGAATGTTATAGCCTGAGAAACCAAATAACATTAATAAAAAAGAAATCATAAAAAACTTTCAGTGTCATACATTTGGGTGATGTTATCATGAAGATTCATAAGAATGAACTTGGCCCCTCATATATTGATGCCATTTCTGGACACTTTAAAAATGGATAATAATCATAAGCGTGTTAAAACTCCCAATCACTATTACTCTTGGCATATTAGTCCATTTCTCACACTGTTATAAAGAACTGCCCGAGACAGGGTAATTTGTAAAGGAAAGAGGTTTAATTGACTCACAGTTCTGCATGTCTGGTAAGGTTTCAGGAAACTTACAATCACGGCAGAAGATGAGGGGAAAGCAAGGTACCTTCTTCACAAGGCGGCAGGAAGGAGGATGAATGCAGGAGGAACTACCAAAGACTTATAAATCCATCAGATCTTGTGATAATTCATTCACTACCACAAAAACAGCATGGGGGTAACCACTTCCATGATTCAATTACTTCCACCTGGTCTCTCCCTTGACACATGGGGATTATAGGGATTATGGAGATTACAATTCAAGATGAGATTCTGGGTGGAGACACAATCAAACCATATCAATAGGGTTGTACTTCTTGATCTAGCATCAATTTTTTCAACTTTTTGAACATGTTTATGGCATCAGTGAGCATAGCACCACCATTATCCATACCATGAATTACTCTACTAAAATGCACAGAGACCAGTTACTTCTAGAACAGTGATTTGACTATAATAGCTTTTTGTCAAACATTTTAAGTTTTATCTGATTTGATGACTATTTACTTACTTAACATTACTTAATATTTAATGGCTTTGGAGTTAGGTGACCTGGATTCACATTTGGCTCTATCATTTACTAGCACATAACTCTCACAGTTTTATTCAGAATACAGATGATTCCAGAAAGGTATCTGATGATGGGTTTTCTCAAGAATTTCTGAACAGTATTGACAGCACTGATGTCCACGGTACATTAAAACTTGCCATTTCTCTTTCCCAGAGAGTGGATATTTGATATGTTAAGAAGAGAGGAACATTGCTGATAGGTAAACAGCATAATTTATCTAACAGTGAGCCAGAAATTTGAATACTTGGATATGTAAAGCGAGTCTCATCCAGCTGAACATGGGTGGTTGCCTGCCTCAGCAGTTTTCTCATCACAGCCATCACCTCCAGAGCAATACTGGATTATAAGGCAGTCCACTAAAATAAAATGAATTTGTCATTCCAAATAGTCTTCATGAGAGTATGACTAAAATTGATATAGACATTTAAATTTTCTCTAATATGCTCCTGGAAAACCAACTGATCTTGCCATCTTCAAGTTAGTACACAACATCTCACCTCTTTTTCTAGTCACAGTTCAACCCTACAAAACTGATATGGAAACTGATATGGTTAGGCTGTGTCCTCACCCAAATCTCATCTTGAATTGTAGTTCCCATAATTCCCAAGTGTTGTTAGAGGGACCCAGTGGGAGATAATTGAATCATGGGAGCAGTTTCCCCCATACTGTTCTCATGATAGGGAATAAGTCTCACAAGATCTGATGATTTTAAAACAGGAAACCCCTTCAGCTAGATTCTCATTCTCTTCTCTAATCTGCCACTATGCAAGACCTGCCTTTCACCTTCTGCCATGACTGTGAGGCCTCTTCAGCCATGTGGAACTGTTAGTCCATTAAACTTCGAAATTTCTTTCGTAAATTGCTAAGTCTCAGGTATGTCTTTATCAGCAGTGTGAGAACAGGCTAATACAGAAACTAAATAGAAACTAAAAGTGAGTTTCCGGGAACCTCATTAAGGCTGGTCATCCACAGCTACTAGATTGTATTGGATATCATGTTGCTAGTCAACTATAAGGATGATAGGCTTATGTTATAGAGATTGGAGCTTTAATATCTGTATTCAATCAATCACTTATTTAGTTACTCCTTAACATAATCAATTAACATTTACTGAATGATTATCATGGCCCAGGTCCTATATCATGTGACAGTAAAAATAAAATAAAAAAAGTTTGTTTTTTCTCCCACATTATTTCTGCTGCAGGTATAGACTGAAAAATTTGCACAGAGAAATGCCATATATAAAATAATAGGGATGAGAAATATAAACATGTGTTCTACCTTCTGTTTATTACATAGTAATACATGAATAGATGCATATACCACCATAAAATACAAAAACTAGGGCAGGATATATAGCAAAAAGTGAAACCCCCTTCAATTACAGCCTTAGCCAGTGTTCCACCAAAAATTTATGTGCATTCTTCAAAATTTTTGCTATATTTATACACACCCTTGCTTTCCCATATGTATGATATAAAATATATGTTTGTGTATGTATATGCATACACATATGTATAGTTTTAAGAATTTGTGGGTTTGTTTCAAACATAATTCAGCTTGTGCAATAATATGATGCTGTAATTTGTTTTCTCCATATATATGTTTTGGGGATCTTCCCATGTCAATGTATTTAGCTCTACTTTCTTCTTTTAGCTGAGTCATGGAAGACTAGTATAGAGAGTTATTCTTTATTAACATTAACTCATAAGATAATAATAATTTATAAATCACCAATTAAAAAAAATAGGGCAAGAAAGTTGAAGAAAAATTTTCCCGTTTCCAAAAGTAGTATGAGAAACTGGATAGGAATTTGTCATTTTTGCCTTATTTTTATTTTTTAAATTTCATTTTATATCTCATCGGTCAGAGTTGGAAAAAGATATAATACATAGGCCGAGTTCCTTAGAACAGAAAACCATGCCACTGTATTGCAAGTTCTGGAGAAGCTAGTCACATCATAATCTTAGTATCACCCCTGGGGTTTTTCTGCACGCTATGCATAGCTACATATTGTAGCCTTGATGGGAAAGAAGACAACCTGAGGAAGAGAATTCTAGGCACAAGGAATAGCAAATATGAAGCACATGAGTTGGACAATGATAAGTTTAAGGCTAGAGATGAATATCATGAGGGAAAAAAAATGGGTTGAAGAAGACAAAGAAGAGCCAATCATGCAGAAGCTTGTAGACCATCAGTAAGGGATAAATGAAAGTGAGAAGAGAGAAGAAAGACAAGAAGGAGAAAGAGGGGAGGGGAGGAGGAGAAAGAGAAAGAGATATAGAAAAGGAGAAGAAAATTAAACAGATGATAACAATATAGAGAAGGAAGAGTAGTAATGCTGTTTAAATGATAAAATTAAAGACCACAGTGATTTAGAAGAAATTACCAAGAGGCAGAAAACAAAAATGGTAGAACTTATCAGTTCCTCGTAGAAGGGAATACCTGAAAAATGTTGGAGGCATAATGGGTATAGTTTCAGGTATATAAAAAACTATAATCTGGATAGAGCAACTGATGAAGAACTACAAGTGTTTGTTTTACTTTACTGACATTTTAAAACCAACTTCATCCAGTAATCTTTGTGCAGACAAGTCTGAGCAGACAGTCTTATAGAATCTGTAAAGAAGATCCCAATCTCCTGTATTATGCTTTATCTATGCTGAGTAACCCTAGGAGACAGATTTTTCCTCTCATATTTTTGTGTTGATTTAATTTCAAATATGTCTAAAAGGAAAAAAAATGAATCAGTTACACAGCTTGACAGGCATAAACAGGTTTTGCTCTGCTACCCACATTATCTGTAAGATTGTCATTCTTTTTGTCTCTCCACTTGGCATTCACAAGGTACAGTAACAATTATTTAGTTGTGGAGAAATTCCTGTGTTATTTTGAAATGAGTTATAATCAGTTACAAAATTTGACATGCATGTAATTTAATGTCCAAAGACATTAGAGCTCTTGGATGTTTACTATTTGTAGTGATGAGAGGGACAAGAAGAGAATTTAATTTAGTTCTCACTCATCTGAAAGGTGTCAAGCTTTGTTCTTACAATTTTTTTTTCTTCTCTCTTACACTTCTCTGTGGATAAATATTAAGAAAAAATAACTTTGCCTGAATTCTGACCTGTTATTTCATTGTGTGTCTCATGTTTGACTTGGTGGAGAGAATGCTAGATTAAGGCAGTGCCTACAACAGCATGCTGAAGAGTGCAATATATGAAAGCCAGTCTTGACAAGGGTGCCTGGGCTTAACAATGGCTGTGCTGGTTAAAGAAGAGCACCACATCCAGATCAAGTACCTAGTATGTGAAGAATCACAATGTATATAGAGAAGATTGCCTGAGCCCGTGTATGCCACTTGTACACCAGAATGGCCAGCGTTATCTCAGTGCTGTGAACATATTTGGTGCTCTTCAAAGGTTATTACCAGCAACCCAGGCTCTGCTTCCTGGAGGAACACTTCAGCGTTAAGGATGGAAAGCACCTTGGTGTTATATTCTATTATTGCTCAGCCACACCAGAGAGCAAAGCTCCAAATTCTATAGAATCTCATATTTGTATCAACATCTGTTTCTTTTTTATTTATTCTATTTAATAGTTTATTCAACAAATATTTATTATGCGCACAGGTTGTATCAGACACTATGAGATTTCATGAAGACAAATGCAATCCTCTACAATTCCCTCTGAGCAGTGTGAGGACCCATAAGATCAGGCTGTTCCTGAGGTTTCCCCCAGTGATCTCAAGTCTTTAATAGCATTGCAATCCTAAGTGTCCCATCAGAAGGTTAGGTGCAACTTTTTCTTCTCATCATATCAGGAAATAAAGTGTACAAAAGCTCATGAGACCAAAGCCTGAATACCTGAAGTCAGATGGTGTGACTCTCTCTAGTTTGTGAATAAGAGAACTTTGTGGTTACAAACAACAAATAGGTAGAAGAGCTTAAACGTGTTCTTGGAAGAATGCTTCCCTTCTCGGAGTAACTAATTTGTTAACCATTTGATATGAATTTTGTGGTTTGAAATGTTGGTCTTTTTATAAGGATTGATCTCTATGATGATGCCTTCAGAAACTAATGAGTGAGCTGGCCATTTACTTTTAAATGTTAAATATCTAGTACCTGCTGCTGGAAGTGAGCTGTGTGGAGGCTGAACTCTGTAGGCGATATTGCTTATATCATGTGCCAGAGTCAGAATTTCATCTGATATTCAGGTCTGAACTTTCTTGTGAAAATATCAATATACTTATATCTATGTCTACATAATTATCAATCTTAGTAAATGTACATGTCTTCATAATGGAATAAATTATATAACTTAGGACTTCATAAAAAAATAAAAGTATTCATTGAAAATTATATATGTGTATAAAACCATCTTTGCAAAAATCATAACAATGAAAAAATTATGACAGTGAAAGAGACTGACCTAACCAATCCTCATCTTGCCTTTAACCTCCAAACTTCCATTGGTTATTCCTGGGGTTGGCCCAAGCTAACTTTGGGAGAAATGTAGTTTAAATGATAATAGCCCTTTCCCCAAACTAACACCTTTTGTAAAACTAATGAAAGATGACCAGGTTAGGAGGATGAGAGGGGCCTGAATTCTGCTAAGATGTAGGTGTAAATGAACACCAGGCATTATTGCAGAGATCAAAAGATTTGCAACTTCCCCAATTACTCCTGCAGATAATATCACTATTGTAGAACGTGAGATTGACCTTTTGAGATGTCCTTTCAGGCCTCCACTTTTCTGTTGACTGGATGACCCAACCAAAAGCAGACTCAACACATGAGGACTATTTTCCACACCCTTACGATTGCATCCCCAACCGATCAGCAGCACCCAGTCCCCTAGCTCTCTGCCCACCAAACTATCCTTGAAAAACCCTAGCCTCTGAATTTTTGAGGAGGCTGATGTGAGTAATAATTAAAACTCCCATCTTCCCTTTGGCCTGCTCTATGTGCACTCTTTCTCTATTGCAATTCACCTGTCTATATTGACTGTATCTGGGCAGCAAACAAAATGAACCCACTGGGCAGCTACATGTATACACACATACAAACATATTTGCAAGCATGTGCACATGTACATATGCAAGCACATGTACATACACACACACACACACACACACACACACACACACACACACACACACACAGATTTAGGTTTCCACCTACACCAGGGCTTTTTGTGATGGGTCAGTGACTCTTTCTATGGCTTTTTACTTCAGCTTCTAGACTCCTTCTCATCCCCATTTCCTCACACATTTGTCCAAGGTCTAACCCTTCTAATGAGTCAATTATTCCCATAATGCCCATAATGGCCAGACTTTCACGATTGAATCCTGACTGATAAGTATATGAGGTGAATAGAATGATGATGACCTTTACTTTTAAAATTGATCACTGGCTGCTCTCTAGAAGGTGTATAAAAAGGGATACAACTGGAATCTAGAGGATCACTTAGGGGCTATCACAAGGACATGGAAGGAAGTGGCTGAGCAAGAATTTTGGAGAAAGAAGTAACAGGGGTTGATGAAATTGTTAAAATACTTTATGAGATTCCTCATATAATTATATTTCTGGATCTCTTTTCAAATGGAAAGTTCTGACAATATTGGCCAATCATGATCTGAGTGGTAGTTTCCTCTAATTGGATCAGGTGGCCTCTGGTTTTTCAAAGTCCCCATTTCTCCCTATTGTTTTACACATTTCTCATTTTATAACTTGACAGTATATGCCTGATTTCTCTTTGTGAGCCAGTTTGGTTTGAATGTGGCCCCAAAGTTCATTTGCTGAAAACTTAATCTCTAGTCAGCAGTGTTGAGAGGTGAAGCCTAGTGGGTGATGGTTAGTCATGAGGGTCCATGCTTATGAACAAATTCATGCTGATTATAAAGAGATCTGAAGCTACGAGTTCCATCTTTTTTTCACTCACCCTCTCTTACCCTTTTAACTTCCATCACTGTATGAGGTAGCAAGAAGGCCCTCACGAGACACTGGCACTTTGATACCGGACTTCCCAAACTCCAGAGAACTGCGGGAAATACATTTCTTTTTGTTGTAAAATATCCAGTCTGTGGTATTCTGTTATGGTAACACAAAACAGAGTAAAATATGAGCCTTTATGAGTACTTAATAAACAATAGCCCTTTTCTGTGTTATTATTGTGAAGAATTTGCATGGAGGAATAGAAAAGATATTGGGCTTCCAGAGAGAATTACTGAGCACAATTAAAGAGCCACCAATTAGCCCAGGCACACTGGACATTTCTGAATCTCCAAATATGTAACAATGAGGATAAAAACATTTGTTGTACCTCCCCCACAGAGCTGTTGTGAGAATCAGGTGAGGAGGGCAATAGCCTCTCTTCTCTGGCTCTAATGTTGTGCAGAGCTCACATATAACTTTATTCTGCCACCTATTTTAACATCTTGTGTAGTTTATGTGTTTTTTTCTCTATGAAGTAATTTATTCCTTGAGGATTGGTAATGTGCCTCATTCATTTTTGCATCTCCTACAGCTTGAGCAAAGAGATTTGCACATAGTGGCGCTAAGTAAAAAATTGAATTTGTTAAGTGATATATATATGAGATATTTTATAAATTGTGAATGGATCCTGACATAAAAATGTAGCACACTTCTGAATCACTGTGTCCCGATTCTCTGGCTATTGCTCTAAACTAGGATCACCTGAGCAACACCTTCAATCTGAATCTACAAGCAGGTCCCATTTATAGTAGTTGATCTTGTCAGCAAGTTTCAATAAATCCAGTGCAGTGTAACTTAAACTCTAAAGTTCTGAGAAGCTCACGGGTAGGAAATAGAACAGGTGTGGCTTGATTAGATGCATGGCTTAATTAGAGAGCTGCTTTGTTCCTGTCTGATTCTTCTGGTTTGGCTCTGCTCTCTGTTGTTTCTTTGTTCTTAAACTGGATTGCCTGGTCATGAAATTATGTTCATAAAATGCTATAAAGAGGTTTTAGACTTCACAACTGCTCACCACACTGTATATGAGAGAGAACATTGGTGTCCACAATTCCCAGAAAATGTCCTGAAATCTGTGCTGATTGGAGACATGGTGTTTGGCTAAGGCCTAACTTGCCCAAACATGTGGCAAGCTGAGCTGCGCTACCCTACGTGACACTCATCAGGGGAGTTGTGGGCTTTTTTGATGGGACATTTCTCTATTGTGCATAATCGTTTGCATTTCTGCTTGCTGCCACTCAGTGTCAACGGCACCCTCTAGTCACCGAGACAACTAAAAGTGCCCCTCTCTAATTGACTCAGAGGAAAGAGTGTCCCTACTATTTAAGACTAATCAGGATTCTTTCCTAAAACTTATGGAACCAAATGTTGCTACATATTGGAAAAATAGTGCAACAGCTGCTGAGAACTCAACAATAACATCCAACACAGCCAGGCAGTTTGAAACCTAAGGGAGATTGGTGGCCACTTCCATTGTTTAGAATCACAACAGAGACCAGAAAATACTTATCTCCCTCCCATTTCTTTAAGAATAGAAATAACAATCATTTGTTGCCATTATTTTAGGTTCTTTGTGACGCCTTATCTCCTGTATCATTCACAACAACCCCCAAGTTTTCATATACCCTTACAAATGGGAAAGCTGGACTCAAAGTGTAGTGTCTTAGTAAATTACCCATTACCACAGCTGATAAGTGGCTACACCAGGAGCTGGCAAACATTTTCTTTAAAGAGTCAGGTAGTAAACATTTTAGACTCTGTGGATGATACAGTTTCTGTAACAACTACTGCGTCACTCTAGTGCATGAGCAGCCATATACAATATGTAAACAATAGACATGCTGTGTTCCAATAAAACGTTATATATAGCAACTATGATTTACATTTCATATAATTTTCAATGCCATTAAATATTCTTCTTTTGATTATTTTCAGACACGCAAAAAAAAATTTCTTAGCTACAGGTGATATGGTTAGGCTTTGTGTCCCCACCCAAATCTTGAATTGTAATCCTCATAATCCCCACATGTCAAGGGAGAGACCAGGTGGAGGTAATTGGATCATGGATTGGTTTCCCCCATGCTGTTCTCATGATATTGAGTTCTCATGAGATCTGATGGTTTCACAAGGGGCTCTTCCCGCTTTTCTCGGCACTTCTTCCTGTCGCCTAGTGAAGAAGGTGTCTTGCTTCCCCTTCACCTTCCACCATGACTGTAAGTTTCCTGAGGCCTTCCCAGCCATGCTGAACTGTGAGTCAATTAAACCTCCCTCCTTTATGAATTACCCAGTCTCAGGCAGTTCTTCATAGCAGTGTGAAAATGGACTAGTACAATGGGCATATAAAAACAGGCGGTGGGCTGGATTTGGCCCATGGGTCATAGTTTGCTGAATCCTGCCACACAGAAAAATCCCACTGTGTTCTGGGATGGAACTAGGAGTGTTATATGGGCATCTAGTTGTGGAGCCATCACTCTTAGCCTCATACCTTATTGAGAGTGCTCTCCATGCCCATGTCATCAGTGACCCACAGTCTGAAGCCTGGAGGCTGACATAGTGGGATCTTGTAGTTCTTCATGAGTCTGGACCATTGGGTCCATCATCTACCTGGATTCAAGGCTTTTGTGTTCACAAAGGCATGTCCTGTGAGCTATTGGACCTTATAGAATGCCTCAAATCCCACCAGTGATGTCAGCTCTTTGCTTTACCACAGTTGTCCATTATTTAGTTTTCTTTTTAAAAAGGTATTCTTTAGGCCTGATATAGGCCTATTATTTTACTAGTGTATGCTTTTATTTTGAGCTCACACATTAAAAAGCTGGGTTTGAGAAGCAAGTGTTTGATGGCTTTGTTTCCCTCTTTAAGAAACATGCCACACTGTTGAAGGCAATCAGGACCCACACCTGTCACTGAGCACCAGCTGAACTTGCTCATCAGAGATGCATCCTGGACCACGTTCAGGACCAGCCCGAGGCAGAGGCAAGTGAGGCAGCTGCCTGGGGGGAGAAACAGCACAAACTTGAACAGGTGCCTGGAGGCCTGAATACTTCAAATATTTAAGATGGGAACCTTGCCCACGAGTAATTTTAAACCCGTACATTTATCTTTCGGTTTTGCCTTCAAGCCCATTTTGTAAACGCATTCGAGTTTCCTTCTGTAGGTTCACTGTTCATTTTAGAAAGGTTTCATGTACTTTTCTTCATTTTTTTCTTTTTTTACATGGAAAGTCAGTATATTGTCTCACACTTAGCATAGTGATATGTTTTCTATATCCAGCTTGTTAGCATATGAATGAATAAAAATACAATTCTCCAAACTAAGAAAAAAAGGCCTGCTTTTCATAAAACATTTTAGCATAAAAATAGAAGAGAAATGACAATTTTACCTTTAAGCTTTAATTTTAATTCAGTTCGGAATTCAAGTTGTAGAAAGGGGAGTCACATGCAAGAACCAAGGATCCTACTGCCTTGAAGACATCACCATATGGAAGCCATTTGTGAGCATTTGTGAGCAGTGGCTGTACTAGACAAACCTTTGTCTCCTGAATGCAATTTAATGTGAGATGTCTCTGTTTAAGATGCTTGGTAATCACATATGGGGATTTCCTTGACTTTCAGCTCTCTGGAACAGGGTGGCCTCCAGAGCATGTGGTTCTGAGAGTTTTATCTCATGGTGCTCAGACAGGAACATGGCGCTGCAAAAATGTCATTTAAACATCTTGCTTTGTGATCTTGATAGCTGATTGTTGTTGTTGTTTGGGGTTTATTTATGTTTCTGTTAGTAGGTCTGATTTTTACCACTGTAATTCATATTTTTTCTTAAAAGAAAAAATAAACATTAATTTGGCACATTAATAACTTAAGAATTTGCCAAATGCCTTTGTTTTTCCATTTGCACAATTTTGAATTTTATTTTACACATTTCTTCTGGCTCATTTGTATTGCTATCATTCCTTGGAAATGCTATCATTATGATAACATGCCTGTTAATGAGGATGCATTTACTAGCACATGTTGTTGATGGAAATTTTATAGGTGGTAGGAAAACCATTCGCTCACTTCTTTATGACATTATACCTCTTGAATTCCTCCCACTTTCCAGGTCCTCTGTGGGCTTTGGATAGAGTTTAGAATAAATCAGACACATTTTCCTATGCTGACGCAGCTACCAGTCTACTGAGAGATGTGCAAAATCAATAAGAAATATTGGGACATGTTTTAGAATATAATATGTGTTACTGTATTAATGCCATTAAATTACTAGTATTAATGCCATTAAATACTAACTTTAATAATGTTGAATGTGCCACCATCCCCAAATACATATGCGATTTTGAATCAAAAGTATGGTGGCAAGGTCCAGCTGAAACTTGAGTGTGGCAGTATTTGGAAAAGGAAACATTGCTGGGCAGATCTGTTCTGGGAAGATTATCATAAGGAACAGGACCATCAGAAAGTGTCATATGCACTTTGACAACTGCCACTGGCTGTAGATACTGTTCCTGTTTTTCAAGTGAAGAAATAGAAGCTCAGAAAAGTTAAGTGCCCAAGAGGGCCTGGCCACTAAGTGGTTTGGCTAAGATCTGGAGAGTCAGCCTCAGGTACATAATGGTAAAGATCACATACTCCAACTATATTTCTTGGATCCAGCCTCTGTCACTTGCTGGCTTGTGATCTTAGGCATGTTTCTTAACCCTTGTGTGCCTTAGTTTCTTTTTCTATAAAATGGGTATATGAAGAGTATTTTCCTTATTTGAATTACTATAAGGATTAAATTAGTTCACATTAGCCAAGTATATAGAACTGTACCAAGGACATAACTAGCACTGTATAAGTGTTTGGTAAATAAAATAAACATTAAAATATAAGTACCAGGTCTGTCTGACTCCAGAACTTGCTGTCTTTATATAGCCTCATGCGGATTTGGGGGTGCAGCTACAAGTGCTAAGTTTATTCCTTCTCTTCTATCAGCTGTGTAGCTTTCTGATATGAGAAGGGTGGGGGGGTCAGAGGTAGAAGGAAAAGAGATGAGAAATCACAAATTTTTCATTCTGTCATTATAGCCACTGTGATCTCTTTTTCCAAAAAGGACCAAATTGGGTTTGTTTTCAGAACAAGTCAGAAAAAAGGTATTGTTACTCCAGGGGTGCATGAAAAAGAAAAAAAAGAAAAAGCACATACGTAAACAAACAATAACAAAAACCCTTCCTCTGGTTTGTTGACGCATGACATTCCATTAGGAAGACAATTTCTTTCATCTTCCAATTGATGTTTTAGGATAAAACAGTTGAGCTGATATAAATGATCCTGAGCCTTCTTCCCAGAGGATATATTAATCAAGGTATCACTGCAGGGTAGAAGTTGAATAATTTAGCATCTTTTAGTCAAGAATTGAATAAACTCATGGTTATTCATTTTATTTTAAGTACATTTAAATGAATACAAAATTTCTAACCATTAGTAACACAGTAGATGTTGCTGTGATGTTTTTGGATATTTCTAAAATTATTTTACACCATAGGGTACAATTATATACTTGGCTATAAAAATTCTAATGGGAAACAGACTCATTTTATCAACTAAACATAAGAAGTGTCAAATAAATATCAGTTTGATTTGCTTAGTCATTTATAACTGCTAATAAAATAAATAAACCTACTTAACAGTATTTCCTTGAAGTCTAAAAACGCTATTTTTAGATTTTAAAAAAACAAAAATGTGTTTGCTTATCAACACTCTAGAGAGCAAATAAATCTTATAATTAATTTTTCACTAATATCCTGATTCATGCCATTCCTTGAGTGTGGTTTAAATCAATCTGTAAAAAAAAATGTCTAATTCACAAAATCCAGGTTGATTTTTAATCAAATAATGTGAAATATTTAAGAATTGGAAAAGTATATGAGGAGTCTTCAAAATGTTCATGGAAAATGTGTATTATGAAGAAACTATGCATGGATTTCAAAATATTTTTGCACTGAAATAAGCTCATATTAACTGGTTATAATATGCCAGAACAGGATCTAGTTTGACGCAGTGAGAAGGATAAGACATTAGTTTGAAAACAGCCCCTGTGAAAGCAACATGTATTCTGCTAAAATTGAACAAAAACAAACCTTAAATTGATGGTGAAGCTTGGATTGAAGAATGATGAAATCATTGATGCTTTATGAAAAGTGTATAGAGACAATGCCCCCAAGAATCAGCAGTTTACAAAAGGAGCCATTAATTCAGAGGAGGGGACAAGATGGCTGAATGGAAACAGCTCTGGTCTGTAGCTCCCAGCAAGACCAACACAGAAGGCAGGTGATTTCTGCATTTCCAACCGAGGTACCCAGTTCATCTTACTGGGACTGGTTAGGCAGTGGGTGCGACCCATGGAGAGTGAGCAGAAGCAGGGTGGGGTGTCACCTCACCCAGGAAGTGCACAGAGCTGGGGACCTCCCTCCCCCAGCCAAGGAAAGCAGTGAGGGACTCTGCTACCTGCCCAAGGTACTATGCTTTTCCTATGGATTTTTGCCATCTGAGGATCAGGAGATTGCTTCGCGAGCTTACCACCACCAGGGCCCTGGGTTTCAAGCACAAAACTGGGCGGCTGTTTGGGCAGGCACTGAGCTGCAAGTTTTTTCATACTCCAGCAGTGCAGAACTCCAGTGAGACTCCAGTCTCACTGTCCACTGTCCACTGTCCTGGAAAGCGGGCTAAAGCCAGGGAGCCAAGCGGTCTTGCTCAGCGAGTCCCACCCACACGGAGCCCAGCAAGTTAAG
Source organism: Homo sapiens (assembly GCF_000001405.40). NCBI lineage: Eukaryota > Metazoa > Chordata > Mammalia > Primates > Hominidae > Homo > Homo sapiens. Next base: position 225,824,785 of record NC_000002.12, read on the forward strand.
AACCGCTGGCTTGAAATTCTCGCTGCCAGCACAGCAGTTTGGAGTCAACCTGGGACTATTGAGTTTGGTTGGGGGAGGAGTGACCGCCATTACTGTGGCCTTAGTAGGCTGTTTCCCCCTGACAGTGCTAAGCAGACTGGGAGGTTTGGACCGGATGGAACTCACCACAGCACAGCAAAGCGGCTGTGACCAGACTGCTTCTCTGGATTCCTCCTCACTGGGCAGGGTATCTCTGCAGGAAATCCAGCATCTCCAGGCAGGGGCTTACAGGCAAAATTCTCATGTCCCTGGGACAGAGCACCTGGGGGGAGGGGCGACTGCAGTGGCAGCTTCAGCAGACTTAATCTTTCCTGCCTGCCAGCTCTGAAGAGAATGGTTGATCCTGACAAGGGGGATTCTCCCAGCACAGCGCACCAGCTCTGCTAAGGGACACGCTGCCTCCTCAACTGGGTCCCTGACCCCTGTGCCTCCTGACTGGGAGAGACTTCCTGATAGGGGTCAACAGACACCTCATACAGGAGAGCTTCAGCTGGCATCAGGCCAGTGCCCTTCTGGGACGAAGCTTCCAGAAGAAGGAGCAGGCAGCAATTTTTGCTGTTCTGCAGTCTCCACTGGTGATACCCAAGCAAACAGGGACTGAAGTGGACCTCCAGAAAACTGCAACAGACCTACAGAATAGGTGCCTGACTGTTAGAAGAAAAACTAACAAATAGAAAGCAACAACAACAACATCAACAAAAAAGACCTCCCCCCAAAAAAAAAATTAAAAATAAAAACCTCATCCAAAGGTCATTGGCCTCAAAGATCAAAGGTAGATAAATCCATGAAGATGAGGAAAAAACAGCACAAAAACACCGAAAACGCCAAAAGTCAGAATACCTCTTCTGCAAATGATTGCAACACCTCTCCAGCAAGGGTGCAGAATTGGACAGAGGATGAGATGGATGAACTGATCGAAGTAAGCTTCAAAAGGGGGTAATAACAAATTCTGTTGAGCGAAAGGAGCATGTTCTAACCCAATGCAAGGAAGCTAAGAACCTTGATAAAACGTTACAGGAGCTGCTAACTAGAATAATCATTTTAGAGAGGAACATAAATGACCTGATGGAGCTGAAAAACACAGCACAAGAACTTTGTAAAGCATACACAAGCATCAGGAGCCAAATCGATCAAGTGGAAGAAGGGATATCAGAGTTTGAAGACCACCTTGCTGAAATAAGGCATGCAGACAAGATTAGAGAAAAAAGAATGAAAAGTAATGAACAAAGACTCCAGGAAATATGGGACTATGTTAAAAGACCAAACCTAGAATTAATTGGAGTACCTGAAAGAGACAGGGAGAATGGAACCAAGTTGGAAAACACACTTCAGTATATTATCCAGGAGAACTTCCCCAACCTAGCAAGACAGGCCAACATTCAAATTCAGGAAACACAGAGAACACCACTAAGATACTCCACAAGAAGATCAACCCCAAGACACACAATCATCAGATTCTCCAAGGTCAAAATGAAGAAAAAAATATTAAGGGCAACCAGGGAGAAATGTCAGGTCACCTACAAAGGGAAGTCCATCAGACTAACAGTGGATCTCTCAGCAGAAACTCTACAAGCCAGAAAACAGTGGGGGCCAATATTCAACACTCAAAGAAAAGAATTTTCAATGCAGAATTTCATATCCAGTCAAACTAAACTTCATAAGAGAAGGAGAAATAAAATCCTTTCCAGACAATCAAATTCTAAGGGATTTCGTCACCACCAGGCTTGCCTTACAGGCGTTCCTGAAAGAAGCATTAAATATGGAAAGGAAAAACCGGTACCAGCTGCTGCAAAAACACAGCCAAATATAAAGACCAATGACACTCTGAAGAAACTGCATTAACTAATGTGCATAAGAGCCAGCTAGCATCATGATAACAGGATCAAATTCACACATAACGATTATAACCTTAAATGTAAATGGGCTAAATACCCAAATAAAAGACACAGGCTGGCAAATTGGATAAAGAGTCAAGACCCATTGGTGTGCTATATTCAGGAGACCCATCTCACGTGCAGACACACATAAGCTCAAAATAAAGGGATGGAGGAAAATTTACCAAGCAAATGGAAAGAAAAAAAAAAAAGCAGGAGTTGCAATCCTAGTCTTTGATAAAACAAACTTTAAACCAATAAAGATCAAAGAATACAAAGAATGGCATTACATAATGGTAAAGGGATCAATGCAACAAAAAGAGCTAACTATCCTAAATATATATGCACCCAATAAAGGAGCACCCAGATTCATAAAGTAAGTTCTTAGAAACCTATAAGGAGACTTAGACTCCCACACAATAATAGTGGGAGACTTTAACACCCCACTGTCAATATTAGACAGATTAACAAGGCAGAAAATTAACAAGGATATTCAGCAGTTGAACTCAGCTCTGAACCCAGTGGACCTAATAGACATTTACAGAACTCTCCACCCCAAATCAATAGAATATAGATTCTTCTAAGTACCACATAGCACATATTCTAAAATTGACCACATAATTGGAAGTAAAACACTCCTCAGCAAATGCCAAAAAACTGAAATCATAACAAACAGTTTCTCAGACCACAGTGCAATCAAATTAGAACTCAGGATTAAGAAACTCACTCAAAACCACACAACTATATGGAAATTGAACAACTTGCTTCTGAATGACTCCTGGGTAAACAATGAAATTAAGGCAGAAATCAAGAGGTTCTTTGAAACTAATGAGAACAAAGAGACAATGTACCAGAATCTCTGGGACACAGCTCTTGCACTATTAAGAGGGGAATTTATATCACTAAATGTCCACATCAGAAAGCTGGAAGGATCTCAAATTGACACCATAACATCACAATTAAAAGAACTAGAGAAGCAAGAGCAAATAAATCCAAAAGCTGGCAGAAGACAAGAAACAACTGAGATCACAGCAGATCTGAATGAGATAAAGATATAAAAAACCCTCCAAAAAAATCAATGAATCAAGGAGCTTTTTTTTTTGAAAAAATTAACACAACAGATAGACGACTAGCTAGGCTAATAAAGAAGAAAAGAGAGAAGAATCAAATGGACACAATAAAAAATGATAAAGGTGATATCACTACTGACCCCACAGAAATACAAACTACCATCAGAGAATACTATGAACAACTCTATGCAAATAAACTAGAAAATCTAGAAGAAACTGATAAATTCCAGGACACATACATCCTCCCAAGACTAAAGCAGGAAGAAGTCAAATTCCTGAATAGACCAATAACAAGTTCTGAAATTGAGGCAGTAATTAATAGCCTACCAAGCAAAAAAAAGCCCAGAACCAGATGGACTCACAGCTGAAATCTACCAGAGATTACAAAAAGGAGTTGGTATCATTCCTTCAGAAACTATTCCAAACAATTGAAAAGGAGGGACTCCTTCCTAACTCATTTTATGAGGCCAGCATAATCCTGATATCAAAACCTGGCAGAGACACAAGAAAAAAAGAAAACTTCAGGCCAATATTTCTGATGAACATTGATGTGAAAATCCTCAATAAAATACTGGCAAACTAAATCCTGCAGCACATCAAAAAGCTTATCCACCATGATCAAGTCAGCTTCATCCCTGGGATGCAAGGCTGGTTCAACATATGCAAATCAATAAATGTAAACCATCACATAAACAGAACCAATGACAAAAACCATATGATTATCTAAATAGATGCAGAAAAGGTCTCTGATAAAATTCAATGTCCCTTCATGTTAAAAATTCTTAATAAACTAGGTATTGTTGAAACATATCTCATAATGATAAGAACTATTTATTACATACACACAGCTAATGTTATACTGAAAGGGCAAAAGCTGGACGTATTCCCTTTGAAAACTACCACAAGACAAAGATGCCTTCTGTCACCACTCCTATTCAACACAGTATTGGAAGTTCTGACCAGGGCAATCAGGCAAGAGAAAGAAATAAAGGGTATTCAAATAGAAAGAGAGGAAACCAAATTGTGTCTGTTTGCAGATGACATGATTCTATATTTAGAAAACCCCATTGTCTCAGCCCAAAAACTCCTTAAACTGATAAGTAATTTCAGCAAAGTCCCAGGATACAAAATCAATGTGTAAAAATTGCTAGCATTCCTACACACCAACAATAGACAAGCAGAGAGCCAAATCATGAATGAACTCCCATTCACAATTGCTACAAAGAGAATAAAACACCTAGGAATACAGCTTACAAGAAATGTGAAGGACTTTTTCAAGGAGAACTACAAACCAGTGCTCAAGGAAATAAGAGAGGACACAAACAAATGGAAAAACATTCCATTCTTACAGATAGGAAGAATCAGTATCATGAAAATGGTAATTTATAGATTCAATGCTATTCCATTGACATTCTTCACAGAGTTAGAAAAAACTACTTTAAATTTCATATGGAACCAAAGAGAGCCCATATAGCCAAGACAATCCTAAGCAGAAAGAACAAAGCTAGATGCATCACACTACCTGACTTCAAACTATACTACAAGGCTACAGTAACCAAAACAGCATGGTACTGGTATCAAAACAGATACAGACCAATGGAACAGAACAGAGACCTCAGAAATAACACAACACATCTACAACCATCTGATTTTTGACAAACCTGACAAAAACTAGCAATGGGGAAAGGATTCCTTACTTAATAAATGGTGGTGGGAAAACTGGCTAGCTATGCAGAAAACTGAAACTGGACCCCTTCCTTACACCTTATACAAAAATTAACTCAAGATGGATTAAAGACTTAAATGTAAAATCCAAAACCATAAAAACCCTAGAAGAAAATCTAGGCAATACCATTCAGGACATAAGCATGGGCAAAGACTTCATGATGAAAACTTCAAAAGCAATTGCAACAAAAGCCAAAATTGACAAATGGGATCTAAATAAACTAAAGAGCTTCTGCACAGCAAAATAAACTAGCATCAGAGTGAGCAAACAACCTACAGAATGGAGGAAAATTTTTGCAATCTACCCATCTGACAAAGGTCTAATATCCATAATCTACAAGGAACTTAAACAAATTTACAAGACTAAAACAAACAACCCCATCAAAAAGTGGGCAAAGGATGTGAACAGACACTTCTAAAAATAAGACATTTATGTGGCCAATAAACATGAAAAAAAGCTCATCATCACTGATCTTTAGAGAAATACAAATTGAAACCACAATAAGTTACCATCTCACGTCTCTCAGAATGGTGATTATTAAAAAGCCAAGGAACAATAGATTCTGGTGAGGCTGTGGAGAAATAGAAATGCTTTTGCACTGTTGGTGGGAATGCAGATTGGTTCAACCATTGTGGAGGATAGTGTGGTGATTCCTCAGGGATCTAGAACCAGAAATACCTTTTAACCCAGCAATCCCATTGCTGGATATATATAGCAATATATATAAATATAAAGGCATATAAATCATTCTACTATAAAGACACATGCACACGTATGTTTATTGCAGCACTATTTACAATAGCAAAGACATAGAATCAACAAAAATGCCCATCAATTATAGACTGGATAAAGAAAATGTGGCACATATACATCATGGAATACTATGCAGTCATAAAAAACAATGAGATCATGTCCTTTGCAGGGACATGGATGAAGCTGGAAGCCATCATCCTCAGGAAACCAACACAGGAACAGAAAGCCAAATACCACATGTTCTCACTCATAACTGAGAGTTGAACAATGAGAATGCAGGGACATGGGGCGGGGAACAACACACACCAGGGCCTGTCAGGGGGTGGGGGTCAAGGGGAGGGAGAGCATTAGGACAAATACCTAATGCATGCAGGGCTTAAAACTTAGATGACGGGTTGATAGGTACAGCAAACCACCATGGCACATGTAAACCTATGCAACAAATCTGTGCATTCTGCACATGTATCCTGGAACTTAAAGTAAAATAAAAACAAACAAGCAAACAAACAAAAGACAACCAACAAACAACAACAACAACAACAACAAAATGGATTATTCATTTTAAGAAGGGACAAGGCAATGTTAAAGATGAAGCCTGCAGTGGCAGACCATCAACATCTATTTGCAAGGAAAAAATTCATGTTTTTCATGCCCTAACTGAAGAGGTCCAACGATTAACAGCAAAAACAATAGCCAACACCATAGACATCTCGATTGTTTCAGTAAACATAATCCTGACTGAAAAATTAAACTTGAGCAAACTTCCACTTTGTGGGTGCCAAAACTGTTATGCCCAGATAGACTGCAGACAAAAGCAGTCTATCAGCAATGGAAGCAATGGAAATTTTAAACAAGTGGGATTGAGAACCTGAAGGATTTCTTTATGGTATTGTGACAGGGTAGAAGCATGGCTTTACCAGTATGATCCTGAAGATAAAGCACAATCAAAGCAATGGCTACCAACAGCTGAATGAGGTCCAGTCAAAGCAAAAGCAGATGGGTCGAAAGGAAAGGACATGGCAACAGTTTTTGTTTTTTTTTTTTTTACTTTAAGTTCTGGGATACATGTGCAGAACATACAGGTTTGTTACATGGCAACAGTTTTTGAGGATGCTCAAGGCATTTTGCTTGTTGACTTTCTAGGGGACCAAAGAACAATAAATATCTGCATATTATGAGAGTGTTTTGAGATGGTTGGCCAAATCTTTATCAGGAAAACAGCAAAAACAAAGCTTCACCAGAGATTCCTTCTTCATCATAACAATGTTCCTGCTCATGTTTCTGATAAAACAAGGGAAACTCTGCAAGAGTTTTGATGATAAATCATTAGGCATCCACCTTGCAATCCTGATTTATTTGTCTCCTTCTGACTTCTTTTTTTTTTTTTCCTAATCTTAAGAAAATCTGTAAAGGGCAACCAGTTTTTTTCAGTTAGTAATATAACAAACATTGCATTGACATCTTTACTTTCCTGGTCCCATAGTTATTTTAGGGATTGACAAAATGGTTTGTACTATTGCTTACAAAAGTGTATTGATCTTGATAAAGCTTATATTGAGAAATAAATTATATATGTTTTATTGTCTTTTAATTTAATTTTTCCACAAACTTTTCTGAAGCCCTCTCATATTTCTTCTAAAATCTATTTTTATGTTGGCCTCAATGAAACCATAACAGGTTTAATGAAAAACAATTTAAAACATACATAAAATATGATTTTCAGGGATTAACTCGTATCATTACCTTTCCTTTTACAAATTAATTAAGTTGATTTTAAATGTAACCCTTTCTCTGTTATTTGCCATCTTCTGGAAAATTTAATTTCTTCAGCATTTACACTGTCCAACTGCCTGTTTGGGAAGATCAACTGTTCCACTTACAAATATTTGCTACCTTAGCTCCATCATCTGTGCATAATTGTATCTACACAATGGTGTTGTGAGAATCAAATAGAATGCTACATGTAAAGATTTTGTAATAGTTCTTGGCACATATTAAACACTCAAAAAATGTAGGCATTATTGTTAGTAATAAAATAATGTATATTAAGGCATTTACATAAAGAGAACTCTTGAGAAATTTTTGTTTCTTCCTTTTCTGTATTATTCATTTCTTTTTGTACAGTAATTTATTGTTTCTAAACTCGACTTCCAAGAGGGTACTATGCATTTTTTTAAATTAATGCACAATAATAAGATACTCCAAGGAAGTGAAGTTCAGCAAATATCAGCTGACTTCTCCATGACAAAAGCCATGCTTATGTTTGGGGTATACAAAAAAGATAACACATGGATTGATTGTACCTCTGGGTCCAAGAACGTTGCCTCTGAGAGAGGGACAGGATACAAGATGGTTTTACTATTTTGGCATTTATGGGTAATGTATTGTAATGGAGTATTAGATAAAGTTTGATAGAACTCAGAGATGGCTGAGTTTTTAAGCCAATGCCAAATGTGTCCTAAGCAGATGGCAAATATTTAATTCACATATGCATTGGTTGCTCATATGTACCTACTTTTACTAGGTCTGGGGTTTTAGTTCCCTGCCTTTGTAGTCCTAATAATTTGCTTGTTGAAATAAAGACATGCAAAGAGTAAAAGTATGCAGCATTGAGTGTATAATAATACATCAACAATGTAAGTAATGTCAAATTGCAGTGACATAAGATTTCAGAGAAGAGAAAATCAATTACAGCAGAATTTTCTGGAAAGACTTCTGGTAGAAGAAAGGGCTTAGTTGGGCCTTCACAAATAGAGAGGATTTAAATACCCAGAGATCAGAGAAGGGAGATTTACTAGGTGTGTGTAAAGTTTTTAAGCTTGCAAAGAAACAGATATGAGAAATTGCAAGTGGTGTGCTATGATTAGCAAGTACCACCTCTTGGCCACACAAAGCAAAGTTTTATGGGAGATCCAAAGGACATGAGGATAGATTTTGAGGTTCCTTGAATACAACATAAAGGATTTTTTTCTCCTGTAAGCATAGGAGAGAGATATAGTACCCTGAAAATATTAGATATTCAATAAATAATTTTAAAAGAATGTATATAGGCTTATATTCATGCTTTCACAAAATGCGTTTGAAAATGGAACATACTAAAGTAGGGACTCAGGGATTTAGCTACTAACCCAATAGGAAATGAGGAATAACTAAAAGTACTTAATGCATATGCAGTTAGGAAAACCATACTCATTTTTAGCTATTTAGATATGTCTAATATTACACAAATAGTCAAAATATCTAAATTTTCACTAAAAATGTCCACTTTTCTATTTTATTTTTTAAGGAATTTTTTTATTTGTAACTACAGAGTCTTGCTTTATTGCCCAGACAAGTATCTAACTCCCACCTCCACTTCCTAAAGTGGTGGGATTATAGGCACAAGCCACTGCACCCAGATACTTTGTTAAACCCTCTTACTGTAAGAAAATATTTATAGAAAAATCTTGTATGTTTTGAATAATGTATTGTGCAGCTGAGCTGTACAGATAATAATAAAATTAAATAGTATTTTGCTTAAATTTGCTCTTATGAATAAAACTAAAATATCATTAAACAATTTGGGAAATTACTATCTTGAAAGTTGTTGTATTTATGTTTATTTTTTTCCAAAACAATTCTACCTTGAAACAGATCAAGAGAAGCAATCTTTTTTGATATTATGTATCCTAGTGTTTCTTTGTATATAAACTTTGTAATAGCAGAATTTTACTTTCGTTTAATGGCATTAAGCTTAAAGTGATTTATGATGCCCTTTGAAATAAATGTAACAATCACACATTTAAGAGTTTGCAATAAATGAGGCTGAGAAGACCCAAAAGAAAGAAATAAGGGAATTGAACAATGAGATCACATGGACACAGGAAGGGGAATATCACACTCTGGGGACTGTTGTGGGGTTGGGGGAGGGGGGAGGGATAGCACTGGGAGATATACCTAATGCTAGATGATGAGTTAGTGGGTGCAGTGCACCAGCATGGCACATGTATACATATGTAACTAACCTGCACAATGTGCACATGTACCCTAAAACTTAAAGTATAATAAAAAAAATCCATAATCCTCAATATTATTTATCCTAACAAAACAAATAATTCAAAATCACCAAAATATAGAGGGCAAGTTTTAAAATATCTCTGGCATGAACACTTGTAACCACTGGGCCTTTGTTGCAGACATCTGATAAATACCAGAGGTATAAATACACATAAGACCTTTGCTGATTTTCAGTTATTGCATACTTTTTGCTAATAGCATCAGGAAACGACATGCCAATAGGAGACTGATTTTGCCATGAATTCCACTGTCATGATACACAACTGTTTCCCTTTCCTTCTATTTCTCTTAAAGTCTTTATCCAAGTGTAACTAATTACCTTTTAAAAAGGGTTTAATCACTAAATATCTGCAATTTGGTAGTCATTATTTTCATTAAATCCATCTCATGTATTTTTTATGTTGCTTCAGTCTTCAAAATTGCAGTTGCAATTTTGGCTATTTTTTTAAATTTAATTTCTCATAATTGGTTATTCATCAATCGTTTGATTTTTAGGTTTTAGGTTGTTTTTTCACAGGTAGAGTAAATTCTGTAATTAATAAGTTTACGCATATAGTTGTATTCTATTTTTTAAATTATTTCCTTAGGATAAAATCTCAGGAGAGATATTACTGGGTCAAAAGGTGTAATGGTTTTTATAGCTTTTCAAACAAGTTCCAAATTGCCTTTTGAAAGGATTTTACTGCCTCAATTTATAATACCCCGGATGCCTCTCCTGATAATAATACGTGTATATCCACTCACTTACTATTCCTTACTATTCGTTACTGTATCTTCTATGAGTATTCAAGCTGTGGATTGTGTGGATCACCCTAATTTCATGTCTATATTCCCAAAGTAATCATGTCTTCTTTAAAGTATTTAAAGTACAGTATCTAAAAATTAAATACTAGGAGGGAACTCCTGTTCCTGCCTATGCCACCCTGCAGAATCATTAACATCTAGAATTTTCCTTACAGCAAGCAGTGGATACTTGGATTTTTTTGCCTCATTGAGGGACATTTAAAAAAATTCTTTGCAAAGTTAAGAATAATAGATTAAGGCCGAATCAGTGACACCAAGTATTTGTTTAGATAACTAGGTTTACCTGATCTCCCAAGGATGCTGGAATCCAATTTAGTATTTTATCTTTTCAATAAATATGTATAGATTTGTGATTACTTATGATTTTGCCCATTTCCTTTATTTCAGAAAGACGTTAATATGGTAACTTTTCCTCCCCAAACACTTCAAGCACAAAGCTCATAAGAGCTTTTGAATGGAGCAAGAGTTGGCCTCAGATTCCAACTCCACAGCTAACAAATCATATGGCCATGGGAAGTAACCTGACTTCTTTGAGCCACAAATTTCTCATTTATTAAATGAGAGTGGTATTAACTCCCACTTTCTCATACCATGAAGACTGCATGAAATAGCACATGTTCAATTCCCAGAACATGGTATGCCTCCAATGACTATTAATTTTTAGAAGACATTAGCACAGATTATGTTTTACTATTAATGCCTGTTAATATATACAAAGAAATCACGTTGGGACAATCTAGCATCCAAATATACTGATAGTATTTCCAAACCATTTATTGAGCCATGGGCTTATTTGAACATTTCTTGAAAGCTATCTGTATTAGTCAGGGTTCTCCAGAGGGACAAGACTAATAGGATAGATGTATATATGAAAGGGAGTTTATTAAGAAGTATTGACTCACATGATCACAAGGTGAAGTCCCACAATAGGCCATCTGCAAGCTGAGGAGCAAAGACACCAGCCTGAGTCCCAAAATATCAAAAGTAGGGAAGCTGACAGTGCAGCCTTTGGTTTGTGGCTGAAGGCCCAAGAGCCCCTGGCAAACCACTGGTATAGATCCAAGAGCCAAAAAGCTGAAGAACTCTCCCATGTTAGAGGGCAGGAAGTATCCAGTACAGGAGAAAGATGGAGGCCAGAAGACTTAACTAGTCTAGTCCTTCCATGCTCCTCTGCCTGCTTTTATCCTAGCCATGCTGGCAGCTGATTAGATTGTGTCCATCCAGATTGAGGGTGGGTCTGCTTCTCCTAGTCCACTGACTCAAATATTAATCTCCTTTGGCAACACCCTCACAGACACACCCAGGATCAATACTTTACATCCTTCAATCCAATCAAGTTGGCACTCAATATTAACCATCACACTATCAATTATCTCTCCTGAGAAAACTGCATCCTGGTCTTCCAGGATTCTAAAGCTGAGTCCAGTGACCTCAGGTAAAAGTTCCCACTCCTATATATTTCATTTCCAATAAGAAGAAATTACACCTCCAAGAACTTACATGGTCTGTTCAATCAGTGTTCTGTAATTATATAAACACATACAGCAGATCAAAATCACTGTATCTGGTTCTTTTTAATAGAAACGTATATTCAGCAATGTCCAGTAGGAGCTGGAGTTGTTAATTGTTATCTCTTCTAAAATGACACTTCTGTGTAAAAACTTGATTTAAAAAACTGTAAAACAAAAAGTCATTTCACAAAAAAAAACTGTAAAACAAAAAGGTCATTATGTCATATTGATTTTTCCTTTTCTGCCAATACCAAGGATCACACCCCATTGTTAATATAGAAACTTCAGTGAATTATGTCTTCTGATCCACATTTAAGAGTGCAACATTCTTTCCTGGCCTTTGTTGGAGACCTGGAAGGATCAGCACATTTAGCTGTGTGGTCCTGGTCTCTAGGACTGCTAACTCAGAGGCAAGTCACAAAAGATAATTCATTGCACTGGGACTTAGTTATTTGTAGTGTCTAACTATCTGCTAGTTTCTATACATTCCAATGTTTTTAAAATATGAATAAAAGAACCATACAACAAACCTTTTTGTAAAAATCAGGGAGTGAAGTGCACACACAAAGGAGAATATCTGACCCACAAGTATTCAAGAGAGGTCTCCCCCCGTCAAATCTCATCAGGCTAGCAAAGCAGCAGTACATCATTCAAATGAAGTTGGAAACCTGTCTGCTTGGTGTGGGGAGGTAGTATGTGACACAAGAAAGTAGGTTTTCTGTGACAAAAATATTAAAACAAAACCAACCCAACATTTCTTTTGAAAAGCCAAAAAAAAAAAAAGAAAGAAAACTGGAATAATGTAATCTTTAAGCACACATGGAAACTGACAATAATGGAAATAATCATTCCATTTATGAGGTCAGCTATCTAGTTAGAATATGGAAAACAGTAAGAACAGTCACTCTCCTCCTAACAGCCATAGCAGCATGGATGAGTATCACACCCACAGATTTGTATAAACCTGTGACAAAGCAAAGAATGCAATAAAACCTAAGCTGATTACATTTTTTAAAAATGAAATCTCTTCTCACATAGGAAAGAAGCCATCCTCACTCACGAGAAGGGGGAAGACTTTATGACAGACAAGAGGAAGGATAAAACAGAAAAACTTTTAGTTTTTAACAAATTTGTATGGCTGCTTATGGATGGAGGGCCAGAGTAGAATTTTGAGGAGCCCAGCAAAAAATGACACTTTGGTTTTTTCCCCTGGGTCTTCAACAACTATTAGGGGCTGGTATGCCAGACACTGGAAAGAAGGGAGTGGATGAAACAAATCCTGCTTAGATGCATGGGGCCTCTCCCAAGTGCAGAGCCATTGTTTCCTAAATGGATGTACAAGAGAGAGGAAGAGTGTTGAAGAGAGGTGAGAGGAATCCATCTGGGGTACTCAAGTCCCTCACCTACCTTTAAGATTGTAACCAGGCAGCTTAAGTTGAAAATGCATTTTAAAGCTTCCCCCCACACACACCTTTCTCTTGGGTTTCAAGATGTAACCTTGAAGCAAACTGTAGAAGTCTTTTCACTTAGCCTTAAAATAAGCTCCATATTGCTCCCTTTCTCACTGCATATACTCCCTTTACATTTATTTAACTGCAGGCTAGTATCTAATTATGTGCCTTCTTAGAAGTTCCAGGGGCTAATCTTGAGACAGTCGGACCAAGCCTAGAGACCCAGCTGCAAAATTCCAGTGATTACCTCAAGGCAGCTAGCCAACAACCCAGCCATTGTTGAGATGATGCCAGCCCATGTTCCAGGTGATCTGACACCCAAGATAGCCACCAGAACAAAACACATAGGTATTGTATTTGGCATAATTCTTGCATCCCTTGCATATCAAGTTTTCTGTTTCTAAACTCTTGCCTTCCCCCAAAAATTTTGAAGTGGTTGCTTTGGATGGGAATTCAGCCACTTCTCCTTTGCTAGCTTTGGAAATAAGGTCACTTTCTTTCTACTATACCTCACTCTTGTGCTTTGGATGGGAATTCAGCCACCTCCCCTTTGCTAGCTTTGGAAATAAGGTCACCTTCTTTCTACCATACCTCACTCTTGTCAATTGGATTCTGCAAATGGCGAGCAACAGAACCCACATTCAGTTATGACACTATGGCAGGAAAAGAGAGTTGAGAGAAAGCAATTTGAGACATTCTAGCTTTCACCTACCAAAAGCAGGAACATGGCACAGGAGAACTGGGGAAACATCTCTAAGGAGTTCTGAGCACTCAGGGACTATAAGGCAGTTCCTTCATAAGGCTTAGAGCAAAATATCAGAGTTGGAAATTGGAGAGCAAAGGGAAGTCTCTAGCAACCAAAAAAACAGGCTTCTTCATTGTAAAGCACACAGAGATCTCTGGGAGCTTGTCAGTGCTCAGTCCCCAGGCCTTGCTAGAGAGAAGGTCCTGACATTGACCAGAAACACTGTATCTAGTGATGAACTGAATCAAACTAAAGCTATAACAAGTTCTTCAGCCAGCTCCAATAATCACTCATTTGGCCTGAATGGGAAAAAAGTGTGACTCTTTCTGGAGACAAATTTTCAATGTGCCGTATTTTTTTTAAATGAGAAAATGTGAAATATGGTCAAGAAAGGAAACAGTCAACTAAAGAAGATTCAGAGGCAACTCAGAGGTTGGAATTACAAGATAGGAACTATAAAATAACTACTGTAAAATATGTTAAATGATATACTTGAGAAGATTCACAATATTCACAGAAATATGAGAAACCCAAATGGAAATGTAGAAATGGTAGAAGTGAAAAATACAAAATCAAAAATGAAGAATATTAAATAGGTTTGACAGCAGATTGGATACAATACAGGAAAGGATCAGTGAACTTGAAGATGGGTCAATAAATAATACCTAACTGAAGCCCAAGAAGAAAGAAGAGTGAAAAAATGAGGTAATTTGAAAGCATGTCTACAAATTCTTTGACACTCTCCCATCAAGAGGAGATTTTGTAGTTTCTTTGACAGACAGAATGAGGTTAAAGAGACACTTTTGTGACTTCTGGGACAAGGTTTAAAAAAGAACATGGTTCCTCTGCTCTCTCCCAAGGGATACTCATGCTTGGAATCTAGCCACTATGTTGTGAGGAAACTCAGGCGAAATAGAGTAGACATGTGTAGATGTCCCAGCTGCCAGTCTCCATGAAGTCCCAGCTGACAGCCTGCATCACCAGCAAGCATGTGAGTGAGGAAGACTTTGAGATGACTCTAGGTTGATTAAAATCAAGCGAGACATACTTAGTAAGACCTTTGAAGAGCCATCCTGGTTTCAGAGCTTCCGTGGATCTGACTGAGGTCTTCATGAGACATTATGGTAATCCAACTTTTCTCTCTGTCCAACTCTATTTGTTCCTCCCTCGCTGCAGGTAATGATCCCAATAGCACTCCCTGACAAAGCTTGTGCTAGTGGTCTTCAGCTTAGAGTCAGCTTCCTAGGGATTCTAACCTGTGACAGACCCCAATCTTAAACTCTATTTGTCAAGGGGTAGGTAAAAGTAAATAAATAAACATTACAAGTAAAAGTATAGTAAGAAAATCTGAGAGGCTATATTTACCTATCTAGTAATGGGAGAAACCTTCTTAACAAAGACTGGGAACTCAGGAGATACACTTTTTAAAAAATGGACATATATTAATATAATTTAAATTCTTCTGTATTACTTCAGCTTATTTCTTTTTCTCCTTTAATTCCTCTTTAAATATGTTTCAAACAGGCTTTTGTCATGTTACAGACTAAGTGATAGCAAAATTAATTCTATATACAAACATTTGATGAAAATATTTTTGATGCAGAGAGCTCAATATATAATATTCAAAAGGCTATTACTTTTTTGACTAAAAAGAGACAACTTAATACAAAAAGTGTAAATATAGAAGAGCAAACTTCAAGAGACTACAGACGTATGAAAAAATGAAATGCTGAAGCTCAATAAAATTCAAGGAAATGTAAACTATAATATAACAAGGTTTTTATATCCATTGCAGTAATTTAAATAAAAAAGAGGAAAAACACCTATTGCTGGTAAGAATGGAATTGTTTCAGCTTTCCATAGAGCATCTTTGAAATATTCTAATAATGTGAATTAAAAATACATATTCCTTTGGACAAGTAATTTTATCTTGAGACTTTATTTTACAGCTAAAAGCACCAGAACATAGGAACACAGGTATCTAGAGTATTATTATCATGACAAAAAAGAAAAGAAAAGTGAATGACCTTCAGTAGGAAAGCAAGTTAATAAGTTCAATAAGTAAATTCCTATAATTTTATGTTGCCTTGGCATCCATTTTGAATATGGTTTTAACTTTCCTGTACCAGAAGCAGGGCTTATTTACCCTCGACAGTTTTCATTCCTCCACCTCCTCCCAGTTCCTCAGTATAATCAACCGACTTTTATAAAATTGTCTCCTGGTGACCATCTCTCTGTGGGACAACCATACATAACCTACGTAGTTTCTATACCCTGTATGGACTGTATAGATATGCCACAGTCATTGTGACTCCATTGAACATGTGCCTGCTTGCTCTAAACTCACCATTTAGAACTTCCTGCAGGAAACCTGCCTGGATAATAATACCTCACACCCCAATAAAGGTCATGGTTCATAGGCCCATCTGTCTCTGGCTCCCCCACCCAGTGGTTGAGTGTGCATGTCCTGAATGGCTCTGCCCTTTACTTTGGCCCCCTGAGGCATGCTGCCCTCTTCTTTCTAGGATCTGTAAGTAAACTACTCCTGTTGTTGTATTTGTTTTGTTGAGTTGCTTCCTATGTGTCCAATCTGCAAACCCAACATTTTTCAAGATCAGTGTTCTCTTAGACACTGACTATCTTGGCAGGAGTAAACTGGACACAGATCAGACAAGAACCACATGGGTGTCTGCCAGTATAAACAAGTTTTCTATGAAAGGGACATCTGGTCCCAGGTTGAACACTTAGGCATTAGGCCATCCATGAGGTTAAAGAAATATCCGATGAAAAGCACACTGTAAACATTCATGACCAAATCTTCTGGAGTCAGGGCAGGGCTAGAGTTTATAGTTACTTTTAAGAAAAAGACCTGAATGCCAAATTAGAGAGAAACACAACATAAGTTATGAAACATATACGTCCTGGAATATTATACAGCTATTGAAAATAATGAATGAGGGGTAAGTGTACACTCAGTGTACTAAGTAGAGGTGGTGAGAGCAGTCCTCCTAGATAATGGTTATAAGGAGGCTTTCTGTCTGTAAAACATTTACCCAAATAGAAGACACTCTGCTTATTTATATCAAGATATGCTGCTGGTAATTCTAAACAATCTTTCTGATAATATACTTCTCAGCCAGGCCCCGTGGCTCATGCCTGTAATTCCAGCACTTTGGGAGGCCAAGGTGGGAGGATCACTTGAGGCCAGGAGGTCAAGACAATACACTGCTCCCCACCAGTGTAAATCCTCCCTGCCACTCCCTTGCCCTTGGCATCCCTCTATGTAGCAATTAACTTGGAGATATGTCCACAACGTACTGGTGAGTGAAAAAAGGAAAATGTAAAATAGATCTCTCATATTATCCTGTTTTTCTTTAAAATGATGATCAAAACCCTGTATCTATATGCATGTTTATAGGAAAATAGAAATCACAAATATTTATAACACATATATATTCATTATTTCATATCAATTGAATCAATTGAAATCAAATAATCATTGAAATGATTACTGAGCATGAGAAAGATAAAAGGCTACTTTCTATGTTATTAACATGGGCTATGGGAGACCAGATGAGAGGGGGATGGACAGGAAGGAGAAGAAAAGACAGAATATAAGCAAAAACATATTTTAAAGTACTGCATTAAAAGCATATGTATGATTTGACCACATCTGTACAGTTACATACATATCAGGGTGGAAATGTAACATCACTTTTAATAATTTCAAAAACAACAGAAAATAACAAAGTTTAATACTCTCAAGCTGAAAATTTGGGATTCTGGTTTCAGAATTCCATGCTGTCTGATGATACGAAGATCTGAAATCCTATGGGAAGAACATGCTAAAAGCTCAGGCTTGGGAGCTAGCTGATAAATCCACAACCACCGCTAAAATGCTGAATTTACTCCATCAGGAAGCTCTTACCATTTGCTTTAATTGCAAGTTAAGAACTGACTCTTTTAGTCCAATACAAAAGCATACACATAATAGTCACTCACCACGCCACTGCAAATTAGTATTCAGAATGAAGGCAAACTTTTAAAATACCATTTTCTTTAGAACAAATATAATCAAATGGTTAAAAGAGCATTCCAATGATTTTTACTTCATTTCCTAGCTTTGTTTGCTTGTTTAATTATCCAGAAAATTGTGACACAAGTGACTTAATTTTTTACTGTAATCTTTATAAACACAAAAGCTTGAATTTCACTAATTCCAAGAAAGCAGAGCAGGGGTGGGTATTGGGGTCATGGTTTGTACCTGACACAAAACAAACTTTTTAATTGTATCTAATCAGAAACAGATTTTGTTTTGAATTCCGATGTTAAATCCAGCAGTTCACATTGAGAAATCTGTGCAGAGGCACCACAGATTTCTCTATTAGTCATTCATGCTGCTTTGTTCATGTCACTGTGACCCTGCAAAGAACACAGTGTCCTTAGAAACATTAAAATAATGTTCTAGGTGAACCTCATAAAGTACATTAAAGTTATAACTTTATCCTGTTTAAAGGACTGCAAATTTACTAAAAGATAGAAAAAAGTCTTTTTAATATATAATCTGGATTAAGGTACATGTTAGGTTTTGGAGGATCTATTGCTTGTATCAAAGTCACTAGATTTATAGTATCAGCAACTTATTATAAATTAATAGGATCAGGTTAGTATCTTTTTATCTTCTGAACAGTTCTTTTAATTTTAGGCAAAAAGACAGTGTAAAGAATCAAACAGAACATTGCCAAGCAAAGCCTTTTATTTCCAATTCTACTTTGGTCCCAGGTAGTATTTAACTATTTCCAACAAACAAAAATAAATATCATTTTTCATAAAGAGCTTCACAGTCAATCTCTGCAATCAAAGGAGTTTCTATGAAACAGATTATTCAGATAAATGTCTTTCTCTCATTCAATAAATAAACATTGAGTTAGACAAAGATTTCGTTCCAAGTTTTGAACACTTGCTGGTCACAGATGGACCAGTAAAACACAAGCCTGTTCTCAAAATGTTTACAGGCTCAGACAGAATAAAATGTGAGGGTCATCCTAATTATATTTGTACAAGGAATTGTGTAAGCATAGAAAACTATGAAAAACATAATTTTGATTACATTATTTATATATTTTTGTAATATGAGTAGTTCCAAGATCAGAGTTATGGCCACACATTGCTCTAATTAAACACTTAAAGCCACCTACAAGGTCTTAGGGCTATCAAGCAGCCAAATCCACGTGCGTGAGGCACAATTGAGATGATGATTTTATGCCAAATTCTATATCTTAACAAATAGAATTACATCAAGTACCATCTTCCTTTTAGAAAAATTATACTTGTATTTCTCAGACGTGGAAGTATCATTAGGAATTTGGATCTGTTCACTATGGAATAGTGCATGCCTATTTGGAATTTAATTTCTTGTTCACGTATGGAAAATGAATTATGTAACTTAAGCTGACATCTGACCAGGTACTTTTCTCTCCAACTCTCTGTCATTAGATGATGATGAATAAAGGCAGTAAAAATATTTTCTCAAAATCTAGGCAAATAGCCTGGAATTGTTGATGATCACTTAATAAAAAATTTTGACTTGTAGATTTTCTTAGGAAGCTGTAAGCTCATGAAAGTATTGAAGTTGATGATTTGAAAGATGTTTCATTTTTGTTTTGTCTTTTTAAATTCAGTACTCATGAAATGAGTTTTTAATTTTAATTTTTTTTAATTTTATTTTTTTGAGGCAGGGTCTGGCTCTGTCTCCCAGGCTGGAGTACAGTGGCATCAACTCAGCTCACTGCAACCTCTACTTCCCGGGTTCAAGCCATCCTCCCACCTCAGCCTCCCAAGTAGGTGGGACTACAGGTGCACACCACCACACCCAGCTAATTTTTGTATTTTTTGTAGAGATGAGCTTTCACCATGTTTCCTAGGCTGGTCTCGAACTCCTGAGCTCAAGTGATCCTCCCACCTCAACTTCCCAAAGTGCTGGGATTACAGGCATGCGCCATGGCACCCAGCCCCGTGACATGAGTTTAAAAAATAAAAGTCCAGGATGACTTATTTATGATTTATTTTCATACCAATTTGCCTTCATAGTTATCAATCTCTATATGAAGTTTTATTTGGATACAAATAAATAAAAAAAAAATTATAGGCCCCAAAGAGCTTTTGGAAGAAATTTTTGGAATGAACTATGATGCTTAGACTTTTGTGTTTTTTTAAAGGTAATTCTGGTTCAGTTTCATACATTGACTTTTTAACTCTTGGTAGTTGTAAGCTTCAGCATTGACCTAGAATAGCAAATTTAAAATAAATTAGCTAAAGTGTATTCAGATACGTAACTCCTAGTAATCTTTAGGGAAATAATTGGATATGGTTTGTCTTCTTCCTGTTCAGCTAAATATGGATTACCTAGCCATAGCAGTAACATTTATTGCAGGTCTTAGTATGTGTTGGGAACTCTATGAAGCGCTTTGTGAGTACTATCTCAAATAAGCCTTCAACAACCCTATGTAGTGTGCATTTGCATTAATTAAAAGGAAGCTGACTGCTATAACAGGGAAATCCCATCATCTGAGTACCTTACACAAAGATATTTTTTTCTCACTCATGTAAAGCACAGTTATGTACTTGGGAGCAGAACAAGGTGTATTTTCTATACAGTCTTTCAGGTGACTCGGGCTGAAGGAGGCACAGTCATATACAAATTACGTGGATTCCAATGATCTTTGTAGGCAATACAATCCACCAAATGGATGAAGGAAAAAATAGTAGAGAATCAAATGGGATAATTTTATTGGCCAGGCTTGGAAGTGGCATACATCATAGAACTCAGTCACATAGCCTTATCTTATTGCACAGGAGGCTGGAAAAGTGTTGCCTAGCTCTGCACCCAAAAGGAATGGGTATATTTGGTGAGTAGCTAGACAGTCTGTACCAAGGTACAGTGTATATTCTACTTTACTGCTAAAGAAAGTAAGGCATGAAGAAATTTCAACTCTAGTATATGACGGGCTACAAAGCACATCTATTACATATTGTCTATTTGTAAATAGCTTACTTTATTATATGTGTATGTCATTAATATGCTGTACTCTGAATGTAAAAGTGCACTTCATGATAACATACTGAGTTTGCATATAACAGATGTTCAATGACTTGACTAAAAATTTTTTTCAAATAAACTTCAATCTTATTTGGCAGTAGGTTACATCCTTGTAGGTTTTCAGTAACTAAATACGTGAAAAATCTAAGTATGCAAAAGACTAACGACACAAAACAATCTTGGTTGAATAATGGACTCTATTCAGTAAGTCTAAACTGACTGAACTATGGAGCTAGTAGAAGAAAATCAGAAGGCAATGTGAAGTAACTTGATGTAGTTAAAAGAAGTCTGACATATATTCAGAGGTGCAAATGATACCTTTCCCGAACTACCAGTAAAGGTGCCCAAGAGCACCACTAAACAGTGGGGCTGTGAACAGGTTGGCTCAGCAAACTCTCTGCCCTGACAGTTTAAATCTTGACCTAAACAACACAAGGATGTGGCGGGCGGGGGAAGGAAGAGTGGAGCTGATTTTTCCCAAAATTGAAGACCTTAAAAAAAAGAGCTATTAATTTATGCTACCTGTATCTTGGGCAAGATCCAATTTCTTGTTCTGTCTGAGCTTTCAAGCTTTAAACTTCATAAGGAAGACTTATTCAAACATAAATATTCCCAGCTATGGAAGAACTAGAAAGGTACATTTTCATCAGAACTTTGAGGGGGTAGCATCTAAGCAGATTTTTTGCAAGTGCAAAAAAACTCTAGACCTTGTAGTCTATTTAAAAAATTAACAGATACTTGTGTTCAGCTCTATGAATGACCCATGTTTGGTTTTTATTTCTGTGACAGATACTGCTATTTTTATAGGACTATGGGCAATTTTCATGCTCTAGGAGACATGTAATGTTTATCTGGTGTTGAGATGCCCCTAGCACATTACCATGTCCTCCTAAGGGTACTGATAATATGGTGGTGAAGCAGGTTTCAAAGTTGCCTCCGCTGGTAATCTTCAAGGGTTCACCTTTTGAGATAGATCATTATCATAATTATTTTATCATCATCAGATTATTTGTTGAGCCACATGTAAGCCATATTCTTAGCACATACACGCATTTTATTATAAAAATTATATATATCCACTAAAGGTCATCAACATGTTAAAAACAAATAAAATGTATGAATTTATTTATTCATTAAAAAATTTTAAAAATCTGTTCAGTGAGGCTGTAACTGGAACTGGAGAGTACGTTCCAGCCTTACTTCTGCTCAATAATGTGAGATCAGTGGTGCTCAGAATTCAACAGTGTTACAGGCTGTATCCCAGTTTTCCACATCTACTCTGACAGATACTGTGGGTTTGGTTCCAGACGATCTCAATAAAGAAAATATGGCAATAAAGTGAGTCACAAACATTTTTGGCTTTCCAGTGAATATAAAAATTATATTTTCACTGTACTATAGTCTATTAACTATGCATTAGCATTATATCTAAAGAAACAATGTATATACCTTAATTAAGGTGTGTACTTAATACCATATTGCTAAAAAGTGCTAATGATAATCTGAGCCTTTTGAAAGTTGTAAACATTTTGCTGGCGGAGGGTCTTGCCAGATGTTGATGGCTGCCGACTCATCAGGGTGGTAGTTGCTAAGTGATGGAGAAGCAATGTCTTAAAATAAGACAACAATAAAGTTTGCTGCATTGATTGACTCTTCTTTATATCAAAGTTCTCCCAGTAGCATATGATGCCATTTGATAACATTTTATCCACAGTAGAACACCTTTCAAAATTAGAGTCAATCCTCTCAAACCCTGCCACTGCCTTATCAACTAAGTTTATGTAATAGTCTCCATCTTTTGTTCTCATTTCAACATTCTTCACAACATCATCACCAGAAATAGCTTCCATCTTAAGAAATAACTTTTATTATTGCTTATCCATAAAAAATAACTCCTCAGCCACTAACATTTCATCATGAGGTTGCAGTCATTCAGTTACGTCTTCAGGCTCCATTCTTATTCTGCTCCTCTTGCTACTTCCACCACATCTTCAGTTACTTCCTCCCTTGAAGTCTTGAGCCCCTCAAAGTCATTCATGAGTGTTGAAATCAACTTCTCCCAAACTCCTGTTAATGTTGATATTTTGACCTCTTCCTGTGAACGATAATTGTTCCTAATGGCACTGAGAACTGTGAATCTTTTCCAGAAGGTTTTCAATTTCCTTTACAAAGACCCATCAGAGGAATCACTATCTATGGCAACTATAGCCTTACAAAATGTATTTTTTACATAAGGCTTGAAAGTTGAAATTAATCCTTGATCCATGGGCTTCAGAATGAATGTTCTGTTAGAAGACATGAAAACAACATTAATCTCCTTGTACATTTCCATCAGAACTCCTGGGAGATAAGGCGCATTGTCAATGAGCACTAATATTTTGAAAAGAATCCTTTTATTCTGAGGAGTAGACCCCAACGAAGGGCTTATAATATTCAGTATACCATGATGTCAACATATATGAAGTCATCTAGTCTTTATTATTCCATTTATAGAGCACAGACAGAGTAGATTTGGCATAATTCTTATGGACCCTAGGAGTTTGGGAATGATAAATGTGCATTGGCTTCAACTTAAGAAACATCAGCTGCATTATCCCCTAAAAATGAAGTAAACCTTTCCTTTGAAGCTCTGAAGCCAGACATTGACTTCTCCTCTCTGTGAAATTTCTAGATGGCATCTTCTTCCAGTAGAAAGCTGTTTTGTCTACACTGAAAATCTGTTATTTAGCATAGCCACCTTCATTAACTGTTTTAGCTAGATCATCTGGGTAACTTACTATAGCTTCTATATCAGCATTTGCTGCTTCACCTTGCACTTTCATGTTAGTGAAGATGGCTTCTTTCCTTCAGTCTCATGAACCAACCTTTGTAGGTTTAAACTTTGCAGCTTTTAAATTTTTCTTCTGCACTTTCCTCATTTCTCTCAGCCTTCATAGGATTGCAGAGAGATAGGGCCTTGCTCAGGGTTAGGCTTTGGCTTATAGTGATGTTGTGTCTAGTTTGACCTTCTATCCAGACCACTAAAACTTTCTTCATACCAACAATGAGGGTGTTTTGCTTTCTTATTATTTTTATGTTCACTGGGGTAGAATTTTTAATTTTATTCAAAACTTTTTCCTTTGCATTCATGACTTTGCTGTTGCAAGAAGGCTGAGATTTAGCCTATTTCAGCTTTTGACATGCCTTGCTCACTTAGCTTAATCATTTTTAGTTTTTGATTTAAAGTAAGAGATATGGGACTCTTCCTTTCACTTGAACACTTAAGAGACCATTGTAGGGTTATTAAATGGCCTAATTTCAATATTGTTGTGTTTGGCGGAACAGGGAGGCCCAAGGCGAGGGAGAAAAATGGGGGAACGGTCAGTCAGTGGGACAGTCATAACATACAAAACATTTATTGATTGCATTTTCCATGGACACAGTTTGTGGTGCCCCACAACCACTGCAATAGAAACATCAAAGATCACTGATCACAAATTATCATAAAAGATACCATATTAATGAAAAAGCTTGAAGTAGTGTGAGGATTACCCAAACAGGACACAGAAACATGAAGTGAGCACTCGCTATTGGAAAAAGGCGCCAATAAACTCACTATCTGCAGGGTTGCTACAAACCTTCAACATGTAAAAAATGCAATATCTGTGAAATGCAATAAAGTGAAGCACAATAAAATAAGGTGTGCCTGTCCTTCCTTTGGGACTCAGATCAATTATACCTTATCACATTGGCCCAGCATTCTCTATCCCCTCACTCTGCTTTATTTTTTTCATAGCAACTTTAATCACAAAATATATCACATATAGGCTTATTTACCAATTTTATGTGTCCCCCAAGAAGGATGGAAACTCCAACGAAATGGCAACTTTGCTTTATTCATGGATAAATTCCTGTCATTTACAGTAATAACTGCCAAAAGAAGCATTTAATAATATTTGTTGAATTAATAAGTGCCTTTTGAAAGTTTGCCATAGGAAAATATTTTATAACTTTTAAATTTTTTATTTTATCATCACAGATAGACAAAAGTTGCAAAGATAGTATATACAGAGATATTCCATGTACTCTTGTCCAGTGTCTTCCCTCAAATGTTACATCTTAAATAATAATAGTACAAGATCAAAACAAGAGTATTGACATTGGCAAAATGTGTGTGCAGAATTCTAAAAAATTTTATCAAATGTGCATATTTATGGAATCAATTCATAAAGATACAGAACTATTCCGTCACCGCTAGACCTTTCTTGTGCTACCCCTTAAGACTACGTACATTCTTCCACCCTTCTTCATTGCTAATCCCTGGCAACCACTAATCTACTTTTCACATGTGTAGTTTTGTAATTTTGAGAATCTTATATAAATGAAATTACATTATAAAGTATGCAACTCTGGGATTGGCCTTTTTCACTCAGGAGAATATCCTTGAGAGCCATTCAAATTGTTATATCTGTCAGTATTCTGTTATTTTTAAATTGCTGAATAAAAGTTCATGGCATAGATGACCCACCGTTTAAACATTCACCTAGTGAGAAACATTTTGGCCATTTCAGGTTTTTGCTATTACAAATGAAGCTGTTTTGAAAAATAGTGCACAGGTTCATGTGTGAACATAAGTTTTTGTTTTTATCGGATAAATGTCTAGATATGCAGTTGCTGAGTGTATGATAATTGTGTTTTTAGTGTTTTCAAAAGAAATTTCCAAAGTATTTTGAGAGTGGTTGTACCATTTTATATTCCCGCCAGCAATGGATATAGATTCAGTTTTTTAACACCATCACCAATATTTGGTATTTGGTTGTGCATGCATGTGTGCGTGCATGTGTGTGTGCATGTGTGTGTGTGTGTTTATACATTTGACCCTTGAAAAACATGGAGGCAAGGGGCACTGACTTTCCACGTAGTCAAAAATCCATGTATAACTTTTGACTCCTCAAAAACTTAACTAATAATTGCCTAATGTTGACCAGAAGTCTTACCAATAACAATAAATTAATACATATTTCGTGTGCTATATGTATTATGTACTGTATTCTTACAGTAAAGTAAGCGAGGGAAAGAAAATGTTATTAATAAAATTTTAAGAAAAAAGAAATATATTCAGCATTCATTAAGTGGAAGTGGATCATCATAAAGGTCTTCATGCTCATTGTCTTCGTGTTGAGTGGTCTGAGGAAGAGGAGGAAGAGGATGGGTTGGCCTTGCTGTCTCAGTGTGGCAGAGGTGGAGGAGGTGGAAGGAGAGGCAGGAGAAGCAGGCATACTTACTGTAACTTTTATTGAAAAAAAAATTATGCATAAATGTACCCACACAGTTCAAACCTTGTTGTTCAAGGGTCAACTGTATACTGTTTTAATAGGAGTGCAGTGATATTTCATTTTTCCTAACAGCTAATGATGTTAAACACCTGTTTTTAGGCTTATTTTTGTCATCATGTCTTTTGTTCATTTTCTAATTGGATTGTTTGACTTTTTTCTTTAACTGTTGAATTTCAGGAGTTCTTTTTTTTTATTATTATACTTTAAGTTTTAGGGTACATGTGCACATTGTGCAGGTTAGTTACATATGTATACATGTGCCATGCTGGTGCGCTGCACCCACTAACTCGTCATCTAGCATTAGGTATATCTCCCAATGCTATCCCTTCCCCCTCCCCCCACCCCACAACAGTCCCCAGAGTGTGATATTCCCCTTCCTGTGTCCATGTGATCTCATTGTTCAATTCCCACCTATGAGTGAGAACATGCGGTGTTTGGTTTTTTGTTCTTGTGATAGTTTACTGAGAATGATGATTTCCAATTTCATCCATGTCCCTACAAAGGACATGAACTCATCATTTTTTATGGCTGCATAGTATTCCATGGTGTATATATGCCACATTTTCTTAATCCAGTCTATCATTGTTGGACGTTTGGGTTGGTTCCAAGTCTTTGCTATTGTGAATAATGCCGCAATAAACATACGTGTGCATGTGTCTTTATAGCAGCATGATTTATAGTCCTTTGGGTATATACCCAGTAATGGGATGGCTGGGTCAAATGGTATTTCCAGTTCCAGATCCCTGAGGAATCGCCACACTGACTTCCACAATGGTTGAACTACTTTACAGTCCCACCAACAGTGTAAAAGTGTTCCTATTTCTCCACATCCTCTCCAGCACCTGTTGTTTCCTGACTTTTTAATGATTGCCATTCTAACTGGTGTGAGATGGTATCTCATAGTGGTTTTGATTTGCATTTCTCTGATGGCCAGTGATGATGAGCATTTTTTCATGTGTTTTTTGGCTGCATAAATGTCTTCTTTTGAGAAGTGTCTGTTCATGTCCTTCGCCCACTTTTTGATGGGGTTGTTATACATTTTAGATGTGAGTCTTTTGCCAGCTATGTGATTGGCAATTTATTTTTTACCTCTTGTAGCTTATCCTTTAATTCTTCTAACAATGTCTTTCACAGAGTAAAAATGTTTAGTTATGACAAATTTCAGTTAGATTTTTTTACAGAATGTGCCTTCAGTCTCACATCTCAAAAGTCTTCACAGTGCAGAACCTACAGTGTGAAAATTTTCTCCTAGTTTATCTTCTTAATGTTTTATAGTTTGAGGCTTTACATTTAACTCCATAATACATTTTGAGTTAATTTTTTAATTTTTTTAATATTTATTTTTTTTGAAA
The DNA here is from genome assembly GCF_000001405.40 of Homo sapiens. Classification (NCBI taxonomy): domain Eukaryota; kingdom Metazoa; phylum Chordata; class Mammalia; order Primates; family Hominidae; genus Homo; species Homo sapiens. The sequence continues at coordinate 225,852,580 of NC_000002.12, forward strand.
CGGAGTCTTGCTCTGTCGCCTGCCCAGGCTGGAGGGCGGTGGCGTGATCTCGGCTCACTGCAAGTTTTGCCTCCCAGGTTCACGCCATTCTCTTGCCCCAGCCTCCAGAGTAGCTGGGACTACAGGCGCCCACCACCAAGCCCGGCTAATTTTTTTTGTATTTTTAGTACAGACGGGGTTTCACCGTGTTAGCCAGGATGGTCTCGTTCTCCTGACCTTATAATCAGCCCGCCTCGGCCTCCCAAACTGCTAGGATTACAGGCGTGAGCCACCGCGCTCGGCCCTTGAGTTAATTTCCGTATAAAGTATGAAGTTTAGGTTTTGTATAAAGTGTGAGGTCTACTTTTTCTGTCTGTAGATGCTGAATTTCTTCAGTATCATTTATTGGGGAAGCAATCCAGCTGCTGCTGAATTGCTTTGCTCCTTTGTCAAATATTAATTGGGCATATTTATATAAATCTATTTCTGGATTCAGTACTCTGTTCTATTGATCTATATGGACATCCTTCCACAAATACCCCACAACCATGTAATAAGGAGTCATATAACTGTAGCCATATGATAACTGTAGCTGTATAATAAGTCTTAAATTCAGTTAGGATGATTCCTCTCCCTTCATTTTTTTTTCAGAATTATTTTAGCCTTTCTAGTTATTTTACCTTTTCATATACATTTTAGAATAGTCTCATTTGCAAAAAAAAAAATCTTCTGAGACTTGATAGGAATTACATTAAACCTGTATATCAATTTGAGAAGTCACATCTTTATTAATACCCATGGAAATGGAATGTCTCTCATTTATTTGATTTTTTAATTTGATTTTTTCATTAGCATTTTCTCATTTTCAGCATAGAAGTCCTATGCATATTTATTAGACGTATACCAAAGCATTTTATTTTCAATCTATTGTAAATAGTACTGTATTTTAAATTTTGGTTTCCACATGTTAATTGCTAGGATACAAAAATACAGTTGATGTTTGTAAGTTTATCTTTTTTCTTGGGAACTTGCTGAACTCACTGAGTCCTAGAAGATTTTTGTGGATTCCTTGGGATTTTCTACATAGACTATTATGTTATCTGCCTATATGTAGGCAGTTTTTAAAAAAAATTCCTTTCCTGTCTATGTGCTTTCTATTCTTTAAAATCTTATTGTGCTGGCTAGAATTTCTATTATTATGTTGAATAGTAGTGGTAAGAGAAAACATTCTAACTTCCTTACTCTAATTTTTTTCTGTAGATATTCTTTACCAAGTTGAAGAAATTTTCTATTTCTAGTTTCCTGAGACTTTTCATTGTGAATGAGTGTTGAGTTTTGTCAATATTTCCTTTTATCAATTGATAAAATTTTATGATTTTTTTTTCCTTTTAGTCTGCTTATATTTTGGATCACAATAATTTCCAACTACTGTACTAGCCTTCATTTCTGCTACAACTCGCACTTGGTCATACGTTACTGAACCATATTTTATAATGTGTTAAAATTTTTGGATGTATATTCATGAAAGGTATTGGTCAGTAGTTTTCTTTTTGTGTGTGTGCTATCTGTCTGGTTTTGGTAATAAGGTAACATAAGCTACTATAATAAGTTAGGAAGCATTCCCTCCTCTTTTTTTTGAAAGAGACTATATGAGATTTGTCTTAATTTTTATTTAATTATTTGGTAAAATTATTTGGTACCATCTGGGCCTGGAAAGTTTTTTTTTCAGGATATTTAAAATTATAAATTAGGCTGGGCGTGGTGGCTCACGCCTGTAATCCTAGCACTTTGGGAGGCCGAGGCAGGCAGATTACCTGAGGTTGGGAGTTCAAGACCAGCCTGGCCTACATGGTGAAAGCCTATCTCTACTAAAAATACAAAAAATTAGCCGGGTGCCATGGCGTGTGCCTGTAATACCAACCACTCTGGAAGCTGAGGCAGGAGAATTGCTTGAACCCGGGACGCAGAGGTTGCGGTGAGCCAAGATCATGCCACTGAATTCCAGCCTGCACTACAGAGTGAGACTTTTTCTCAAAATAAAATAAAATAATAAATTAATTTCCTTTATAGGTATAGGTCTATTCAAATTACTTCATATCTGGTAAGATGTATTAATTTGTATTTTGATAAATTTTTCTATTTCACATAAGTTGGCAAATTTATGTATATAAAGTTGCTCTAAGCATTTTTCTATTATCATTTTGATGTCTTAAAGAACTGTAGAGACATCTTGTTTTATTTAGGATACTGGTAATTAGAGTATTCCTTCTTTTTTTCTTGTCAGTCTTCGTTAGAATTTGGTCAATTTTATTGGTCTTTTTCAAAGAACCTGCTTTTTGTTTCATTAGCTTTTCTCTATTTTGTTGTTTTTAATTTAATTATTTCTGTTTTTATGTTTTGCAATTTCCCTTTTCTGCTTATTTTAAGCTAATTTTTGCTCTTCTTTTTCTAGGTTCCTTAGGTTAGTGCTTAAATGGTTAAGATTTTCTCCCTGTGCTAATGTATGCAATTAATACTATTTATTTTCCTCTCAGTACCTCCTTAGCTGTGTCCCACAAATTTTGATAAGCCATATTTTTATTTTCTTTTAGTTTTTATTTTTCTTCTAGTTCTTAAAGTTTCCCTTGAGACTATCTCTTTGACCCATGGGTTACTTACAAGTATGCTATTAAGTTTTTAAGTTTTTGGATATTTTTCATCTGTATTTCTGTTATTTTCAATTAATAGTAGTCAGATAAGATACTCTGTATAATTTCAGTTATTTTCAGTTTGTTGAAGTTTGTTTTAGGGCAAATAACATGTTCCACCTAAGTATATATTCTATAGGTACTTTTAAAAATTGTATTTGGCTATAGTTTCATGGAATGTTCTATAAATGTCAATTAGATCTTTCAGTTGATAGTGTTTTTATTTATATCCTTGCTAATTTTCTAATTGTTCTATCAACATTTAAGAGAATAATGTTTAAGTTTCCAATTGTAATTGTGGACTTGTCTATTTTTCCTTTCAGTTCAATAAGTTTTACTTCACATATTTTGCAAACCTGTTGCTTTGTGTATACATATTTTCTATCTTTGTGTCTTCTTTGTGGATTCACCCTTTAAAATGGTGTAACATGTTTCTGTTTCTGATAATTATATTTATTTTAAAATCTACTTTATTTGAAGTTAATGTAGTCACTTCTGCTTTCTTTTGATTAATGTTTGTATTATATATCTTTTTCCTTCCTTTTATTTTCTACTTACTTATATCACTATATTTAAAGTGCATTTCTAGTAGATAGCATATAGTTGGTTCATTTTTTAAACCAAACTGCAATCTCAGTCTCTGTATTTTAATTGATGTATTTAGTCCTTTTATATTTAATGTAATTATTTGTGTGTTATGGATCAAGTGTAGTGATTTATTTTTTATTTTGCTTCATTCTGTTATTTATGTTTTTTGTTTTCTTGCTTTCCTTTGAGTTAGCTGAATATTTATTTAGACTTCCATCTTGATTTATTTAGTCAACCAATATTTTAATAATTTCAGTAAAGTGCAGAGATCATTACTCCCTCCCACTTTCAATATAATTGTCTTAAATACTGTATAAACACTGAGGATCACATTACACAGTATTATAATTTTTTGCTTCACTCTAAACATAATTTAGAAAGCTCAAGAAGAAAGAAAAATCTATTGTGTTACCATATTTTTCCTCTTTTCACTCATTCGTCCTTCAAAATATTCCAACATTCTTTCTTTTATTATTTCATTTTTGTTTGGAGAACTTCATTTTGCCGTATTTTTAAAGAGAAGGTCTGCTGATAACAAATTCCCTTTTTTTAATCATCTAAGAATGTCTTGCTTTCTCTTCATTCATAAAGGTTGTTTTGCTAGATATAGAATTCTGAGTTGACAGTTATTTTCTTATTTTTTTTCAGCACTTGAAAAATTATACCCTGCTTCTTTCTGGCCTTCATGGTTTCTAGCTGGAAACTAACTTTCCATTTTATTTCCACTATAAATAAGATATTATTTTTCTCTGGATGCTTTAAATATTGTTTTGTCTTTATTTTTTATAAGTTTGACTATGATATGTCCTAGTGTGTCTTATCATATATAATGAGGGAAAAAATACAGTTACCAGGGGTCTGAGTTTCAAGAAAATAGATCAATAGGCCAGGTGTGGTGGCTCATGCCTGTAATCTCGGCACTTTGGGAGGCCGAGGCATGCAGGTCTCTTGAGCTCAGAAGTTCAAGACCAGCCTGGGCAATATGGCAGAACACTGTCTCTGCAAAAAATACAAAATTTAGCTGGGTGCGGTGACATGCATCTGTGGTCCCAGCTACTTGGGAGGCTGAGGCAGGAGAACTGCTTCAGCCTGGAAGGCAGAGATTGCAGTGAGCCAAGATTGACCCTTATACTCCAGCCTGGGTGATAGGAGTGAAACTGTCTCAAAAAAAAAAAAAAAAAAAGATCAATAATGTAGCAGCCAGGGAAAGAATTAAGGGCACGCAGAAGAAAGCTATAACACTGAAGAAACACTTGTGAAGGTCATAGGTCTGAGAAAGATGCCAACTAAAAGTTTGAAGATTTAATTATAGCATTATAAAAGCTCTCCTCACCCGCACTTTACCACCATGTAACACAGCTCAACTATAATAAAAACAAATTGCTGCTGAAAGAGCTTCTCTGAGGAGAAGTATTTGAGAAAGCCCAAACTTAAAAGAGGAAACAAAAACAATGACACTAAAAAAATTTGGAACCTTATATATATGTAACTACAACACTGTATAAATGCAACCTAACATCTAGCCAAAGTAACAAATATCCTCACAATAAATGCAAGTTTACTTCCCTGTAATCCAAAGAGTATGTTCAGGTTTCAACAAGAAAATTAAAAGTCATGCCACAAAAGAAAAGAAAACACAATATGATGAGACAAAGCAATCATGGTTAAGAAATTTGCAAAATTAATGACAAGCCCCAAACTATATATTCAGAAAGTTCAGAGAACACCAAAATTATAAATACCAAAAAATAGTCAAACCAACAAAACAACCTAAGTATATCATATTCCAACTACAATCAATCAAAGTCAGGGAGAAATTCTTTAAAGAATCCAGAAGGAATAAACACTTTAACTACAGTAAAACAAGGACAAGAACTAGAGTGAATTTTTATTTGAAACCATGCAAGCAAGAAGAGACTAGCCTGAAGTATCTCAAGAGTTAGAAAACAAATCAACTAAAATTCTATATTCAGCAACATTTTTCTTCAAAAGTGAAGTAAATTATATATTCTTAGACAAACAAAAACAACTCTAACTCTGGCATACCTTTCCTGGAAGAAATTTTAAAAGAATTTCTTCAGGCCAAAGAAAAACGGTATATGTCAGAAATCCGTATCTATGGAAAGGAAGGAAGAACATTGAAAAAGTAATAAGGAAGTAAAATAAAGTCTTATTTTCAATTTTCTTAACAGATTTAAAAGACAACTTCTTGTTCAAAGTAATAACAATAGCATTGTATTTTGTGTTTATAGTCACGTGGATAAGTGAAATCAATGAGTGCAATGTTATAACAACACTTGGGATGAATTTGAGATAGTTGGATTAATATCTACCATGTTTGTAACTGCTTTCTATTCATTCCATATGCTCCTTGTTTCTTCCTCCTAAATTTTTTTCTCACTTTCCCTGGTTTTAGTAAGCACTTTATATGATTCCAATTTATCTACTCTCTCAGATTATCAATTATATATTTTTTAAAAAAACAAGTGTTTGTGCTACAACTTACAATATATACTACTTACTTATCCTGGTCTGCCTTACAATAATTCTATACAGCTTAACATGTAGTGTAGGCATCAGAATATTTCAAATTTATCACTTATAGAACACTTTTTTCAGCAACAGCAGAACATCTACTCTTTTCAGGTTCACATGGAACAATTGCATAGACCATATTCTGGGCCATGGGCATATCTTTAAAAATTTAAGAGACAATAAATCATATAAAATATGTTCTTAGAACTCATTGGAATTAAAAAAGAAATGAATAACAGAAAGGTAGCTGGAAAATCATCAAATATTTGGAAATTTAAAAATACAGTTCTGAATAACCCATAAGTCAAATAAGAAATTTTAAGAAAGGTAAAAATTATCTTGAACTCAATGAATGAAAATTCAACTTATCAAAATCTGTGGGATTCAGTGAAAACAGTATTCAGAGGGAAATATATATATAATGTATATATTAATTAAGAAGATAATAAGAAAAATCCTAAATCAATAACTTAAGCTATAACTTTAAGAAATAAGAGAAAAAAAGGACAAATTAAGCCAAAAGCAATCAAAATGGAGGAAATAAAAATTAGAGCAGAAATCAATGAAATTGAAATTAAGAAAACAGTAAAGAACATCAACAAAATCTAGTTCACTGCAAAGATAAAACAATTAATAAAACTCTAGCTGATAGTGAATAAAAGAGAGAAAACACAATAATCAAAAGTAGAAATGAAAGATGAGCCATCCACACTGATCTCATGGATAGTAAAAACATAAAATGGATAAGAAAATACTGGCCAGGCACGGTGGCTCATGCCTGTAATCCCAGCACTTTGAGAGGCTGATCGTTTGAGCCCAGGAGTTCAAGACTACCCTGGGCAACACAGGGGGATCTCATCTCTACAAAAAATACAAAAATTAGCCTGACATGGTGACCTGTGCCTGTAGTCCTAGTTAGTCAGAAGGCTGAGGTGGGAGGATCGATTGAGTCTGGGGGGTTGAGGCTGTGGTGAGCCAACAGCGCACTCAAGCCTGGTTGACAGAGCAAGACCCTGTCTCAAACAAAGAAAAGACAAGACAAGACTATGAACATTTCTATACCCACATATTTGATAACTTAGTGGAACTTAAATGAAATGAACCAATTTATTGAAACACACAAAATACCAAAATTCACACAAAGAGAAATTGATAACCCGATTAGGCTAATATTTACACTACAAATAAGTGATTTAAAAACTAAAGAAAAAAAATCCATCAGGCCCAGGTGGTTTTGCTCTTGAACTGTACCCACCATTTAAGGAAAAAAAAAAAGACACTGTTTTTCACAATTTGTCCCATACAATAGAACCAGTGGGTATACTTCCTAACTCATACTTTAAGCTCAGCATTACCCTAACACTAAAATCAAGACAAAGACTTTACAAGAAAAAATAAAATAAAATTATAGACCAATAACTACCATGAATATAGATGCAAAATTATCTGCTATAATTTTTGTATATTGAGTCCAACAATGCATACAAATTTACATCACAACCAAGAAAGATTTATTTAGGTATGTAAGGCTAGTTCAGTTTTCAGAAATTAATGTTCTTTGTCTATTGACAGGCTAAAGAAGAAAAGTTAAAGTTATATGATTATATTAACTGACATGAGAAAACCATTCAATACAATCTCATATCCATTCATGAAAAATCATTTAGCAACCTAGGAATAGAGGAGCAGTTTCTCAACTTTATCAAGAACAACAATCTCTACAAGTAATATATTTAATGGTGAGAGACTGGATGCTTTCCTTCTAAGATTGGAAACTAGGGAAAGATATCCTCTCTGACAATTGTTATTCAATATCATACTGGAAGCCCCAGGCTAACTTAAAAAAATTAGAGATTTGAAAGAAACAAAACTATCATTATTTGACAATGATAACATTGTCTATATAGATAGTTTCAAAGAATCTACATAAATACTTCTTGAATTAATAAGTGAGTATAACATAAAAGAAGGCTATACAAAACTAGACTGCTTTCCTATATACAAGCATTGAACAATTATATGATTAAATTACATATCATTTACAATAGCACCAAAATAAGGTGTCTAGGTACAAATATATCAACATATGTGCAAAAATCTGTTTTTAGATGAATTAGTCCATTTTCATACTGCTATGAAGAAATACCCAACACTGGATAATTTATAAAGGAAAAAGGGCTTAATGAACTCAGTTTCACATGGCTGGAGAGGCCTCACAATCATGGCAGAAGGCAAAGGAGGAGCAAAGTCACATATTACATGGTGGCAGACAAGAGAGCGTGTACAGAGGAACTGCCCTTTATGAAACCATCAGATCTCATGAGATTTATTCACTATCATGAGAACAGCATGGGAAAAACCTGCCCCCATGATTCAATTACCTCTCACCGGGTCCCTCCCAGGACACATTGGGATTGCAGAAGTTACAATTCAATATGAGATTTGGGTAGAGACACAGCCAAACCATATCATTAGAAAACTATAGAACACTGATGAAAGAAATCGCAGAAGATCTATATAAATGAGGACAATTCCTTGTACATAAACTGGAAGACTCAATATTAAGATGTTGATTCTTCCCAGATTGACCTATAGAATGTATGTAATCCTAATCAAACTTCCTGAAAGATATTTTGTAGATATCAACAAATTGATTCTTAAATTAATATGGAAAGGCAAATGAACTGGAATAACAACCACAATTTTGAAAAAGAAGAACAAAGTTGGCAACTTACACCTCAACTTCAAGGCATACTATTAAGCTATGATAATCAAGACACAGTGGTAATAGTGAAACAATAGACCTTTAAATCAAAGGAACCCAACAAATTGACCCAAAGAGATTCAAATAACTGGCAAAGATGCAAAGGCAATTCAATGGAGAAAAGATGGTCTCTTAATCAAATGGTGCTGGAACTATTGGAATCCACATGCATAAATAAAAATTTAAAAAGTAAACGAACTTAGACATAGCCCTTGCATATCGCACAAACATTAACTGGAAATAGATCACAGATGTAAATGTTAAAACTATACTTTTTTTTAGAAGAAAACATAACAAAGTGTAGTTGACTTTCAGTTTGGTGATGGATTTTTAGATACAACACAAAATTGTATAACACAAAATTTTGTAACCATTTATAAAATAAAAATGGATAGTTTGGACTTTATTAAATTTTAAAATTCACATTTGTGAAAGAAACTGTTGTGAGAAGAAGATAAGCCACAGTCTATGAGAAAATGGTGACAAAATATATTTCTGAAAAAAGACTTGTACATGAATATGTAAATAATCTTTAATGTCAACAATAAGAAGCCACATAACCCAACCAAATATCTGGATAGACGCTTTACCAAAGAAGATATACAGAGGACAAACAAGGACACACAAAAAAATGCTCAATATAATTTGTCATTAGAGAAATGCAAATTAAAACAACAATGAAATGCTGAGAAATACTTATTGGGATGGTTTAACCCTGAAACTTGATAATAATTATGACTGGCAAGGATGCAGAGTAACAGGAACTCTCATTTATTCTGGGTAGAATGCAAACAGTACAGTCACTTTGGAAGACAGTTTGGCAGTTTGCTACATAGTAAAACACAGTCTTACCACATAATCCAGCAATTGTGTTCCTAGGTATTTACCAAGTTAATTAAAAAACTTATGCCCATATAAAATCTTGCATACAAAAGTTTATAGCAGTTTTATTCAAGATGTTTTTCAATATGTTGTTCAAGATGTTATTCAGTAAACTGTGATACATCTATACAATGGAATACTATTCAACAATAAAAAGAGGTGAGCCACTAAGCTATGCAAAATTATAGATGCATATTAAAAGTATATTTATAAACTGAAGAAGTCATTTTGAACACTGGATTCTGCAGGATTCCACTTTTATGACATTCTGGAAAAGGTAAAATTATACAAACAGAGAAAATAACAGTGATTGCCAAGGACTTGGGTAGAAGAAAGCGTTGAATAAATAGAGCATAGCGGACTTTTTAGATCAGTAAAACTGTTTTGTATGCCATTATGTTGGGTACATGACACTATGTATTTGTTAAAGCGCATAAGACTACACAGTGAAAAAATTAACCTTAATATATACATATTTAAATTTTCATTTAGCAGGTTGGGGGATCCCAAATGGAAGGCAGACTGTGACAAAAGCATGGGACTATATTATAAATGCTGTAAATAATCTCTCTGAAGGGGTTGGGGGTAAGAGTTCTAAGTGACACTGAAAATGAATGGAGACTATAGAACAAAGAGTAAAGGGACATAAATATTGCACTTTGTTTGATAAAGTTATTTCCCATGGGGATATATCAGTAAACAATTCTGAAACCACTGTGCACATATGCAGGAACTGAACAATTAGCTTAAAAAATGGCACATGGTAGGAGTTAGGTTTCTCATGCTGGAGTGGAGGGTTACAGATGAGCAAAAGAAAGAAACTAGTATAATGCATGTGGTAATGCATTAAGTGTTGGAAACATCAATATAAACATGTTTAACTTAATATAAATATAGATATATCAATATAGAAATATATATTCTATAAATATACAGTTATAGAATGTAAATACACAAAGAATATATATAGAAAAAATACATATGTGTAAGTAAATGAGCTAGTATACACATATGTATTTCCTTGCTCTTTCAGCTAAAGGTGTCTGGAAGCAATTATGATCCAGTAGCAATGAGCACAACTTCTGACCATATCTTGGTTTCTAATACCATTCTTCAACAAAAAAGAACCAAGGACCCCTTGAGAAATTATTTATTCTAGATCTGGATTAGAGAGTACACAAAATGAGCCTGGAGCATGTTGCAGTGCCAGAAAAAGTGATGAAGTGCTTTCAAAAAATACACATACACACACATGTGCATGCACGCAAATGCACATATGATATATGATGGGCTATGTCAAAGGGATACAGGAGCCAAGTAAAAGAGCTTCCAGTGGCCAAAGCTAGAATAATTTTAGCAATAAGATAAATAATGTAGTATTGGATTAAAACCAAAGTAAAAAGTAAATAGCCATGAGTCTAGACTTTTACAAAAAATATTGAATAAACAAATTCATGGAGGAGTGTGAACAAACCTCCTACTCAGAATCATTATAAATAATTGATGTAAGTACTATGCTCTCAAGAAGGGCCCACACTAAACGCCCCACTTCTTAAGTGCAGACTGCACATAGTCATGTCCTTTTAAAGAGTACGATACAGAAAGAGGATAAAGAAGTGCTGTGATTTGAATGTGTCCCCCAAAGTTCATGTGTTGGAAACTTAATTTCCAATTTGACAGTACTAAGAGGTGAGACTTTAGGAGGTGATTAGGCCATGAAGGTTCTTCCCTCCTGAATGGATTAATACCATTATTGCAGAAATGGGTTTCTCTTTTGGCTTTCTTCCTCCCCCACCTTTCTCTCACTCTCTTTTGTCTTTCTGTCATGAGATGATGCAACAAGTGGCACTTGCTAGGTGCTGGCCTCTCCATCTTGGACTTCCCAGCCTCCAGAACTATAAGCTGATACATTTATATTTATTGTAAATTAGCCAGTCTTCTGTATTTTGTTACAGCAGCACAAAATGAACTAAGACACAAAGTAACTTTACAGTGGAGAAAACTGACAAACTCTCACTCAGTCAACGATCAAGATGAACTCACCATCAATAAATCAAGCTGATAATATGTAATAGCACTTATTTCTCAAAACAATGCAGCCTAATCATGAGAACAACAGCAGACAAATCCCAATTGGGAACATTACGCAAGGTATCTGACCTATACTCCTCAATACTATCATCGTCAGAAACAGGGAAAGTCCTAGGAACTGTCACAGTGGAGGAAAGCCTAAGGAAGCATGAAAACTAAATTTAATCCAGTATTGCAGATGGGTTTCTGTAACAGAGAAATGACATAGGGTAATAAATAAATAAATTAAATAAATAAATAAAACAGGAAGAACAGATTACATATGGACTTTAGTTAATAATAACCTATTATGATTGGTTTATTACTTGTGAAAATATACTACTTTAAGATGTTAAAAAAAAGGAAAACAAGGTGTGAGATAGCTGGTAACTCTGTACTTTCTTCACAAGATTTCTATAAATCTAAAACCAGTTTTTAATGTTTTATTTAAAAAAAAACTTCCAAAAACTTAAATATATGAGTCTTTGAAAAATGCTGATGTGACAGTAGTCAAAATAATGTAATTGTACATTTAAAAATAACTAAAAGTGTATAACTGGATTGCTCGTAACACAAGAATAAATGCTTGAGGGGATGGATACCCAATATTCCATGATGTGATTATTATGCATCACATGCCTGTATCAAAATATCTCATGTACCCCATAAATACATACATCTACTATGTACCCACAAAAACTAAAAATGAAATATATTTTAAAATGTGCTGATGTGGACTGTGGGAAGCTGGGATATTATTGGCAGCACAGTTGCTTACAAAGTAATTAAGACTCCCATTTTTTATTTCGCATTGTATATTGATGTTTTGTTCATCATTTTCCATCAATATGTCAGTTAGGACTTCCTGTTCTTTCACCATCTCACTTGCTTATACCGACTTTTCTGTCACCTTTCAACTTACAGTTATAATTGATGAAAAATAAACTGAAATGTTTGAGCCAAGGATTTCTAAGGAGGAAAGGAGAAAGAAATAGCAAATAAATTAAATAAAGGAAATCTGTAAATGTTAAGATACCTAAGTGGTAATCAGTTTCCTAAGTGGCAATATTTCCCAGGTGGTACAATTTAGAAAAATTAAATTTCCAACAATAGGTAAAGTGTACCACTTAGTGTTACAAACATTGTTATACAGGATTTTTTAAATGTTGATATTACCAACCATCTTGGACTAGTACACTGATCGCTGTCTACAGCTCCGTTCTTAGTATGCATGCTGTGAGATCACTATATGTGTGAAATAATTTTTAATCGGAACAAGCCCTATTTGATATTTTATAAAAAGACTATATTATGTGGGCAGTGACCTAGGATAGATTTGCTGCAGTAAAGTGCATTGTGCATCACGATTAGATCCAATTTTTAAACTTTAATAATATATTCCTACATCAGCACTATGATTAAAGTATCTAAAATGGTAACTATAGTCAGTCTGGTGGTTTTGGTCTTATTAGTGAATTTAAGGCCAAGATAAAAAAAAATAACTCTTGGTTTGAACCTGTAAAAATAAACTGGTTAAGATTCACCATCTGCAGGAAGAATCCTCATTATGCAATGATGTGTGTATCTGTTGCTAAGGAGATAGGGAACAACTAAGTTCAGTCTTCATGATGAAAGCACATCATCCAAAGTAAAATAAAACAAAAAGAAGCTGCAAGTTAATCAGCTCAATTGTCATGGCACAGTTTAGAGTTAGGAAGTATATATTGGTTTTGACCATATGGTGTTGATGATATTTGATCATTTTTGACCAAAAAATGGAAATGTTACGTGGTTCAACCAAATAAATTCAATCTTCTAGAGTGGTGGGGTCACAAGATCAAGAACATTAGTGTTTTTCTAATTTTCTCAGGGAAGCAAATGATCTGGTTTTTGGCTGAATGCAGCAGTTATTTCCCTAGCAATATTCCTGAGTGGAAGAAGACTGTACATTAGGATATCATACGATCTATTAGAACCGGAATTCCAAAAAGTTTCATCTCCTTTGTAGCATGGTGCTCCATGGTAATATTTGCATATGAATATGTAAATAATCTTTTGGCCTCCTCAGGCAACTTTCCTATCAAAAATGGTTTGGGAAGCTAGACTTCAAGTTTTCAAGCCAGATGTGACTCCTATGTTGAAATGCTAACTTAGAATCCTGGATTATTAACTAGTGTCTTGGAATTTGGTTATATGGGTCAATGCCTCTGAGGCAAATCCATGAAATACATATTGAGCAGCCCTATAGTCAAGCAACTATATTGGGCAATAATAAAAAATTGTGGGCTCGTAACCCCCAAAGGGCTCATAATCCATACCAGGAAATGGATATATACACAAAGTCTAAAGTGCTATGGGATCTAAAAGAAAAGGTGGGTCCTTCTGAATGTTGGAACTGGAGACAATTTCCCAGAAAAGATGAGAGTTGTGCTGGGCTTTACACGGAGAGTCAACACATAGAGAATTGGTGATGAAATTGGTAAAGGAGAGAATGTGCATGGCAATATCATATAAAAAAGTATATCATGTGTGAGGGAAGAGCATATTTTTGATATGGCGAAGTCTTAAGATCCATGACCAGAGGACAGAAAGGTGGAGTTTTTGATAACTGACCAAGTGCCTTAAATACCGTGCTTACTATTTCTGTAGATTGATTGACCCTTTCTGCCTGCAAACACCACCCATGAGTAATATTCTTTCATCAGGACTAAGTCTCATTATGGACCATGACTATCTCTGTGGGAATAGAAAGTACCCTGGGATGGGAGGGTGAAATTATAACTTGTAATTGTAAGGTTCTTAATGTGTCCATCAAGGTTCAACAAACAAAGTCCACCAGGAGCATTGCTGTAGCTAAACAGAGTTAGGTTTACTTATCTGACTGCAACAATGGTGAACACATTCCAAAGGAAAGTTGACAGGACTATGGAGTGGGATTAAGGAGGGACCCTTTATAAGTCTTGGATTTATGTCCAGTGACTTTAAGAAGGAATTAGGGAAGACAAAGTCAGTTCTGAATAGGGCGCTGTGAAGTAACAGAGGCTAGTTTGTGACTGGGTATCTTAATAAATGTGTCGCTGCAGTGGGAAGATCAAAATGGGGCTCGTGTTGTAATGGAAAAAAAAACCAGCAATTACTCACGTTGGTCAGAAGTGAGGAATGTGTAGTCATGTTGTGATAGTACCATGGCTTTGTCTGTGTCCTGGTTTGAGCATCATTTATGTTCTGATGGGAATATTGCCAGCAAGGCTTATCCTTACTTTCACTGGTTGCCAGTAAGTCTGATTTAACTTTTTAGTTCATTGCGTCCCCAGTCATCAATCTCTCCTTTGCTGATTATCTACTGAAAACACATCAAAGTTTATTTGTGTTTGTTTGTTTGTTTGAACAAGACAGGGATACATCTTAATCACCTGAAAATAATAACTATGATAACTTTGTAAAAGATGTATTAAAAACAGGAATCTCTGAAGACATGTAAACTAGTTAGAAGACAATTTTTTCAAATCTAGGTAAAAATTATGGAAGCCTTAGACACTCAGATTAGAAAGAATGAGAAAAAGTCACGGACACTTCCACAGTAGAATTTATGATTTACCTTGCCAAATGATGTGGGTTATCCGGGAGGTGTTCTGAAAGAATGTGCCAATAAGCATATTGAATATGCATATGCAATTAAGCAACTCTTTGAAAATATACATCATGCTAATGCTTTTATATATGCATCATGGTTATTAAACAATAATTGGAAGATGAGCAAAATATAGTCTTTACCTGCCTTTGTGCAGTTCACTGTTAAGAGAGGTATGCAGATATCTCAAAGACATCATGAAAATAAGTGACATAAGAATTACATAGAATCACGGACAGTGGGGAATTAGGACCTTCCCTGAGGACGTAAGCTGGAATTTGGGACTAGAAGTATCAAGAGAAGAGAGAATAAAGGCTAAGGCTGCATCATGAAATACAAATTCAATCTCTAATGCTACCAAGAAACAACATGAACATACAATATAAAGAACTAATTATTAAGCAACTAAGAATGCTATTATAGAGTGGATATGTGGTGTTGGAGAAGAAAGTAAGTTTGGGGGAGAGTTTAGAAGGTTGGAAAAACAGGTTAGGATATCTGTCTATGCTGATGAAATGTGACTATAAATTGTAGGTAACTGAGAGCCACAAACAAGATCAAGGAGTGAGCAACAGTGGTCTATTTCTATCATATACATTAATTTGGGCTTTTTATATTATCAATAATTGAAACTAAATTGGCCATGGTAAAAACTTACAAGAGTCATTTAATTTATAGTCTACCTTATTTAATATGTACTCTCCTGTACATATTAAACCTGCTTCTGCTTATAAAGACCTCCATTAGATTACACCATTTAATCTAAAATCCAGTTCCAGTATTAACAATCATCATTGCCCGGAGGTTTTGGTTTTTCTTCCAGCAGAAAGGTAGCTGCTTTCTTCTCTGGCTTGCTGGATCCTGCATCCTAGTAACCATGGAGCTGTGATCACTGTACCTTGAAGTCACAATCTCTACCACAGCCTCAGGAGCACTGGAGGCAGGCAGTTTAATTTGCCTTCAATAAATTAGGAAAGTATACTTTGTGGATGCACATCAGAACATTCCGTGCCTTTACAATTTTGCATTCCTTTTTTCTGGACTTTCTGAAAAGCTTCTCTCTAGGCTCTCAGTAAGCAGATTTGCTAATAAATAAACTCTCTGCATCTCAGTGTGCTACATGTAGAGTGAGAGAACCACCCGCCAACACCCAGGTATTTTAAAATCCCAACTCAAAGACTAAGAAGTCATGAAGCCCCCGGTAGTACTCACTATCCAAGAATGGTAACAGATAAGGACATGTTAATAATCAGAACCAGATGTGATGCTCAGCTGATAGGCACCTGGCACTCACTTAGGTCGTTAATATTCAGAATATTCCAGCAAAAACTGCTCAAACAGTCTTCTGTAGTTTTACTCTGTGGTGAAGCCATTCTAGAGGCTGAGTATAGAGTTTTAGTGATGTATTCTGTGGCATTTTAAATACCATCTTGTTTCTTCCCCTTCGTATTATCAGCCCTCCCTCCACACCTTCCTTGGCTACCTCCACTATCTGCTGGTTCCTGAAACCACATTTCTATCTTACAAGTTAATCGGGCTGGAATGCTCTCTGACTTCCATTTCTCAAGCTCCCTCAGTCACAACTCCAGGTCTTCCATCATTTCAGACAACTGATGAAATAATTTGTGAAAGTAATTTGTTTTCTAGTTTTATTGTAGTTTTCTAGTTAACCACTTTAGTTAGTTTTATTATTTGTTCATCTGGAAGACTTTCCTATCAAATATTATTTTAATCTGGCAATATCTTTGATTTGTATCACATTTTTAAGCATTTTATGTATACATGTAAATTTATATCTAAAAACTTATAGTATATATGTATTCATATGTGTGATATATATGTATATACATGATATATGTGATATATGTATATAAATTATATATATAGTCTACATTTGCTTCCTACTTCATGCAAAATATCTGTTCTTTTAAAATGAAAATTGCTTTAGGATGGGGATTAAATTTCTGCCATACTTGTTTCATGCTCATTATTTTATGTATTGTTGGTATAGTGAGCAGAACATCAAGAAGGACATAGTATATGAAATAAATGTACACATATATACAGAAAAGCTTATATGTTTTTACCTTTAAGAATTTAATATTACCTACATATAGTACATATTTGTATCAGTCAGGGTTCTCCAAAGAAATAGAACAAATAGGATATACAGATACATAGTTTATCATAAGGAATTGGGTCACTTAGTTATGGAGACTGAGAAGTCCCAAGATCTGTTGTCAGGAAGCTGGAGACCCAGGAGAGTCTATGGTGTAGCTCTAGTCCAAATGCCATCAGGCTTGAGACCCAAAAAGAGTGGTTATTTCCATTTGAGTCTGAAGGCATGAAAAAATGCCCCAGTTTGTAGCAGTCAAACAGAAGGAAATTTCCTCTTACTCATAGAAGGGCCAATCTTTTTGTTCTATCTAGTTCTTCAGTTAATTAAATGGGGCCCACACACACAGGGAGAGAAATTTTCGTTTCACACTCTACCAATTCAAATGTTAGTCTTATCCACAATACCCTTACAAACAAACCCAGAATATTGTTTGACCAAATAGCTGGGCACCCTTCGTCCCAGTCAAATTAACACATAAAATTAACCACTGCAACATTCAAGCTATATACCTACCTAAAGGGTACTTGTTTTAGTATCAGATAAAGAATATTCTGTGGTTTTGGAATTTAAAATGGGTTGATTGACATCATGTTAAAAAGTATTTTACATATTAAATTTATAACATGCTTCATTTTTAAAGATGTGAACTCACAAACCACACATTTATTGCCTATGCTCATTTTTCCTTTTCTATGGATACTTTATTTTATTTTATTTATTTTATTTTCTATTATACTTTAAGTTTCTATGGATACTTCAAAAAGAATTTAAAAAGAAGTAAAAAAAGAGCTCCTTTATGTTTCAGTAAGCATATTAGATGTGCATATAGAATTAATATATGTATAATATAGTCAAAAAGAAAGAAAATGTCTACTGGGAACAATTAGTTGCAAACAAAAATATTCCATCACTGTCATACATGACCAAGGAAAGGAACAAAACCCTTCTCTATTGGTTGCTCTGGTAAATGTTATTTTTAATTTAATTTAAACAAAAGACATATTGGCCAACAAATT
Source organism: Homo sapiens (assembly GCF_000001405.40). Lineage (NCBI taxonomy): Eukaryota > Metazoa > Chordata > Mammalia > Primates > Hominidae > Homo > Homo sapiens. The sequence goes on from NC_000002.12 coordinate 225,870,851, forward strand.
AAAAGTCATATCCTTGGAACATTAAAATGCCTCTGCTAGTTTTTGTTGTCAAGTCTGATTCCAACAATATTCTTTAATGTTGGTTTCTAAGATTTAATAATTTATTAAAATTTTATTTTGGGGTAATTGTATATTTACATGCAATTGAATGCAATACAGACAGTCCCTGAATCATGATGGATCCACTTATGATTTTTTTTAACTTACAATGGTGTAAAAGCGATATGCTTTTAGTACAGTATTCAATAAATTGTGTGAGATATGAAATAGGCTCTTTGTGGGCCGGGTGTGGTGGCTCATGCCTGTAATCCCAGCACTTTGGGAGGCTTTGGCAGGCAGATCACCTGAGGTCGGGAGTTCGAGACCAGGCTGACCAACATGGAGAAACCCCATCTCTACAAAAAAATACAAAATTAGCTGGGCGTGGTGGCACATGACTGTAATCCCAGCTACTCAGGAGGCTGAGGCAGGAGAATCACTTGAACCCAGGAGGTGGAGGTTGCGGTGAGCCAAGATCATGCCATTGCACCCCAGCCTCGGGAAGAAGAGCAAAACTCTGTCTCTAAATAAATAAATAAATAAATGGGATTTCTGTTACATGATCCTGCCTAATTGTAGACTAATATAAATACTCTGAGTATGTTTAATTTGGTTAGGCTAAGCTATAATGTTCGGTAGGTTAAGTGTATTAAATTTATTTTTGACTTAAAATATTTTCAACTTACAGTGGGTTTATTGGGCTGTAACCCCACTGTAAGTTGAGGAGCATCTGCACAGAGAAATCCCTCCGCCCTTCACAAAATTTCTCCAATGAAAACTTCTTGCATAACTCTAGTATAATATCATAGCAGGAGAATTAACCTTGGTACAATCCACTGATTTATTCAGATTTCACAGTTTTATGTGCACTTATTTGTAGGGGTGTGTGTGTGTGTGTGTGTGTGTGTGTGTGTAACTTTGTCACATAGGGCTATTTTTGAAATTGCCACCACAGTCAGGATGTAAGATTTCAATGTTTTTTAAGCTATCAGTGATCATCCTGACAAGTTAGTTCATCAAAGAAACTAACTTAACAGAAATGAACTAACTTAATAAAGATGTATTAATGTTAACAAAAATGTATTAATGATAAAATGTATTAATGATAAACAGAGAGAAAAACAGATAAAATTTTAAAAGCACTGACTTAGAGTTGCCCGAGTTAAAGGACCACTAAGGCTTGTGGGTTGAGCCTTTCTCATGACCACTCCCCTTTCCAATGAATCCCCACAATGTGAAAGGTTCTATTCCTTGGTGATATGGTTTTGCTGTGTCACCTTGAATTGGAATAATCCCCATGTGTCAAGGGTGGGTTGAATGCAGATAATTGAATCATGGGGGTGGTTTCCCCCATACCATTCTCATGGTAGAGAGTAAGTCTCCTGAGACCTGACGGTTTTACAAATGGGAGTTCCACTGCACAAGCCCTCTTGCCTGCTGCCATATAAAACATTCCTTTGCTTCTCCTTCGCCATCCACCATGATTGTGAGGCCTCCCCAGCCATGCAGAACTGTGAGTCCATTAAACCTCTTTCCTTTATAAATTACTCAGTCTCAGGTATGTCTTTATTAGCAGCATGAAAATAGACTAATACCCTTGGTTTGCAGAGATTCCCAACTTTTTAATAGCTTGCATTTTATTTTTCCTTATTCAAGTCTGAACTTCATTGGCACATTGAACCATATGCCAGATAAAATTGTTTACCCACCAATATGCGCCTTTATACCTATTAAGAAAGCTAGCTCTCTCTATTCACTGATTTTGCCTTTGAACATTTTTAGCATCATATACATCATAGGTGAAATTAATCATAGCATCATCTAGTACCATACAAAGGTTTGCATATGAAACTCTACTCTGCAAGTGCGTACTAGTACCTTTTGGACTCCTAGCTTATTCATCTCTAATATTGTGATAATTTTGTAACTATTCTAATTTATGAAAATAAATGCATGAAAATTGCCTAGGATAGTGCCTTGCATGTAGAAATCCATAATAAACATTTGTCCCTTTTCTGCCATCTTAAACACACACACACGTACACACATGCACACACAAAGTAAGAGAGAAGAAAAGAAGAAAAGACTCAGCTTATAGGTTAAATATCATTTTGGAGCAAAGCCGAAAAGGCAGAAAGAAATCACCATATCCTCAATAATCAAGTGTAGAGCTGGTTTAGACAAGCACTGATGGTATTACTAAAAAGAAAATGACCTAGTATAGTTTGTACTCTTTGTGGCCTCCGTCAAGACAGCTCATCAGGATGAACTGTGCAATCTGCATGCACGGTATCACCCTGCCCTTCATATCCTATGGATAGCCCATTGCTGTCATGCTTGAACCCTGGGATTTCCTTGTAAGCCCTCAAATTTTCCAGGCAGATTCCTGCCTCAGGAATTAGTATTGTTTTCTTCTCTAATTAAATGCTCCTCTCCATGTAGTAGGCTAATCATTCACGTGCTTTAGAGCTTTGCTCAAATTGCTGCCTTTGTAGTTAGGCTTTTCTCGGACACACTATTTAGAAATAAAAAGTAAACTCTTTAGTTTAATTAGATCCCATTTGTCAATTTTGTCTTTTGTTGCCATTGCTTTTGGTGTTTTGGACATGAAGTCCTTGCCCATGCCTATGTCCTGAATGGTAATGCCTAGGTTTTCTTCTAGGGTTTTTATGGTTTTAGGTCTAACGTTTAAGTCCTTAATCCATCTTGAATTGATTTTTGTATAAGGTGTAAGGAAGGGATCCAGTTTCAGCTTTCTACATATGGCTAGCCAGTTTTCCCAGCACCATTTATTAAATAGGGAATCCTTTCCCCATTGCTTGTTTTTCTCAGGTTTGTCAAAGATCAGATAGTTGTAGATATGTGGCGTTATTTCTGAGGGCTCTGTTCTGTTCCATTGATCTATATCTCTGTTTTGGTACCAGTATCATGCTGTTTTGGTGACTGTAGCCTTGTAGTATAGTTTGAAGTCAGGTAGTGTGATGCCTCCAGCTTTGTTCTTTTGGCTTAGGATTGACTTGGCGATGCAGGCTCTTTTTTGGTTCCATATGAACTTTAAAGTAGTTTTTTCCAATTCTGTGAAGAAAGTCATTGGTAGCTTGATGGGGATGGCATTGAATCTATAAATTACCTTGGGCAGTATGGCCATTTTCACAATATTGATTCTTCCTACCCATAAGCATGGAATGTTCTTCCATTTGTTTGTATCCTCTTTTATTTCCTTGAGCAGTGGTCTAATTAAACTAAAGAGCTTCTGCACAGCAAAAGAAACTACCATCAGAGTGAACAGGCAACCTACAAAATGGGAGAAAATATTCGTAACCTACTCATCTGACAAAGGGCTAATATCCAGAATCTACAATGAACTCAAACAAATTTACAAGAAAAAAACAAACAACCCCATCAAAAAGTGGGCAAAGGACATGAACAGACACTTCTCAAAAGAAGACATTTATGCAGCCAAAAAACACATGAAAAAATGCTCATCATCACTGGCCATCAGAGAAATGCAAATCAAACCACAATGAGATACCATCTCACACCAGTTAGAATGGCAATCATTAAAAAGTCAGGAAACAACAGGTGCTGGAGAGGATGTGGAGAAATAGGAACACTTTCACACTGTTGGTGGGACTGTAAACTAGTTCAACCATTGTGGAAGTCAGTGTGGCGATTCCTCAGGGATCTGGAACTGGAAATACCATTTGACCCAGCCATCCCATTACTGGGTATATACCCAAAGGACTATAAATCATGCTGCTATAAAGACACATGCACACGTATGTTTATTGCGGCATTATTCACAATAGCAAAGACTTGGAACCAACCCAAACGTCCAACAATGATAGACTGGATTAAGAAAATGTGGCACATATACACCATGGAATACTATGCAGCCATAAAAAATGATGAGTTCATGTCCTTTGTAGGGACATGGATGAAATTGGAAATCATCATTCTCAGTAAACTATCACAAGAACAAAAAACCAAACACCGCATATTCTCACTCATAGGTGGGAATTGAACAATGAGATCACATGGACACAGGAAGGGGAATATCACACTCTGGGGACTGTTGTGGGGTGGGGGGAGGGGGAAGGGATAGCATTGGGAGATATACCTAATGCTAGATGACGAGTTAGTGGGTGCAGCGCACCAGCATGGCACATGTATACATATGTAACTAACCTGCACAATGTGCACATGTACCCTAAAACTTAAAGTATAATAAAAAAAAAGTAAACTCTCAATCACTACTATTCGTGGTGTATTGGTCCATTTTCACAGTGCTATAAGGAACTATCTGAGACTGGGTAATACAAAAAGATAAGAGATTTAATTGACTCATAGTTCCACATGGCTGTGGAAGCCTCAGGAAACTTACAATCGTGACGGAAGGTAAAGGGGAAGCAAGGCATGTCTTACATAGCAGCAGGAGAGAGAGAACAAGTGAAGGGGGAAGCTGCACACTTTTAAACAACTAGATTTCATGAGAATTCATTCACCATCAGGAGACTAGCAAGGGGGAAGTCCACCCCCATGATTCAATCACCTCCCACCAGGCCCCTCCTCTGACACATGAGGACTACTATCCTAGATGAGATTTGGGTGGGGACACAGAGCCAAACCATATCACCTGGGAATCCTCATCATGGGGAATCATTTTCCATAATTCTTATTGCAATCTGACATTCTAATATATATGCCTGTCTCCTCCCTTGAATCCTAATTAGAATGTTCAGCTCCACAGGCTTAATAGAAGCTCCATAAAATATTGACTGAATAAATGAATGAATTATAACTCACAGATAAGAGAAGACAAAACGGTTGAGCAGTAAAATACTAAGAAGTTAGAGGAAAGAAGTTATTGGAAAATGTTTATCAATACAACGTACACAATTGCTCGATGCCCATAGTTTTTTCCCAGTGGAAGATAGCTCTGGAGATTATTTCCTCTGCCCAAATGGGTAGAAGCACTTTCAAGCCCGATACAATCACCCTCCACTTTCCCTTCTAGGGTGACCAACTCAGCCAGGTTTGGCATGGACTTTCCCAGTTTTAGCGCTGAAAGTCCTTCATCCAAACTAATATTCCACAATCTCCTTCAGTTCCAGGAAACCTGGAATAGTTGGCCACCTTACATCCAACCCATCAACAAGTCTATCAATATTACCTTGCTAATGCCTCTTGAATCCATCCAGTTTTGTCGATCTCCTTGTTTCTATCCTAGTTCTACCTATCATCCCTTCTCAGAATGGGTCATAAATAGCCTCCTACTTGATCTAAGCAGAGGCACCTTGAATATCCTCTAATTTCTTGCACTGCCCAGCATAAAACTGTATTGAAGCACGCTACTTCCCCTGCTAGAAACTCTTGAATGAATGTCCTATTGCTCTCAGAATAGTGGAACTTAATATGGACTTGTAGGATCTGGTCCCCAGCTTCTCCTCCAGCCTTGTCCTATACCCTTGTTTTCACTCCAGGCTACTCTCAGGCCCTCATCCTCATCACACTCCCTTCTACCACAGGGCTTTGGCACATGTCCTGCCCCATGTGCATAATGTTCATTTCCCTCCACTTAGCCTTATCCCTTCTTCTCACCTTTCAGACCTACTTCAAACATTCTTAACTCGGGGAAATACAGCCGGACTTTCTGATTTGGCAGATTGTCCAAATGTAAAGCCATGGACTTTTTTTTTCTGATATCTATTGTCGCAGTCACAATTTATCCATTTTTGTATGATTATTTGACTAATATCTGTCTCCTCTACTAGATTTTAAGCCCCACTCTTGAGATGCCTATATTCATCTCCCTTGACACAGAGTAGGCTCCTGAAACATTTTTGAATACATAAATGAATTAAGGAAGCAAGCACACCAAAGCAATGTGAACAAAATATAAAGCCCCATAAACATGTAAAGAGACAAAATATCTCTGGGCATAAGTAAGTAGCCTCAGGCATTTAGCAGAAGGTGTATCAGCAAAATTCCCACATATCTCAGCAATAAAATTGTTACAGACTTTATAGTAGTGAAGAGGTAAAGAATAAGAATTATCTACAACTAACAAAGTTGTGTAAGGGAAAAACTGCTTGCCATATACAGACTAAAATAAATAGCAGCTGAACTATGGAGAGAGAGAGAAACAAAAAGATAGAGACAAACAGACTTTGATTTTCTGGATAATTAATTACAGATCATTTTCTTAGACACATTGTATTAACAAATTAACCAGTTTCTGAGTGAGAGTAATTTAAATGATAATGACACACCTCCTGGTGTTATCCTCTTGCCTCGAGTATGGGTGAGACCTGTCACTTGCTTCTAACCAATAGATTATAGGAAAGGTGAAAGAGTTTTGCAGATGAAATTAGGGTCCTAAATCAGTTGACTTTCAGTTAATCAAAAAGGAGATTATATTAGGTGAACCCCACTCCTCAATCAGGTGAGTCCTTTAAAAGAGGGTCTAGAGGTTGTACATAGAAGTAGACATATTCTGCCGCTGGCCTTGCGGAAACAAACTGCCATGTAATTGCTTATGGGGAGGGTTTCGTGGCAGGCAACTGCAAGTGGCTTCTAGCTGCTAGGAGTCTCAGTCTTACAACAAATTGCTAATCAGCATGATTATTTGTTATTGAACTCTATGAAATTACCATTATTTTATGCGTCAAAAAATGGTCAAACATCCAAAAGTCTGTAGGATTAAACTCATGTACACAAAGAATTCTATATTGCAGCATGAGAAATAATAACACACTTCATGGCTTAACCTAGCATCCATGTATTATATCACTGTATCTACAGGTCAGAAGTCCAGGCACAGTTCCACTGGGTTCTCTGCTCAGGGTCTCACGGGCTGAAATCAAGGTATCAACTTGGGGGAGTTCCTCACCTGGAGCTCAGGACCCTCTCTCATCTCACATGAATCTGTTTTTGATTACCATCCTAGTAATTTTTAACATTTTATTTTCTTTATTAAGCATTTAGAAAACCACATTAGATAGAAATATGAATTAAAAGGACTTTGTCTGATTATAATACATGATATTATGTTAATTTAACCTAAAGAGGCCAGGTAAATAGCATCCATTAACGAAAAGTGCCTTAAGATGCATTCCAATAGAAATCAATCATTTGCTATCTAATGGCATTGGCTATTTAATAAAGATTCTGGGAAAACTGATTGGATCATTTTATAAAGTAGCTGAATCCCTCTGGGCAAAAGAACAAGCTATAATAATATCTTTGCTATTATCTGGAAGACATTCTGATACATGAATATCAACAATTTAACTTCTCTCCACCCCCTTATTGTTTTGCATAAAAATTTAAATTTACTGTATTTTATAGATGGTTAGAGAACTAAACTGAAGGCAGCTACCTGTCAAAAGTCATGTGCTTCACTGACCCTTTACACAAGGGTAACATGTTTTTATATCAATGTACATGCCATGAACACAGCTAACCTAAAGTGTATGTCAATAAGAAAGAAGATAAGAAATGCTCTTAGTGGTTGCTTCAGCATCTGGCAGAAAAATACCACTTATCATGATGTTTCAAGTTAATTTGTTTTTTTTTTTTGAAGTATTCTTTGACATTATATATAAAACATGTGAAAGGAAACTGATTGCTTAGTAAGGGTAGCTATATCTCCGCTATAGAAGTAATTTAGTTTTGATTCCTTTTTAGGCAAGCATTCAGGAAGGCATTCACATGTAAAACAAACTTAATTACTTTAAAAAAGCGTAGTAAAATATTGTGGAAAAATAGAGATCATTAGTTTTATGTGGAAACTTAGAATTTTCTCTTATTCCAGAAAAGCACACTGAAAAAATAGATTCTCCATTTATTTTCATTTTGTTTCATTTCATCCCCTTTCCTTCCTTCCTTCCTTCCTTCCTTCCTTCCTTCCTTCCTTCCTTCCTCCCTCCCTTCCTTCTTTCCTTCCTCCCTTCCTTCCTCACTTCCTTTCTTCCTTCTTTCCAACTTTCCTTCCACAAATGTTTGTTGAGTCCCTACTACGTGCCAGTGTCCTGGAGACACAGTGAACAAAACAGACATGATTCTTGCCCTCATATTAGGGAAGACTGTTTAAAACAATAAATATGTAACATTGAAAACAAATAATATGAAGAAAAACTTTTGCAGTTAAGGGGGTTAGGCTGATGGGGGTGGCTACTTTAGATACTGAAAGAAATACCTGTTGGAACATTCTGGGGATCAAGTGAAGTGTGCATACTCACTTTGGTTTTCCTAATATACTGAGCACAGGAAAGGTGAGCTCCTTCTCTGTCCTACGCTAGGAATAATGACTTCTCCCTTCCCAGCTTCTCAGGCTCCCCTTTGCTCATTCTAGAGCAAGCTTGTCCAACCCATGACCCACGGGTTTCATAGAGCCCAGGACAGCTTTGAATGAAGCCCAACAAAAATTCATACACTTTCTTGAAACACTAAGAGCTTTTCTTGAAATTTTTAAAAGCTCATCAGCTTTCGTTAGTGTTAGTATGTTTTATGTGTGGCCCAAGACAATTCTTCTTCCAGTGTGGGGCAAGAAAGCCAACAGACTGGACATCTGTATTCTACAGTAAGAAGCCTTGAATTTGCAGAGAACCAAAAGCAGCCCTGTGCCACCAGCTGATGTTCTAAGAGTCTCTCCTTGCCTAGGTGTAGTTGACTAGGGTAAAACATTTACAAAATTTTCTCATGAAGGGCACAAGAGATGATGCAGAGATGGTGCTAAAAAGCATAGTTTACAATAGCCAGTGAGAGTGCCTGGTGAGAAGGAATATTACAGGAGGGCATTTGGAGGGGGCACAGGAGGACTCGGGGTCGAGAAAGAAATGGGAAAGGATCTCAGAGGCTAAATTTCCATATTTTGCACTGCAGCTGGCTGGTGGTAATAGTGTTTTTAATCTCCAAAAATGATCACAGGTTGTCCTGCTACACGTGAAGCCTTAAAGTGTGCACACATGAAGTCATGTTAATGAAATTTATCTAACTGGGGCATCCATGACTAACCATATTTTGAAAACTTGATCAGCTTGGAAAGAGCATTAACTTTTCAGCTACAGGAAATGTGGTATAAGTTCCAGTTCTATGATTTATACACTCTGTGATCTTGGACAACCTCTCACTTTAATCTTAGTTACTCAGTATTTCAATATGCATGGCTACTATATTTTCAAGGTGGAGTGGACCTTTTATCGGTATAGGTAAGCCCTGTGGTGATTGAATATATTCTTTCCCTAATTTTTACCGTGACATGTTTATTTTACTTCATTTTTTCCTTTCTATGCCTGTAGTGTCTTATTTAACTCATCATTTCTTCTATTTCTGGACCATGTTGGATTAGCTATATTTCTTATAAATAGTAACTGGGAATTTTGCCTTATGATTGAATTTGAGTGTTTCTAACTTTTAAAATAAAGTTTGAACAAACCAAAGGGGTTATACGGGAATATTTTAAATCATAATACATCTGGTCATTTTTTAAGGCTCATTCCATTTTGTTATTGTTTCTTTGTCATTTACTTTTTGTTCTTTTCTCATTTTTCTATTTCTATATCACTCAAATTCTAACTTTTGCTTTGTTACAGTGTTGTTCAAATTTATCTTTTCATCCTCATGTAGTAAAGATAGTATGACTTTTTGTGTGAAGTGTTACTTTTCTACTGGACTCTTGTAGAAGGCTTGTTTCATACTGAAAAAAAAAACCAGAACAGATTCTTAGATGTTTAATTTCCAATTAATCACAATAGGGTATTAGAAAGTTTGAACTTTAATCTTTAAGGATGAGTGATTTATATTTGGTGACTTGTAAGACATCAAGTGTAGCAATCTTTGACTTAAATATGACAATATAATATAAATTCTGATTAAAATTTTGCAACCTTCTTTAATACCTTCTTACATATAATCTACTTTTATTTTATGTGATTTTTTTAGGGATGGGGTCTCGCTATATTGCCCAGGCTGGAGTGTAGTAGCTACTCATAGGCATGAATATAGTGCACTGCAGCTCAGGATTGCCTGAGCCTAAGATTCCCAGGTAGCTGGGACTACAGGTATGTGTCACCATGCCCAGTCCTATAGTCTACTTTGTAATGGTATTTTACTTAGTTTATTATGATATTTCATGTCCTAGGAAGTGTGAGATAAGGTATTCATATTTTTCCCTTAAAATGTGCCATATTTTCCATGTGGTTCTTTAATAATGTGCTTTCTTTTTCATATGCTTCTTAAATCTATATTTTTAATTTATATAACCTTTTGGTTATCAATAAAAAGCAGTATGAGAAAAGCATTAAAGAAATGACAAATTAGATATAGGTTACTGTGGATATTTTCTTTTCCTCTTGACAGCTCAAAATCACAAAGACAATTTTCCGAGGTTAAAAAATGGGTCCATTTTAAACTGGAATTGCGTTCATCATTGGTGTCACAGTTGGCAATGGAGTGTGACGGGCGGCTGTTAACTCTAGCAACTTGTCATGTGCCAGCTGTTTTGTCACAACTCAAAGGGCCCACAGGCAAATTCTAAGCTGAAACAATTAAATGACAAACAGAATCATATAAAAATAAGACTGAAAACCAGAAGACCTTCAAGTTTCAGCAATCAACAGAGAAGGTAAACTTTTATGGGGAAGTGGTCACCTCAGAAGAGGTGAAGACTTATTTGCCTTCAGTGTCTTTAAAGAACAAAACCAAACACTGCAATTTTTCATGACAGTCTCTTGATTTAATTCACAAAATTCTTAGTCTAATAAATCTATTGTTCTTTGAAAATCTTATAACCAGAATGCTACAGTACAACAAGATTATTTCAAAGATATTTGTTAAAATGCAATTTCCCAAGAGAAACACCTAAATTATAGTCACAATGTAGTCAGCACTCCTTAAGAATTTTAAGATTAGCACATAAAAAACTGGGAAGATTTTCAGGGCATATTCTTGGACATCATACTTTCAACACCATTCATATTCTAATACAAGTATTATCACTTCAGAAAATATGAAGAAGTGATTTTCTAGTTCTTCCCCTTACTTAAATATTTGAAACAAATGGACTCAGCATCATTTGGTGGGGCATTCACCACTAGTTGACTCCTACATCAACTGGCTGAGAGCGTAAGTGATACTTAACAGCTCAAGGTAAAGGATTAAGAAGCAGGGAAGAAATTTCCCACCCGCAAGGGGTTTCAGAATACCCTGGGACCACCCTTCGGCTCTGTTATTGGATTGGACCAGTCCTTGGTAAGACATTGGCCCTCGTGGGGTCACCTCCACTTTGTCAGCATAGTCAGCATCAATATAACTCTGTTATGACTGTTGGAGTCCTAGGACAGAGCAAGCCGGGACAGTTTCCTTCTTTCAGAGGCCCTAGAGCCCAGAACAGGGTGAGCATGGGACACATTGAGAAGGAAGAAGGAGCATTAGACCAAGGCAAGGAGACAAGACGTGAGATGAGTGCTCAAGCTCTAGGATGAGATAAACCTGGATATGAATCCTGACTCCACTGCTAGCTGTGTAGCTATAGACAAGTTATTTCAACACACTGGGCTGTAGCAGTACTTGACCATAATATGAAGAAAGCGTACCTCCTCTCAATGTCATTACGAGGACTTAATCATATGATCTTCATAGGATTATTACTGGAATTTGTAAGTAATACTTTAATAAACATTCCTTATTATTTTAGCTGTTTCTGTTTTTTGCTTGTTTATCATCATTATCATCAACACCATTTTGAGTTTTTAGCTTCACGAAATCTGCTTCAATTTTTATTTCCTCCAGGAAATACTTTCAGTTCCTCTTCCCTTACAATGTAGGACCTCTTCCACCTTGAAACCCATCTCTATCTATTGATGCTTGCCTTATCTTCCGAGACAGTGCCAACTCACTGAGTATAAAGAACTGATTTTATCTGCATGTCCCTATCATATTTAACCTGACACTTTCACGTATGTAAAGCTCAGTACCAGAGCTTAGTATTGTTTGTGGAATTGAATTGCCACCAGGTTTGGATGTAACATGTTACTGGGCTTAATGTCTCCTCATGTAGTTGCAAAAACGGCTATAGTCATGTGTCATATAAAGACATTTCAGTCCATGTTGGATTGCAGATAGGACAGTGGTCCCATGAGGCTATAATGAAGCTGAATAATTCTTATCGCCTAGTAATGCTGTAGCCATCATAACGTTGTAGCGCAATGCATTACTCATGTGTTTGTGGTGATGTTAGTGTAAACAAACCTACTGCACTGCCAATCATATAAAATTAGCACAGACAATTGTGTAGGGGACATATTTGATAATGATAATAAATGACGATGTTACTGGTCGATGTATTTACTATACTATACTTTTATTGTTATTTTAGAGTGTACTTCTTCTACTTATAAAAAAATTAGGTGGAAAATCAGCCTCAGGCAGGTCCTTCTGGAGGTATTCCAAAATAAGGCATTGTTATCACAGGAGATGGCAGGTCCTTGCATGTTTTTTCCCCTGAAGACCTTCCAGTGGGATAAGATATGAAGATGGAAAACAGTGGTACATTTTTTTATCTGAGGTTAATGGATATGTTTGTGTCTTCGTTTCTAATTTTAAAAAGTTTAAAAAGTAAAATGTAATAAAAATGAGAAATTTCAAAAATCGGGAAAAAGATTAAAGAATATGGATATAAAGAAAATATTTGTACAGCTGTACAATGTGTTTGTGTCTTAAGCTGTGCTATTGCAAGAGTCAAAAAAGTTCAAAAAATTAAGAAGTTTATAAAGTATCAAAGTTGTAGTCAGTTAAGGTTAATTTATTGTTGAAGAGAGAAAAACATATTTCAATAAATTTAGTATAGCCTAAATGTATAATGTTTATAAAGCCCACAGTCATATACAGTAATGCCCTAGGCCTTCACATTCACTCACCAGTCACTGACTTCCAGTTCTTCAAGCTTCATTCATGGTAAGTGCCCTATACGGCTGTACCATGTTTTATCTCTTATACTGTTTTCTTGATATATCTTTTCAACGTTTAAATATGTGTAGATACACAAATGCTCACCACTGTGTGACAACTGTCTTCAGTATTCAGAATAGTAACATGCTGTACAAGTCTGTGCCAGGAGCAATAGGCTTTACCTGATAGGCTAGATGTGCAACAGGCTGTACCATCTAGGTTTATGTAAGTTCACTTGATGGTGTTCGTGCAATGACAGAATCATGTAATCATGCATTTCTCAGAAGATATTCCTGTTGTTAAGTGACATGTGACTGTACAGCGGACCCTGGAAAACACAGGTTTGAACTGTGCAGGTCCAATCATATATACATGGATGTTCTTCTGCCTCTGCCATCCCTGACACAACCAAACCAACCCCTCCTCTTCCTCTTCCTCCTCAGCCTAGTCAACACGAAGACAAGGATGAAGGCCTTTATGCTGATTCACTTCCACTGAATGAAAAGTAAATATACTTTCTCTTTCTTACAATTTTTTAACTAACATTTTCTTAACTGCTAATAGATTACTGTTGACTGGAAGCCTTAACCATCACATAGTCAATTAACATACATTTTGTATGTTACATGTATTATATACTGTCTTCTTACCTTATTATAGCTCCAATAGGGGAAGAGGTGGTATTGAAGGGGCCTGGGACTTAGGAAACTTTCAAGCTAGTGACTCAACAATGATTAAAACTGTATTAGCAGATTTATTCTGCGATAATTTCTTGACCCTTGAGAAGTAATTGTAAAGTACCCATGTCATAGAATAAAGCTGCATTACCATGGAAAAGAGCAACTTTTGTCACCAACATTATTAGAGATGTGCTAGAAATCCAATTTCAATTGGATATAAACATTAATGTTCTTCTATTAACATCTTAATCATGAAATAAGGTGTCTTAAATTATGAAATTATAAAATGCCAAATCTGGATGTCATCTAATTCAATTATCCTCTTCTTATTTCTTTAAACAGAGAAGAAGGCATAGACTCAGAATAAGTTTCCCAAAACATACATTATGTTTTTCAAGTTGCAAGCGTTGAAAGCCCAAATCAAATAAATTAGTTACAACAACAACAACGAAACCCCCCAATAACTATAAAACCTAAGAGCAATGCTGTATTCAGGAATAGCTGCGTTCAGGAGCCCAGACATTTTGCAAGGGTTTTGATTCTCTACACATCTCAGGTCAATAGTCCCCTCTTCCCTATGTTGGGTTTCACCCTTGAGCTCTGAGTATGAGCATGGTGACTGCAGCAGCTTCTGCTTCACATGCTTCAAGGTCCAGATCCCACAGGAAAAAGTTCTCTTTTATGTTACCATCTACCCGTGGCTTCACAAAATGCATGAAAATTGCTTTAACTAGACTTGCTGTAGATAAAGTCCCCACTTCTGACCCAATCCTCATGGCCAGGAGAATATAAAGTAGCGATTGGCTTAGATGGCATATAAAGTGGATATTTCATTCTTAAAGTTGGAGGTGGGACTTAGATCTCCTGAGCTAAGAGAGAAGGAAGGACCTCCACAAGCAAAAAATGAGTGAGCTATTACCAGCAGAAAGTAGATTCAAACTGAGGGAGTAAATAACTGTTAAGAACTAATCCAGACAAACAGCCAGCGTGTTCCTTTCACTAAAATATTGCACCCCTTAGAGTCTTTATATAAAAAACATATATACTCCATGCATGTGGTAGGTAGTATATTATTCTCCCATACTTGATGCCTCTCCTGGCAATAAAACTATACTCAGGTGAAACCAGGGACTCACCTTGTGAGCAGAGATACGTGACCCATCTGAGTAGACCCATCAAGGGCCAGCACATGGTCCACCAAGTTTGCTCTTCTTTCTGCCATCATGACCCATAGTACTTCTGCTAGAAGACTTCTCCATCAGCCTGGTTCCCAGAAGTGAAGATGAAACGGGGTACAGACACAGGCAACCTATGAAACACATAGGACATGAGAGAGAGGGACCTTTCTTGATGTGTTGCCCTAAAATTTTAGGATTATTTGTTATCAAAATATAACTTAGCCTGACTGATAAACCTCCTGAAAAGGATCACCAAATTTATTTATCTTTTGGTATTTGTAAACCAAGGAGAATCTTTTCCTCTACTGCTTTTCTGATCTCATTTTACTCCAGAAAAGCTAGGCAAATCAAGGGTTATTTAAATTTAATATAGACTATTTTTGTATATAAAATTAACCATCTTTCACTTCCAGTTCCAAAATGGCGTCACAGAAACAAGTCAGTTTTACTGCCCCCACCGAAAACCAAAAACAAATACACCACATGGCAATTATCATGAGCAATATCCCAGAACTCAAACATGAGAATGAGAGAGTTCCTGGTGTCACAGAGAGATGTAAAACTCTGAGCAGAACAGAATCAGACTCCCGTATCCACAAGTCCCCTATCCCTTTTCTGCCCAGGAAAAAGTACAGTGACAATTTCCTCCTAATTCACAGGTTCTACACTGGAAAAAGTGGGATCAAGGTGGACAACCAGCTTCCCCAGCATCTTGGACTCCCTAGCAGAAACTTTTCCCTGCCTCAACCCACAGGAATCATTGCTAGTGCCTGAAGACAGAAATATCTCTGGGGACATTCCGAGACAAAGTGGGGAGGCAGCACTATCACACCCAGTCCCAAAAACTTTGCTCTGTAACTTGGCCAAAGGAGAAGTGAGATCAGAGTGTCCATGTAACAGCAGAATGATGCAGGAAGGTTGTTCTACAGGCCCTTCGGCAGGAATGCCTAGCTGGCCTTCCCACACTACCAGGATATTACCTTTGGGACCTCTGCCATTCAAGATGGGCACAGTTTGATATGTTACTAGCTCCTAGGCAAACGTGAGCTTAAAGCAGCATCTAGGGCCTAAAAGGAGGCATCAACCTTGTAGGAAAAGAAAGAAAAGCAACAGGTAAATTACAAAGAATATGTAAGTAAACATACCCAATAAAAACCAAAACAAGCCAGACAAAGAAGACTGGAATAAATAACTCATCCTTTAATGCAAAGACATAGACATACATCCACAAGAAACTACAGCAAACAGGGACCTCCTTAAATGGACAAAGAAAGAAACCAGTGGCTGACCTTAAAGAGACAACAACATGTGAAGAGACAATCAACAAAACAAAGTGAAGAGACAACCCACAGAATGGGAGAACATCTTTGCAAACTATCAGTCTGACAGAATTAATAAGCAAAATATATAAGGAACTCAAACAATTCAATACCAAAAAAAGCAAATAATCTGATCTTTTTAATTGGCAAAATATCTGAATAGATATTTTTCAAAAAGGACATGCAAATGACTGAGAAGTCAATGAAAAGTGTTCAACATCACTAATCATCAGAGAAATGCAAGTCAAAATGAGATATCATCTCGCCCCAGTTAAAATGGCTTTTATCAAAAAGGCAGGAAATAAGGGGTGCTGGTGAGGATATGAAGACAGGGGGATACTTGTACACTGTTGGTAGGAATGTAAATTAGTGCAGTCACTATAGAAAACTGTATGGAGGTTCTTTAAAAACTAAAAATCCAACTTCCATATGATTCAGCAATTTCACTATTGGGTATGTATCCAAAAGAAAGAAAATACATAGAGGACATACCTGCACTCCCATGTTTATTGCAGCACTAGGGACAACAGCCAACATATGGAATCAACCTAAGTGCCCATCGGTGGATGACTGGATAGACAAAATGTGGTATATGTACACAGTGGAATATTGTTCAGCCATAAAAAAATGAAATCCAGTCACTTGCAACAACATGGATGGAACTGGAGGTCATTACATTAAGTGAAATAAAACAAGCACAGAAAAACAAATATTTCATGTTCTTATTCATATGTGGGAACTTAAAAAAAAGTGGATCTCATGAAGATAGCAAGTAGATTGGTGGTCACCAGAGGCTGGGAAGGGTAGAAGGGAGGAAAAATGAAGAGTAGTTGATTAATGGGTGCTAATATACAGTTAAATAGAAAAAATAAGACCTAACATTTGATAGATGAGTAGCATGATTCTATTGTTTATTTCAAAATAGCAAGAAAAGAATAATTTGAATGTTTTTAGCATAAAGAAAAGACAAATATTTAAGGTGATGTATACCCAATCACACTGTATGGCAGTTAATATTAGGTGTCAACTTGATTGGATTGAAGGATGCCTAAATAGCCGTATTGGGTCTGACTATGTCTGTGAGGGTGTTGCCACAGGAGATTAACATTTGAGTTACTGGACTGGGAGAGGAAGACTCACCCTCAATGTGGGTGGGCACCACCCAATCAGCTGCCAGTGCAGCTAGAACAAAGCTGGCAGAAGGTGGGAGAAGAGGGCTTGCTGAGTCTTCTGGCTTTCATCTTTCTCCCATGCTGGATGCTTCCATCCCTTATTCCTGCCCTTGGACATCAGACTCCAGGTTCTTTGGCCTTTGGACTCTTGGACTTACACCAGTGATTTGCCGGGGGGCTCTTGGGCCTTGAAGCTGCACTGTTTGATTCCCTATTTCTGAGGCTTTTGGACTCGGACTGAGCCATTACTGGCTTCTTTCCTCCTCAGCTTGCAGATGGCCTATTGTGGGACTTCACCTTGGGATTTTTTGAGTCAATTCTTCATAATAAGCTCCCCTTCATATATGCATATATCCTATTAGTTCTGTCCCTTTGGAGAACCCTAATATACACTGATTTGATCTTTATAAATTATATGAAAGTATGATATTACCCCATATACCCCAGAATTATGTACATCTATTATGTCAATAAAAAATTAATTAAAAATTTTCAAACTCTTCTTGCAATAAAAATAATCAACTGTCAATTTTCTCTATGTCTTATTTGATGTATGCCCCCTATAGTTATGTGACCTTGGACAGATCCCATAATCACCTTAGACTATATCACAATTATATCACAAATAATATATTATTTATTTGTGAAATATCACATTTGATCACTAGATGATGTCTAAAGCCACTCTGTCAATGAACATCTACAGTTCCATGAGTTTATATTCTGCTTTCCTTCATAGCAATTCCTGTAATTTGTAATAATCCATCCTGTTATTGTTGCTTTTTGAAGTCTCTCTCTCTTCATACTAGATTATAAACTCCATGAGGGCAGAGACCATCTCTGCCTTTTTTACCACTATTAGCTCAGTATCCAGTAGAATGTCTTAGATGTAATTAGGCAAATAAAGTTTTTATTTGTTTGTTTGGCTTTTATTACAAATGTTACATATGCCTTTGGTTTTAATGAAACATCATCTAGATTAATAGCTTTAAACAGGCATGACCTTGCTTTTGTCCAAGCTCAAATGTCTGTGTGCATGTCTAGACATAACACATAATATGTATTCTATATGTATACATTTTCCTTGAATTGGAAATATGCTTTGGTGTTGATAGTTTAAAATCTATGCAAATCATTCTATCAAATCATTGTAAATTAAAAAAAACTACTAAGCTCATATGTCTGGCATGCTAAAACATGTAAAGTTTTATGAGTTGAACAGAGGGTAGTAATTCAGTGATGGGTACATATTTTTAGATGATTTTTGTAGCTCAAAATTGATATGAAACAAAATATTACTAATGATAGTTGAATTTTTAAGCAGTTCCGCCTTTTGCCTCTAGATGTCTCACCTGGAATTCCCATTGTATAATAGAAGATCTTCTGATGCAACACCCCACTATAGGGCTTGGCTGAAATGTCATCTTGGGAACTCAAAGAGTAAACCATGTGAATTTAACTGCAATTGGGTCAAAACATTCCATCAGTATTTTTTTAACTTTCTGGAAAAATGCAAATAACAGATGGTGGGAGAATAGGCAGATTTATGAGAAAAGTGACTTTGTATTAGTCATTCTGATGAGCCACATCCCAAGGAGCCCTGCCTTTTTGGCTATGATGAACAGTTTCCAGGTGTAACCCCTGGTGTTGGGAAAGTAATATTTAAGACAATGGCCATCAGCCCATCTTAAAAGCTTTTTTTCCACTTCAAACATAATTTATATCATTTATATCCCAGTTGGTGAGGTATGGAATTCAACATATTAATATATGACTTTAGGATATGACTTATGTAAGAAAAGTAATAATTTTACCCTAAAAAAGAAAATATTCTATGAGTTCAACCAAAAACAAAGTAACAGTTTTATTTCTTGAGAGGATAGGAAACATTTTGGCAATGGGCAGAAACAGGAGTTTATTAAAATTTGTGAACATACGTAATGAGACATAATTCTCTTGTAAATATCCCTATTAGTAAAAATGTTTCCCAATACCATATGTTATATAGATTGATATATACTATATGTGCTAATACTATGATAATATTTAGTCTATAAGAGAAAAGTGAAAAACAAAAAAAAAACAGATGGCCTGAAATGGATTAGAAGTAATATTCTGTTTCAGGTGACATTCAAACTACTTCAAAGTGGTGTAGAATATATTCTATTTGGGTGTCTTTAGATATGCTGAGCTTCTACCACAAAATCTACATTTCTCTAAAGTAAGGAAGAAAGGGATACCTTTTCATCCCTGAAATAGTTCTGGCCAAAACAGACAATTAGTATTTATTTGTTGAGAAAAATGAATGAATGAATGAAAGGGGAGCAGAATCTGATTATTTTCTTGCATATTTACTAAATAAATGCTTGCTTTCTTTGTAGTTCTTAAAATTATACTAGGCTTAAGTTTCTATGTTTTTTAAATTTCGTTTGTTTTATTTCAATTTTTAATTATTTTAATTTTTGGCAAAACGTATGATTCTCAAAATATGTCGTATAACTAATCACGTTGATAGATAAAAAATAACCACAAGCAAGCAACCACACAAACAAGCAGTGTGCCCCACTTTCCATCTGCTTTTGTTTTATTTTCACGAGTTATCTTTTTTTTTAGTTGATTCTAGTCAGTTTGGGTCACTTAAGTTACATGTAACAAATACTGTATGTCACTTTTATATTTAAATATATTTTCAAAGAATCATCGCTAACTACTTAATCATCTCTGAATTTCGGAGCCTGGCATGGAAATCTCTCCCCAAACTAGTTTCATCCTCCTTATCTAGTATTTTCTTCCACACTAACAATTGAAAAAACAAGCTAAGGTCTCTCCGCCTAATTACCTACTGTGGTAAATAATTGTTCAATTCAATTATTACCTACTTACTTCATATGCTTGTTCTGGTTCACTCAGGTAGATGTGATCAAATCTATTCCTACTTAAGAAAATTGAAGGACCATTATTTGCCTAAGGTCTTAACCGTCTGCCTAGACTTTAAAGTCACTGAGGTTAGCAACTGTGACTTATTCCTAGAAACACTGTTTGGCCTTCAACAAAAGTTGGTAAAAGTAAATTGAATTCCATTTGCCAATCTACCAGTTAAAGAGAGACATATGACTGACATTATCAGTGGAAGGAGTAATGGTACAGGTCTAATAAGCTCTTAATGAGAAGTAGAATGTCAGTGATAAGAGAGAAAGAGAGGCACAGAGAGAAGTTTGTGAAAAAAGAGAGATGAGAGAGAGTTACAAGAGGAAAAGAGGAACAGAGGGACAAAGAGGAATGGAATGAGCAGCAAAAAGGATAACTGGGCTTCTCCCTTACCCCTGAATAGTATTGTGTCTGGTATCTTCTGTCTCAGCTCTCTCTCATCTTTCGTATTTTGTATAATGGCGACGTTTGGGCTTCCAGTGAACCCATCGCCCAATAGTGAACCGACTTCTTCTTAGAAGTTCACTGGGAACCAATCAGCCTTTAAAGTCTTTGGGAATCTAGCCGGGAGCCAACCAGGGATCAGCCCCTGCTCTGCAGGTCCGGAGAAGAGAGGAGGGTGAGACAACTACCTCACCCTGTGTCCCTTCCCTTGCACAATTTGATATTCTAGTAGCTTCAAAGGTCCTTTTCTCCCAAATAGTATCCACTTCTCAGAGCATAGACTGAGTGCTTGGTCCACAGGGCAGCTGGAATTCTCTAGGAGGCTACAGATCAAAATCCAGGGGCTTACACTTGCCTGTAAAGTTGGAAAGTATTTAAATTTTAAATCATTTGTGATCTTGGATGATTCACTTACATTCTCTTGGTCTCAATTTTCAAATTCTAAAGGGATTTCCAATTCTATGCTGGATTTGTTGCAGAACTCTTTTAAGTATGAGGTCCTATTATTCAATTCTGGAACTCAGAGTCGGGTATTCAATCTAATCCCCTTATCATGATGGCTCAATTAAATTTATTTCTAATGTAATAATGATTATGTAGAGAAATTTATATCACAGATAGGTATAATCTAATTTTTAAAATAAATATGTAAAGTAGTTATTAGACTCTGATTTTATATTTTTACATCCTCCTTTTCAGTTATATTAGAAAATAAAGTAAGTTTTGATTTCTTTACAAACTCAATACATATTTATTGAGAATCTACCATGAGCCAACCCCTGCTAAGTGCTTGGAATACAGCAATGAAGAAAACATTTCTTATCCTCCACATGAAGCAGACACTTGAACTGATGGAAAGGCTAATAGTTCTAGCTAAATTGTATGTTTTGTGGACACAAAGACGGAAATAACAGACACTGAGGACTCCAAAATAGAAGAAGGGAGGAGGGGGGAGAGGGTTGAAAAACTGTCCATTGGGTACGATGTTCACTATTTGGGCAATGGGTTCACTGGAAGCCCAAACCTCACCATTATACAAAATACGCAAGTAATAAACTTGCACATGTACCCCCTAAATCTAAAGTACATTTAAAAAATAAGATAAATAAAATAAAATAAATTGTATATTTTGGAGATATTTTGACCCCACTGCTTTTACAGCCTTTCTCCACAGCATTTAATATTTTTCTTTAACCAAAGTAATAAAATCTGCTTTTTAAAAGCACTGTAATGATGCCAACCATAGCAAATGGAATATATTTTTATTAGAACATTAACCATTTCATTAAAAAAGACAGCTACGTTTTGATAAATGTGCCTAGGTTGTTGAGAATATGGAAAAAAATAACTAGAACTGATGCGAAGTTTCCATTTTTTTTTTTAATCTCTGTAAGGTCTGCTTGAACTTAATTCTGATAATCAATATGTCTGTCATGATAAGGTTTGGATAGAAACAAATGCCTGTTTCAAATACCGTAGTTAAGAGATTTTTAATAAAGATAACCCTTTTCTTTACAAATGGGTGAGCCAGGGTTTAGAGAAAACAAGGGATGGCTCAGCACACACAGGGCTAGCAGTGGTGGGTAGCTGTTATTACCCCTAGGCCTAAAGTGGAGAAAGGGGTCACCAGAACTTGGAGAAGTTTGATGTATCAATGGGACTGCCTGGGAAGCTTCTGGCCTTTGGCAGAGTGACACAGCTAACCAGTGGCCACTTGGTAAGAAGGGTGACCACATTCTCTCCTCCAATTTGATCTACTGCCAGGGCTTCTCACTGATCCAACCCACTGGGAAGCCAAAGGTCAAGGTAGCCCAGTGATGCAGTCCATAGAGGTCAGCCTTCTACAACAGAGGGTAGAACCAGGAAGGATGGTATATGGACCTAGATAAGAATATGGATGACATCCAGAATAGTATGATCATCAAAAGTTATCAGAATTATCTCTTGATAATCTTTTTACTTTAACATTGAAAATGACTTCCCTAACAGAAAAGTATGTTAATTTCTATTGAATTTTGAAATCAGTTTTCATAATTCAAACTATTATTTTAGTTACTCACATTTCTATAAACCATAAAAATATATTAATTCATCTTTCTAGAGACATTATTTATATTATCACAGGGAAAGTAGTACTTTCTCAAAAATTAGTTAAATAGGTCACCTTTGCAATTATTGAATGATAATGGTGTTTCAAAGACTGCATTTCTACATGGCATATAATGAGCATTTCAGAATTTATTTTTAAAAGGCACAAAGGAAGAATGAAGTGTATTTACATACAACCTTCATCACCAAGCAGTTTTCTCTGCTTCATTTTAGGAAAGAATAAACAGATATTTGGACTTTTATAACATGAAAAGTTCATTCCCCCAAAAAACAAAACAAAATATGTGGCCTCAATAATGCAGACATCTAGGGAATATTAGTAGAATCCAGGGTCTGAATTTCTTTTCAGGAACAGATCATTGTAATCATGTTTATTTTATTTTATTTTGCTTCTCTGAGTAGCTTTCTTCTCCCCAAATTAAAACCAAAAATATTCAAGTGTTCTGTTATTTTTTAAAAGTAACACACTTGCTGATAATAATTAACAACAAATTAATATGTAACTATTAATTTGTATTAAATGAATCACTCTGTTTGGCTTTGCTTCTATTTTAGATCTAAAGCTGAAAATAAAAGAACAAGATAAAGCTTTCTAGTTTATTAACGTTTCTTAATAAATGTACACACACTTTCATACATATTTAAACTGGCTTAGATCAAGCTGCCTGCTCTATCAAGGGCAATGTATTCCACAAAAGTAATTCTTTACAGTTCAACATGACATGTATTAAATATATATCAAATACTTGGTACAATTTTGCCAATTCAGCACAACTGGCAAACCCTTCATAAGAAAGGCCACAATGTCATGTTGGCATGAAAATAGAATCTGGGCTGAGAAGTGGAGAGAAAAATAAAAGTTCTCTTAAGGTCAAGGGCAACAGCTGAGCAGCTCCGGGGGCTCCAGGGGAGCCATCCTGCTTCAAAGGATACAGTGTCTTGTGTTTATAGATAAAATGTTGGTTTCTATGGGGGGAGGGTGGTCACAGGAACAAATGTCCCTGACACCCAAACAAAATAATCCCAAATAAAATGGATGATGTAGTCCATAGTAAAAAGGGAGATAACTATTCATGGGAAAAAATGCATGACCTCACCCTTTCAGAATACACAGTGATTCATCAGCATTTTCCAGCTTTCTTTCTTGCTTACTTGCTTACTTTGAATCTCATAGCTCAGTCCCTTTCCCTTTTGCACCTAACGTTGGCTTACTTAATCGAAGATGTTAGGGGTTTGGGAAGGACAGTCAACTGTAAGGAAAGCTCATGGTGTGTGGAAGTATTTCTTGTCAATAATGTAGAGGCATCATCTTTGCTGATGACACATTTTTCTCAAAAGCTAAATGTGACACTCACTTCTTTCCTGTTTTTTTTTGTCTCAGAAAAGTTGTATATTAACTTAGTTGATAAAGAAGCCCCTGTGATCATGAGGAAAATCTTATGGGAATAATAGATGGAAATATATTTATAAACAGGAGAAATGAGCTAAAAAATATCATTACAAGCAAGCAAAGTTATAATTTTCTATTGTGGTACTTGCAGAAACCTTCAAGTGCTATCAGTCCGTCTCCTTCTTATAAAAATGCACCACAGTTTAATCAAGTAACTGTGAAACCACTGCCTCAAAATTGCAACCAAATTGTTTGGGCAGTGTTATGTATCTAAGGAAACAAATGTGGACTTCTAGAATTACATTATTAGTTTCTTTTGAGCCATGTGCACTTCAAAGATTTTTTAGAATTTAGTAATGCTATGTCACACAGAAGCCAACTACTACCCAGGTGGAAATACTGGGCCCCTTTCTGGTCCTCTGCTGTCATCTACCTGCCTCCTGGTGATTTCCAATTTTTGGCTCCTGCAGTGTGGTGGGGAAAAGAGCGAATTTCTATCTGGTTTGTTCTACCTGGCATCTACAAGTTACTAAAGGGGATGATGAAACACTATTGGTGAAAATGTTTTTGACCAATCTGCTTCTTTCCATTGCACTCTACCAGTGATTCTTAGCATACACAGTACTGTGGATTCCTGTTAAAATGCAGCTTCCCAGGCCCTGCCTCCTGAGATTCAGCAGGGCTGGAACTGAAATTTACAGTTGATACTGGGAATCCCTGGGGCCGGGACCACACTTTGAGAAACACAGCACTACATTTTCCTGTGTCCAAAGCCTAATCTTTAGAAATCAAGTCAAACCAATACATTTTTTATCTATACTGACTGAAAAGTTTCTAGAAGAAACATTTAATTGCAGCTCAGAAGCTGGTGGTTCAGTGCCATCAAGGCAGCAGGTACAGTCCTGGGCCTCAAAAGTTTCAGATACTCTCTCTAAATAGCCCATTAACAAGAAATGTTTCAAAGAGAGTATTGGGGATAGCTTAAAAATTACATATTAATATTGTCGCCTCATTTGATGGACCTAATGGCTGCACTGTAGATGAAACTCTCTGGTTGTGAGCATCACCCATTCCCTTCAAGGGTCTGGGCAAGTGACAAACTCCTCATGGTACTTATTCATGGCTTTGGAACAATCATAGGTGGCAGGGGTGCAGGGTTTTGCACAGGCCCTCTCTCACTTAAGAGGTGTCTATGCATGCCTACGTGGTCTGTGGGTCTTGGTGACCTGTGCTCATCTACTTGGATCCTGGCCTTGGTGTTGCTGGCTGAGCAGATAAAGCATTTTGTTTTCACTCTGAGAGCTTTCCTTTCTGCTTATTTGCACTTCTATCATTCTGTATCCAGAAGATAAACCCCATCTGATTCAGGTCAGCCGCTTACACTTTATGCTGTCAGCACTATATTCACTTATATGAGTGGGCTGACTGTAAATGTCTTTATGGCTTTTCATGAGATGATTTGACCAACCAAACTGCAAGCAACTTATCTTCAGGATAATTATTTTCTTGAGGAACTCAACCCTAGGGTCCCTCCAATAGCTAATCAATGTAATCAATCAATTCATTATTTAGCAGATAATGGCATTCTTGTGAATTATTTAATCAATATTAGTTAAGGTATAATTTATGTACAATAAAATTCCCATGTAAAATGTACAGGTTGATGAATTTTTTAAATAAACTATATTTTTAGGGCAATTTTAGGTTTACAGCCAAATTGAGAAGAAAATTTAAAGATTTTTCATATGCTCTCTCAATTGTAACAGATGTACCACTCTACAAGGGGATGTTGATAATAAGGGAGGCTATGCATGTGTGGGTGCAGCAGGTACATAGATTTCTTTTTAAACATTTAACAAATTTTGTAATCAGTATACATTCACGGGAAACTGCATCATGCTACTCCTTTGTAGTTACACCCATACCCTACCTTTTACCACTCTAATACCTGTTAACCACTAATCTGTTGTTTGTCTCTATAGTTTCATCATTTCAAGAATGTTATATAAAGGGAATGATACAGAATGTAGATTTTTTGTGACTGGCTTTTATCACTCAACTAATGCCCTTGCGATTCATTAAAAATAATTTATCCAATTTGTTGTGTGCTTGTTCTTTTTATTGCTGAGTAATATTCCAACTTATGCTATTTATGTATTGAATTTATCTATATGCATTTATTTCCAAAGGCTTTAACATGACGTACATCAACATATGTACTAACAAGGCTAAGAAAAAACAAATGCAAAATTAGGAATATTGAAAACAGAAAACCATAGTATGCTAAGCTTAGTAATGCTCAACACAGTCACTATGGCTAAGTTTCAGAACTGGCTCTGAAATTCCTGGCATCAGAGTCAAAAGACAACATGATAGATAAATGGCATAGTCCTCATTATTAGAAAGAAGGAAGCAACCAGTACTTGAATAGAGAGAAGTTTTCTGCTGGTTTTAAATGTAAAAGAAATAACTCAAGAGAAGTTTTACATAGGCCATACTGATGTGATAAATAACATTCTCAACTATATTTCTATGGCAAATACACACATGAATCTTACATAGCTGGCTACTTTTCATTTTGAGCATTGTTGGTCACAAGGCAAAAACCAAACTATTAAAGTACAACTCAGTGGGTGAAGCAAGATGGTGGAAGAGAAGCTGACACCATTCATTCTTCCTGCTAGAATAACAAATTTTAACAACTATTTACACACAGAAGATGCCGTGCTGGGCTCAGCCAGTGTCCATGCAGGAGGGGAGTGATGGGCCAGCCCTAGCCAGTGAGGAATTGCCCATCCCAGTGGTTAGAATTTGAGTTTCTCAGAAAGCCTCACCACCATGAGGTGAAGTGCTCTGGGGTCCTAGGTAGGACATAAGGACTGCAATTCCCAGGCAACTCTTAGGGATAGGCTGGGCTTAGAGCCAGTGGATTACAATAAATACCTAACTCTTCAATGCCGAGACACTGACGAACATCTATAAGCATCAACACCATCCAGGAAAATGTGACCTCACCAAGTGAAATAAATAAGGTAACAAGGACCAATACCAGTAAAATGGAGATATATGACCCTTCAGACAGATAATTCAAAATAGCCGTTTTGAAGAAACTCAAAGAAATTCAAGTTGACACAGAGTAGGAATTTAGAATTCTATCAAATAAATTTAAATTGAAAAATGCAACTGACATGCTGAAGAATGCATCAGAGTCTCTTAATAGCAGAATTGATCAAGCAGAAGAAAGAATTAATGAGCTTGAAGACAGGCTACTTGAAAATACACAGTCAGAGGAGACAAAAGAAAAAAGAATAAGAAACAATGAAGCCTGTATATAAGATCCAGAAAATAGCCTCAAAAGGGCAAATTTAAGAGTTGTTGACCTTAAAGATGAGGTAGAGAAAGAGATAGGGGTAGAAATGGTTTTCAAAGGGATAATAACGGAGAACTTCCCAAACCTAGAGAAAGGTATCAACATTCATACACAAGAAAGTTATAGAATACCAAGTAGATGTAACTCAAAAAAGACTACCTCAAGCCATTTAATAATCAAACTCCAAAAGGTCAAGGATAAAGAAAGAATCCTCAAAGCAGCAAGAGAAAAGAAACAAATAATATACAATGGAGCTTCCATAAATCTGGCAGCAGACTTCTGTGGAAATATTATAATCCAGGAGAGAGTGGCATGACATAAAGGAAAAAACTTTTATCCTAGAATAGTATATCTGACAAAAATATCCTCAAGCATGAAGGAGAAATAAAGTCCTTCCCAGTCAAACAAAAGCTGAGGGATTTCATCAACATCAGACCTATCCTGCAAGAAATGTTGAAGAGAGTTCTTCAATCTGAGAAAAAAAAAGTTAATGAGCAAGAAGAAATCATTTGAAGGTGCAAAACTCACTTGTAATAGGAAACACAGAGAAGAAAAAGAATAGTGTAACACTGTAATTGTGGTGTGTAAACTACTCTGGTCTTAAGTAGAAAGACTGAATGATCAACCAATCAAAAAAATAATTACAACAACTTTTCAAGACATAGTGAAATAAGACATAAAGAGAAACAGTAAAAAGTTAAAAAGCAGAGAATGAAGTTAAAGTATAGAGTTCTTCTTAGCTTTCTTTTTTCGTCTTATGCAGTCAGTGTTATGTTGTCATCAGTTTAAATTAATAGGTTATAAGATGGTATATGCAAGTCTTATGGTAACCTCAAATCAAAAACATACAATGGAGACACAAAAAGATAAAAAGCAAGAAATTAAAGCATACCACCAGAGAAAATCACCTTCACTAGAAGGAAGACAGGAAGGAAGGAAAGAAGCAAGAGAAGGCTGCAAAACAACCAGGAAATATATAACAAAATGATAGAAGTAAGCCCCTACTTATCAATAATAACATTGAACGCAAATGGACTAAACTTTCCAGTCAAAAGATGTAGAGTGGCTGAATGAATAAAAAAACAAGATCTATTGGTCTGTTGCCTACAAGAAACACATTTCATGTATAAAGATGTACATAGACAGAAAATAAAGGGATGAAAAAGGATATTCCATGCCAATGGAAACCAAAAAGAGCAGGAGTAGCTATACTTATGTCAGACAAAATAGATTTCATGATAAAAACTATAAAAAGAGACAAAGAATGTTATTATATAGTGACAAAGGGGTCAGTTCAGCAAGAGAATATAATGATTGTAAATAATTGTGCACCAAACCCTGGACACCCAGTTATATAAAGCAAATACTATTAGAGGTAAAGAAAGAGATAGAGCCCAATAAATAATAGCTGGAGAGTTCAACATCCTACTTTCATCATTGGGCAGATATGCAGACAGAAAATCAACAAAGAAACATCTAACTTAATCTGTACTGTAGAGAAAATGGACCTAATAGATATTTACAAAATATTTCATTCAATGACTGTCAAATACACATTTTTTTCCTCAGCACATGGGTTATTCTCAAGGATAGACCATAGGTTAGGTTACAAAACAAGTCCTAAAATACCCCCCAAAACTGAAATAATATCAAGCATTTTCTCTGACCACAATGGAATAAAACTAGAAAACACTAACAAGAGGAATTTTGGAAACTACAAATACATGGAAATTAAACAATATACTTCTCAGTGGTCAGGTGTCAATGAAGAGATTAAGAAAATAATTGAAAAAAATTACTGGATCAAATGATAATGGAAACACAATACACCAAAGCTATAGGATATAATTAAAGCAGGACTAGAGGGAAATGAATAGATATACGTGCCTACATAAAGAAAGAAGAAAAACTTCAAATAAACAACCTAATAAAGCATCTTAAAAAACTAGAAAAGCAATAACAAACTGAACACAAAATTAGGAGAGGAAAAAAATAATAAGGATCAAAGCAGAAATGAATGAATTTGAAATTAAGAATACAACACAAACGATCAATGAAATATAAAGCTGTCCTTTTTTAAAAAAAGAGATAAACAAAATGGACAAGCCTTTAGCTAGACTAAGAAAAAAAGAAAGAAGACCCAAATAAATAAAATCAGAGATGAAAAAGGAAACATTTCCACTGATATTGCAGAAATCCAAAGGATCATCAGTGGTTACTAGGAACAACTATATGCCAATAAATTGGAAAGTCTAGAAGCAATGGATAAATTGCTAGACACATACAACCTATGAAGACTGAACCCCAAAGAAATCCAAAGCATGAACAGATCAGTAACACGTAATGAGTTTGAAGCTGCAATAAAAAGTTTTCCAGTAAAGAAAAGTCCAAGCCCCATGGTTTCACTGCTGAATTCTACCAAACATTTAAATAAGAACTAATACCAATCCTATTAGAACTGTTCTGGAAAATAGAAAATGAGGGAATACTTCCAAATTCATTCTACAAGGACAGTGTTACTCTGATATCAAAACCAGAAAAAGACACATAAAAAAAATAATACAATCCAATATCTCTGATGAACATTAATGCAAAAATCTCCAACAAAATACTAGCTAACTGAATTCAGGAATACATTAAAAAGATTATTCATCATAACCAAGTGAGATTTATCCCAGGGATGCAAGGATCATTCAACATATGCAAATCAATCAGTGTAATACATCATGTCAACAGAAAGAAGGACAAAAACTATATGATCGTTTCAATTGATGCTGAAAAAGCATTTGATAAAATTCAACATCTCTTTATGATGAAAACCCTCAAAAAAACTGGATATAGAAGGAACATGTGTCAACATAATAAAAGCTGTATACATATAACAGACTCACAGCTGAATGGGGAAAAACTGAAAGCCTTTCTTCTTAGATCTGGAACATGAAAAAATGCCCACTTTCACCACTGTTACTCAATATAGTCCTGGAAGTCCCAGCTAGAGCAATCAGACAAGAGAAAGAAATAAAGGGCATCCAAATTGGAAAGGAAGAATTCAAATCATCCTTGATTGCAGATGATGTACTCTTTTATTTGGAAAAAATCTAAAAATTCCACAAAAAATTATTCGAACTGATAAACAAATTCAGTAAAGATGCAGGATACAAAATCAATATACAAAAATCAGTAACATTTCTATATGTCAACAATGAACAATCTGAAAAAGAAATCCTATTTAAAAAAGGCCAAGTAAAATTAAATACTTAGGAATTAACTTAGCCAAATAAGGGAAATATCTCTACAATGAAACTGTAAAATGCTGATAAAATAAATTGAAAAGGGCACAAAAAAATGGAAAGATACTCCATGTTCATGGATTGGAAGAATCAATATTGTTAAAATGTTTCTACTAGCCAGAGCAATCTAAAGATTCAATGCAGTCCTTGCTAAAATACCAATGACATTCTTCACAGAAATAGCTACAAAAATCCTAAATTTTACATGGAACCACAAAAGACCCAGAATAGCCAAAGCTAACCTGAGCAAAAAGAACAAAACTGGAAGAATTACATTACCTGACTTCAAATTATATTGCAGAGCTATAGTAACCAAAAGAGCATGGTGTTGACATAAAAACAGATACAGATCAATGGAACACAATAGAGAATGCAGAAACAAATCCACCCCCTAGAGTAAACTCATTTTGACAAATGTGTCAAGAACGTACATTGAGGAAAAGACAGTCTTTTCAATAAATAATGCTGGGAAAACTGAATATCCATATGCAAAAGAATAAAACTAGACCCCTATTTCTCACCATATGCAAAAATCAAATGAAAATGGATTAAAGACTTAAATCTAAGACCTCATACTATGAAACTACTACAAGAAAACATTGGGGAAAGTCTCCAGGACATTAGTCTGGGCAAAACTTTTTTGAGCAATACCCCACAAGCACAGGCAACCAAAGCAAAAATGGACAAATGGGATCACATCAAGTTAAAAGGCTTCTGCACAGCAAAGGATACAATAAAAATAAAGTGACAAGACTATCCACAGAATGGGATAAAAAATTTGCAAACTACCTATCTGACAAGGGATTAATAACCAGAATATATAAGGAGCTCAAACAACTCCACAGGAAAAAATCAAATAACCTGATTTTAAAATGGGCAAAATATTTAAATAGACGTTTCTGAAAAGAAGACATACAAATGGCAAATAGACATATGAAAAGGTAGGTGTTCAACATCATTGTTCATCAGAGAAATGCAAAACAAAACTACAAGGAGAAATTAACACACCTCCGTTAAAATGGCTTATATCCAAAAGACAGGCAATAACAAATTCTGTTGAGAATATGGAGAAAATGGAACCCTTGTACACTGTTGGTGGGAATGTAAGTTAGTACAACCCTATAGCGAACCATTTGGAGGTTCCATAAAAAAAGTAAAAATAGAGCTACCATTTGATCCAGCAATCCCTCTCCTAGGTATATACCAAAAATAAAGGAAATCAATTTAAGGAAGAACTCTCTGCACTCCCATGTTTGTTGCAGGACTATTCACAATACCCAAGTTTTGGAACCAAGCTAAGTGTCCATCAACAGACAAATGGATAAAGAAAATGTGGTGCTTATACATAATAGAGTAGTAGTCTGCCATAAAAAAGAATAAGACTCTGTCATTTGCAACAACGTGGATGAAACTGGAGGTCATTATGTTGAGTGAAACAAGCCAGGCACAGAAAGACAAATATTGCATGTTCTCACTTATTTGTGGGATCTAAAAATAAAAACAAGTGGACTCATGCAGATAGAGAAGAATGGGCCGGTGTGGTGGCTCATGACTTGTAATCCTGGCAATTTAGAAGGCCTAGGCAAGCAGATCACTTGAGCTCAGGAGTCTGAGACCAGCCTGGGTAACATGGCAAAACCCATCTCTACAAAAAAATACAAAAACTAGCCAGGCATATGGTGGTGCACACCTGTAGTCCAAGCTACTGGGAAGGCTGACATGGGAGAATTGCTTGAGCCTGGGAGGCAGAGGTTACGGTGAGTGCAGATCATGCCACTGCATTCCAGTATGAGTGACAGAGCGAGACTCTGCCTCAAAAAAAAAAGAGAAAATAGAAAGATGGTTACTAGAGCTGGGAAGGGAGGTGGGGTGGGGATTGTGTGGGAGGTAGGGATGGTTAATTGGCACAAAAAAAAAAAATAGAAAGAAAGAATAAGACCTAGTATTTGATAGCATAATATGGGGAATATAGTCAATAATAATTTAATTGTACATCTTAAAATAACTAAAATAGTATAATTAGATTGTTTATAATACAAAGGATAAATGCTTGAAGGGATGGATACCAAATTTTCTCTGATGTGATTATTATGCATTGCATGCCTGTACTAAAATATCTTATATATCTTAATACCTCATAAACACATACACCTACTATATACCCACAAAAATTAAAAATAAAAATCATAAAAAGGGTCAAAATAAAAATAAAAAGCAAAGAAAATAAATAAAGCCCAGACCCTCCAAAAAAATAAAAAATAAAGTATAAATCCATAAATCCCAACCAACAAGACATATCGTTATCCTAGCACTTCAGTGCATCATAAGGAAGTCTGTGAGGGGGGCTCATAAAGTCAATATTAGTGTGACTCAACACATATATCTGGTGCTTCTTTTTTGCCTCCTTATGAGTGGATGGGGTCATGTACCCACTTATGGCTAATGAACTGTGAGTATAGTAGCATATATTTTTTTTAAATGGCTCTTGTTTTAATATGACACTAACATTCCTCCATCAAGAAATTGGGTCCAGCTTTTTTCTCCGTGAACATGTGTGGGCTTTATAGAAATGATGCTGTGCGATTCTGAATATTAGCTTCTGCTAATTTCTATCTGGCCTTCAATCTCAATTTCTCTCTTTCTCACTCTCCTTGAATTTTTGAAGTCCTGGGCCATCACATAAGTTTAATCATTCTGAAGTTGTTATGCTGAAGGAATCGTATTGAGAAGCTACATAGTGATAAGGAGTTTTGTCCAAAGAGCCCCAGAAGTTCCATCTCCATAGCCGTTTAAGTCATCCCAGCCTAGGACCTAGATATGGGAGTAATGAAATCTTGGAGATGACTGAGTCTGACATCTTTTCACAGCAATCTCAGGAAAATAGATTAATTAAATATTTATTCTCAATGATATTTGGAGCACATTTCTTAGGCTTCAAAGGTCTAGGAGAGTGACTGAATTGCAAACCCTTATGCTATTTGCACAAGCTGATGAAGAGTGTAAGAATATTCTGTATACTAGAGTCAAATTTGGATAATCCCAGAGATCAGACTTACCTTGAAATATTAGAGAAAAAAATTACCAGTTCGTATAGGACATCCTCTTTTGAATAATACCCATGGGCAAACAAACAAACAAACAAAAACAAAAACAACAATTCAACAAATACTTCTATAACTTCAATTGTAATAAATTTTATTATGCATGTTTCTCTTCCAAAGTTTGTTTCTTCATTTTTGTGACTTGTTCTCTTTAGTGCTTTCTCCTTTTGTTTTATATTCTAGAGCAAACTTGATTATAAGCATCTGATTGATTATAAGAGAGTATACATTCAGGGCTACATAAGACTTTAATGATAATCTTGGCCTAAAAATCCCCAATGTTATGACTGAGGAAATTTAAGATCCAGGACATCGCTAAAGGAGTGTAAAGGACATTGTTAATGGATTGTAACCTGTCATCTGACTGCTATGTTCTCTTCTATGCTCTCTTCTAAGATCTCACCTGACTTAATGCAAATGCAACAAGTAACCTTAGTATAAATCAGGACATGGCATATGAGTGTTCCCAAAAGGGTTGAAGAATGTGACAGAAGAGATTGTGAGAGCCCCTCTCTGCTGGTCATTGGTAGACATCACCCCCCACATTTAAGTACCTTCTAAGTACCTCATCCCTGCCCCACACACAGAAATATAACCAACATTTACTGACTTGTTACATCTCCAATATAACTGTGCTATTTTGTAAAAAGTAGGAAATACCCCTTCCTTTGATAAAAATGTGAGAAGTATTAAATGATAGTAATGTATGAAAACTATTTACCAGTCCCTGAAGAGAAATATATTTTTTTATTGAAATACGTCTTATTTGGATTAAATAAACTATTTTCTTTAACCTATAGCTGTTAATCTCTTAATCTTCCCTGTGATATTTTCTTGCTCAAAATCACACACATTCAGAGTTCTAAAACTGGTTGAATCTTATGTCTCTCTGACAATATATTCATTTTTTAAAATTTGGATTGAAGAGATTTATACATACTTAAACGTTTATTAAATGTCAGAGAAACCTTCCCTTACCATGCCTTCCCCCTTTCAATTTAAAATATCCTTCCTTGTTAATACTTTCTGTACATACAATATACTTCTCTTTCAGAGCTCTTACCCCAAGTTGATTATTATTTATATCCTGTATTTCTTCTCACCAGTCT
This sequence comes from Homo sapiens, assembly GCF_000001405.40. Classification (NCBI taxonomy): domain Eukaryota; kingdom Metazoa; phylum Chordata; class Mammalia; order Primates; family Hominidae; genus Homo; species Homo sapiens. The sequence goes on from NC_000002.12 coordinate 225,905,931, forward strand.
GTAAAACCCATGAAGGCAGATACAATATCTGAGATGTTTATCATTACAGGTTTGTGAGAGTAAGAACTTGTAAGAATTGTTGAATAAAGAAAACATCGCCTTTCACCTCTGACATTCTCCGTTTTACCATTTATAGGTTCATCTTCTTAGAGAATAAATAAGAAAAACGTATGGAATGATATTGTGGTTAATACAATGTAAGAGATCACACGACAGACTCCAAAGAAGGCATAGACTGATAATATAAACAATAAGTGCTGGAAGAGTTGAAGAGGTAGCTGTATCCCTTGGAGGAGGTGTTCAGATGATACGTCAAGTAGAAACTTGGACCTTGAAAGATGAATGTAAAGAGGAGTGGGAAATACATTGATAGTGGGGAAAAAACTGGTGAAAACAAAATCAAAAACAGAAATGTGTACACTATGCACAGCAGAGACTGCTCCATGCTTCTGACTCTCTAGAGAAAGTATCCACATGGGAACATCACGAAATATAAACTTGGAAAGGTCATTTGTGGCATCTGTGGAATTACTGGATATTTTTTAATGCTAGAGTCTAGGTCCAGTGTCTGTCCCATAAATGCTGGAAACAACTCATTATTTGAACAGTTAAGTGGTAAGATTAAAAAGCTGTAACAGCAAGGTGCACTGGTAGTTTAATGTAAGACGTATTGAGGAGAGGAAGTCTAGAGGGAGAAAGGCTAAACTTGTTGAAATACCATAACCAAGGTGGAAGTAGTTGGCATAAAAGAGAAGGTTATATGTGGCATGTATTATGAAATATGATGAGATATTAAGAGTGAACATGGATTGTAGATAGAGATTAATGGTAAGGGAAAGGATTAAACAAAAAAAATACATGACAACTAGGTAGACTATAAGAAAACAGAAGGTGAGAAATCAGGTAGAAGAAATGATTTGTGTAGATCAAATGATAAATTACAGATACTAAATTATTATTGGCAATGAAATCTCCAAGTGGCCATTTGTTGTAAAAGAAGTTCATATAAGATGGGACTTTGAGGGTGAAGTCAGCGGTGGAGATCATTGAGTTTATTGAGACTAACTTTGTGACTTATGCACTGGTCAGATTTTGTGAAAGTCCCATATGTCTTGAAAACTAATCAGTGCTATATAAAGGTAAAGTGAATTTTTCTTTATGTTTATTTTAAATCAAGAGTATTAATTATGTCGTCCAATACTTCTATATTTTCACTAGTTTTGTTGTTGCTTGACTTGTCAAGCTTCTGAGAGAGAAATATTAAAATCTTTTTTGGAAGGGATAAAGATTCCACCATGCATGTTTAAAAATAATTTGTATTCTTTAAAACTGGCATGTAAACTTGGTATATTTCCTTTAAATAAATGTTAATCATTATGTTGTTTACAAATCTGTATTTTTATTACTGTTTTACTGCTTATCCTGCCAACTTTCTGAATTATGTCAGTATCTCCACTGATTTTGTGTGTTCCAATTTTTAAATATAATTTTCTCAAACTTTTTTGTATATTTTAAGATTATGTTGTATTCAAATTCAAAATTTTAATTTTCTAGTGAGTATTCATTTTATCTTTAAGTTGGGAACTACTTTTATTTATTTTATCTAATACTAATATTAATTTATAAGATTTGCTTCATATCTTATTTTCACCTTTCACTTTTAATCTTTGTAGGTCATCTTACCTCAGACATGTCTCTTCTAAGCAGCTTATAGCTGGATTTTTTGAGAATCAAAACTGAGAATTTCTTTTTTGTAAAACTTAATTTTCTCTTTCAATTGTTATTTTATTTATTAATAAATTTGTATTTCAGTCCAATATTTTAGTTTCAACTTATTTTTAACTTCTCCTACTTCTTAGCCATTATTTTCTCTCAAAATATTCTTTTTATTTTACTTTTAATTTTTATAGATACCTAATATTTTTACTTATTTATGTGGTACCTGTGACATTTTGATACCAGCATGTGATATATAATGATCAAATCTGGGTAACTGGTATATCTACCACCTAAAATATTTGTTATTTATTTGTGTTAGGAATACTCTAAATCTACTCTTCTAGTTATTTTGAAATATACAGTAAGTTACTGTTAACTATCATCACCTTATTGTGCTAATGAACACTAGATCTTATTCCTTCTATTAATATCTAATTATAGCTTTATACATTAACCAGCCCTCTTTATCTACCTGCCCCCCACCACCAGGCCCACCCAACTTTATTTCGCAGCTGTTTCCATCAATGAATGAATGGATAAAAAAAGTGGTACATATACACAATGGAATATTATTCTGCCATATAAAAAATAAAATCCTGTCATTTGCAACAACCTGTATGAACTGGAGGGCATTAGGTTTTTAATAATCCAGGCACAGAAAGAAAAATGTCTCATATTCTCCCTCATGTGTGGGAGCTAAAAAATTGATCACATGGAGGTAGTGAATACACTGGTAGTTGCCAAAAGGTTCTTATTTAGATTTATCAATTAGTTTACCAGCCTCTTTTCTTGTTACAACTTTTTGCATCATATTCCCTTATGAATTCAATTTCTTACCAAGTGTATTCTTTAAAAGTTCTTTTAGAAAGAGTATTTGAGTCATTAACTGTCACATCTTTATCTGAAAAATGTCTAAATTTTGCATTATCTTGAATGATAATCTAGTTGGATATAGACTTCAACTGGGTTGAAATACTCTTCATTTATTTACATAAACATATCTCTTTTTTCTAGATTATGTCCCTTAAGAGTGGTAATAATATCTGATTCATTTTATAGTTGCCCAATAGGTAATCCACAAATATCTGTGAAGAGCATGGCGGGAGTGACCCTTCTCATCAATGGCAGTGTCTTGGATAAACCTCATTTTAAAGGAAAATAATGACACACAATTTATTCTTTCTTTTGACCATAGGTAAAGGCAAATCCTGGAATTTTTTTACAGACTTGAGGAGTAACTAAGGTGTATCTCATGGTCATTCTTTAACTCCTTCCTGAGATCTTTTTGAGTTATTACAATATAAAAAATGTTAGAACCTAATTTTTTCATTAAAATAGTAGTAACTGACAAAAGAGCAATGAATTATTTTTGTAAGGTTTTTTTGTTTTGCTTATCTTTAAGTTGTATCAAATGCCCTCCAAAGATACAACCAGGATAAAGCAACTTTTTAACTTTCAAAATTTGAGCTACTTTAAGGTTTACATTCCCTATTAGTACTGGTATTTCTTTTATGCATTTAAAAAATAAATTTCTAATTGAACTGTGCCTTTGTAAATATGCATATAGAACAGTATGTGTACAACCAAGATAAGCTAGGTTGGAGTGGATCTACGTTGAAAGCAACTCTGCTAACACCGTACACTTAAAGAGCACTTTAAAGATGTTACAACAAAGATGTTTAGTTACTTTTAAAATTACAAGTTACTGAGCACATCTACAGAATCCTTATAGAATGGATGCCAAATATCTCAGTATTTGATTAGAGGAAAAAAATGAAATATATCAAGCCCTACGAAGAATGAAAAGATGAGTGAAAAAAAAAGATGACTGTCTATAAAATAGCACCCATAGACTTCATTCGTTCATCTGTCATTCATTATTAGGTTATTCATTCACAATCATTTACTGGGGATCTATGAATGTGTCAGAGACTATGCTAGCTGCTGGGTTATGAATACTGTTAAGTGTAGGCCCCTGCCTCAAAAAGTTTATAATTTAAGTGAGCATATCATTTAATAATATAATATGATAAATCCTTCACTAGAAGCACAATTACAATGAGGAAAGTATCACATTTGAGAAGCAGTCCCAGTGCTAATGCATATCTACTTACCCAGAAAATGTAGCAGAAGGACTTTCTAGGATAGAAATATGCAACTCCAGGTAGAGTGGCAGGTGCACCCCTGATATGAAGACGGCAGTATGTGGCTGTTAGATCCTGATGCTATTAAACATTGGGAGCATTACCATGACTTCATTTGCTCTAATTCCAAGCTTATCAAGGCCACTTCCTTTTATATTCAACTTTTTGGGTGAATACACTTAAGGGAAGAGAATGGTGCTGGGCATTCCAATAGAAATATACCAGTGACCGGCCAGGCGTGGTGGCTCACGCCTGTAATCTCAGCACTTTGGGAGGGCTAGGTGGGTGGATCACGAGGTTAGGAGTCTAGACCAGCCTGACCAACATAGTGAAACCCCATCTCTACTGAAAATACAAAAAATTAGCCAGGCGTGGTGGCAAGTGCCTGTAATCTCAGCAACTAGGGAGGCTGAGGCAGGAGAATCGCTTGAACCCAGGAAAGGGAGGTTGCAGTGAGCTAAGATTGCACCACTGCACTCCAGTCTGGGTGACAGTGTGAGACTCCTTCTAAAAAAAAAAAAAAAAAAAGAAATATACCAGTACCCTTGACATTATATTTTTATTGTCAATTTACATTGTTGTGTAAATATATTTCCAGGTGCTTGATTACCGAGTAGTTCCCTCCCCTGCTTCTCCCCAGAGATACAGACCCTCTTCATCTGCTGCATAAATCAGTCTTCTGAGATGAAAGCAGAGTTCCAACCCTGAACCTTAGAGAATTCATCAAAGCAAATGCCACCTTGTTTCCCTGATGGCACTTCTGATCTCACAGCATGTCCTTTTTCAAACATCTACAGGTACATGTGTTTGTTATGAATATTTTACTCAGAATTCTTTTGTACTCTCAATTTGGGGTCATGATTGAAGTTAGCTGATGCCTAGAACATCCTTGTCCAAGAGCAAGGATGTTAATTATTCCTGGGTACAAGGGGTTCTCACGCTCCTCTGCACTGGCCCCATCCCAAACTTGAAACCAATTTTATGTCTCTTCACTCTCACCACGGAGTATTCACTTGCAACAAAATCCCCTTAAATTGATAGATTGTGCAAAGACTTTGTGGAGGAAACCTGGAGAGTCTGTGTGCAAATCACACAGAAAAAAACACTATTTGACTTGTTCATTATTTTTGTACCCCTCAAACTTCCGTGTTGGCTGTGCTCAAAGAAGCCTTTACAGAATCCGGGTACCCACAATGCTCTGCCTTCTGAAGACCAGCACTCCTGACTCGTGATTCTGAGGTGCTTTCACATCCATGGGGAGGTGGGTCCAGTCTCCATGCACCCACCAGTTATCCCTAAACCAAATTTACTTGTGGTAAATAAAGTCCTCTCCATCTCGTTTTGCGCTTTCCCTCGCACCCTGGTTTTGCATGTATGAGTTTGTATATCTCCAGCTTATAACCTACTTCCTATGCCTAATTCTTGCTAAGAAAGGTATTTTAAAAATTACCACAAACTTGGCAGCCTAAAATAGCACAGATTTATTACTCATAGTTTCTGTGGGTCTGAAATTTGGGCGTAGTGTGGCTAGATTTTCTTCTTAGAATTTCACTGGGATGAAATTTAAATATGATTTGGGGCCATGGTCTCATTTGAGCTCAAGTTTCTACTTCAAGCGCATTGATTGTCAACAGAATTGATTTCACTGAAGCTACAAGATGGAGATCCCCATTTTTCTTCTAGTTGTTGGCCGAAGTCAACTCGCAGCAAATAGAGGTTGCTGTTAGTTCCTTACCATGTGACGCCCCGCAGGTAGTTTACAACCTATGTTTGTCTTCTTCCAGGTGAGCTAGTGCATGTCTCTCTGACTTTCATTTCTGTGCCTGGTCAGAGAAAATATGTGGATTTTAAAGGGCCGGTGCAATTAGCTTAGGCTTACCTGGATAACCTCCCTTATCTCAAGGTTCACTGAATTAAGACCTAAATGATATCTGCAAAATCGCTTCATAGCAGTTACCTAGAATAGTATACTAATTAACTGGGAGAAGGGTTGTACACCAGTGGCTGAGAGTCTTGGAGAAACTATCTCAGAATTCCTCCCACTGCAGTCAGGTTTATTGTGAAATAAATAAAGAATAAGCTTCAAAATTGCTCACTTGCAGAACATTTTCCAGGAATCTGGGATGAGCCCTCTCTGTGTGTTCACATGTTCTTATTTTTATACAATTTTTGCAAAAGTCATATATTTTGTTAATATTTACTGAAGAAAACTGTTGCTTACCACTCCAAATTCCCTCTACTTTTTGTTTGGTCATGGCATTTTGGAGATTCAGCTAAGGGGAAGCTGAGTTAGGGATGTTTTAACTTCTATTTAGTGGGATGTTTTTATGTGGTCCCTGTCACTTCTGTATGCTAGCTGGGGACAGTTTCTGGGAGTAGTCCCACTGCTGTCCATTCCCACTCACCTGCTGGGGGAACACAAAGCCAGGCCTGCATTGTGTTATGAATGGGAATCATGGAACCCAGTCCCAAAAGCAGGCGGGAAGAGGCAAATGAGTTAAAATGTATAGAGCTGGAAGCTAGGCTGTTGAAAATTCTTCACAAAATCAGAAATATAAAATTACAATCAGGGAATTTGTTTCTCATCAAAGCCTGATTGAGAGCAAAAATTTCTACTTTCAGCAATATTATGAGTAAGGCAGTATATTCAATCAAAAATTCACAATGCTTTTTTTTTTTACTGGAAACACAATATTTAATAAAGTTCGAGTACATCATTGGATGTACTCCTTCCAATTTGGAAGGATGATTGAGATAGTTAAAAAAAATACACAAATTTGGCTTATATCTGTATGGTGTGTACTATCTTTATCAAATTTAAATATATTGATTAAAGAGTTGAAAGAAATTTCTTATAAAAAATGATATTTTAAACAAAAGTAATAAAGTTAAGCAATGAAGTCAATTGAAATTATTCTAGTACTGAGAATAAATTATAGCCAAAATATACACAGATTTTATCAAAAGTAATAATTCTTTAAGAGAAAGAGACATATTTTTAGTCACAGTAGTGAATAGTTTCTCTATTTCTTTACAGAAAATAATATTTTGAGTTTTTTTATGAAGCTGTGTTCAGCCAAATTATGTATAAAAGTCTTTCATTGTGTTATTTTTGTGGATTTTGTTATATTGTAGGTTTTTCAGCATTCTAAAATGTACAATTTTCTGATATCTTCTTATTCTAAATAAATATTCACATTGATTCCTAATTTTGTATTCAAAATATTGTTTAAATTTATTAAAGAAGGCCTCCCACACTGTAGAAGCTTCAGGCCCCTTAGCTCACACTCTGCTGTGTCTCAGGTCTTCTCATGGGTATCAATCATGTCTATATACACACAAAGAGATTGCATCACTATCTCCTCATGGGCAGTACAAGATCCCAAATGGGTCTCATCTCCTCCAAGCCTTATGTCTTCCTTTATGGGCTTGGGACAGGGAGAGAACACTCAGAGCTGTAAGGTTGCCGTCAGATGAGACCCAGTAGCATTAGGATTTGACAGTAATCTGAAACATGAGCTACATTTTTTTAAGAAAAATTTACATAGCACACAATTAACCATTTTAAAGTGCACAATTCAATGGCATTGAGTCTATTTACAATGTTATGCAACTGCCAGTTCTATCTAATTCTAAAACATTTTTATCACTCCCAAAGTAAACTCTGTCATCTTTATGAGGCAGTCATCCTCCACCCCTTTTTCCCCTGACCCTTAGTTTCTGACAACCACTAATCTACTTACTTTCTCTATAGAGTTAACCATTCTGGACATTTAATGTAACTAAAAACATACAATAGGTGGCCTTTTGAGTTTGGCCTTTCCATTTACCATCATATTTTTAAGGTTTATCAACATTGTGGTGTGTATCAGTGCTCTAGTTTATTTTTATTTTTTACTTGATGGAAAATAGATGTACATATTTTGGAGGTACAAGTGATCATTTAACACATTTATGTAATTTTAAAATATCAGTGTAATTGGGATATGAATTACCTTAAATAATTGTCTTTATGCTAGAAACATTCAAATTAATCTCTTCAAGACATTTTGAAATATACAATACATTATTGTAGTCACCTCACTGATCTATCGAATATTAGGTCCTATTTCTTCTACTAAATTGTATATTTGTACCCATTGATCAGCATCCCTTCATGCTTTTCCTTCCCCATTACCCTTCCTTGCCTCTGGTAACCACCAATTTACTATCTTCATTAGATTCACTTTTTAATCTTCCACATATGAATGAAAATGTGGTATTTGTCTTTCTGTCCTTGGCTTATTTTACTTAATATAATGACCTCCAGTTCCATCCATGTTGTTGCAAGTGACTGGATTTCATTCTATTTATGGCTAAATAGTATTCCATTATGTATATATTCGACATTTTATCTGTTCACCATTGATGGACACTTAGGTTAATTCCATATTTTGGCTATTGTGAATCGTGCTGCAATAAACATGAGAGTGAAGGTATCTGTTTGATATATAAAGTTCCTTTCTTTTAGATATATAACCAGTATATTGGATTGTAGTAGTACTTTTGATTTGTTGAGAAATCTCTATATGGTTTTCTGTAGTGGCTGTGCTAATTTACACTTCTAGCAATAGTGCATGCGGGTTCCCCTTCAAATTCTCACCACTGTCTGTTAGTCTCTGTTTTTCTGTTTTGTTTTGTTTTGTTTTTTGTTTGTTTGTTTTTTCATAAAAGGCCATTTAAACTGGGGTGAGATGATATCTCATCGTGGTTTGGTTTGCAATTATCTGATGATTAAGGATGTTGAACATTTTTCATGTATTTGGCTATTTGTAAGTCTTCTTTTGAGAAATGTCAATTCATGTCTTTTGCCGATTTTTAAATCTGTTTGTTTGAGCTCCTTATATATTCTGTTTATTAATTCCTTGTCAGATGCATAGCTTGCAAATATTTTCTTTTATTCTGTGCATTATCTCTTCACTTTGTTGATTGTTTCCTTTGCTGTTTAGCTTGATGTAATCCCACTTCTCTATTTGTGCTTTGGTTGCCTGTGCTTCTGAGATCCTACACAAAAAATCTTTGCCCAGACCAATGTTCTGGAGCATTTCACACAGTGTTTTCTTCTAATAGTTTCATAGTTTAATCTATTTTTATTTGATTTGTGTATACAATGAGAGATAGGGGTCTAGTTTCATTCTTCTGCATATGGATATCCAGTTTTCCCAGAATCATTTACTGAAGGGACTGTCCTATCCCTGTTATATGTTCTTGACACTTTTGTTGAAAATGTTGTCTATAAATGCATGGATTTATATCTGGGTTTCTTTATTCAGTTTCACTGATCTATTTGTCTGTTTTTATGCCAGTACCAAGATGACCCATTTGGTTATTAGAGCTTTGTAGTAAATTTTGAAATTAGGTAGTGTGACACCTCCAGCTTTGTTCTTTTTGCTCAGGATTGCTTTGGTTATTCTGGGTCTTTTGTGATTTCATATAAATTTTAGGATTACTTTTCCTATTTCTATGAAAAATGACATAGGTATTTTGATAGAGATTGCATTGAATCTGTAAATTGCTTTGAGTAGAACTGTCATTTTAACAATATAATTTTTCCAATCCATGAGCATGAAATATCTTTTTATTTTTTGTGTCCTCTTCAATTTCTTTCATCAGTATTTTGTAGATCTTTCACTTTCACTCTACACTTTAACTCCATCCATTTTTACTTTGTGCTCTCTCAGTGTGCATAATCTTATACTGCCTATTTCTTAGGTTGCTGTGGATAATATTGTTTTTGATTTGTGTTTGGGTCCTTATACTAGAGTTATGAGTGGATTGAACACCACAAATCTAGCATTAGAGTATCTAGTTTTGTCCATGTACTTAATTTTACCCATTGGCTTTATAACTTCAAATATCTTCACTTTTCACCTTAGTTTTTTTTTTTTTTTAATTTCCGACAGAAGAATTCCTTTAGCATTTTTTATACGACGAGTCTGCTGGTGGTAAATTTGTTCAGCTTTTCTTTTTTTGGGATATACTTTATCTCTCCTTCATACTTAAAGGTAGCTTGGATGGGCACAGTAACTTGGATGACCGTCCTTTTCTTTCAGCACTTCGAAAATGTTGTCCCTTTCCCTCTTGTCCTGTATGGTTTCCACTGAGAAATCTTTGCCAGATGAGTTGGACCCCCTTTATATGTCACTTGGATCTTTTCTCTTGCTGCTTTTAGGATCCTATATTTATCCTTGGCCTTTGAGAGTTTGAGTACTATGTGTCTCGGGTTATTCTTATTTGGCTGGAATTTGTTTAGTCTTCTCAAACCTTCCTGTGCCTGGATATTTATCTCTTATTTAAGTTTAGGAAAGTTATCATTTCTTAGGATAAACTTTCTACCCCATATTCTAGCTCAACTCCATCTTGAACACCAGTGCTTCTTAGATTTGATCTTTTGAGATAATTTTCTATACCTTGTGGGTGATTTTTGTTCCTTGTCATTCTTTTTCCCCCTGAATATTTATTTTTAAATAGCCTGTCTTTGAGCTCACTAATTATTTTCCCCACTTGACTCATTTTGCTGTTGAGAGCCTCTATTGAATTTTTTAGTTCCACAAGCATGTTTCTCCATTCCAAGATTTGTTTGATTTTATTTTGGTTTTATTTTTATTATTGCAATGCCTTTGTTAAATTTCTCTGATAAAGTTCTGAATTGCTTTTCTGTAACCTTGAAGGTCACTGAGTTTCTTCCAAAATTCCTTCTATTTTGAATTCTGGTCAGAGTTTGCATATGGTTGCCTTGTTAAGGTCAGTCACTGGTTCCTGGCTTTGTCCATTTGAGGAGATCATTTTTTTTGGGAATGTACATCTATGTCTTTGCATTAAATGATTTGTTATTTCTTCCAGTCTTCTCTGTCTGGATTGCTTTGGGTTTTAGTGAATATGTTTGCTTATAGACTTGTTGTAATTTACTTGTTAATGTTCTTTCTTTTCTTTCTTTTTTTTTCCCCCTCTAGGTCATTGCCTCTTGTTCAGGACTACATGGTGCCTTAAGCCCAGGTTTGCCTCAGCTCTAGTAAACAATCAGAGTACTGCCTGTTAAGAATGAGGCAAGTTCCAAAGGTGATACATAGTTACTGCGGGAAGGCTGGCTGTTTGTCTGTGCCCAGGGCACCAGTGGAGCAAACCTTTTACAGCATGGTGCTGCTGAACAGCCACTCTGACTTGTTGTTTCCTTTAGTCGAGTTGCAGAGCACAATTTTCAGGGATGGGAATGGTAGTACCATGTCCCCCTTTGTCTCTGGCTGTCCTCAGGTGTATTTCTCCCTTCAGACATTCCCAATCTTCCTGTGGCTTCAGACAGAGATAAATCTTTTGCCAGGGAACTCAAGACGGTGGGGAAGCTAATTGTCTACTTATATCTTACTTTATCCAGTGTAAAACCATGAGTTGGGGGAAATTGTCCATTTGCTTATAGCCAGGCAGATTGGGAGAAGGGGCATTGCCCCTATGGAAGTCTGATTCTCTTATTGTCTGCTTGAGGTCTTTTTACTTCTACTTCTCTGTGGCCTCAGAAACTGTCTCATTCTCATACTTGAGTTCTAGGATATTACTGGTGATAATGTCAGCACTGTGTGTGTATATGTAAGTATATACAGGTTTTCTTTGAGGGTCAGTAGTAAAGCCAGCTTGCAACTACACTGCCATTTTGGAACCAAAAGTCTATTCAATTTCTTTATAAGGCTAAATAATATTCTAAGTATATACTACATTTTGTTGATCCAGCATCTGTTGATGTACTTGGGCTGTTAGGAGCTGGATCTGGAGCCTGGATCTTCTACTAATTTCCCTCCATCCTCATTGTCAGAGTCACCCCGGTGTCCCCTATTGTCCAAGTGCATCCATCTTTGCTGGGTACCTGCTCACTTCCTCCCCTCCCTAAGGGTCTCTGTCTCCTCAAGGGTGCAGGTGTCCACAAAAATTTTCTGTTCTCAGTGCAGAATGGCTAGTCACTCTTAGTTTCCCTCAATTACAGGCTTTAATTTTGGAGGAAGACAGACTTCACTCATACAAAGAGACTCAAGTCATAGACCGTTGCCACCAAAACAATGAATAAAAACAAATGAGTGAGTATTCTCACTCCATAGACAGCTAGACAATAGTTTGCTTCTTCTGTAATCTTGCTGTAATCACTCTGGCGCCCGACAGACATGTTCTATTTGTGGTACCAGTTCTTCTGTTTGTAACCCACCTTCCTACGCACTCCCCACATGAGTTAATGGTCAACATTTTCAACTAAAGTTTCAGATGCATTCTCAGGAGACGCCTGAACAGAGGTGAGAGACCTGAATTGTCCTGCTGCCCCAGTGTTTCTCATCAGAATGTGGCATCTGGGAGATGAGTCCTAACCCAGTTATTCTAGTTCCCCAGGTTTGAACCAATTTTCAACCTCAGAGATTTGGTCCTACACACTAAGTGTATTATTGCCTTCTTTTCTTGTCTCAAATTTAATTCACTAAGAGCAGGCTTTCACAGAGTAGTTCAACTCTCTTCAGCGAATTCTGAATTTCTACAATTTCTGAGCTTCTCCATAAAGTTCTTCTTCATAAGGTGCTTCTTCAGTAAAGAATTTCAGCCAACCTACCTTGTTTTGCAGCATTACACACAAAAAAGAATAAGATGAAAACTCTATATGGCCATGGACATTGTTGTTTTTTTTTTCACTACCATATCTCCTACAATTACAGTATTGTATGCCATAGAAGGCACGCGATAAACCTCTGCTGATGTAAGGAATAAACTCACATGCAGTTCTTTTCTCTGTCATGATTTAGTGATCACTTGATAGAAATCACAGCAGCTGTCTGCATAACCACATACCATAGGTGTGCTTGTAGGTATTCCCCACAGAGAGAGAGGCATTTGCAGCCACATGTCCACATATTATTCCTAAAGACTGAGCCTGTGAATATTGTATTAACCTCCATTGCTTCTCTGTCTCTCCTGCAGGATTTTAGTGGTACTGTCTTACAATAACCATTTCATGCTTTGCAGATGGCTTTGGTCACTGCTGGCAAGTATTGTCAAATGGGGTTTTCCATGCATATTTGATGGACAACTCCACGTTTCAACTCAGACTACAGAAAATACTGTCTAATCAAGTGAAGCGGATTATGAGTTCCAAATCCATAATAGGTGCCTCTTCTGCTTCTAGGAAGAATTTCATCTTATGATATTGGATAACAGTCAATACTGAATTAAACATTGACTATTAGCTGGTGATTTTATAAGACATGTTTTAAGACATGCTCACACAATACCACAGTTGTCCTACTTTCTCTCTGAAACAACGAGTCAAGGGTGGAGCAGTCCCAGAACAGAACATGGTACTGATGATTAGCAATACTGTACCGTACACTTAAAATGTTAAGGAGTGAAGCTCATGGTATGTGTTCTTACCACAAGAAGAAGAAAATGAAATAGTGATCTCAGAATCATTTCCCTGATTGCAACCATCTTTGTGCATCCGTAGAGTGACAGCTTGATGGTGACAATGAGGGTGCACCCTGGCTCAAATAGGAAGGGAATACTTCATCAAAGATGGAATTTTCACTGCATTGTAAATTAAAAGCCTTGGATAATGTCTCAAAATGTGGGTGATCTTATACATAGCCTCCTTCCTCACTTGATACTAACATCGAAAACAGACTTAGCACTTTACATTCAACGTAAAGAACATGCCCATGCGAAAGCATTTAGTAGTAAAGTGGATCGTACCAAAGATTCAAGGGAGGCAGAAGGATTCACATTACAGAGCAAAACACTGAACGAACACCCCATTTGACAATTCTGTTCATCTCAGCATTTCTCTGACAATTGGGTTCCTCTATTTTGCACTCTTTTCTTCTTTTTCTAGGATTACACTCATATTCCACTGTCTTTGCAGGGATGTACTAACAGTGAATAACCTTCATTGTTTTATATCATCCCTGGAAAGCATGATCATTTAGATTATTTGATCGGTTCCCTTCTCCTCTTTGAGGATAAGTGCCAACTGGCTGATTGTCTTTCCCCAGCCTTCCTGGAATTCCAATAAATTACAAATTTTCCATACTGTTCAAATTATATCTAGAGAGGATGTCATTATATCCACTTCTATAAATAAAGATACAAGTCCAAATGCGCTAAAGTCCCAATGCAATCAATTTTATCTTATCTTTCCCACAAAAAAGATTTAATGCAAAAAAAAATTAAAGCAAAAAATTCCAAAATTATTATACCTTTACTAATTATTTCCAGAAGTCATGAATTGTTCTTTTTTGTGTTGTCCTATTCTAGTTAGAATTAAACTACTATACAAATTAGAGACTTTGTTATGTTATAAAATTTCAAAAGAATTATTCTTCACTACTTGCCCAGTAACTATGGGTTCAGATATTGTAGTCAGCTTTGTACAGAGGCTTCCTTATACAAAAATTTAATAGCTTCCTTCATCGCATGAATTTTTCTAAAGGCATTAACCATTTTTAAAAATTATTCTAGGAAATTAATTATTTTATGAATTTTTTTATAGAGACTGTAATAGAATCAAAATGTGTCTTGTCTTGCAAATGCCCAGGGTAAGTGGCAAAAGATAGTGTATAGAAAAACAAAATTAGTAAGAAAATTGTATCAACTTACCTGGCATTTAAGAACTTTTACTATTTTTTTAAACTAAACTTCTCCCTACTTTTAGTTTTTAAAAAGCATTACTATCTGTGATAGTTTGCCATGATCAAGAATCATAACATTGATTGACTGAGCTGTTACTACCTGTCTTGGTTTGCCAGCATCCAGAATAGGAACATTGTTAAAGTGTGCAGACTTCCCACTGTTTACTGAAACGACTTTCTTGTTAACCATGGCAAAATGTCCAGCTCTGAAAATACTCTTCTGAGAACCCCCATGAACTCACTGTGACTCCAGTGTAATGCACATTTAGAAAGATTTCTGTGAGTCTTTTAAAATGTTGTGGTTTATCACAAATTGCCAAAACCTTGCCTGCAGTGCTGTTTATCAGCACTAAATTATTTCAAGCGCTCTTCCTGTTAAAGCTTTTAATGTTCTGTGTGACTCCTTATGCTAATGTTATACGTATCATTGATGTTTCTGCTCACATGAAACAAAGCACATTCATAAAATCTGGATTTCACACAAAGGTCGCTTTTTCTTCAACATCGCATTTAAATTGATTCACTCTAAGTATTTCCTCTATATTCCTATAAATCTGATATGGAGGCTGGATGGATCAGTCACTGAAATGAATCAGATAATGCGTTACACATTAAGGCAAAGTAAATTTAACCCACTGCTAGTAAAAATGGATTTAGATGTGTGTGGTTTTGTAAAACATGCAATCTGTTGTGTTTGATCTTCTCTTTGGAGGTGGGGATAGAGGTAGTCTATACACAAACACACTAAATGAATATATGTTTATGCCGGCAAATAAATGATCCTTTTCTCTTCTAGCAGGCTTCCAAACCTACCTCTCATTCCAAGTAAGGCCACGAGCTCTGGGTGGAGTTCACCTACATTACTAGGCACAACCCTTTACATACAATTCTAAAAGAGGTATTTATTATGTAACTTTGAGAGAGAAAAATGCACCATCGATCTCTATTCTTACTAAGGCCTATCACATAGGATGGCTTTTGTATTCAAATAAATGATTTTGGATACTTTTGAAGACTGAATGAACATATATTCTTTGGAATTTTAAGTATATCCTCCATATGAGCTAAAGTATTAAGTATGATATCAGTCCTAGTGCTCTATAGTGCTGTAGAGTATATATAGTTAACAACAATTTATTGTATATGTTCAAAAAGCTGGAAGAGAGGATTTTGAATGTTCCCAATACAAAGAAATGACAAATGTTTGAGGTGATGGATATGCTAATTATTCTTATTTGAACATTACACATTACACATCTCAACACATATACATGTATTGAAATACCACTCTGAACCCCATAAATATGTTTAATTATTATGAGTCCACCAAAAATAAAAAAGTTAAAAGTAAGTTTCCTTTGATTTGAAATTTGGTGTAAGAGATGCCATCTAGCATGCCTGAAGAAACTTGATGCTCTGCTAGGGAATTTGAGGATTTATCTCTAAACTACAGACCCCAGATGCAATAAATCATTTGCACACACCATGCTTTTGATACATAAATATAAGTCTATTTAATTTTATCTTTACATTTTTGTTTTGTGTTTGCGTGTGTGTGTGTGTATGTGTGTGTATTTGTTTGGCTTACCTAGTTACATATATGTACTTTTTAAGAAAAAGTCCAACATGTCTAACTGGCTTTTACATTCCACTAATGCCATGTCTCTTTTGGTAAAAGAAGTTTTTCCCCTTTGCTCATGCTTTATAACTGTTTTTATTAAGCTATCTGTCATTAAATTCACAGTTTGAGATGACTTTACCAATACAAACCTATGAAATACAGACTATAATAATTATGTAGCCAGCATCCATTTCACTATTTTGCACACAATGCGACATTTCATAGTCCTCCTGCATCTAGCTCCTGGAATATAACAAGAGGTAGTATTTGTTTCTCTCAGGCCAGACCTGGTCATAAAGCATCCTGCACAATCTTCCATGCTATCTCTCCTCAGACTATGTGGCCGGAAGCAAAGGATTCCAAGATGGTGGAGACATATGTTGATAAGAGTCCAGATCTCTGAATCAGTGGCTGCCCAGGAAATCTGTTCAAATTGAGCATGGGCTCGAGCAAGAAATAAGCTGTCTTCAGTTGTGCTCCTCAGCTCTTGATGTCTTCTTTAACTCTGTTTTGAAATTATGATTTCACTCTTTAGGCAGCTGATTTTGGGGGCAACATTTTCTTATTTCAAATATGTCTTCTAAAGGTAACTCAACAGAACTTCCAGAGCTTATGTAGGTCATTGTGCAATTGTATTTAGGGGAGGAAGCTCCGTACTCTTGGGGTGTTCGTCCACAAACCATCTACTTATTAAATACATGGTTACTGTGTTCTTATTTTTGAGCATGGAGAGCACTGCCTACATGTCACTTCACTAGAAGAATAATTTTATTACTTCTATATGTACAACTTTGCCCTTATGTCTTGGGCTAGGGTATTTATGTTTGTGTCCCCTCAAAATTCATGTTGAAATACTAACCTCCCAGGTGATAGTATTAAGAGGTAGGCTTTTTTGGAAGGTGATTATGTCATATGTCAGAGCCCTAATGAATGGGATTAGTGCCTTTATAAAAGAGGCCCAAGGGAGCTCATTGCATTGGCCCTTTCTATCATGACATTAGTGAAATGTAAAAGAGACATGACATTAGTGGAATGTAAAAGCCAGTTAGACATGTTGGACTTTTTCTTAAAAAGTACATATATGTAACTAGGTAAGCCAAACAAATACACACACATACACACACACAGGCAAACACAAAACAAAAATGTAAAGATAAAATTAAATAGACTTATATTTATGTATCAATAAATATAAATGTTTATAAAGATGTTGCAAGAAGTTGCTGTCCTTGAGGAATGGGTCTCAACAGACATATCAACTCTGCCACCACCTTTATCTTTTACTTCCTGGCCTCCAGGACTGTGAGAAATAAATATTTTTCATTTATAAACCACCTAATATTTTACTTTGTCCCAACAGACTTAAGACATTTTGTGAATTAATAAACTCAGCTTAATTTTACAAACTAAGCATTTTACCCAGACCTGCCTGGGATTGTTCCACAAAGTTTACTATATTGAGAATGTCCTTTCTCTATATTTTAAATATTCTTACATGTTAGTTCTACAGGTCCTAAAATTGTTTCCTAATCCTGCATAAAGCAATAAGAAACTTCACATTCTGATAGATGCCTGACAGTCAAGACTTGTTGGAGCCGAACAACCCAAAATGTCTCCATCGCTGGGCATCTCTTTGCGTCCTGAGGTTTATACTAAAGATGGTAACTCTCTGTCATTTTGGATGTCATTCCTGGACTGTGTGCTTTATACCACTGGACACAAGCCAGTCTACTGCAACTCAAGGCCTTTCCAATAATTCCCCAACTGAGTAGAGCTACAGAGGTTTGAACAACTTCCCTTTTACACCATTTCTTGGGACTTTTACTAAACTTACTGTTTTTGCTCAATGAGAATGTGAAAATAGCTTGAAGAACATATTTTTATTATTGTTTTCAGTGTTTCTTTTTTTAACTTCAGACTATTTTGTAAAACAGCCAAGACTCCTTCAGTACCTTTACGTGTTCTAAAAATACAGATGTTCTTTTGCTTATTTATTAAAAAGAATTAACCTTCCATGACACATGGCAGACTTAATTTGTTGAATTTTGGAAAGTGCAATTATTCAAACTATAGTGCTGGGTTCTACAAGGTACACTGTAAGTGCACACATCATTTTTCTTGGGTTTAGAATTCATTTTTTCAGTCATTTGATAACTAGATGGTTATCTCAGGCAATAAACAGGGCTCACATTAACAAGGTACCCAAATTTCAATGGTCCTAATCCCACTTACATCACGTTGAACTTTGGATCCCACAAACTAACTGCCTACAGACTTTAAGAAGTAAGGCTATCTTCTTACAGTATAGAAAATGGGCAGTTATTTTCTCTGTTTCTCTGCTAAAAGTGGTCCCCTATTCTGTCATGCCTGCTGTGGTCACCTGTGACTGGTGATGTTCACAAGGATAATATTTACTAGGACTTCCAACACTACTGACCTTACAAGTGAAACCACTCTGCTCTCTTGCTGCCTTACTGAGTCAGAGCCAACTGCACTATTTGCATTAATAGCCTGCTTGATCACAGAGAACTACAGAAGCAAAGCAATGGGACACCTGCTTATCTCTGATTTCCCTCCTTCCCTCAGTCATGGGTGGTCTCTCCATGAAGCAACCCGCCCATTCCAATCTGCCCCTGAGGCTCCTGGTAAAATGCTTCTCTTCTCTTTCTGCCTTTCTTCACTCACTCATTTGCTCTGTCCCACACTCTGGCAATAAATGTATTGATTGTGAACAAAAATATTATCAGTTTCAACTAGAACCATAACTAAGGCCCTACCCTCCCTCTACCTTAGTCACAAATACACTGATTGTTTTTTCTTTAGTACCAACTGTTCCTTCATGGATGATAAGTCCTGTGCTGCAATCACGCCAAATGCATGATTCTTAACTCTCAGAATTCAAACTTTAGGCTGCAAAAAGGATTATCTGGGAGCCCGTTCAAATTGTGAATTCCAGGGCTCTACTCCTAGCTCTCCCATTCAAGGTCTATTGCTCCTGGGTGAACTATTTTCACTTTTGCAAAGCACCCAGAGGATTCTCATTCAGGTGCTTCAAGCCTTCTTCTACTTTTAGATACAATGCCAGCTGCCATATTAACATTCTTGACTCTTCAGGGCATAGTATAAATTTTATTAATAATTTCTATAACTTTTTTTCTTTTTTGGTAACAATGATTTTGCCTGGCAGTCTATGCTGTTACTTGATGCAGACATGTTTAGAATTCCTACAAATTCCTGGCAGATTGGTCATTTTAACACTATGTAATGTCCTTCTTTGTCTCTAGCCATTTTCTTTGATCTGAAATGTACTTTATCTTTTAATTGGTGTATTTAAACCATTTACATTTAAGGAAATTGTGGATATATTAAGGCTTAGATCTGTCATTTTATTATTTATTTTCTGTTTCTGATTTATTTGTTTCTCTTTTCTTGCCTACCTGTTGGTTTCTTGAACATGTTTTAGAAATTCTTCCTATGAATCTACAGTGTTTTTGAGTATGTAACTTTGTATAGTTCTCTTGGTGACTTGTCTAGAAATTACAATATACATGTGTAACCTATCATAGTTCATTGGCACTGATGTCTTATCACTCAAGTGAAGTGTAGAAAACTTTCATTTATTTCCTTTTGCCCTCTCTACTTTTTAAAATATAGTTGTTTGTCTTAAGTATTTCCTATATATCCATTGAGTACCATGTAAGATGGTGTTACAGTTTTGGCCCCAACCATGAAATGTGATTTAATAAACTAATTAAAGAAATACAAAACCACTCCCATTTTTATACATATCCATGGTTTTCCTTCCTTTCTGGAGTTTCAGGTATTCTTCTGTTATCATTTATATTCTATTTAGAGAACTTTGGTTAGCCATTTATTAAAGGTTAAATTGCTGGCAAAAAAAAAAAAAAATTCTTGGTTTTTCTTCACCTGAAAAGCTCTTGATTTCCCCTTCATTCTTAAGGATATTTTTACTGAATATAGAACCTTGGATTGGCATTTCTTTTCTCTGTGATATAAATGACACAGTTATTAGCCTGTTTCTATGAATTTTTTAGAGATTTTTTCTTATAAAAAATTCTGAAATCAAGATCATACATTTTGTTGGAGGAGTCATATATTCATAGACTTCAGGGAAGGATTCAGCGGATAACAAATGTAAAGTCTAATTCAACCACAGAGAGTGATGAGAGATGGAACAAGGTCTGAGCGGAAGTGGAAATCATTTTCGTAAGCAGAAGTG
Organism: Homo sapiens; assembly: GCF_000001405.40. Lineage (NCBI taxonomy): Eukaryota > Metazoa > Chordata > Mammalia > Primates > Hominidae > Homo > Homo sapiens. Next base: position 225,926,343 of record NC_000002.12, read on the forward strand.
GATCAGCTTCCTTCTCTGAGACTAGAGGGAAAAGGAGGACAAGAAGAGATTTACATGGAGATCAGAGCATGTCTTCTAAATTGATTTCTCCCTGGGTGCTATTCTTGGTGAACTCTGAATGTTTAAAGATAAATATTTTTCATAAACCAAGACACTAAACTTCAAGACAACTACTTAATTTCTCCTCATCTAAAGAAATATCTATGTATTCTACTTCAGAATAAAAATGAAAGAAATGAACTACAGAATATCCATGGTTACACATGTAGTGGTGTTGGCTTTTAGATATCTTATGACTGTCTGAAACATGGAACCATCCCAAACAATTTTCAAGGGGGATCTGACCCCATACAATGTTTGCCTGATACTCTTGGCTTTGTAACCTAACCTTGGCTTAGATGAGACTGCATTTCTTTCTGGTGCCCAACTTGAGAAATTCTGCCAACTTTTTTTGGAGATATTTAAATAGGTTAATTATAATACGTTAACACTGAAAAAAAAAGGAAAAGATAAAGCACCTTTTCTTGCCTATCAGTAAGGAAAAATATAAAAAATATTTTCAGCACTGCCCAGAAAATCTTTATTAGAATAAAAATATGACTGAGATCTACTTATTCAATTTTTAATTTTTTTTTGACCATGCTGCTTCTAGCAAATAGGACCGGTAATTTTAAAAAGTCAACTTAACAGAATGTACACATCAAAATGAACTATATTTATTGTAATCTCACTTATATGTGTATCCAAGTTTGCTGCCAATGTAAAAAAAACTTTTTGGAAACTCATTTTTGGAAAAGTATCTGAAATCTCCAGCATGGTCTTTTCAGGAACATCAATGCAACAAAGGAAACCAGCTGGCTGTGTTGGTGAGACACACAGAAGACTGATTTGGTAACGGAAGGTGAGCTCTGTCAGTTTCCACAAGGGCAAAAGAGTATTGAGTCCTCATTGTGTGTCTGTCTCTTCCAATAGACTTTGGGCTCACGAAATGAAGGTACCATATTTTATTCATTTCAGTGTTCCCAGCACAGTTCTTGGCACATATCAGGCATATCATCAAAGATTATTAAATTCTATTTTCTTAATTCAAATCACAGTTAATGGTCCTAATGATCTGAAGTGACCCCAAATGTTTCTCTGACCATTTGCAAATAAGCATGAAATGATTCTTTTTTCTCATGCGTGCATACCATTTCTACATGTAATATATATGCATAATGTATTATAAATTTTCACAGAACAGTATTTCCTGACCCCATCCTCCCCTTGCAGTGCAATAGTCTTATGGGGATTATTCATGATTGATAGTTGGATTCATTTTTCAACTAGATACCTGTATCCAAATGAATGCTTTAATATTTCAACCCCGCAAAAATGTAATGAAAAACCTGTCATGGATAATAAGTTGCAATGAAGTGCTTGAGAACCTTAAATGACAGGCTCTCTGTGATTTTAAATTCCAGTTCTCTTGGATTTGAGTTATACAGTTAACTAAGTTAAGGATGCTATGTGTAAAGAAAAATATGATCATTTTAATAAATATCATAATCAAAAATAATAACAAAAATCACTTTGCAGTGCTAAATAAAAGTAATATTTTTTTCAGGGGACTTTATACCAGAAACAATGAGGTACAATCTGAGGGTGACTTCAATTAGCTGATTTCTCATCTCTTTTTTTTTATGTCTATTTGCTTTGTTTTGTCTTAATTCATTTTTTACTCCACTGTCTTACATATTAACCAGACATAATATAACACTTTGAAGAAACCTAGATTTCCAGGGCAAAATAACTCAACAAGCTTTATTATCAATTGATGTGTGTTTGTGTGTATAATTCTAAAAATGTAAAATGAGTAATCATGAAAGTTAAGTTTACCTTTCTTTATTATGTTCATCCAAATTTATATTTACAGAATTAGAATACTTTCCTAGATGTCACCCAGAATCAAAAGTTCTATTACACCGATAAATGTGAATTTCCACATGAGAAAATTTGCTTTCTCCACTCTGTGTTTTATGTGGCTGTTACTGAAACAAACCAAATGGGTAAATCAATACAAATGGCCCTTGAGGCCTAGAGAGAGCACAAGAAAGTGTAGCATCATTAAACTAAATTATGAACAAGCACTTAAGAAGACAAATAAGTATTTTGTTACCATAAGTCTTCATTTTTTTATGGTGATGATAATTGAAAATGTTTACAAAACATGCATGGTACCAGAAACAAGTCTTCTGTGATTGTGTCCTAATACTTAGGTATACCAAGTTGCTATGGCTGTTTTAATCAGATAGAAAAGTATAAATCTAGAGATGAAAATCTGATAGCATTTTCTCAAGCCCCAAACTCTATCTGGTATTAGGAAACACATAACTCGGGAGGAGTGATAATCAGGGAGGTGAACATTGGAAGAGTAATGGGGCCAGCTAGAGAGCATGGGTTTCACCTTGTTACTCTATAAACATGAGTCTGGAGCTGAGCCTAAAGAAGGAAGACACAGGAGGGGATAAAAGGAAATAATGCTAAGGGCTCAGGTAAGTGACGAGGACAGAACACAGAACACAGAGGCTGCAAAGATAGGGGCTGCCCTTCCTGTTTCCTAGGAAACTGCTCCCAGATACCCAGGTTTATATCATCCACAGGCTTACAGCAGATGAAAATGAAGAACTAAGCCCAATATTCTACAAACAGAATACACGCCCAGGAGATAGATCCAAGGACATGATATGTGAATAAAAATTATTTTGAAAAAGTCTGGAGCAAATGCATCTCAGAAGAAAGAATAAATGACCCGGCATTTTTAAAACTCAAAATTCAGGGCATAAGTGACTTTTGGTCCTGAGCAAAACTATGTGTGATATGCACTTCATAAGTGACAGTTTAGGGCAATGGTCATTATATAGTGGATTAGAACCAACCCTGGGAGCAAATCAAAATACATAATTTTTTTTTTTTTTTTGAGACAGAGTCTCACTCTGTCGCCCAGGCTGTAGTGCAGTGGTGCTATCTCAGCTCACTGCAAGCTCTGCCTCCCGGGTTCACATCATTCTCCTGCCTCAGTCTCCCAGGTAGCTGGGACTACAGGTGCCCACCACCACGCCCGGCTAATTTTTTTGTATTTTTTTTTTTTTTTTTAGTAGAAATGGGGTTTCAACGTGTTAGCCAGGATGGTCTCGATCTCCTGACCTCGTGATCTGCCTGCCTCGGCCTCCCACAAAATACATAATTTTAATTAACCTTCTTATATAAGGCATGTAAATTTAATATTAGAAAAAAATTACCTGTATTATAATTTAATTTAATAATGATGTTTGAGGTCTTCTAACCAAGACAATTTATTTTGTTTTATACAAATAATTTTAAGTCTAAACATAGGAGAGGTTTTAGAAAAAAAAATTATATAAATTATTTTCATGACAGATGTGCAGGTTTTGATATAAACATAAATCCTATCTGGAAAGCTCAAATTCTTTACTGTCTTTGTGAAAGATGGTTTTCAACAAAACATTATGCTTTTTTGCCCATACTAGCTACCAGGATCATGAATCTGAAGAAATTATACATATATATACACACATAAAATTATTATATATAGACTATATATATATTTGTCACTGCCGGTTGTTATTTTGACAGATTAAATAGAAACTGAATAGATAACTTTTACTTCACTGAATCAAAAACGCTCTTTATTGGTTATAAATGACATTGAAATACACTCCTGCAAAGCACATCAGAATGGTTTATGACTTTTTAAGGAAAAATATTATATTCAATGGGCTGACTGAAAATTTGCCTTAAACATAGTGACTCTATTCTATGTGAAAAATGATATAATTTAAAGAGACTGCAAAAACATACATAAATTAGTTTTATTTGTCTTTGACAGCTATGGTACAGCCCGTAGTACTCACACATATGCATTTATCTTCCCTTTCCAGGTTTCTGGAATGGTTAGCCTTTGTTACCCTTCCATCCAGGTAGCAATGTGCAACTGTTTCTGGTCCAGAAGCAACCAGCAGTGACATGGGTCACTTCCCAGCTAAAGCATTTCATTGCTGATATGAGTCTCCATGCACTCTTTCCCTCTATGATAATCATGGAGGAAGACTCATATTCTAATGGTGGAACTATGGATTTGAAGGTTCGTGTGTCAACAAAATCTCTACCTGGAGGAAACCTGCCTGAGAGAGTTACTTGGATGCACAAAAACTTAGCATGACTCAGAAAGAAACCTCTGGGGTGTGAAGCCACTAACTTGTTTTGATTGTTATTTCAGCACAACCTAGAATATACTAATGAATATAAATTTAGACAGCACTTTTTGTGCCATGATATTCCCATGTAGTGCTTAATGCACAAGTATTTACGTTTTGACCTATTATATTTAATTCAAAAAAGCTTATTAGAAGCTGAGGCCAAACTAAATAAAAAGGGAACAACATGCCCAAATTTAGTCAAATATTGGACTCTTCATCTTCATACAACAATTTGGAATATAAAAGAATGATGGCAGAGAGTTAATACTTCAAATATTGCATTGTAAGCTATATTTTTCTTAGAAAAGGATCTCCTGACCCATATAAACAGATATTTTTTAAGCAGTACTCTCTACTATGTAAATATTCTATAGCAGCCAGTATCTCTCATTTACAGGGTATTATCGTTGGCAGTAGGACATGAAGAGAAATCCTGAGGGTGTTTATGTTTAGGTGTCTTATTTCTGGAGGGCAGGAAATGACAAATACTGCCAAAAGAAACCTGCCCCATGCCAGCAGTCCTTAGAGACTTTAATAAAGTTCAAAATTTTTATATTAATGTTACTATTCTTTTTTTAGTGAGTTTAAAATAGCACATTTTGAGAAACAAATTTTCTTTTCTTGAGAATGAAATATTTTTAAGAGGAGAGCTTTGGTAGAGATTTTCTTTATTCAGGAGACTTTACACTTATGAGAACTAGAGGGAAGTTATGAAAGTCATAAGAGAAATAATGTTTCACTACCAAAATTGTTTGTCATTTTGAGTTGCCTTGTCTAAAGAAGAAAACATATTTGGTTGATTCTCCTAATATCTTGTTACAATTTATTCAGTGGGAATTTATGAAGTGATGACATAAATGGGAAACCCTTGTAATCAACACTTTTGTATTCTAACTGCCTTCTCTTCTTGGTCTTGGGTCATCTTGTCATCTACTTCTTCACATCATCAACTTTTCTTAGGTGAAAATACTGATATTCTAAAATTGACTAAACCTAAGCATGGGGAATATTTTTACTTTAATTTTTTTCCTTAAAGTTATGGGTTTGTGTGTGTGTGTGTGTGTGTGTGTGTGTGTGTGTGTAGCACTATAAGGATAGAACAGAAACAAACATTTTTTAGAATCATCTGTTAAAGGCAGAATAATACACTCTCCACCAAAGAAAAGGTATCTACATCCTAAACCTCAGAACCTGTGACTATATTATGTTACATGGAAAGGGGAATTAAAATAAGGTTGCTAATTTTAAGGATGCTTATTTCCTTAAAACAGGGAGATTGTCCTGGATTTTCCAGATGGTGCTAATGGATCCTTAAATGTGGAAAAGAGAGGCATATGAGGGTCAGTGTCAGAATGATATGATGTGAAAAAGACTCAACTTGCCATTGATAGCTTTGAAGAGGGAAGAAGAAAGCTATGAGCCAAGAGATGTGAATGTCCTTTGGAAGCTGAAAAAGGAAAGGATATGGATTTACTCTTAGAGGCTCCAGAAAGAAATGCAGCCTTACTGACATCATGGTTTCAGAGTGAGAACCACATCAAATTTCTAACCTAACAGAATTGTAAGATAATAAATTTGTGTTTTAAGCTAGTAAATTTGTGGTCATTTACTACAGCTGCGATAGAAAACTAAGACCTTTATAATGGCCTATGAGAATAAGACAATTTGAAAAACACTGTCCCTTAATTCTTTGAGTATTAAGAAGTATACAGTAACCAGTTTTTCTTAATTTCAACCAACAATCAAATAATAATAATAATAAAATAGAGGCTAGGCACGGTGGCTCACGCCTGTAATCCCAGCACTTTGGGAGGCCGAGGTGGGTGGATTACTTGAGGCCAGGAGTTCAAGGCCAGCCTGGTCAACATGGTGAAACCTGTCTCTACTAAAAACGCAAAAAATTAGCCAGGTGTGGTGGTGCATGCCTGTAGTCCTAGCTATTTGGGAGGCTGAGGCAGGAGAATCGCTTGAACCTGGGAGGAAGAGGTTGCAGTGAGCCGAGATCGTACCATTGCACTCCAGCCTGGGTGACAGAGTGAGGCTCTTGTCTCAAAAAATATAAAAAAAATAAAAATAAAAATAATTTCGAAAGGGAATTTTACTGGAAATCAGCATCATTCTCCAGACTCTGTTTTGGGAAACAGAATATAATTCCTTAAAGAAATGAATGAACATGCTAGATTTCCCCAATGCTTGAGTTTGCCCTGATGCATCTCTGCTGGGAAATTGAGAAATGAACTACACTGTCTTGTGAGATGTTTCTATGCAACAAGTCTATAACTGAACAAGAATAAATCATAACAAGTGAGAATCTTGAAAGGTCAAGCCATAAGGTTCACCACTGAGTTGGACTGGGTCAGAAGCTGGGAATGTTATTTAATACTGAGACAGATTGTAAACTTGCCAATCCAATCACACTCTACTTTGATGTTATGCTTTTTGCTTTGAGGCTCTGGTTTATGGCAGTTGATGTTTATTTTCACATATACTTTCCTTTCTTCCTACTTTATAAAATTCTTGGAATTGGTATTTCTGCATCCTACTTAAGGCAAAGCATTAATTCAAGCCAACTAGTAAGCTCCTACCCTCTCTTGGTTCCAATTTCAACCCCATTATTGTATAAAATTTCATGTTTACAACGTTCTAACTCTGTGTTAAGAATAACAGCCTCAGTCATCAAGGCTTATGGGGCTTTCCACATTTCCAAATCAGTCATGAAAAAAACATGGACTAAAACCAAACATTTTAAAATGTATTTTGTGGAGTAATAACATTCATCTAACTGCAGATAGAAACTTTTTTGTTCAGCCCAGAGATCATTGCAGTGATTCCAAATGTTTAGTCAAGACAGTGAAGACAGACTCTTTTCAAGCCACTTAAAATCCTGGTGGGGAAATAAACATGGCAAAATATACATTTAAATCTCAAAAACATATTAAAATGCAAAGACTGTTGGAGAAGTTAACGGGAAGTACTAAAACTACGACAGGTGTTTAGTAATGATAAATAGGATTTTCGACAACATTTCAATTAACTAGTCCTTTGAGATTATTTTCATTGCTAAATTAGCTAATTGAAATAGATTATAAGAGCTTATTAAACACTTAATTCTGGTTTTCTTCCGTGTGAAATCTATCCAATTAGCATTTAAAAATATCTGAACATTTGGTATAACATAGATGAAACATCAAAATGGTCTCAGAATTTTTCGTAATTAAAATATATATTTTGTTGTTAAAGAAACATTAACTCGGATAGACTTAGGTGTCTTTTTTCTTCCTCTTTTTCTTAACCCAGGTGAGAAAAGGCAATTGTGAAAGGAGAAATGGACCAAGAATCAAGAAATGTAAAACCTTATCACTACTTTGCCACTAAAGAGTATTACATTGGGCTAATTGTTTTACTTCCGGGGTCTCAGTTTCCATAAATATAAAATAAAATATTAGATGGCATGCATTCAATCATTAATGAAAAAAACTGAGAACTTTCTAGACTTCTATATAGGCAATTGGGATTCAAGAATAAACAGATTAATGCACAGAATTTATAACCCAACTTCTCTTGCAGCATAAATGGCATTTATTTATGTGCTATAAATCATTACAACATAATACTTAGGCAGTTTAATATTGGGAATTATATGCCCCATACCTATTAATATAAGTTGTCTAGTGTTTCAAATTAAAGTTTCTATGATGAAAAAAAATCAGAACTTAGTTTTAAAATAATACCTGGAACACTGATAAACAGCTGATGAAGATGAAGAATTTTAAAATGCAATTTTATTGTGAAAAAAAAACAAAACGTTATTAGTAGGTCAAAATCTAGAGTTAAAAAAACAATTATATAAAATTGGTTTATTAAATTAATGTCTTATGGACAGGACTACCAAACCACTTTGGATAGTAGATGCTAAATGTTTTTATGGAATTTCTAGTTTATAAGACAAAGTTTGAAACAAAGAGAAACACTCATTCTAAAAAAAAATGTTGATCTGAAATTTTTGCTGTTGTTTTCTTTATTTCAACTGCTGGTATAGCGCAAACCATAATTGCACCTAGATGTCAGACAAGGAGAAAATAATATAATGAGGTTTCTAAATATTTAAACACTTTTTAAAATGTGGAAATTTGCCTCTATCAAAGCAACTTTTACTTTGTTCTCTCTTTCTCTCTCTCTTCTTCCCACTCAGCTTGCCATTTCCCTTCTTTGAGCTGTTCCATTATTTTTTTCAAAATATATTATTATTTTATGTATTTATTTTGTCATACATCCTCCCTTCTAAATAAAATTGTCTTTCTTATGACCTTTTCTTACTCGCTCATCTCTCCTATCACTCTATCGCCCAATTTTGTTCTTTTCTTTTCTTTTCTTTTTTGAGACGGAGTCTCTCTCTGTTGCCAGGCTGGAGTGCAATGGCACGATCTTGGCTCACTGCAACCTCCGCCTCCTGGGTTCAAGTGATTCTTATGCCTCAGCCTCCTGAGTAGGTGGGATTACAGACATGCGCCAACACACCCAGCTAATTTTTGTATTTTTAGTAGACATGGGGTTTCACCACATTGGCCGGGCTTGTCTCGAACTCCTGACCTTGTGATCTGCCCACTTTGGCCTCCGAAAGTGCTGGGATTACAGCCACGAGCAACCACGCATGGCCCAATTTTTTTCTTAGATATTATTTATTCATATTCCTGGTCTGAGACCTCACAAAACCCTACTACCAACAAGGAATAGGCCATTTACTCCTTCTTTGTAAAGTCCTAAAGAATTATTTTGGGATGTCCATCATTTGTCCTACCCCATTCTTGAGAGTTCAGTCTTCACTCACCTTCATTTCACCTTCCAATTGTCACTATTGGCTGTCCTGCCTCCAAGACATCATCAAGATTTGATAGCTCACACTCTAATGAAATAATCCATCAGTTCCATTTCATAACCCTAAAGAGTCTGTTCCCAAACTTTCAAACAAAGAGTTTTCTTATTAATGTCTCTAGAGTTGACCTGGGTATAGTTTGGACAATTCACCAGTATTTACTAAACACAGACACTGGTTGAGAAAAAAACTTGTTACTCTTGCTAAAGTTCTGTTTCTCAGAGGCCCTTTCTCTTAGGAACAACTGATGTATTATTCTCCAGCTTTGGAAACTACCTTCCCATACATTCTACAGTTTGTCTTTTATTGCTCTGTATTAGTCAAGATTCGTTCAGTTGCAAGTGAGAGATCCAAATTCAGCCATGTTAAACCATAGGAAAGGAAAAAAGTCTTGCCTACATAACCAAAAGTCCAAGGACAAACTATCTTCAGATTCAGTTCGATCAAATTATGTCATCATGTTACCTGCTCTCTCTTTTCCTCCTTCTTAATTTCTCAGCCCTGCATCCTGTATGTGTTGATCTCATTATGTGCTTTTCTGTTACATAGACTGGATTTATTCATTATAACAGTTTTAACACAATTTTCTACAAACTTAAAATCCAAAGGTTAGTCTTTTTTATTTCCAGCAGAAATTTGAAGACAGGAAGTCTCCCTTGGGGTGATGCCTCTTAAAAATGCAGGAAGATGTGGTATTATCTGTGGCCTAGTCTACATAACACATACATCCTTATAATGGTAGGGGTAGAAGGGATAAGAGATTATGTTATAGAACTTTGACTGAAATTCCTACCAAAATTTTATGTAATGGAAAAGGTATTTCCAAATGAAGATGGGAAAGAATCCTGAGCAGACAAAAATTGTATTTAGAGTAGTCCAATCTACATAAACTCCTCCAAAATAATACAATTTGGGAGGTAGCTTTATAAACTTTAGAACAACTGTGCTATTATAGATATCAGAAGATTCTAGAAAACTAGTTAAACTCCAACAAATAGAAAATGCCTATGGGTATAGACCGAATAATTTAACTAATTGATTTTTTACGTGTCAATATTTTTCCTAGATCTTTAAAATTAGGCTGCAGTTATCAAATTTTTTTCATATCACATGTAGTTAAAATAAGTTCACATTTATTAGTGAATCAAAAGTTGGGAATTTCAATGACTTTTATATTCTTTCCCAATATTCACTTTTCCTCTTTTAGCACTTAAATTTTTCTTCTGGAAACACTTTTAGCTGATTCTTAGTCTAAAACCATAAGTTATAACAGTATCTGCTAAAGATGTCCCCATTCACTAAGAATGAACTGTAGAGCCCTTAAAATAACCTTCAAGACTTGCCTAGAGAACTGTGTCCAGGTGCCTCTCTGACCTCATGCTCTCTCACTCTAATCCACCAGCTCTGCTCCCGCCATGCTATGTCCCCATCCCAGCCCCTTGCAGGTGCTCAAATACCCCATCTCAAGCACATTCCCATCTCAAGGCCCTTGAACTTACTGTCTCTTCATTCTGGGACACTCTTATGTTCATAACCACATGGCTCACTCCCTCACATGACTGAGGTATTTGTTCAAATATCTCCTTTTCAGGGAGGACTATATTAACCATTCTATCTAAAACAAACAAACAAACAAACAAACAAACAAACAAACGGATGGATGGACAAACCCTCTTATCCCATTAGCCTCCCTAATTTTTAAAAATGTGCTAAGCATTTATTTTTTAAATTGACATAATAACTGTACCTATTTATGGAGTACAAAGTGGTATTTCAATATGTGTGTACAATGTATAATGATCAAACCTGGGTAGTTAGCATATCCATCACCTCAAACATTTATGATATTTTTTCCATTTTGGAAACATTGAAAATCTTCTATTTGAAAATATACAATAAATTATTGTGAACTATAGTCACCCTCCAGTATTATAAAACACTAGAACACATTACTCCTATCTAGCTGGATTTCTGTATTTATTAACCAACTTCTTCCTGTCTCCACTCCTCCCTATCTTTCTAAGCCTCTAGTGAGCACTATTCTACTCTCTACCTCTATGTGATAAAACATTTAGCTTCCATATATAAGTGAGGCCATGAGGTATTTATTTGTTGACAGTATCTGTTGACAGATACTTAGCTTGATTCTATATCTTGTCTATTTTGAATAGTGCTGCAATAAGATAGCTTTTTGACAGACTAATTTTCTTCCCTTTGGATATATACCTAGTAGTGGAATTTTTTTACAGCAATTATTACCACCCAACACAGTTGGTGTTTGTTTATTTTCTTTCCTTCCCCACTGGCATGTGGTGTAATTGACAAGAAAGACTGATTTGCACATGTCTATATTTCAGCACCCAGGACAGTGCCCAACATATTGTTGGTGCACAATAAATAGATGTTAAATACATTCTTGAAAGGAGAATGAATGAATGAATGAACAGTTCTGTCACTCAGATCCAAATATTGACTCATGATCTAGACCTAGCCTGTCAGAGTCTCATATTGCATGGCCACAGTGATGCTTTAAGTGTAGCCATGAGACCTATATCAAACACATATGTTGATATGGTTTGGCTCTGTGCCCCCACCCAAATCTCAACTTGAATAGTAATAATCCCACATGTCAAGGGCAGAACTAGGTGGAGATAATTGAATCATGAGGGTGATTTCCAACATGCTGTTCTTGTGATAGCGAATGAGTTCTCACGAGATCTGATGATTTTATAAGGTGTTTTCTCCTTCACTCAGCACTCATTCTCTCTCCTGCCACCCTGTGAAGAAGGCCCTTCTGCCATGATTGTAAGTTTCCTGAGGCCTCCCTAGCCATGTGGAACTGTGAGTGAATTAAGCTTTTTTTCTTTATAAATTACTCAGTCTTGGGCATTTCTTCAAGCAGCATGAGAATAGACTAATACATATGTACTCACAGTAAATCTGTGACACTACAGACAAATAACAATATAAATTAAAACAATGAAGCCCATAAAGAGGGTCAGCCTGAGCATCAACCCAACACATATGAAGGCACAGCTAAGACATGGAGCCTCATGACTCTAATAACTACCCATGATCATCCCACTTTCTTTTCTCATGCTAGTTGGAGCTTGTAGTTTTTCCCTGAAATTAAAATATTTTGAAAATTCTTTAAATTTCTTTCCAAAAGATAACTAGTAACTGCACTGTAATCAATAATTGATGAGCATATCAATTTTTAGTACTAGAATTTGCTATATTTTTTAAATGTTCATCATTCAGAAAATGGTACCATATTACTGTGTTTGAATTCTAGTCATGTTTGCATGACTTATTTCGTCATATCAATTATCTGTCTTATCTATTGAGTCATTAGCATTGATTTGAGAATTTGAATGCACCCTCTGTATAAAATTACTGTCATCAGTCCATCAATTATGATTGTAGCCAATGTTTTTCTCCATATTTTAATGGCTCTAGAGAATTTCAGAACTGGAAGAATCTAAGAATCAAGTCATATCCACTTATTTTATAATTTAGGATCCTGAGATACAAAGAAATGTAATAATATATAAATAGTAAATAAAACAGCATACATGGTTCACCTTACATAAGCCTTGTCCCTTCCTTAATTAAAATATTTAAATATTTACATAAATAGAAATGCAGCTGTGATATTGAAACCAAATCAGTTTAGCGTCAGTGGTGACTAAAGATTTCATAGCAGGTGCAGCCCTTAAATTTGTCTTGTCTCACATTCCAAATGATGCAACAAGTGCAATATCCCCAACCATATTCAATTGCTAGAGCCTAATACAAGTGAATGCAAATACCTAATGTGAAAGGTCAAGATTACTGTTAAGAAATCAGCAGCATAACTACTGTTAACACATTTTCACTTACATAACAGTAATTGCATTTAATCATAATAGATATAAGGTTTGACTTATTAATTTTGGTTAATTTGGTTTGGTGTTTAAAATGTGACCTGGCCTTTCTCCATAGCATCTATTCACTAAGACCTTTCAGCTGCAGGATTATATCACAGGTCCAAAAGAGTACTCAGAAACAGAGGTTGTAAATTACTAACCCAGTGTACATAAGTTTGGAGCATCAAATAGAATCTTATTTAATTTACTTACAAAATCTGTTTTAGAAAAACAACCAAACACTGGGAGAGAAATCTTAGGGCACTGAATAATTTTATGTGTGGTTGTAGTATCTTAATAGGTTGTAAGACCTTCTTTAGGCAGGTTAGATAACATCTTGTGTGTGTAGTTTATGAGCTAGACATACATTAACCTACTCAATCCTGGTAACAGGTCTATGAGACAAGTACAATCATTACCTCTGTTGTACGGATATAAAACTGAGGTCAACAGAGGATTCGAAAAATTGCTCAAGGTTACTTATTCACTGAACTCCCCAGAATTATTACAGATTGACTAAGCAGTCTTTTTTTTTTTTTTTTTTTTTTTTTTTTTTTTTTTTTTTTGAGACGGAGTCTCGCTCTGTCGCCCAGGCTGGAGTGCAGTGGCGGGATCTCGGCTCACTGCAAGCTCCGCCTCCCGGGTTCACGCCATTCTCCTGCCTCAGCCTCCCAAGTAGCTGGGACTACAGGCGCCCGCCACTACGCCCGGCTAATTTTTTGTATTTTTAGTAGAGACGGGGTTTCACCGTTTTAGCCGGGATGGTCTCGATCTCCTGACCTCGTGATCCGCCCGCCTCGGCCTCCCAAAGTGCTGGGATTACAGGCGTGAGCCACCGCGCCCGGCCGACTAAGCAGTCTTAATACGATCGAATATGCTATATTGCACTTGAAATCATTGTTTATTCATTTGCTAAACATAGGTTAAGCTTCACTATGTCTAGGACTAATCTTGAGCCAGTATGCAGGTATTAAAAAAATAATAAATAAGGTCCATATTATCATGGTCTTACTGCCAAGTGCAGGGAGGCAATAAAGATGATTATCCTTTAGTCTCTAAAAAGTTCTAATGAACTAAGTGGAACAAAGCAATGAAAAAAGAAGATAGATGGGAAGTGAGAAAAGGTACTTCGGATAAGATGGTCAGGAAAGCCCTCTCTGATGAAGCAGCATTTTATTTTTATTTTGTTTCAGTTTGTTTTCCTTTCAGCTATAGCTCAAAGAATAAAGCAGCGTTTTAGTTGATATTTCTTTTTTGTTTTGTTTTATTGAGACAGAGGCTCTGTCTGTCGCCCAGGCTGGAGTGCAGTGGCGCTATCTTGGCTCACTGCAACCTCCACCTCCCGAGTTCAAGGGATTCTCCTGCCTCAGCCTCCCAAGTAGCTGGGACTACAGGTGCCTGCCACCATGCCCAGCTAATTTTTTTTGTATTTTTAGTAGAGATGGGGTTTCACCATATTGGCCAGGCTGGTCTTGAACTCCTGATCTCAGGTGATCCACCCGCCTCAGCGTCCCAAAGAGCTGGGATTACAGGAGTTGATATTTCAATGGTGACAAGCAGCTTGCCATCCAACAGCACAACAGAAGAACATTTTTAGGCAAATTGAACAGCAAGTAAAAATGTTATGTGGATATGAGTTTGTTATGGTCAAAGGACAAAAAGAAGTTGATGAGGCTGGAAGGGAAAATAGAGAGGATGAGGTTAGAGAAACAGAAAGGCCCCAGATTCTGGAGTCTCACAGGCCAAGGTAAAGATTCCAGCTACAATGTGCAAGCCTTAGAGAATTTTAAACATTTGCATGAAAGTCACACAATTTGATTTACATTTTAAAAAGTTTGGCTTGTTTTGTAGAAAACAGGCTGTAGGAGAAATGCACAAAAGTGAAAGAAAGAAGACCAATTTAAAGGGCATTAAGTAATTCCATTTAGAATGAATATCAGGGGTACTTTTGAAGAGAAAAAAATAAATGCTAAGATCCTCCTCCTTAAATTGCTATTTGTAAAGATATCCCTTTAGAATGTTCATAGCTCTCCCCATGGGGAATAAATGAAGGAGACATAGAAGCTAATAATGGGTTCGGTGCTTTCCTGTGCACTCTCATAATGCTCCTCTTTACCCTTCTGCATGTATCACATTGTACAGTATGTTAGTTGCCCTTTTTACTTGCTTACCTAGTCCAAAAACGTATCAACATTTTAAGAGCAAGAGCTGAGTCTTCACAACCTCCAGGTCTTCTTCCCAGCACATAGTAAGTGCTTAAAAAACATGTGTTACATACTTACAATAGCTCCAGCAATCACTCAACATATGTGCCCAAGTTTCCCAGGGTAGACTTCCTGAAAGTTCTTGTTCTTCATTCCACCTCACCCCACTCCAAATGCCTTTCACATTCAGGAGGGATGCAAAGCTAGGATACAAACCATGCAGCGAATGCATTCACTAGTTGTCTATTATTATAGTTGATAGCATATGGAGGTACATTTTAACACCTTTAGTACTGGGAAGAGGGTTGCTGAAGAGTAGTGAGACTGGGTAGTTTAATTTTATTCTTTATGCAAGCATCAATAATATTTTCTTTCACTATTTTTTGTGGTTATATTTGAATATGCTTCTTTCTGTGGTTATATTTGAATCTAAATTTGTTATTGAAGAAATACAAGAAGAAACTGTAGCTTTCAAGCTCCATCAATTAGCAAGAGTTTCCTCCTAGAAATTCCAACCCTTTTCCCTTCAGGGTTTGATTTTATACTCTTTTCAACAATCCATATAGAACACTGCCTGCTCTTATAGTACATCTTTATGGATTAGTAATTTTCAATTTATGCAGTCGTTATCCTATTAGTATGAGCATACTGTAATTAGGAATTATATGTTTTAGTTTTGAATCCTCACTGCTAAGCACAGGGTTAGAAACAAGGTGATTATTCTGGAAGGAACGGAGGAAGGAAGGAAGGAAGGAAGGGATGGAGGGAGGGAAGGAGGGAGGCAGAGAGAGAGAGAGAAAGGAAGAAAAGAAAGAGAGAGAAAGAAAGAAAGAAAAAGAAAGAAAGAGAGAGAGAGAGGGAGGGAGGGAGGGAGGGAGGGCGAGAGGAAGGAGGGGAAGAGGGAGAAGGGGAAGAGGGAAGAGGGGAAGAGGAAGAAAGGAAGGAAAGGGAAAAAGGAAGGAAAGAAGGAAAGAAGGAATGAAGGGAGAGAGAGGGAGGGAGGGAGAAAATAGGAGAGGGAAAAAGGAAGGGAAGAACGCAGTTCTTAGATCCTTCTATCACTACCAGGTCCTGAAAATAATGCTTGTCCCGCATCTTTTCAAATATGAGGGTTTCTCAGGTACTCAAAAACCTGAAAATACCAGAAATATCCATAATTACTTACTATTTTTTTTATGGGCAGCTACATTTCTTTATACAGAGACAAATGGAAGTAAACTTTAAAAAATACAATCAGTCTATTTATGGGGTACAGTGTGATGTTTTGATATCTGTATATACTGCCAAAAGATTAAATCAAGCTAATTTACCTATTTATCACCTCAGCTACTTACCATTTTTTGTGGTGAGAACATTAAAAATCTATTTTTTTTAGCAATTTTGAAATATAGAATACATTATTACTAACTGTGGTCACCATACGGTGCAATAGATCACTAAAAGGTTTTCCTCCAGATCACACTGTACCCATAAATACAAGCAATTACTTTTTTAATTAAAAATACATTAATTTTAAAAATACTGTCAGTCTACTTCCATTTCATTTCTTATGGTTTTTCCCAACGTCATATTCTTTGAGACCTGGATCCTATTGTACAATATCGGTCTGCCATGCTTATAATGTCACTAATTATGTTAGTTCAATGCAAGAAATCCTGTTTACAGGAAATATATTGAATTTTTTTTTTATATTACATTAAGTATTGTCAAGAATATATGCAATACATATAGAAAAAATATGGGTAATTTTCTTCTTTCCAAAAGATTGCTATATACTCAGGAAAACAAGACTAGCTTACATGAAATATTGTAATAAACAATATAAGTGTGGTGTATAGTTAATTACTTAATGTATGATTTGCAAGATATTTTGTGCTTATTTGGATGGGTGATAGTCCATTAGAGACAGGCTTTTACATGGTTTTGCAAGTAGGACCTCTGGCAAGTTATGTAATCTGTTTTTCAGTTCTTTCATCAGTTAAATGGGAAATATACTCAAGAAACATAAATTATCATTGTAATTCTTGTTATTGTTGTTGCTGTTGTCATTATCATCACCAGTGTGACAGATGACAGGTGGCTACCAATGATTCACACATCTTGTTATTTATGGCCTTATATACAGCCCTCCTCTTGATAGTTGGCTGTATCCACTGGCATGCTTCTACTGAAAAATATATGGGAAAATTGATAGAATATGATGGGATACACAAGACTATAACTTCTATGTGGCCAGCATGTTCTCCCTTACTTTCATTCTCTCTTGCCCTCTCACTTGCCTTGCTTTGAAGAAACCAGTTGCCAGGCTGTGAAATGCTCTATGGTGAGGTTCAGTTGCCAAGGAACTGATGTAATCCTCTGATGAAAGATTAAGAGGAGGTAAATTCTGCAAATGAGTATGTTGAGTGAGCTTGGAAGCAGATCCTCCCCAGTCAAGTCTTTAGATGAGATGGCAGCTCTGGTTGATACTTTTGTTACAACCTGTGCTTATATTCCTGATCCACAGAAATTTTTGGTATAATAAATGTCTGTTGTTTTAAGTCATTTGGTTTCATGAAATGTGTTATGCATCAACAAATAGCTAATAGAGTCATCATCACTACTAATCCCATGGACGAAAGATACACGTGTTGGATACCACATTCCAGGAATGACTTATGAAGAGTAAGGACTATGTAAGACAGATAAGCTTGGGATGGGCATAACAAGTGAATGCAGGTTGTGAAGTCATTTGATGTGCAGAAAAACATACGCTAAAGCATCAAAATCAGGATACTGAGTATTTGTAAAGCAAAGAGCTAAGCTCAAGTTGGTTTGCAATAGTAGATTTTAAAGTAAGTTTGATTAGATAGCTGAAAAATAATCAAGGTGGTTAAAGTTCAAACTTTTCCAGTAGATTTATTATACATTTACTAGCAAAATAAGAATTTGCCTTAATTTCCTCTTTCCACAGTGCCTAACATTATGCCTATCAGATATCAAATATCAGATATCAAATATTCAATAAAAATATTCAAAAACCAAATGAGAACAGGGTGATTTTTCAGGCATCAGGAGTCTCTGGAGGCTTTTAAACTCAGAAGTGGTGTAATGAAAACTATGTTTATAGAATTTGGGTGGACATCTGCACCATGGAATACAGAGAGAAGAAAATGCTGTCATGGAGGCAAGCTCTTATATATGTATGAGAATGTGTGAATACAGACTAAAGGAATAACAGTGGGGATGGAAGACACCCAGAAACAAAGAACAGGCCTCCAAGAATGCCACAGGTAAATGAGGCTGTGCCCGAAATGCCAGATCTTTACAAATGTCAACACAAATGATTGGAGTATCATTCCTTCTACTTTCATCACTAGGAAGTAACTAAAACAGGAATTCTATACTCATTATCTCTTCAACTACTACCCATCTGTAGCTGAAGCAGCTAAAAATCTGAGGACATATGGCTGTGATAGGTAGATAGCGTCACATGCCAAAAACAGTATTTTCAGAGAGAAGAAAAAACATGAAAATGAATTCCAAATACTCATGTCCCCTATTTTGCAACCTCCTAACATCCTACTTGGTTTTGAAATACATGCAATTAAACCTCATAAATATAGTGAAAAGTAAGATAAATCAAAATTACTGTATTTGAGAATGAGTCCACTATTGTTTGGCTGAGTAACACAGTGATAAGTACAGAATAAATTACAAAGAAATTAAACACAGCCAGGCACTGTGGCTAACGGCTATAATCCCAGTACTGTGGGAGATCGAGGTGGGCGGATCACTTGAGGTCAGGAGTTCAAGACCAGCCTGGCCAACATAGTGAAACCTCCTCTCTACTAAAAATACAAAAATTAGCCAGCCTTTGTGGTGGGCGCATGTAATCCCAGCTATTCGGGAGGCTGAAGCAGAAGAATCTCTTGAACCTAGGAGGCGGAGGTTGCAGTGATCTGAGATCACGCCATTGCACTCCAGCCTGGGTGACAGAGCGAGACTCCATTTCAAAAAATAAATAAATACATAAAATAAGAAAGAAAGTAAACACACACACACATGCACACACATGCACTATCTCCTCCCTAATGAGCCTTAAAATCTGAGTTTAAAAAGTAAAAACGCACAACTTGCCATACAGAAAAGTAAATGAAGAGCCATTATATGATAAAGACAATCTTGATATGTAGCACAAAATAATGAACGTGGCTTATGTGTGTCAATATTTAATCGAAATTTTATTTATATGTAGAATCCTATCTATTAACATGTTAAAATAGAAATTAAATATTTGAGAAACTTTTCTAAGGCAGCCACTTTTCTTTTTCATGTATTTCTTGCTTGCAATTTTACAATTTGTCATCTATCTTTTCTCTGTGTTTTGTTACCAGAAACTATCTTTTAAAAAGACTCTGTAAAAAATTAATAAATAGTTATTTAAATATAATAAAAACCATATGGAAAATGATCAATAACAAGGTGACAATGAAAGAGAAATTGCTTGTTCTACAATAACATAAACTGTCTATATAATATTCTTGAGAAAAGCTGAATCAATAACATTTGGAATTTATGCTGATGTAAGAGATCATTTAAGTGAGAGAATAACTAGGCTGCTTAAGTTTGTACCTATGTTTTTTCAAGTAAAAGTCTCATTCAAATATAACGTGTTTACAGAAAAGTACATAAATCATGCGTAAATCTCAGTAAAGTTGTACAAAGTGAACACAACTGTGCAGCCAGCATCCAGATCAAAAAACAAAGTCCTGCCAGCCTCCCATAAAGATGCCTAAGACTCTCCAATGCACACGGCCCTTCTGCAGGATAAAATCTCTACTAATTCTTTACACTATAAACAACATATGCCTATTTTTTACCTTTAATTAAATATTTATTTAAATGTTTTAATTTTCCTTTATGTTTTGGGAAGTTGTACCATTTATATAATGGCATTGTATTGTTTGAATATATGAGTATATCAAAACATATTTCTCCATTCTACTCTAGATGGACATTTGGATTGCTTCTAGTTTGGATGTATTAAAAATAGTGTTGCTATGAATTAGTTGGCATCAAATGAAATATATACATATGTTGAATTAGACCAAATACTGTGCAAAATTATTTAGATGAATGATTTCATTTCATTTTCAATAAAACAGCATGTGGTATTTACTATTAGTATCCTCATTCTTGAACTGCAGTAACTGAAGTTTGAGAGGGTTAGTAACTTTCCCAAGATGATGTGGCTAGTAAGTATGGGAGGCCAAATTCATGATTCAACAAATAGGGTCTCTAACTTATACCAGGACCTCTTATAGAAGCAATAAAAATAGCAATAAATAAAACAGATCATAATCCCTGTCAACCATTTTAGTTGGTTTTAGGAGAGAAGACAATAAAGTATGTCATATGTTAGTTTGTGAGGTGATGTGTGTTAAAGAAGAAGGTAAATTAGGAAGAAAAATAAGAAATGAGAAGGGTTTGTTGGTTTTAATTTTAGGTAAGGTGACTGGAGAAGAGTTTGATGAGAAGGGTGGTGTTTGATTAAATAACCTAAAAAAGGATTAGACTTCAGGCCTATCTTGTAGCAGAGCCCATACTGTTTACATATTCAACCAATAAATGTAAATTTATAACTTCCTAATAGAGATATTTTGAAAATACTGCACATCTTAAAAAAAAATCTACTGCCCACGCATCTGTATGTAAATCATTAGAGAGAACAAAACAAAATAAACAAATGAAAGCCAATTGCACTGAATTTAGAGTGGATTTAATTGAAAGAACTTAAAAGGCTGATTCCCAGTCCTCTTTATAAATAGTGGTTGATAAGACGTCACTGGACATATTCTGAGGTTAACAAGCCAAAATATCAATGATGGTTAGACAAATATTGTTAACTAAAGGCAAGATTAGAGGTAATATGAGAAATCATTGAGCTAGTAACACTTGTAATTTTTATTAAACCTTTCTTCTAAGGGATAATTTACTTTATGGAGGCAAATATAAAATTGATTTTAAAAATACGTTATATGCTATATTTAAATTAGTGGAACATAAGGCATCACTGTTATTTTTGTTTTCTTTACCTTAAGAGAATTGGGTAAAAATAGTCTAACAAGAGATTTTTGCCTCTGGTATGACCAAGTAGCTCTTAAAGGACCCAATACTGACACATATAAAAGCTACACATTTTTTAAAAATATAAACAAACAAACATATAAACAAAAATCCCATAATGACATAAAGGAACTGGAGAATGAACCAAAACAGGCTGATACGGTTTGGCTGTGGCCTTACCCAAATCTCGAATTGTAGCTCCCATAATTTCCATGTGTCATGGGAGGGACCTGGTGGGAAGTAATTGAATCATGAAGGCGGGTCTTTCCCATGCTGTTCTCGTGATAGTAAGTAACTTTTATGAGATCTGATGATTTTATAAAGGGGAGTTTCCCTGCATATGCTCTCTCTCTCTCTTGCCTGCTGCCATGTAAGACATGATTTTGCCCCTCTTTTGCCTTCTGCCATGATTGTGAGGCCTCCCTAGCCATGTGGAACTGTGAGTCAATTAAACCTCTTTCCTTTATAAATTATCCAATCTCAGGTATGTCTTTACTAGCAGTGTGAGTACTGACTAATACACAGGCCAATTCCTAATGGAAGGTAACATTTGGCAGATGAAACTGGCATGAGTGAGTTATCAGGTTTTATGCCTTTTAACTCAGGGTCAGGTCAAAGTCTACACATGGGGTATATAAAACTCTTCTAGGGAGCTCACATACTTTACCCCCTGCAGAAACACAAGACAAAGATTTGGTGTATTGTAGCCACTGGTAAGTTATTGAGAGCAGTCCCAGAAAAGATGGAGCCAAAGAGGGAGAACTCCAAATTTTGTTTATAAATTTAGCCTAATATCAAGCTAACTTCTAAACACTAAAGTATGGCACATATTCCAAAATGTAAAATCAGTACTGAGATTGATTTGCCACCCAAGAAACAGAGTTTACAGTTTGAACCCAACCAATTTAATTACATGCAAAATAAAACAAACAAACATGGCCAAATGTGTATAATAGAATTCAGAACATACCCAACATAACTCCACAACATCAATGATAAAATCCAATATACTAGACATTTGAAAAGCCTGGAAAATGTGGCAAATTTTAAGAGAAAATATAATCAAGACACTATTACTAAGATGATGCTGATGTTGGGTTTATCAGAGGCAGTTTTAAAACTGCTATAACTATGTATGGAAGGGATTTCAAGACAGGTGATTGGAGGCCTCTGGAACCCACCTCCTCCACAAAGAACCAAAATAGCAAGTAAATAATCACACTTCAAATAGATCATCTAAGAGAGAATGCAGGGATTCAATAGGGAAGTGTCTGGAAGGAAACACCTAAGGCAAGGAAAGAGAGGAAAGTAAGGCAGGCTGCTTGGCTGGGATCAGCTGGGAGCCTGTCCGGAGAGGCTCCTCAATACAGGGAAAGGGAGGGTGAGAGACCCCCAGTGGTCAACATTTCCTCTGCAGACTCCTGCAATCCTGGCCGTGAGAGAGCCCCTTGACCCTTGGGGCCCTAAGACTAACAGGAAGCTGCCAGGAAATCACACAATGGTATTGCTCCAGAGAAGGCATTCAAGCTGGGTCCCATATTGCCCGAGTTCCAAGATGCTATAACACAGAGAGAGACCCACCCCGAAAAGATTGCATCCTGCCCTGGGGTCCCACAACCCCTGCATCTCTAAAACCTTGGAGCCCCATTGACATCCCCAGCCTGCAGACTCTGCTGCTGCTGGTTGCTACTGCCAGGGCCAAGGCATGAGCTATTGGCAGCAGCCCTTCCACCAGTCACATTTTCATGTACCCTGAGGACAGACTCCCCAACCTACGGCTGCTGCTGCTGCTGGCTGTCACTTCTGAGGCCAAAGTGTGAGCCACTGGCAGCAACCCTAAGGACAGATTAGCCTGCCTGAAGCCGCTCCCTGGGACTAAAGTGAGAACTCCCCAGCTGCCTGCCTAAGGCCACTGCCACTGAAAGCAACCCTGTTCTTACCGGCAGCAGGCCTGCAGCACAACCACTGCTTCCCCCACCCAACCATTCTATCAGGAGCCTAGGTATCACCCAGGCTACCTACCAAAGCAAGCACCTGCACATGTCACTGGGGAGCCTGAGGACACGCCTGTCTGGCCCAGCTCTGCCCCTGTCAGTGCCCAAGCACACCATCTGGGAGTTTGGAGGTCATCCTGCCCATTCTGCCATTAACACCTGAGCACCCCTCCCAAGGGCCTGAGCATGGATCCATTCAACCTGCTGCAACCACCACAGTTGGCACCCACCAATACATGCCACTTGTGGGCCTGGGAACTAGCCCACTTAGCCTTTCACAGACACCACAAACACCAGTGTAGATGCTTGGAAACCAGAAGATTGTCCTGCCACTGCTGTCTTCCATGGCATCACCCATGTCATGCCCATTGCCTAGGGGCCCAAGGACCCACCTACCAGCCCATTCCACAACTAATCCACAAGCTGCCTGTAAGAATCAGCCCACATAAGCCCATTAAAATTGGGGCCAGAGTACAATACCTTGGGGCTCAGGAACAGGCATGCTTGGCCTTCTGCTGCCACCAATGGGCCCAAGTATTGGCCCACCTGGCATCCCCATCCACAGTAAAACTTAAACACAGTCTCCATTAAGAATTACACCCTAAGCCACAGAAAAAAACCATTGACACTGCTTACAGATGAATAAATTATATAGGGACTACACTATTGCACACACCCAAAAGCAAAGGCAAAGTGCCATACCCAATCAACACCATAGATACATCTTCAGGAAAAAGTCCTTCCCTATAAAAGCAAATCCAAAAATTGGAAGAAGCAATTGTTACAACAGACATGTAAATATCAATGTAAGGATACAAGAAACATGAAAAAGTAAGGAAATATAACACCTCCAAAGGGACACAACAATTCTCTTGCAACATATTTCAATAAAAAAATTATGAAACACCAGCAAAATAATTCTAAATAATGACATTAAAGAAGATCAGTGAAATACAAGAGAACACAGATAAATAATACAAAAAATCAGACTCTCTCTCTCTCTCGCTCTCACTCTCCATGAATTTCTTTGGGAAGAAAATAAATGCTCAAATGTTTTAAAAATCAGGAAGACAATTCAAGATAGGAATAATAAATTTACCAGAGATATATTTCATAAAAAAGAACCAAACAGAAATCCTGAAACTGAAGAATTCATTAGATAAAATAAAAAGTATGTTTAAAAGCTTTAACCATAGACTACATCCAGCAGAAGAATTTCAAAACTTGAAGACAAGTATTTTGAAATTATCTAGTTAGACAAAAATGAAAAAAAAACCTAAAAATAATAAACAAAGCCTACATGACATGTAGGGCACCATAAACAAAATATTCAAATTTTTGGTAGCCCAGAAGGCAAAGAGAAATAAATAGAAAACATATTAATGAAATAATAGCTGACGACTTTGCAAGTCTAGCAAGAGATTTAGACTTTCAGATAAAGGAAGCTCAGAAATGCCCAAATATATACAATTCAAAAACATCTTCTCCATGGTACATTCTAATCAAACTGTCAAAAGTCAAAGACAAAGAGAAAATTTTAGAAACAGTGAAATAAAATCACCTAGTCACTTACAAGACAACCTCCATGAGATTAACAGCAGGTTTCTCAGCAGACACCTTACAAGACAGGGGAAAATAGGATGATATATTCAAGATGCTGAAAGAAAAAGAAAAAAAAAATGCTAGTCAAGGATACTATAACCAGAAAAGTTACCCTTCATAAATAAAGGAGAAATAAATTCTTTTCCAGATGAACAAAAGCTGAGAGAGTTAATCACAAGACTGACCCTACAAGAAATATTTAAAGGAATCCCACACATGGAAGAAAAAGGATAAACCAAATTCAAACTTAGTTTTAGGAAAGAAAAAATAAAGATCAGAGCAGAACTAATGAAATAGACATATAAAAAACAATACAATGGATCAATACAATGGAAAGTTGATATTTTGAAAAAAACCCACCAATTCATAAACCACTAGCTGGACTAACCCAAAGAAAAAGAGAGAAGACCCACATGAATAAAACAAGAAATTATAAAGGAAACATAACAATTGATATATGAAAACACAAAAGATCATCAGAGACTATTAAGAATAACTGTACACTAACAAACTGGGAAACTCAGAGGAAATGGATAAATCCCTGGACACTTATAACTTATGAAGACTGAATCAGGAAGAAATAGAAAACCTGAACATACCAATAATAAGTAATAAGATTGAATCAGTAATAAAAAGTCCCCTAACAAAGAAAAGCCCAGGATTGAGTGGCTTCACTGCTGAATTCTACCAAACTTACAAAGGAAAAAAATAACACCCATTCTCCTCAAACTGTTCAACATCTCTTCACAGTAAAAAGTCTCAACAAACTAAGCATAGAAGGAACACACCTCAACAAAATAAAGGTTATATATGACAAACCCATAGCTAACGTCATACTACCAGCACTTTGATTTTGGACTTAGCTGCCAGACCTGTGAGTAATAAACTTCTGTTATTTATAAGCTACTTCATTTATGGTACTTTGTTAAAGTATCCTGAATGGACTAAAGCAAAACCAAAACAGGTTCTTTGAGGCATCATGCTACCTGACTTCAAACTATACTACAAGGCTACAGTAACCAAAACAGCATGGTACTTTTACCAAAACAGAGATACAGACCAATGGAACAGAACAGAGCCCTCAGAAATAATACCACACATCTACAACCATCTGATCTTTGACAAACCTGACAAAAACAAGCAATGGGGAAAGGATTCCCTATTTAATA
The DNA here is from genome assembly GCF_000001405.40 of Homo sapiens. Classification (NCBI taxonomy): domain Eukaryota; kingdom Metazoa; phylum Chordata; class Mammalia; order Primates; family Hominidae; genus Homo; species Homo sapiens. The sequence goes on from NC_000002.12 coordinate 225,952,460, forward strand.
AATGGTGCTGGGAAAACTGGCTGGCCATATGGAGAAAGCTGAAACTGGATCCCTTCCTTACACCTTATACAAAAATTAATTCAAGATGGATTCAAGACTTAAATGTTAGACCTAAAACCATAAAAACCCTAGAAGAAAACCTAGGCATTACCATTCAGGACATAGGCATGGGCAAGGACTTCATGTCTAAAACACCAAAAGCAATGGCAACAAAAGCCAAAATTGACAAATGGGATCTAATTAAAGTAAAGAGATTCTGCACAGCAAAAGAAACTACCATCAGAGTGAACAGGCAACCTACAGTATGGGAGAAAATTTTTGCCATCTGCTCATCTGAAAAAGGGCTAATATCCAGAATCTACAAAGAACTCAAATAAACTTACAAGAAAAAAATAAACGACCCCATCAAAAAGTGGACGAAGGATATGAATAGACACTTCTCAAAAGAAGACATTTATGCAGCCAACAGACACATGAAAAAATGCTCATCACTGGCAATCAGAGAAATGCAAATCAAAACCACAATGAGATATCATCTCACACCAGTTAGAATGGCGATCATTAAAAAGTCGGGAAACAACAGGTGCTGGAGAGGATGTGGAGAAATAGGAACACTTTTACACTGTTGGTGGGACTGTAAACTAGTTCAACCATTGTGGAAGTCAGTGTGGTGATTCCTCAGGGATCTAGAACCAGAAATACCATTTGACCCAGCCATCCCATTACTGGATATATACCCAAAGGATTATAAATCATTCTGCTATAAAGACACATGCACATGTATGTTTATCATGGCACTATTCACAATAGCAAAGACTTGGAACCAAGCCAAATGTCCAACAATGATAGACTGGATTAAGAAAATGTGGCACATATACACCATGGAATACTATGCAGCCATAAAAAATGATGAGTTCATGTCCTTTGTAGGAACATGGATGAAGGTGGAAACCATCTTTCTCAGCAAACTATCGCAAGGACAGAAAAACCAAACACCGCATGTTCTCACTCATAGGTGGGAATTGAACAATGAGAACACATGGACCCAGGAAGGGGTACATCACACCAGGGCCTGTTGTGGGGTGGGGCGAAGTGGGAGAGATAGGATTAGGAGATATGCCTAATGTAAATGATGAGTTAATGGGTGCAGCCCACCAACATTGCACATGTATACATATGTAACAAACCTGCACATTGTACACATGTACCCTAGAACTTAAAGTATAGTAAAAAAAATATATATATATATAAAAGAAAATATCAATAAAATTAATAAGATTCTAGCCAGGCTAGCTAATTACATGGGTTCATTGGTGATTTCTACTAAACAATTAAAAAAGAAATGATACCAATTATCTACAATCTCAAAAAAAAAAATATAGGCAAGACTTCTGTATTCTGTGAGCTCAGCATTACCCTAATACCAAAACCCAACAAAGACACTATAAGGATAGAAACCCACAGATCAATATCTCTTGTGAAGATATATGAAAATATTCCCAATAAAATATTTGCAAATCAAAACAAATAACATATAATGAGAATTATACCACAACCAAATAGGGCTTATCTCAGGTATGAAAGTCTGGTTCAACATACAAAAATCAATTAATGTAATCCATCACAGCAACATATTGAAGGAAAAAAATCACATTATCACATTAATAGATGCAATTAAAAAATGTATTTGACAAAACTCTAAAAAAACTAGGAATAGAATGGAACTTTCTCAACACCATTTAAGAAACAAGTACAACTAACATCATAGCTCATGGTGAGAAACTCAAAGCCTTTCCATTAAGATCAGGAAAAAGGCAAAGATGTTTCCTTTTACCACTGCTTTCCCACATCAAACTGGAAGTCTAATGCAATAAGAAAAGAAAATAAATGTATACGGACTGGACAAAGAGAAATAAAATTGTATTTGTTGCCAGATGACATGATTGCCTATGTATAAAATCCAAAACAATCAATTTAAAAAAACCTCCTGGAACTATATCAAGAATGCAAAATATGGCTGGGCGTGGTGGTTCACTCCTGTAATCCCAACACTTTGGGAGGCCAAGGCCGGTGGATCGCCTGAGGTCAAGAGTTTGAGACAAGCCTGACCAACATGGTGAAACACTGCCTCTACTAAAAGTACAGAAATTTTCCCGGGTGTGGTGGTGCATACCTGTAGTCCCAGCTACTCAGGTGGCTGAGGCAGGAGAATCATTTGAACCCAAGAGTTGGAGGTTTGCAGTGAGCCAAGATGGTGCCACTCCACTCCAGCTTGGGCGACAGAGAGAAACTCCGTCTTGGGGGGGAAAAAAAGAATGCAAACTACAAGGTTAATATACAGAAGTCAATAATTTTTCTATTTAGCAGCAATGAACAAGTGAAATTTGATATTAAAAGCATATTGTTATTTACATCAGCACCCCTCAAAATGAAATATTTAGATATAAATACTACTAAGCATGTACAAAACTGATATGAAGAAAACTACAAAACTCTGATGAAAACTATCAAAGAACTAAATTAATGAAGAGGTTTTCCATGTTCATGTGTAGGAAGACTCAATATTGTCAAAATGTCAGTTTTTCCCAACTCGATCTACAGATTCAATGCAATCCAAGTAAAAATCCCAGCAAGTAATTTTGTGGATATCAACAACCCGATTCTAAAGCTTTTATGACCCAGAATGGTCAATTCAATATTGAAGAAGAACACAGTCAGAGAACTGTCACTACCTGACTTTAAAACTTACTATAAAGTAACAATAATCAAAACAGTGTGGTATCTCTGAAAGAGTAGACAAATAGATGAATGGAACAGACTAGAAAGACCAGACCCATATAACATAGACTCATATAAATATAGTTGACTCTTTTTTTTTTTTTTACAAAGAATCAAAAAAATTACAATTACAATGAAGCAAAGATATTCTTTTCAACAATAGTGATGGAATAATTGGACATCCACTTGCAAATAAAAAAGTCAAAAACATTCTAGACATAGGCCTTAAACTTTTCACAAAAATCAATAGCAAAGTATTTTTGCTTATTCTTCTCCTAAGTTTTCATAAACAGAAACAATTTCATCCTTAAATAATTGATGAAAAAAGTAGTGAAACCATCTACTCTTGGATTGCTCTTTGGGACCTATTTATCACAATTCAAAATTTCTTAAAGATATGATATTGTTAGGTTATCTATTTCATCTTGAACGTGTATTGGTAGCTTGTATATTTCAAGGTACTTCTGTATTTCTTCCACATCATCTAATTTCTTGACATAGATTAGTTTTTCATATCTTTATTATCTTTTAAATATCTGGAAGACAGATAATAGTATTTCTGTGTTTATTTTGATATTGGTAATTTGTGCTTTCTTTATTGTTGTGTTGTCTTGCTAGGGCTTTTCAGTTTTATCCATCTTTTCAATTATCCAACTTTTGTCTGATAATTTCTTTTTATAGTGTCATGATGAGAACTTATATCAATGGGCATCTCCTGAATACTGAATTTTTATTGTAAAAAATTATCAATTAATGCAAAAAAGGCAGCAAAAAGCAATAATACACCATAATAACAAAAGCAGAAGAGACCAATGGAAAACTAGGTAGAAGATATTTTCCTTCAATTAGAAGGTGTCAATACCTAATTAAATATAAATGGATTAAACATTCCCATTAAAAGGAATAGATTATTAGAATGGTCAAAAATGCACAACCTACTACATGAGTTGGAAGCATAGAGTTTATAATAATAAAGCTCATAAAGCCATATTGGTATCAGAAAAATGACTATAATGCAAAGAGTATTATGAGTCTAAAAAATAAACATTTTATAAAAATGAAACAGGCAATTTACCAGGAAAACATAACAATCCAAAATATGTAGGCATCAAATAGCAGAGCTTCAAAACTCAAGAAGCAAAAGAATGACAAAACTAAGGGAAAAACACATACATCTAAAATAAAAGCAGGAAATTTTAACATCTCATTTTGGTAATCAATAAAACAAGTAGTCCAAAAATTTTAAGCATATAATATACCTAAAGAAACAGTCAACCAAATTGATATTAAAAGCATTTTCAGAATGCTACAAATATCAAAATCAAAGTACACAATATTTTCAAGTACACATGAAACATTTTCAAAAATAAAAGTTACATTGGACCATAAAGTGAGTATAAATACATTTTAAAAGATTGAAGTATTTTGTAAAATATTATCATAAGACAATACACTTTACTTAGAAATCAATAAAAATTCAGTATTCAGGAGATGCCCACTGATATAAGTTCTCATCATGACACTATAAGAAGAAATTCAGATGTGAGTAGAAAGAAAATAAGTATCAGCGCAGAAACCACTGCAATAGAAAACCGAAAGATAATAGTGTTTTATTTTATTTCCACACTACCACAAATTTAGCTACACCTTTTAAAATATTTTTCAGTATATGCTCTGAAGTGAATAATATGCATTTGTAAATAAATATATTTGTAACAATATCTAATTAGTGTCAATATTGTACTACTTTACATTTCATACTTGACTCTACAATTCCTATTTGATACTTTCTCTGATTTCATACCTGAAATTTCACACATCATGCTTTCTAGAAGTGACCTAATAATGTCATAATTCTCTCTACCCACACTTCTATCTTTTGTGCTATTTTCTTTTTTCTTTTTTTTTTTTAGAATGCTATATATATCAAAAGCAATATTTTCAAGTACAGCTACAGAGAGAGAGAGAATGTCTTGCTCTGTCATCCAGGCTGGAGGGCAGTGGCGGAACCACAGCTCACTGCAGCTTCCACCCCAGGCTCAAGCAATCCTTCTGCCTCAGTCTCCTGAGCAGCTGGGTCTACAGGCACATGCCACATCACCAGGATATTTTTAAATTTTTTGGTAGAGAGGAGTCTTTCTTAGTTGCCCAGGCTGTTCTCAAACTCCTGGCCTCAAGTGATCCTCCTGCCTTGGTCTCCCAAGTGCTGGGATTACAGTTTTGTGTTCTCTTAATCATATGCTATATTTATAAGCTCTACCTCACGATATTGTTATTTTTACTTAAATTAGTCTGAGTCAGTTACAGAAATTAATTTTTTCGATAAAAATAGTGTTTTAGGTCGGGTGCAGTGTCTCACGCCTTTAATCCCAGAACTTTGGGAAGCCGAGGTGGGCAGATCACCTGAGGCCAGGAGTTCAAGACTAGCCTGGGCAACATGGAGTTAAACCCCATCTGTACTAAAATACAAAAATTAGTCAGACATGGTAGTGCATGCCTGTAATCCCAGATACTCGGGAGGCTGAGGTGTGAGAATTGCTTGGACTCGGGAGGTGGAGGTTGCAATGGTCCGAGATCATGCCACTGCACTCCAGCCTGGGTAACAGAGCAAGACTGCATCTCAATAATTAATTTATTTAATTACAATATGTTTTACATTTACCTCTTTACTTACCATTTCCGATGCTCTAAGATTCCATCTGGTATCATTTTCTTTAACCTGAACAACATCTTTTAGGATTACTGGAAGTGAAGGTATACTGGTAAAAAAAATTCACTTGTCTTTTATCTGTCTGACAATATTTTAATTTAAATAATATTTGAAGTTTATTTTTCCTGGATATTAAATTCTGAGTTAACTTCCCCCTTCTTTATTTAATTTGTTCTGTTGTCCTTATTCCTGTTTTTCTCCCACCACCTCGACCTCAAGGAAATATCAGTGTTAATCATCATTAGAGTTTCCGTATATATGATTGACCTTTCATTCTCTTGCTTTCTTATAAGATCCTATCTTTGCGATTCGTTTAAAGCATTTTGACTGCAATGTGTATAGCTGTGATTTTTCTTATATGTACTGTATTTGGGACTAGCTGAGAATCTTTAATATGTGTATCATTGTCTATTGTCATTATTATTATTACTATTAGTATAAGTAAACTATTTTTGAGCAATTATTTTTTATAGAATTTTTCTATTTCCTTTTCTCTCTTCTTTCTTCTGGGACTCTAATTTTACTAATGTTAAGTTGCTTGATACTTTCCTACAGGTCACTGAGGGCTCGCTTCATTTTTCTTTTTTCCCCTTTTAATTAGATTAAATTAGTTCCATATATTGCTAATCATGTTTACTAACAATCTCTTCTACTATCTTTAATATGCCTTTGCGGCTGTAAAGAAAAAAATATAATTTCAGTTAGCATGCTTTTAAGTTTTAAAATATCTTTCTGGTGCTTTCACATAACTTCAGTTGTTTTGCACACATTACTTCTTCTTTCTCTATTAAGATTATATTTTCCTTAGATCATTTGGGCATTATTGGATTATTTAAAATATTTATATTAACTGTGCACTGGACATAGTAAAAGATATACTGTAGATGTTCTAGATTTTCCTTTAAATATTCCGTTAAAATTGTTATTTACTTCGTTCTAATAGGCAATTGAGTTACTGGTAAAAACTTACACTTCTGTAGCCTTTATTTTTATGTTTTGTAAGAACAGATCCACAAAAATCCCCCCAAAATTTCTAATATCCTCTCATTGGCAGACTCAACCTACAACTCTGTCTTCTCTAATTCAGACTTAATTTTAAAGTTTATTAGGATGAGGCTAAAAGAAGAGCTTACCATAGGGCATCGTCCTTATACTTAAAGAATAGCCTTTCTAGTAGCTCCAGAGTGTTAATAAGGGTTAACTTCTTTTTTTAAATATATGTTGGCTAGCCAGTGTCTACGTGTTCCACATCACTAACTGACTGCTAATATCAATTTTCCTTTCTCAACCCTGGAGAACACATATCTCGTAAGTCAGTTATTGTATTACTCCTTCCATGTAAAATCTAGCTTTCGGTCAAGGACTCATGGGGAAGCCACCACAGACCTTTGAGATAACCCTGATTCAGTCTCTCTTTTGCCTCAGGTCCTGTCCTACAGATACCAGCTGCGTCAGTTGCCTTGAATTCTGATATCTACCTTCCCACTCATTAAGATGGTCAGAGTCACCTCAATCTCCAGAAATCCATTCTTCAGTTGGAATACTGTCCCAAGACAGAGAGCCAGGGAATTTTTCTTATTTCTCTTCTTTCATGGATCACAGTCTTGTGCAATCTGTCTTCCAATACTGAAAGTTTTTCTTCGTATATTTTGTGTTTGTTTTTATGGTTGTTAAAAACATAAGGGGTAGTCTGCTACCACTTACCCTGACATAAATATTAAAATTGAATGGCCACAAATACTTCTTCAAGCCTCTGCTTGCATAAATATTGCTAACATTCCATGGGCTAAGCAAGTCACATGGTGAAGGCCAGAGTCATACTGGGTGGAACTAAAAAGGTCTTAGGTATGATCAACTTTACTGCAATCTGTCTACAAAATTGCTATCTGTGTAATTGGAGCCTAAGAAAAAGAGAAGATAAATAGGATGGGTCCGGACTAATAACTGAAAAGATAATGGTGGAAAATTCTTCAAAACTGAGAAGAGATATCAAAGTGATTAGAAAGAATCCTCATCTCTAACGAGATTTAAAAATATGTAATAAAGCTCCTATTTACATCATAATAAAATAGTAGAATAAGGGTGGAGAGAGGAAATATTAAAAGTAGGTAAAAAATAGGAATATTAGTAACTTCATAAAAACAACTGAAACAACCTAATATTTGACTTCTTTGTGTAGAAATAGTGAACAAAAGAAAACAACTATCAATGCAGGATTCACTTTCAGGAGCCCAAATCAAGTTAAAGTTTTCTAAAGTAAATTCACTGACAAAGAAAGAGTAAAAGTAGATTTACTGTATTTATATTTATATTTCATCTATACTAATAGCTAGTTAACATATAACAAATTAGAAGAATAAGATAATAAGTTGTAAATAAGAAAAATGAAAAAGTAACATGGTACAGTTTGAACAAATATAAAGCAAACAGTAATATTATGGATTTAAATTTAAATATTGAAATAATTACATTTAATGTAAACAAACTAAATTATCTAAAGCATTGTAAAAATGAAATTTTAAATTAGCCTATATGTTGTTTACAAAGAGCACAACTTGAATGTAAAGATTACAATGGTAAAATTAAAATAATAGACACAGTGTGGATACCAGGTAAACAGTAAAAAATTTAAAAAAAGTTGCTAAATATCAAACCCTTTAGGGAAAGAAGAATTAGTAGAAATAGAGGGATATTTTATAATAATAAAAGGTCAAGCCAACAAAAAGACATGACAATTTTAAATGTATGTGGACATATTACCTAGGCTAAAATACGTATAGAAAAAGTCGACAAAACTATAAGAAAAAGAAAAAACCATCAAACTTTTAAGTTTGGAAGATTTTACTAAGCCTCTTTTTAGTAATTTATAGAACAAGCAGATTAAAAAGTAAGCATATAGATGATCCAGACTACAGAGTTACAGATTTGTTCTAATTAACATACTTCACCTAAGAACTATAGAAAATAGGTTTTTTAAGTGACCATAAGATATTTAACAAAATTTATTATTTGCTAGAAATAAAATCTCAACATGTCATAGAATTTAAATAATGAATAGGACATTTCTAAATCACAGTGAAATTAATTTATAATTCAATTAAAACAAAATTAACTTTGAAATCCTCGTATGTTTGGAAACTAAGGAACATATTTCCAGAGAAATATACTTCAGAAAATAAATTCTAATAAAAATTTAAAATATATTTAACTGAATATGAATAAAACTATTGTATATCTCAGCAAGCAAGATGCTGCTTACTGAGAAATTTTAGCCTTAAATTCATTTAATATATAAAAGGAAAGGCAGAAAACAATGATCTAAGAATCCTTCTCAAGAAGTTAGAATAACATCAAATTAAACTCAACAAAGAGAAGGAAAATTTAATAAATAAGAGAAAATAATAAAATAGAAAACAAGTAGACAATATAATAAACCAAAAAAAAGTTAACATATTACAAAGATTAATAAAATTGATAATTCCCTTATAATGTTGATCAACAAAGAGGGAGAAGTGGTGGGGTGAGGTGAGACAGAGATACGGAGAGATAGAGAAAATTTCAGAGAGATATCTCAAATAGCTAGTACTGAAGAGTTATATTGCTAATATCATAGACATTAAACAATATAATATGAAGCTATCCTGATTAACTTCAAAGCAATAAAAATTAAAATCTAGAAAATAATGACAAATTCCTAGAAAAACACAAAATACCAAGACTAAAAAGAATTCACCAGTGAATTCTGCCAAACACGTATGAAAGAAATAATGACAAACACATGCAAATTCTTCCAGAGAATAGAAATAGGAGGAATACTTTCCAGCCCATTGTATAAGGTCAGCATGACCCTTATAACATATCTGACATCAAAATAATTTTTAAGAAGGAAAATTATAGGACAATTTTACTCAAAAATATAGATGTAATATTCCCAAATTAAATATTAACAATATTAACAAAATAATCCCAACAGTATAGAAAAGGGACATCCTATTATAACCACATTGAGTTTATTCAAGACTATAATATAATCCACTACAATAACAGAATAAATTATTTAAATAATAACATCTCAATAGATAGATGGTTTATTCCAAGCATGCAAGATTTGTTCAATAGTCAAAGAATAATTAATATATGACATCATATTAACAGGCTAAAGAAATAAACCACATGTTCATATCAGTTGGTGCAGAAAAACCATTTGACAAATCTAAAACTCATTAATTACGCACCATCATTTATCCCTGAAAAATAAAAACTTATTTTATACAAAAACATGTACACAAATGTTTATAGCACCTTTATTTATAATAAGTCCAGATAGGAAACAATCCAAATTTCCTTCAATGAGTGAATAAACTATGGTACATCCATATCCTGAGCTACTACTCAGGAACATAAAATAACAAACCATTAGTAAATATAACAAGATACATGAATCTCCAGAGGATCGTGGAAAAATCACATTCCCAAATCCAAAAAAAAATCAAAATAAAGCCAATTCCCAAAGATTATATACCGTAAGATTCCATTTATCCAGCATTCTTGATTTGCCAACATTGTAAAAGCAGCAGAAAGAGTAGAAATTGCCAGAGGTTACAGAGTGTGGGGGTGGAATGAAAGACATTGTGGCTATACAGGGATGATTGTTGTGGTAATAGAAATGTCCTGTATCTTGACTGTATTAATACCAATATACTGGTTGTGATATTGTACTATAGTTTTGCAAGTTTTATTATTAGAGGAAACTGGGTAAAAAAGAAATGGAATCTCTTGGTTATTTCTTACAACTGCCACGGAACCTACAATTATCTCAAATTAAAAAGCTTTATTATAAAAAACAAAAACATGATTTCTCAATAAGTTCAGAAAAATCATTTGATAGATAATATCCCCTGTTCATATAAAGAGCCTTAGAAAATTAGCTAGAAAAAAAAACTTCTTTTATCTAATACAAACATCATGTACTGATAAAATTTTGGAAGATTTTCCTATAAGGTCCACAATAAAGCAAGTGTGGTGCTATCATAATTCTGTTTAATATTGTACTTGTGGTACGAACAAGTATAATAAGGTAAGAAAAAGAAACTCTAAAATGAAAAATACAATATGTACAACTTAAATATAAATATATGTATATATACATATATAAAAGATGGACTAAAGAGCAGAATGAAGAAGACATTAAAAGTTAGTAAATTTGAATGTGTATATATGCATTTTCCAATTAGAGGCACAGAGAGGAAAAAACTTGAAGAATAAAGCTGGACCTCTATCTGTCAGCATATACAAAAATTAACTCAAGGTGGATTAAAGACTTCAATATAAGACCTGAAACTATAAAACTACTAGAAGAAAACATAGGAGAAACACTTCAGGACATTGGTCTGGGTGAAGATTTTACTGCTAAAACTTCAAAATCACAGCAATCAAAATCAGCAATTGACAAATCAGACTATATTAAACTCAAAATCTTCTGCACTGAAAAAGAAACAATCAACAGAGTGAAAAGACAACCTGTTGAATGGGAAAAAATATTTCCAAACTGTTCATCCAACAAAGGACTAAATATCCAGAATATACAAGGAACTCAACCTGACAGTAACAAAAACACCAACAAATAATCCCATTAAAATATGGACAAAGGACATGAATAGAAATTTCGTAAAAGAAAACATACAAAGAGCCAAAAGGTATATGAAAAACTGTTCAGCATCACTAATCATCAGGAAAATGAAAATCGAAACCACAATGAGATATGATCTTAGCACAGTTAGAATGGCTATTTTTAAAAAGACGAAAGACAACAGATGCTGGTGAGGATATGGAGAAAATGGTACTCTTATATGCTGTTTGTGGGAATGTAAATTAGTACAGCCTCTGTGGAAAACAGTATGGATATTTTTCAAAAAGCTAAAAATAGAACTACCATATGATCTAGTAATCCCACTACAGGGTATTTATCCAAGAGAAAGGAAATTGATATATCAAAAGGATACCTGAACCCCAATGATGTAAACACACAGCACTAGTCACATTAGCAAAGATATGGAATCACCCTAAGTGTTCATCAATGAATAAATTTTTAAAGAAAATTATATATATAATTTATATGTAAATTTATAATATATATATTTAATGTACACACATACTATTTGGCCACTAAAAAAAAAATTATGTCATTTGCAGCAACATGGATGGAACTGGAGGTCATTACATTAAGTGAAGTAAACCAGGCACAGAAAGATAAATATTCATGTTCTCACTCATATGTGGGAGCTAATAAATATTGATATAATGGAAGCAGAGAGTAGAATGATAGATACCAGAGGCTGGGAAGGGTGTGTTAGGGAGAGGGTAAAGAGAGGGTGGTTAATAGGTGCAAACATGTGGTTAGATAGAACAAATAAATTTTAGTATTCAATAGCAGAGTATTTGATAGAGTAGTGTGGATATAGTTAACAAGAATGTATTGTGTATTTCTATTACTACTATTATGTAGTAGTAAATAGAGTAGTGTGACCATAGTTGACAACAATGTATTTTATATTTCAAAATAGCTAGAAGACCTAAAATGTTCCCAATACAAAGAAAGGTAAATTAATACTCGAGCTGATGAATACCGTAAATACCCTAATTTGATCATTACACATTCTATGCATATAACAAAATTTCACATGTACCTCATGGATATGTACAAATATGGTGTATAAATAAAAAATACAAATCTAAAAATATAGGTAAAATACAGGCTAAAGTAAAGCGAAAAGAAAGTGGTATTTCATGCAAACAGAAAACATAAGGCTGGAACGGCTAATACTATCAGACAATACATTTCAAGATAAATAGTGTGAGTATATCCAAAAATATCTTTCAAAATCAGAGGTGAAATAAAGACTTTTAAAGACCAAAAAAAGAGAGTATTATTACTAGCCGACTTGCATTAAAAGAAATGCTAAAGAAAGTTTTAAGATAAAAGGAATATGGTAACAGAAACTTGGATCTACACAAATAACTAAAGATCTCTGAGAATGGTTAAGATGAAGATGTTTTCTAACTGCTTGAAATAGTTAAATGAAGACAAATCCAGCCTTCAGATTTATTAAAGAACCCATAAGGACCTTCACCAGACTCTAGACTTTGTGGACTTTGTTTTAACATTTTACTGAATGTTTAGGCTCTTTATAAATATTTATCAAATAACATAGATCATATATTAATTCACTTTGTATCTCTGAAAACTATCATATGCCTGGCCCATCAAAAGCATGAAATAAATGTCTGATTGAAGAAAATAAAGATGGTAAAAATACTCTTTTAAAATGATTCACTGCTGTACCCTTTGCCTTGGCTGATAGTTGATATTAGAATCATACACTTGAGCAACATTATTTTCTTGAGAAACCAGAAAGTGAAAAGCTTCCTTATTCTGTTTAACTTTGTCCCATATAAAACCATAAAATAAACATGTGACTTGGAAAAAAATAAGGAAAAGCAAATCACAAAATCCAAATTTTTTATCTTTGCCTCTGCTTCCAGAAAATCTAAAGCCAGTATTAGATTAAACTGTTAGAAATTAGCTTATTTCAAATACCTCACTTAAATAGGCTTATTATATATGGATCTCAATTCTTTTGTTCCCCATGGGAAATCATTCAAAAAGCAGGCTAAAAAATTACACATACAAATTCCAGTGATAAAATAAATTGAAAATCGTGGTTCAGTGGTACTTGTATGTCTTTATTTTCTTCCATAGTGTCATGTAATGATGTCAAGCTGAGAACGTCTCCCAAGACCAGTTGTCAGAAGAATCTAATACTGGAATTCATGAAAGAGACCTTAAATACTGCTTTGTTACTAGTGTTCACATTATATGTATTACCAGCTTTTCTTCACAACAGCTCCAACCTTCAGGAAATTTGTGGAAAATACTATAAAGTGAAGACAAGAAAGACAACTATAAACATTGGATGTAATATTGGGACTACATATACAGGATGGGTGATAATTCTCCCTACTAATGTACTCAATATTTTCACTGAAACATGATTTTCATGGTTTTAAGTCAATTAATTCATGGCTGTCTAAAGAAGTGATCTCTTTGGACACTTGTGTGTTGGCAAATTCTCTTTACTGGTACCATATAGAATCTTCAAGTGCTTCATGAGCAAGTGTTTTCTGTTAAATCTCTCTCTCTCTCTCTCTCTCTCACACACACACACACACACACACACACACACACGCACCCCTAGTATAACCTGCTTAAATGGATTGGAAATCTCAATTTTAGGGGACTTAAAATTCCCACCACATTAAATGAGATAAATGGTTAGTGTGATACTGGATGTACAAGAAGCCTGTTTGTTTCTAATACTCGGGGTCCTTTAACACCCCTGCTTAATGTTCATCTGTGATTTCTCAAACCACTGAGAGAAACTTTAAGCTCTCTAACGTCACCTTCAACACCTCTGTTTTTTATTTCTCCTTTTGTTCCTATTTCCCTATCTTCCTCCTTCCTTCCTTTCTCCTCCTTGTGACCGCACTTTTTTTTTAAGGTTTTAAGACTTGTATGCCATTTCAACATAAAGAGGTTTCTCACTATTCTTATATAAAATTTATTTCCATCATAACAGCCTATTTGCTTCCTTCAAGCACTAACATAAATCTGTAATTATTCCAGGTATTGCTTAAGTTCATTCATTCAACAAATATTTATGAAGTTCCCACTGTGTTCCAAACATTGGACACGCCAAAAGCAATGTAGTAACAACAACAACAAAAAGAGACTTTCATGGAACATAATTTCATGGGAAGAGAGAGAAAACACATAAGAAATAAATTAGAAAATATCATCATTGGTCTTAGATACTGCTAAGACCAATGATGAATAAAATAGAGTAATATGATGTGGAAATACTTTATTATTATTGTACCACTCTGAAAAATGTAGGCTTTATGATGGCAAGAAGCAAATTTGATATTTTCTTTGCTATATCCCCAGCGAATTACATGGCACATAATACTCGTTCAATGTATGTTTATTAAATTACATAATTAACTAATGGAAAAAGTATAACTGGTAGAACATGAAAACTGCATTATCAACTTCTCAAAACCAAGTACCTTGAAATGATCCCGCATTACCTTCAGAAATCCACAACGTTTTGCCAAGACCATTTTATTTAGAAAGGTATTGTTCTGGTAGACTAGTAGTTGGAGACACCATTTAGCATGATGAAAAATAGCTTTTTAAAAAGTCATCTGGTACCAGGTTTTAGCAGTTGCAAAGTCTGGTAGAAAATGCCAAGGAGCGACTGAAGAGGGAGTTTTTATTTTTTTTGCCTAATTATATTTGTCAGGGTGAATAGTTTTACTCTGGGCTCTGAACAATGTTATTTAACCTATTCCCTTTGAGTAATTGTATAGCTATAAAATATGGCAGTGTGTCTCTATAAGTAGAAATATCAATATTGTAATATATATGTGTATTAGTCTGTTTTCATGCTGCTGATAAAGACATACCCGAGACTGTGAAGAAGAAGGGGTTTAATTAGACTTATGGTTCCACATGGCCGGGGAGGCCTCAAAATCATGGCGGAAGGTGAAAGGCACTTCTTACATGGTGGTGGCAAAAGAAAATGAGGAAGAAGCAAAAGTGGAAACCCCTGATAAACCCATCAGATCTCGTGAGACTTATTCCCTATCACGAAAATGACATGGGAAAGACCAGCCCCCATGATTCAATTACCTCATGCAACATGTGGGAATTCTGGGAGATACAATTAAAGTTGCGATATGGGTGGGGACACAGCCAAACCATATCAATATGTGAATATACATATGTAGATACAGACACTGATCTAGGGAAGGAGAAAAGAAGAACCCATTGATGTAACATCTGCAATATGGAAATCTGTGGCAAACTGGTTTTAAAGCAACACTTTAAAGAGAATTCTCTTCTGTTTTGATAAACCCATTTCTCCCTCTATTCGCTTACATTCTCTGAAGGTTTGTTTTCAGTCCTCTATTTCTATCTAGGCTCTTACTACATCATTTTTTTTTCAAATGTTATGACTGCCTACCAGGTACAGAATTCCGTATTAGCTGCAGAGGCAGGATAGAAAAGTGCCAAATATATACAGACTTTACCTAGAGGTGATGAATATACCAGTATTTCACCATTAATAGCTTTAGTGAAACCACTCATTAATATATATGTTCAAACTACTCATGAATATAAACATATTAAATCCAAATCACAACATTTGCCTAAAGCTTAAGTAGAACACTAAGAATTAGAGATATAGACTCTGGAATTATCAGCACTTTTATTTATTTATAAATCTCTATATATTTTTAAAGTATTCATGGAAGCACATAACAATGAGAACAAAAATGTACACAAATTTATAGATAAGAAAATATTCTGGCAGAAAATCAGTAAAATCTGATTTAACTTCTCCATATTAAACATTGACACATATATGGAAATTAAAAGGATAAATGCAATTTCTCAACAACCATGGGAAATAAAATGCTGGCATAATTTATGTATGGCAGAAATAATTTTTATCAAAGGAAATGAAGACAAAGGCTGATCCTCATGATCATTGTGGAAGAAAAGATGAGAGCTTCCCCTTCCTCCTATCTCCACTATACCACCATCTGCAACTCTACTTCAAATTCAAAGGCTGTCCTCCAACCAGAGGCAAGAAAGCCATCTCAGAAGCATACTTTTCTGCTGCAGCCAGGACTGGTTCACCTCTATAGCCTTAATCAGCAATTCTTTCTGAGACTGACATTTCCAGAAAGACAACATAAACAGGGGATTACAACGTGCAATATCAGAGATTTGAGGTTAGCAGTAAAATAGCCTAGAGACCAGAAGTAATAATATGGGAGCAATAACAGAATATATACTAGAAAAATATATACTAGAAAAAACAAAACACTTTGTTACAGTGTTAAATCTGGAGCTGGATTCCATGAGCCAATTACCCACAGCTCTTCCTCCATGTGCAGTGATGTCAGGTGGTAGCTTGAAATAGACCACAGTGGCAGCATTTATAACATAGAAATTAGCAAATACTGCATATCACGGCTTCTTTTCTTACCCCTCAGGAGAGCCTACTGTTAAGCATTTCCCAGTACATCAGCACATTTTTCTTCAGTTTTTAAATTTACTCTTCCTGGCAAGAGAATGAATACAACTAATTTCAGATTATCCTCAACCAATTTCCAACTAGGTAGGGTCATCAGAAGTGTGTTTGCATAGGTCCACAGATTTACTCTAGATAAAAGACTAAAACTACCAGGAATTTGTCCAGGAGCTATGAACATCAGTTTTCCAAAAATAACTAAGTAGATCCAATAATACCCAGATGGATGTATGAAGAGCTAAGGAAAAACACCTGCAGTGATTTGGACTAACATCTGACCTAGAAAGGTCCAGCCTCCTTTAAGAACAAGTAATGAGGCTGGACCCAGGGGCTCACGCCTGTAATCCCAACACTCTGGGAGGCTGAGGTGGGCAGATTGCCTGAGGTTAGAAGTTCGAGACCAGTCCAGCCAAGATGGTGAAATCCCGTCTCTACTAAAAATACCAAAAAAATTAGCCAGGCGTGGTGGTGGGAGCCTGTAATCTCAGCTACTCGGGAGGCTGAGGCAGGGGAATTGCTTGAACCAGGGAGTTGGAGGTTGTGGTGAGCCAAGATGGCGCCACTGCACTCCAGCCTGGGTAACAGAGCAAGACTCCGTCTCAAAAACAAACAAACAAACAAAAAACAAGTAATGAAAAATAACAAGTTTTTGAAAAGTTTTTTTTTAAGAAACAAATACATTTAGAAAATGACACATTGTACTGTTAATAAAATTCAAGATATCACATGCTGTACATACAAAACAACAGATAAAGGAAAATAATTTAAATAAAGCAAGAGAAAGACAAAAAAGAAACTGAGAGACAAAACTGAAAAAAGTGAGAAATGCACGAAAGAAAACTATACAGACAGAACAAAGAAACAGAGGTACTTAAAATGAGCATTAGAAGTGGTCAATAAAATAAAACAATATGATCAGTATATTAGAGAAAGGGAGGAAAACCTTAATTTTTTCTCCAAATACAAAGGAAAAGTGCAAAAAAACCAACTTGGTGAGTAAAAAGTCAGCAACAGAGAATAGAGGAAAAAAAGCATATAGTTCATTGCTATTTGTAAGAAGAGACTAGAAGTAAGAATACGGGAGAAATAACAGAATATATACTAGAAAAATGCTTTTTGTGAATGCGCAAAAATATTTTCTGAATATTTGGAGAACCCTCAGAGTAATAAGCAAAATTAATGAAAAATATGCCAATATGTGGCAAATTCTGGAGATTTAAAATAATTTCTAGGACATTGGGAGAATGACAGATTTTCATCCAGAAGAAAAAATAATATTAGAAGCATTTATTTACAAAGAGCTAAGTAATACCTTTAGATCATTAAACGCTAGGTGGTGGTGATAGTGGGGTGTGTGCGGCGGGGGTGGGGGGTGTTTCCTATGAATTCTTTAAGATTTCAAGGTGCTATTTAAGTGTGAGGGCAATAGAAAAATATTGGAAAGCGTTAGGGTGTAAAGCTTACCCTTACACACGTACTTTCTGAAAAAATACGAACTAAATATATGTCCAGGCAGGCAAAGGATGTATCAGATTAATACTTATAATAAATAAACTTCCAGAATGAGTAAGCTCTGATACAAAATGAATGTAGGGGAGTAACTGAGAAATAACACACAGCATGAGTTTCAAATGACTGCAGCAAATGTTCACAATGCTATATATAAATGTCAAATTGAGTTCATACTAAGAAATGTGAAATTGGCCGGGTGCAGTGGCTCGCGCCTATAATCCCAGCACTTTGGGAGGCCGAGACGGGCAGATCACGAGGTCAGGAGATCGAGACCATCCTGGCTAACACAGTGAAACCCCGTCTCTACTAAAAATACAAAAAATTAGCCGGGCGTGGTGGCAGGTGCCTGTAGTCCCAGCTACTCGGGAGGCTGAGGAGGGAGAATGGCGTGAACCCAGGAGGCGGAGCTTGCAGTGAGCCGAGATGGCGCCACTGCACTCCAGCCTGGGCAACAGAGTGAGACTCTTGTCTCAAAAAAAATAAAATAAAATAAAATAAAATAAAATAAAATAAAATAAATGTGAAATTGTTAAAACCATTAATGTTATAATTAATAGCAATACATATTTCAAGCCTGGAAATGTGGAAGAAAAGGCAAAAATGTCAATTTTGTTAATGTATAATGGGTGTAATAGTGAGGGTTCTCCAAAGAAAAAAAGTCAATAGGTAAGATTTATTATAAGGAATTGGCTCAGTGATGATGAAGGCTGAGAAGTCCCATGAACTGCCATCTGCAACCTGGAGACCCGTAGTGTAGTTTAAAGCCCTGAGAAGGAGAAAGTTAATGGTGTAGATGCCAGTTACAGTCTGAAGATCTGAGAACCAGGAACACTGAGGGCAGGAGAAGATGAGAAGATGAATGTTCCAGCTCGACAGTCAGGCAGACAGACAGCAAATTCATCTTCCTGTGCCTTTTTGTTCTATTCAGATCTTCAGTGCATTGGTTGATGCCCACTCACACTGGGGAGGGTGCTCAGATTTACACAGTCTATGGATTCAAATGCTAATCTCTTCCGAACACATCCTTAGCAACTAACCCAGCAACGCTGTTTAAGCAGATATCTGGGCATTCCATGGCCCAGTCTAGATGACACACAAAATTAACCATCACATAGGGGAATACCATTCACTGTGATGTTTAAATCAATGTAAGGTCAACTATTAACTTTACTATCCTAGAGATAACTATTAGCAAATATAAAAAACAAGTTCTCAAATCATGAATGTGATCTGATCATCCAAGGAGGGTATGAAAAGTCAAGTTGTGGAAAAAAAGTATAATAAAAGAGCCATAAAGCCAATTGCCCATGATGTCCAGGCATTGCAGGAAAACTATGAGGGTTCAGACAGACAGAATAAATGAGCAGAGACTATGACATGAAATGCCCTAAGGAGTTTGCAGAGGGCAATTAGTGGAAGTTAGAAATGGGAGTAATGGAAAGGTGGGGGATTGTTATCATCGCCTGGGAACTTGGAGTTTGAGTTTTGGCATCATGACCAGGACCAGTGTGTACAGTAAAGGAGGTTTTTCAAGGGGTATAGAAGTAGAAGTCATTGGACTAAATTAATACTTCAATGAACTCTGAGGTTTAGGATACTGGATCTGAGAAACAATGCGGATAATGCATTAGCATGGGAAGAAAGATGTTTACTGGATTTTAGGATTATAGTAATCATGTTTTTTGTCCCTTTGTTTCTCCAACTCTAAATCAATAATATAATGACGTTTTCATATATTGTGGTGAGAATTAAATGGTTTATTGCATTTAGAAACACCTGTGGTACACAACAAGCGCTTAATAAATGTTAGCTTTTTTCTGAATAAAATGACTGCCAAATGCTTATTTTTCTTTGATGCCCATGTATAATAGATTTCCTCTCATTTGCAACTCCAGAACACGAGGTTTTTACTTAGTATAACCAGAAAGTAAGAAACTGCATAATCATGTACATACAAAGTATAGTGAAAGAAAAGAAAAAGAAAAGCTACAAGTGGAAAATTTTGAGTATGTGCCCCTTCTACTGATTTTTGTTATATTCCTGCTTTCTTCTACTTACAGACTCATCTTTCTTCTTTTCTTCATAAATTAGGAGTCTCCAGCCTTAGTCTTCTTTTGCTCTTATCCTCTGAGTTACTTGGTTCATTTGCATGACTTCAATTAACATCTATGTGCTGATGACTCCAAAACATGTACCCCTGCCCAAATTTCTCCCCAGTGCTCAGAACCTGATTATCTATAGGCCTACTTAATATCGCTACCTCAATGTCCCCCCAATTATTTCCTTTTTCATCTCCAAATCTGCTTCTTCCCCATGTAACAAGACCAAAATCTGGGAATGATCAAAAATCCATCCTCGTTCTTATACTTACTTATTATTACAGGAAAAAAAAAAGTCATTTTTAAGATTTAAAAAAAAGTTATCCCACTAGTAAAGGCTCACAATTAAAATCAGATTCTAGTATGACATATAATGAAAAGCAACGTTTCACCCATTCCACTCCTGCTGGCATGTGAGGAGAGGCTGGCAAACACATTTTTAATTATTTGGTTCTTTTCTATTGCAATGAATAAAAAAATTATAGCACTATTTCTTTTATGAAATGAATACATATTCTACTATCTTCTAATATTCTAGGTTAGGATTTAGCAACTTACAACACTAGTTTCCCTCTGACTTTCTAATGTAAGTATAAACATGACTGTCAGTTTTTTACTTGTCATTTCTTTTACTAAAGGGTAAGTTAATTCTTCCTTTCTTGTTCAGTTAAACTTACTTAGAATTTCTTTTGTAAGATGAAGCCTTTAATTCTCCCAACTTTCCTTTTACCTCTTCTCCTCACCTTCAACCTCTTCATTGCTGCAGCTACATCTATACTTTTACATTACAGCCATACCTCAGAGATACTGGAGGTCCAGTTCCAGACCATTGCAATAAAGTAAATATTACAATAAAGTAAGTTACACATTTTTTTGTTTCCTGGTGCATATTAAAGTTATATTTACACTATACTACAGTCTATTAAATATGCAATAGCACTATATCTAAAGAAACAACATGCATACATTAATTTAAAAATACTTTATTGCTGAAAAATTCTAGTAATCACCTAAGTCTTTAGCAAGCCATAATCTTTTTACCGGTGGAGGGTCTGGCCTCTGTTGTTGGCTGCTGAATGATCAGAGTTGTGGTTGTTGAAAGGTGGGGTGGCTGGGACAATTTCTTAAAATAAGACTAAAGTTTTTGGCATTGATTGATTCTTTTTGTTTTTTCACAAAAGATTTCTCTGTAGCATGTGATGCTGCTTGATGGCATTTCACCTACAGTAGAACTTCCTTCCAAATTTGAGTCAATCTTCCCAAACTCTGCCACTAATCTATCAACTAAGTTTATATAATATTCTAAGTCCCTTGTTGTCACTTCAACACTGTTCACATCATCCCAAGGGGCAGATTCCATCTCAAGAAACCACTTTGTTTATTCATAAGAAGCAACTTTCTATTTGTTAAAGTTTTATCTTCAGATTGCAGTAATTCCTTCACATCTTCAGGTTACGTTTTTAATTCTAGTTTCCTGGCTGTTTCCACCACATCTACAGTTACTTCCTCCACTGAAGTCTTGAGCCCCTCAAAGTCATTCATGAGTGTTGAAATCAACTTCTTTCAAACTTTTGTTCATGTTGATATTTTTACCTCCTCCCATGAATTACCCTGTTCTTAATGGCACTGAGAATGATAAATCTTTTCCAGAAGATTTTTAGTTTACTTTGCACAGATCCATCAGAGGAATCACTATCTATGATAGCTGTATCCCTGCAAAATATATTTCTAAAATAATAAGACTTGAAATTAGAAGTGACTCCTTAATCCATGGGTTGCAGAATGGATAGTATGCTCAGAGGCATAAAAACAACATCCTTGTATATCTCCATCAGAGCTCTTGGCTGACGAGGTGCATTGTCAATAAGAAGTAATATTGTGAAATCATTTTTTTCCTGTGCAGTGGGTCTCAAAGGTGGGCTTAAAATATTCAGTGAACCATGCTGTAAATAGATAGATGTGCTGCCATCCAGGCTTTGTTGTTCCACTTATAGAGAACAGGTAGAGCAGATTCAGTGTAATTCTTCAGGACCCTAGGATTTTCAGAACGTTAAATGAGCATTTGCTTCAACTTAAAGTTTCCAGTTGCATTAGCCCCTAACAAGAGAGTCAGCCTGCCCTCTGAAGCTTTGAAGCTGGACACTGACTTTTCTTCCACAGTTGTAAAAATCCTAGATGGCATTTTCTCCAATATAAGGCTGTTTAGTTTACATGGAAAATGTATTTTTTAGCATAGTCACCTTCATCCATTATCTTGGCTAGATCTTCTGGATAACTTGCTGCTTCACCTTGTACTTTATGTTATAAAAACAACTTCTTTCTTTAAATCTCATGGACCAATCTCTGCTAGTTTCCAACATTTTTTCTGCAGTTTCCTCACCTCTCTCAGCCTTCATAGAACTGGAAAGAGTCACGGCTTTGCTCTACTTTAGCTTTACCTTAAGGAAATGTTGTGTCTGGTTTGATCTATCCAGAACACCAAAACTTTCTCCATATAAGCAGTAAGACTGTTTCATTTCCTTATCATTATGCATTCACAGGAGTAGCACTTTTAATTTTCTTCAAGAACATTTTATTTGCATTCATGACTTGGCTAACTGTTCAGTGCAAAAGGCCTAGCTTTTGGCCTCTCTTGGCTTTCAACATGCCTTCCTCACTCAGCTTAATCATTTTTAGCTTTTGATTTAAAGTAAGAGATGAGTGATTCTCCCTTTCACTTGTACACTTAGAGGCCACTGTGGGATTATTAATTGGTCTAATTTCAATATTTTTGTGTCTAGAGAATAGGAAGACCCAAGAAGAATGAGAGAGATGGGGAAATGGCTGGTCAGTGGAGCAGTCAGAACACACAACATTTATGGATTAAGTTTGCTGTCTTATATGGGTGCTGGTTATGGTTCCTCAAAACAATTACAGCAGTAACATCAAAGATAATTGATTACAGATAAAAATAACAGATACAATAATATGGCAAAATTTGAAATATATGAATAACCATATTGACATTTTAAATATTTCCAAAATGTGACACCAAGACAAAAATTGAGCACATGCTGTTGGAAAGATAGCATTGATAGACTTGCTTGATACAGGCTTGCCACAAACCTTCAATTTGTAAAAAACACAACATCTACCAAGTGCAATAAAGTAAAGCACAATAAAATGAGGTATCCCTGTATAAGGCTGATAATATTTACATTGTGTTCAATAAATATACTTGGGCTTTACATGATTTATCTGTAAGTGGAATCTAAAAGTTAAGAAGCATTCGAGGATGTTTACATTATGATGGTCACTCAGAGTGTTTACTCCAGAGCCAAACACAATCAATGTCACAACCTCTTTGCACTGAAAATGGGATATGATTATAGTCAAGTTAGAATGGATTCATAAATGTTTATTCTCTATCAATCATTTTGACAATATGCTCACTTTTTCTTAAAGGACTCATCACTTTGTTTCTGTTTTAATGCTTCTTATTTCCAAAAAAATCTCCCTCCATAACTTTCTGCCTCCATATTACCATATCAACTTGTTGCTATCTAAGTTTGCTATTCTCCTATTATACAGAGGACAGCTCACTGCCCTCCTAAAGCACTATTTCATGGATTCCATGTCTTCTTCTTTCTTAATCTTTTCCTAAATGCTACTAGAGTATATCCTTAGATTCCTAAAGAAGGTAGCAAAAGAGAAAACATTTCTAAGATCATATATATCTTCATAAGCCAATATTCTGATCCTTCATCTTTTTTATCTTTAATCTGAGAAATCGTTCTGACATTATTTTCTACTCCTTTGATTATTTTTTAATGAAAATCATATTTCAATTTCAAGAAACTTGTTCAAGTTCTTTGCTCATTTTTCATAACTCACACTTCTTGCTTTATCAGTACAGTAACTTCTTGAATCTGACAACACTATTAAGACATTTTTATAATTTATTTTCTGTTCCTCGATCTGTGACTATTTACTTTTTCATTTGTTTTGTCTTACTTTTTAATATTGCTGGCATTCTTCAAGGGTATGGAAGTCGTTGATTGTCTGCTCCTATGTAAGAATGTAGCCATAAAAAGATGACTTAATACCAGTATGAATCTAGGCAGAGGTTGTTGTCCGGCATGCTTTGCTTTACAGCAATTGTGCAATGAACCAGCCATTGTACCAGGTAACACCTACATTCTACAGTGCAGAAATTTATCCTGTGGATATCTCTGGTTGCAATGGATGCTTGAAACTGAGAATCAGGCTTCCCAGTCTCGGTAGCAGAAAGTAGGGGAGAGAAGAATCTGGCAATGGCTATTGTATTAGCTAACCACTTTTGTTTGCTATGGTCTCTTCCCTCCTCAAATTTATTCCACAATTCCTCATGACTTAAAGGTCTAATTTTAACGTCTTTACATATCAAACTAACTCTTTCATGGCCAGGTTCATGCCTATCTAACCAGATTCCTTTCACTTTGTAATTTATTCATAATGAAGAATTTATAACCTTCACTACCTTTAAGGTTCTTTCAAATCTATGTTTCTTTTCTTTTCCTTTCTACTACTTTATTCATCCTAAATTATCTCTACTAACCTTGTACATCTCATTTCCCTAATTCTACCAAGAAGACAAATGTCAACTTTCCCAGGTAAATGCCTCATCTAAATGTCACATTCTTTAGTGATATTTACCAGTTGTCAGCACTCTACCTTTTATGGAGAAATTATGCAATAAATTATATTGAATGAATGAAAAATAGTAAAAATGACAATAAACATTTATTGACTATTGCCCTACATACTTTAGGTGTGTTTTAATTTAATCTTGATGACATCTTATGGGGTAGGAACTGAGGCAAAAAGAGGTGAATAGTGGAGCAGGGGTGTGAACCTGGGCCCTCTTACACCAGACCCAGAGCTTAATTCTACACTATAACTTAATGAATGAATACAATTGTGACTTGAAAAACCTCTCTTCTTTTGGCTTTTATAATATTGTCCTCCTCTGGTGTTTCTCTCACCTTTTTGGCCCTTTCCTCTACCTAATTTGTAAATGTTAGAGTGCCCCAGGTCTTGTAGATAAGACTTCTTCTATTCTAGCTTTAAAGTACCCCACTTTTTCCATAGTTTTTAATCACATTCATATTCTGATGGCTCTCTAATGTAACCCTCCCATCTGACCTCTAGACATGTACATGTGAATGTTTCACCTTTCCTCTCCATCCCAGACTTAAGACATTTCAATATGAAAAATTGATCTATTTCTTCATTTTTCTCCTTGCCTAGCCTTCCTCTTCTTAGGATATGGCATCGCCCAGTTGCTCAAGCCCAAGATCCAGGAGTCAGTCTTAACATATCCCCTCCCTTGATTCTCACATCCAGTCACCTGATTTACAAGTCTTACTGTATCTACAGGGCATATCTCATATCCATCCACCTCACTCCAAGCCCTTCTTAGTCTGAATACTCATCCATCCAACATTGAGGGTACTGCCTGAGCCTGCTAACTACTCTCCTACTTTGAGGGAATATGTTCCTTTTTATTGGTAAATTTTCATACTGCTAAGAAGAAATACCCAAGACCGAGTAATTTATATTATAAAGAAAAAGAGGTTTAGTGGGCTCACAGTCACACATGGCTGGGGAGGCCTCACAGTCATGGTGGAAGACAAAGGAGGGACAAAGGCATGTCTTATATGGCAGCAGGCAAGAGAGTGCATGCAGGGGAATTGCCCTTTACAAAACCATCATATCTTGTGAGACTTATTCACTATTATGAGAACAGCACGGGAAAACCTGCCCCCATAATTCAATTACCTCTCACCAGGTCCCTCCCATAAAACATGGGGATTATGGGAGCTACAGTTCAAGATGAGATTTGGGTGGGGACACAGCAAAACCATATCACCATTACTAATACTTTCTCACTTAACAGCCTAAATGGTCTCTTTAAAGTGAAAATTAGATTTTTGCACTCCCTTGCTTGATATCTTCAATTGCAATTTATTGCACTTTGAATAAATATTTGGAATAAAATTTTTTATCATTGTTCCAAAGACTTGCATGATTAGGCTGCTGAACTTGTCTCATGCCACACTTTCTCTTGTTCCCTTTGTGAACAAACAAAGCAACATTCACATCAGCCTCCTTGCATTTTCATACAACCCATTTATCTACTTTTCAACCTACCTCTACTCCATGATCTCTTTCCTCAACCTAAAAATACTTCCCAGGCCCTGCTTCCTCACTTTGGCTTTATCTGTTTAGCTTTATCTTATTCGTTAGGAATCTGCTTAAATGTCTTCTCTGTAGAAGGACCTTTTTTCTCCATATAGTCTTACATAAGTACCTCTATTACTATTTTACCAAATCCTGCTCCTTTCTTTCGAGGCATTTGTGAAAATTCCCTTGGAGTTAGATATAAAAATAAATAAGAGTCGATTCTTATTTTTCATAAATTTAAAATGTAACTGAAGAGACAGGCAAGCATGCCACCATAATAAAATGTGAACAATGCTGTGATAGGGGATTAACAAAGTTCTATGGCAAGACGGGGAGAGGATATATCAATCTGGCCTTTAGCAGGGCAAGAAGTGAAAGCTTCACAGTGTAACAGACAGTTTAGTTAGTTTAGTTGTGAACTTCAGAGTGACTCCGAATTCATGCGAGAGACATGTTTTGATCATTGAAAGAACTGCTATTTGAAAACTGCAGATCTCTGCTTCCTTCTTGAACAGTGCCATTGTTTACCTTTATCCTAAAATAAAGGATGCATTGTCTTTCCAGTTGATATTTTGATACAGAAGAAATGTACATGATACATCATCTAAAGAATATGAAGTCTTACAGAATTCTAGGACAACAGAATGAAAAGGGAGATTATGATATGATAATAGCCTCTGCTTTCAGACTTATTAATCCCCCATTTGTGTCCACATTTCCAAGCATAACTTCCCATTAGCAGTTCAACTAATAGTCACTCAGGGTAAGCAATTAGTTTTATGGCTAGCTGTTCTCTGCTCCACAGAAAAATTAAGAGCTGTTGAAGGATGCAATCTACTAGTAAAGCAACAAAATTAAAAGATTAGGTAGAGATAAGTAAAATAGTTGCATGTAATTTTAGGCTTATGTTCTCTTCCTCATCATTCCACAGTTATTTCTGAACTTATTTTGTTCCCAGATAAAGTATTAGCAGTAGTTTCTATTCTACTGTGTTTTGTTGATAGTGTGAGTTTGATTTAAAGAGTGGGGAGGGGAAAGCATTTTTAACTGTGATTATAATACTAAAGCTTTTCAAACATTGCCATGACATTAGTTTTGGGGTCCAAATTACCTGTAGCTCAACTCTCTACAGTAATTTCATTTTGATATTTATAAACTATTTCCAGGTAGATGACCTTAATCTATATCATAGTTCATAAACTAGTCAGCAGTATTAGACAATGTTCAATATTTAGGTCAAAATATGGATTGCATGTAAATACTGACCTTGAGCTACCACAAACTGAGGTACACTTAAATTCTGAGCAAATACAATAATTTAGGACAGGTAGATTTATACACATAATGTAAATAACCGTTTTTCACACTGATGACTCCTTAAATTACTAAAGTAATGATTATAGTCAATACAATATAATGTGATCTTGTTCCATTAAACACAGGATGCTGTTAGTGTGTTAGTGAAAACAGAGAAGTAAGAATCTCTGAAAGCTCACCCTTCCATAAAAGCAATAAAAGAAACTAGCAAAAATTGCCAAAATTGATTTTTTTTTTTTAGAACTTGGAGAATTAACAAAAGGCTTGCAGCAACCAGAGGAGAGTTTAGTCAAGAAAAACTGTTGAATATCAGTAAGAACAGTGGGCTCTGTCATGTTTTAACTTACCCTAGTTTCATCTTCTGGTTTTTGTTTCAGTGGTAGTCGGTTTCATCTTCTGGTTTTTATTTCAGTGGTAGTTTTTTTTTTTTTTTTTAGACCGAGTCTCGCTCTGTTGCCCAGGCTGGAGTGCGATGGCACGATCTTAGCTCACTGCAAGCTCCGCCTCCCGGGTTCACACCATTCTCCTGCCTCAGCCTCCTGAGTAGCTGGGACTACAGGCGCCTGCCAACACGCCCGGCTAACTTTTTGTATTTTTAGTAGAGACATGGTTTCACCGTGTTAGCCAGGATGGTCTCGATCTCCTGACCTCGTGATCCGCCCGTCTCGGCCTCCCAAAGTGCTGGGATTACAGGCGTGAGCCACCGCGCCCGGCCTCAGTGGCAGTCTTCAAAAAAAAAAAAAATCACAGCCTATATTCCTGGCACTTGAGGGAGAACAGACGTCATTCCCAAATGATTGCCATTATTTGACCTGTCTTGTGGTTCCCTGGAAAACCCCACTCCAAAAGCTTATCTTTATGCAAACTCACTTGAACTCCTCCAGTGCTAAATGCCTCAGGGAAGTGTGTGTGTGTCTAATGTTTTAGCATCACAGCTGCCCGAAGCAATGGATAAAAGTTGGGGCAAACAATAAACTAGTCAAAAAGCTTAAAAGAAAAAGCTGCAGAATGAGATACCCATAGGGCTTTGAAAAGCTCCAATATATCCCTGGAAATCTAGAAGGCATTGTGCATGCACAGGCTGTATGCAGCTGTGTTCATGCTCACAAAAGACAGGAGAGGTCCTAAGCTCTTATTCCTCACTGACCTTGAGGGTCAAATGAAAGTACATTAGACAACAACACCAATTCAGATAATGAAGTCAAGAGT
The DNA here is from genome assembly GCF_000001405.40 of Homo sapiens. NCBI lineage: Eukaryota > Metazoa > Chordata > Mammalia > Primates > Hominidae > Homo > Homo sapiens. Next base: position 225,981,451 of record NC_000002.12, read on the forward strand.
ACCAGTAAATGTAATAATTTACATTTGTATATGTGTAAAACTCAAAGACATTATAAATATATTTTTGTTTGTATGTCCTATTTTGCTCCTATCTGAATTAAATGACAACTGCATAATTCAATAATTAAAAATCTAAGTTAATTGGCACATAATGTGTAAAGATGTAACCTGTGATAATAGCAAAATGTAAGGAGATGGAGTCTAAAAGAACCAAAGTATTTGTATACTATTGAATTTAAGTTGGTATTAATGGCAATCTCTATACTGACTGCTAATAACTCAAAAACATATCATAAAAAAACTACCAGAAAATTAAAATTGTGCACTAGAAAATGTCTAACACAAAAGAAGGCAACAATGAAGAGATTGCAGAACAAAACAGACCTAAGATGTAGAAAACAAATAGCAAAATGTCAGGTGTAAATCATACCATATCGGTAATTACGTTAAATGTAAATTGATTAAATTCTCCAATTAAAAGACCAGGCTTGGTATTGTAACAACCCCAGGGGTTCACCTTGCCCACTGCCTAGACAGAGCCAATTTATCAAAACAGGGGAATTGCAATAGAGAAAGAGTAATCCACGCAGAGCTGGCTGTGCGGGATACCAGAGTTTTATTATTACTCAAATCAGTCTCCCCAAGAATTTGAGGATCAGAGTTTCTCAGTTTAATTTGGTGGATAGGGGCCGGTGAGTCAGGAGTGCTGATTGGTTGGGTTAGAGGTGAAGTTATAGGGAGACAAAGCTGTCCTCTTGCCCTGAGTCAGTTCCTGGGTGGGGGCCACAATATCAGATGAGCCAGTTTATCTATCTGCATGGTGCCAGCTGATCCATCAAGTGCAGGGTCTTCATAATATCGCAAGCACTGATTTTAGGTTTTACAATAGTGATGTTATTCCACAGGAGCAATTTGGGGAGGGTTAGAACCTTGTAACCTCCAGCTGCATGACTACTAAATGGTAATTTCTAATCTTTTGGCTAATTTGTTAGTCCTGCAAAGACAGTCTAGTCTCCAGGCAGGAAGGGGTTTGTTTTGGGAAAGGGCTGTTACCACCTTTGTTTCAAAGTTAAACTATAAACTAAATTTCTCCCAAAGTTAGTTCAGCCTACACTCAGGAATGAACAAGGACAGCTTGGAGGTTAGAAGCAAAATGGAGTTGGTTAGATCAGATCTCTTTCACTGTAATAGTTTTCTCAGTTATAATTTTGCAATCATGGTTTCAGTATAATGGGAAAGAAAACAAAACTGGGATCTAACTATATGCTGTATATAAGACATATACTTTAGATTCAATACAAAAATTAGCTAAAAGTAAAAGAATAAAAAGATATACCATGCAAATTGTGATCAAAAGAAGTCTGAGGCAGACATACTAATATCATATAAAATAGGCTTTAAGACACAAATTATTACCAGAGATAAAGAAGTAAAGAAGTAAAGATTGAGTAAAATTAAAAAGGAGAAATAGACAATTTTGCAATAATATTGGACTTCAATATTCCATTTTCAACAATGTATAGAAAAGCTAGACAGAAAACTAAGAAAGAAATGGAAGACTTGAACAACATGATATAAAAAGTTAACAACAGATATCTATTGAACACTTCACCCAACACCATCACAATTTTCACACATTGTTTTCAAGTGTACATGAAATATTCCTCAGGATAGACTTAAGGATGGTCTCTAAAATCAGTTACACTGAGTTTTTTAAAAATTGAAGTCATACAAGGCACGTTCTGTAGCCATAATGAAATGAGATTATAAATAAATAACAAAAGAAATGTAGGAAATTCTTTAAAATGTAGAAGTTAAATAACACATTGCTAAAAAACCAATGGGTCAAAGAAGAAATCACAAGTGAAATTAGAAAATGATTTGAGGTGAATGAAAACAAAACAAAACATACCAAAACTGATGGGATGCTGTTCAAAATGGTGCTCAGAGGGAAATTTATATCTCAAAATGCTTATATATTAGAAGGGGGAAAACACCCCAAATCAATAACTTAAACTTCTACCTTAAGAAACTAGAAAAGGAAGAATAAACTATACCAAAACAAGCAGAAAGAAGAAGACAAATATCAGAATTGAGATAAAGAAATTGGGAATAGAAAAACAATCGAAAGAATCAATGAAACAAAAAAATTATTCCTTTCAAAAGATCAACAAACTGACATTTAGCCAGATTAACCAAGAAAAAAAGTTTCAAATGACTAAAATTAAAATTGCAATAGGAGACATTACTCCTGACATTATACAAGCAAAAAGGATTATAAGGAAATACTATGAATAATATTATTCCAACAAATTAGATGACCTAGATGAATTGAATAAACTCTTAGGAGACACAAATTATCAAAACTGATTTGTAAAGAAATAGCAAACCTGAATAAATCCATAACAAGTAAAGAGATTGAGTAATAATTATAATAAAACTTCTCACAAAAGCCCAAAACCAGGTTGGTTTTACTGATTAATTATGTAAAATGTTTAAAGGAGAATTAACATTAATTCTTCCCAAGCTCTTTCGAAAAAATAGAATAAAATAGAAAACTTCCTCACTTATCTATGAGGCCAGTAGTACCCTGATATCAAAACCAGACAAAGACATCTTGAGAAAATATAACTGCATACCAATATCTTAATGTAGATGTAAAAATTCTCAATAAAATACTAGCATACCAAATTCAATAAGATATTAAAAAATTAGAAACCATGACCCTGTGGTATTTATCCCAGTCCTGCATAGTCAGTTCAACATATGAAAATCAGTTATTGTAATACACCATTTTAATAGAATAAAGGAAAAATCCACATGACAATCACAATACAAATAAAATTTATTTGACATAATCCAACACACTTTCACGATAAAAACACTCAACAACTGATAATAGAAGGGAGCATCCTCAACCTGGTAAAAGGCATCTATGAAAAATACACAGCTACTGTTCTACCTAAGGATTAATGATTGAAAGCTTTTTGTTTTAAGATCAAGAATAAAACAAGATGTCCACTCTCACTACTTCTATTCAACAATATACTAGAGGCTCTAGCCAGATCTAGAGATTTTTCTTAAGTAAGAAAAAAATTAAAGGCACCCAGATTACATAGGAAGAAGTAAAACTATATCTCTTTGAAAATGACATGATCTTATTTATAGAAAACGCTAAAAATCCACAAAAGCAATAATTCTTAGAATTAGTAAATGAGTTCATCAAAGTTACAGGATACAAGAGCAACATACAAAAATCAGTCATATTTCTATATACTACCAATGAATAATCTAAAAATAAAATACAAACAGTTTCATTTACCATAGTAACATGCAAAATAATATGTTTAGGAAAAATATGCAACCAAGAAGTGCAAGACTTGTTCACTGAAAACTACCAAACATTATTGAAAGTAATTAAAGAAGATCAAAATAAAAGAAAATAAAAGATATCAGTGTTTATGGATTAGAAGACATAACATTATTAGGAGGGCAATGCTCCTTAAATTGATCTACAAATTCAACAAAATCCCTGTTAACATTCTGACTTTAACTAACCTGCACAATGTGCACATGTACCCTAAAACTTAAAGTATAATAAAAAAAAAAATAATTAAAAAAACAAAACAAAACAAAACAAAAACACTATGTTACTCTTTAATGTAAACCTGTATTTTTAAGGCCTATTAAAATATAGCTGAATTTTTAAATATGAAAAAAAAATTAAAAAAACCCAACAGAACAAAAAAAAAAAGCTTATCCTAAAATCCCAAAGAAAATGCAAGCAACAAAGAATAGCCAAAACAATTTTGAAAAAGATCAACAAATTTGGAGGACTCAGGTTTTTTGATTTCAAAACCTACTAGAAAGCTACCATAATCAAAACACTGTACTACTAACATGAAGGTGACATACGGATCAATATAATAGAACTGAAACTTCAGAAATAAACCCATACACCTAGGGTTAACTGATTTTTGCGAGGCTACTATATTAGTTTTCTAGGGTACCATAACAAAGTACCATAAATTGTGTGGCTTAAACAAACAATTTTTTTTTTTCTCACAGTTTTGAGAGCTAGAAGTCTGAAATCAACGTATCATCAAGGTCACAATCCCTCTAAAATTTTCAGGAATATCTTTTCTTGACACTTCATAGCTTCTGATGGGTTTTTTGGCAATCTTTAGTATTGTTTGGTTGAAGCTTCATAACTCCAGTTTCTCCCCTAATCATCACATGTGAATTTCACCATGTGTCTCTCCTCACATGGCGATCATCTTTAAGAACACCAGACATGTGGATTAGGGGTCCATCTTACTCCAGTTTAGCTGCATCTTTACTGACTGCTAGGTTGGTGCAAGCAATGGCAACAACCGCAATTAACGTTTGCACCAACCTAATATATTTCAACCGTATTTCTAAATAAGGTCGCCTTCTGAGGTACTTGGAGTTGGGATTTTAATATACTTTTTTTTTTGTGGAGGGAGCATAATTCAACCCATAAAAGGTACTGAAACAATGTAATGCAGAAATAATCATATTTTCAACTCATGGTGCTAGGACAACTAGATATCTATATGCTAAAGAATAAATTTGGATCTGCTACTTTACACCACACATAACGTCAACTCAAAATGGATCAAATACCTAAGATTTAAAGCTCTAAATCTCTTGGAAGAAAACCAGATGTAAATCTTCATGACCTTAATTAGGCAACTTTTTTTTTTTATGTATGACACCAAAAGCACAAGCAACCAAGGAATAATAGATAAATTGGACCTCAGCAAAATTAGAGCCATTTGTGCATCAGAGGACAGTATCATGTAATTGAAAAGACAAATCAAAGAATGGAAGAAAATATGTGTAAATCGTATATCTGATAATGTGTAGTATCAAGGATATATTTATAGAACTCTCAAACCTCAACAATAAAAAGACACATAAGCAAAATAAAAACGAGCAAAACAAATGTAATAGACATCTCTGTGAAGAAGGTAGACAAATGGCAAATAAACATCTGAGAAGATGTTCATCATTATCATCCTCGCTAGGAAAATGCAAACTTAAACCAAAATAAGATACCACTTTATATCCAGTAGAAAAGCTGTGATTTTTTAAAATGAAAAACAAGAATAGCAAGTATTGGTGAAGGTGTGGAGAAATTAGAACCTCATACATTTCTGGTGTAAATGTAAAATAATTCAGCCACTGTGGAAAACAATTTGGCAGTTCCTCAAAAAGGTAAAATTGAGTTACCATATGACCCAGCAGTTCTACTGCTAGGTATATACCCCACCCAAGAACTGAAACCTTATGTTGATATTATACAAAGACTTGTACATGATGTTTATAGCAACCTTTTTCCTAATAGTCAACAAGTGAAAGCAACTGAAAAGACCATCAAATTATGAATGAATAAACAAAATGTGGGGTGTGTGTATATATAAATATAATATATAATATCCACAATAAATGATATGTAATATATATTATATGATATATAGAATATAAACATATAATTGTGTTATATATTATATATTATAAATACCATGTATTTTATATAGTATATATTATGTATTATATTGATATAATTATATAACAATTATTTATATATAAAATAACAAATAAATATATAAAATAATAAATATATATTTATTATTAAATAATAAATATATATTTATTATTAAATAATAAATATATAAAGTAATAAATATATATTTATATATTAAATAATTCATATATATTTATATATTAAATAATTCATATATATTTAAATAATTAATACATATTTAAATAATTAATATATATTTATATAATATATATTTATATATTAAATAATTAATATATATTTATAGATTAAATTAATATATATTTATATATTAAATTAAATTTAATATATTATATATTTATATAATTTAAATTTAATAATTTATATAATTTAATTTAATTTAATATAATTAAAATATATTAAACATTATATAATATATAATATATTTAATATATAATATATATTTAATATATAATATATTTAATATATAATATATTTAATATATAATATATATTTAATATATAATATATTTAATATATAATATATTTAATATATAATATATATTTAATATATAATATATTTAATATATAATATATATTTAATATATAATATATTTAATATATAATATATATTTAATATATAATATATTTAATATATAATATATATTTAATGTATAATATATTTAATATATAATATATATTTAATGTATAATATATTTAATATATAATATATATTTGATGTATAATATATTTAATATATATTTGATGTATAATATATTTAATATATAATATATATTTGATGTATAATATATTTAATATATAATATATATTTGATGTATAATATATTTAATATATAATATATATTTGATGTATAATATATTTAATATATAATATATATTTGATGTATAATATATTTAATATATAATATATATTTGATGTATAATATATTTAATATATAATATATATTTGATGTATAATATATTTAATATATAATATATATTTGATGTATAATATATTTAATATATAATATATATTTGATATATAATATATTTAATATATAATATATATTTGATATATATTTAATATATAATATATATTTGATATATAATATATTTAATATATAATATATATTTGATATATAATATATTTAATATATAATATATATTTGATATATAATATATTTAATATATAATATATATTTGATATATAATATATTTAATATATAATATATATTTGATATATAATATATTTAATATATAATATATATTTGATATATAATATATTTTCTTATTAATTATTTATATATAATATATAAATATATATTAATTAATTATATATTAAATATATGATATATTTAATATATCATATATTAAATTACGTATTAATATATAAAATATATATAATAGAGTATTAGTCATAAAGAGGAATGAAGTGACAACACATGCTACAATATGTTATATGATTTCATTTATATGAAATCTTAAGAATAAGAAAATATGTAGAGACAAACAGTAGGTTAGTGATTTCAGGGGACTGGGTAGGTGGAGAATGGAAATTGACTGACAATTGTGTTCCTTTTGGGGATGACTAAAATGCTCTGGAATTAGAAGATGGTGGTGATTGCACATCTCCATAAATATACTAAAAAACATTGAATTATACACTTTAAAATGGCAAATATTACAGGTACATGGATTATATCTCAATTTTTGAAAAACATTTTGCTATTAAGTATTTGATTTGGTGTTTACTGAAGGCATTTAAGTAGAGGTATCATCATAGTATTTCCAATGCCTTACAATCCTTGGCTGAGAATAAGGTCTTAATGTAGAATCATGCCATAATACAACCATATAGGACTCTAACTCCTGATTTTTGCTAACTATTCTATGTTTAGAGCCAGGTAAAGTTTTAGAGTTAATGAGCACTAATGCAACTTTTGATTCTAAGTTCCAAGGAACTCAGCAGTAAATATACAAATACAATTTTTTAAAGGCAAAGTTTATCTTTAAAAGTAGCAAATCATAAATGTAATATCTTAGTACCATTTAACAAAAAATGCTTGAACTTAATTTTTACTAATTACAAGCCACAAAATTAATACATTTCAAACACTTAACAGGAAATGCTATTCATTCATTCATTTTTCCATACATTTTTTATGAGACAGGCCCTCATGTAAGTCCTAAAGATACAGATACAAAAAAAAAAAAAAAAAAAAACAGAAAGGGAAATCTCTGTTTCTATTGAACTTATTCTGAACTGAGCATGAAACAGAAAATAATTTTTAAAGCAATATATATAGATCTGACAAGAAACAGAAGCCACAATAAAAATAAGTGAATTTTTAAAAGGGATTATTTACAGAGGTATAGCAGAAGTTGAGGAGGCCGGGTGCAGTGGGTGTCTCATGCCTGTAATCCCAGCACTTTGGGAAACCAAGGCGGGTGGATCATGAGGTCAAGAGATTGAGACCATCCTGGCCAACATGGTAAAACCCCATCTCTACTAAAAATACAAAAAATTAGCCGGGCGTGGTGGTGGGCGCCGGTAGTCCCAGCTACTCAGGAGGCTGAGGCAGGAGAGTTGCTTGAACCCAGGAGGCGGAGGTTGCAGTGAGCCGAGATCACGCCACTGCACTCCAACCTGGTGACAGAGTGAACCTCCGTCAAAAAAGAAAAAAAAAGAGAGAAAGAAAGAGAGAGAGAGAAAAAAAAAAGAGAAAGAGAAAGAGAGAAAGAAAAAGTTGAGGAAACAAATACAGATGGCAAAACATCCAGGGACCCATAACAGTAGGAAGCTGTTATATACCTAGGCAAGAAGTGGCGGAGTGCCGAAACAGTTTTATTGGAATAATAAAAGTAAGAGCTGGGTTGTTCTGCCCAACAGACGTTGTAGTTGTGAGGCTGTGGCTACTGCCTGAACCTTGGGATGAGGCAAGAAAGAGGTGGGGAAGACCTCTCTCTCCTGCTACCCTCTGATCTCCTGACAGTACCTTCCATTTGCTCAACTCAACTCAAAGACAGAGAGAAAGCCAGTGGTGATACAGCCCACCTGTGTCTGCACTCTGGAGCGTGGAAGAGTAGAGAATGAATGGACAGGAGGGAGGCCTGGAGTGCAAATGAAAGATAACCAACACAGATTGACACATAGCAAATATTCAAGAATTGTTTATTAGTGAATGCTTGACAAATTTATAATGGTGTATGTTCACAAATATTGATGTGGTTTGGCTCTGTATCGCCACCCAAATCTCATGTCAAATTGTAATCCCCAATGTGAGGGGAGGGAACTGGTGGGAGGTGTTGGATAATGGGGGCGGATTTCTCCCATGCTTTTCTCATGATAGTGAGTGAGTTCTCAGTAGATCTGAAGATTTAAAAGTTGTCACTTCCCCCCTCACTCTCTCCTGCTCCACCATGCTAAGATATGCTTGCTTCTGCTTCGCCTTCTACCATGATTTTAAGCTTCTTGAGGCCTTCCATTCGTACTTCCTACTAAACCTGTGAGGCTATGAGTCAATTAAACCTCTTTTCTTCATAAATTACCCAGTATCAGGCAATTCTTTATAGCAGTGTGAGAATGGACTAATATAAATATACATATATATGTATATTTATATATATAATTACATAAAGATAAATGTGTTCAGAACTAATTTTTGTGTCTCTTTTCCTTTATTATACACACACATTCACAGATACTTCTATGTCAGTGCAAATTAATAAATACTTTTTGACCACTTAAAACTTACATAACTCTATGCTGAACAGTTTATACCTTACAAAATATTTTAACAAAAACAAGATCCCTGACCTCACTGAGTGTATTAGTAAGGTTGGCAAGGTAACATATGCAAATAGAAATTTTAGTGTGAGGAAGAATACTGTAACTCAAAGAAAGAAAGTGAGAGCCTGAAATATGGAAGATAATTCCTCACACATAAATAAAGTGACCATCATGGATGAGAGTGGCAGGGGACAGTGGGAGGACACTTGTTTTCATTCTATACAGATAGGCATTAGGAACAGCACAGAGAAAGGTATTTGCTAGGAGGATTCGTGGGAGTTGAAACCATTAATAGAGATCAAAGAGATTTATATGCCAATCAAGCAAATAAATATTTTAATCTGTAGGCAATGGGAACCATTGATTTATGTTTTAAAGTAATCTTAAAGAAAGATGTGGTTACGAAAGAAGCTGCTTTCCATAATCCAGGTGGCAATGCCAAGAGTCACAATGACATTGGTTATAAAAAGAAGGAAATGACTCTAAGAAACAATTTAGAAATGAAATAACATGATATGCTGCCTAATTGGATACAAAGATTATGGAGATTCAGGAGAAAGCTAGAGCTGAAATCATGGTGATCCTCTTAAGAGAGGGAAAGATCACAAAAAAAGAGAAGAAAAGAGTTGGTTTTGCAAAAACCTGCGAGATGAATATGTTTTTAAGTAGGATACCTCTTCGTATACTTTCAGTTGCATATTAAGCATATGTCAGTTATCATGGTATGCACTAAATTTGCAAAAACAACAATATCAACAATACCTATCAGGGAGCAGATCTCAGATTGGGAAGTAAGAGTTTCAAAGCAATATGGGAGAGTACTAATCAACTTAAGTAGAGTACATTACATATGGAAGTTGGTAGGTAGGTGGGGTGCCTGGGGAGGTGATATCTGTGCTGAATCAACAAGAGTGAGGGTATTCCAGGCAGGAAAAGCAGCACATGCAAATACCAAAGAGCTGGGCAGGGTGTCAATGACCATGTGACATTTCAGTTTAAGTGGGCAATTGAAATCACTGGTCAGGCTTAAGAGAGAAGTGATGTCTGAATATGCAGTTGTGGATGCCATCCTCCAATGGAGCTGGTGTGAAGCATAAGGATAAACTAGGATCCCAAGGAAAGAGTGGAGGTAGAGAAGAATTCTGGGGGAAATTTAAAGACCATTCTTCAAATGCAGTCTCCAGACAAGGAGCTTCATCATCACCTAGGAACTTGGTGAAAGCATGGAGTAAGGGTCTCCCTGCTCTTTTCTCCCCTCCTTTCGCTGGCCTGCTGCCCTGGCCAGGAGCTAAGTGCCTTAGTGTGTGCAAACACTTACCCTTTATCAGAAAAACCTATTCTCAGGAAGGATCTGATAAACTCATTCACTCTCAAAAAAAAAAAAAAGAAAAAAGTTTCTAAAAGAAAAATTTATTTAACAAGTTTGACTTAGTACAATACATCTAAATGGAAATCACAATACAAGGAAAGATTTAAACCAAAGCCTCAGAATTTCATACAAACAACATGACCAAACTCCTAAAGTATCAGTATTACATCTTAAAATTGTCCCATATCCTTTAAAAAAAAAAAAAAGTAAAAATGTATACTCACATGCCTCACAGGATATTAAATCAAAAAGCTAGAACTAACAAACATGCCGAATGTCTTCATTTTAAATCATAGACACAGTTCCTATATTTGAGTTTTACAGAAAAGCATATTTTTCAACATGCATCCGAAGTTTTCAATGTGTTTGTGGTATAAGAGCGACATTTAACATAAGTGAAACTGCATTAATCCAAATACGCTTACTGCTTAGATACACTCCTACAATCTAGCTTGAGGAAAGCTGAAAATTGTTTTAACAGTTACGGTCAATACTGAACTTTGTTATTATGTCCTAGATGAATGTTTCCGTGTTCAAAATCACTGAGCTTGAAGTTTTAAAATAATCTCAACTTCCACTTTACAGTAAGCATGAATCACAAGCCTGTAATGCAAAACTGTTAAATTTAATTTTTGTTTTCTTAAAAGAGGAGAAAGAAAGAGAGAAGATAAAGAAAGAGAAGCTGATGAAGAGTGATCAGAATCAATTATATTTCCCATCTACCAATCATACTGGATATAGTAGACATCCCTCCCATTCCATTCAACTCCCATAAATGCACAACTTTTATATCTGGAGTAGCTGTTTACTGCTCCTTCTCTAGCTAAGCAAGGTTTGACTGATAGTCACTGGAGTTTTCCTGCAGAACTTGGTCATATCCACTCACACTGCTCTGACCACCATAAGCACTTCCGTAACCACCACTCAGCAGGACCTCTATAACTAGACTGGTTGGGTAAGCTCATCCCTCCCATCATTTGGCTACCATAAGCGCCACCACTTGCCCCCGCTGTAGAATTCAAAAATAGTTTTACATAGCTGTAGTCCTACTGAGTCAAAAACTCTGGAGTGGGGGCCCGGCAATATGAGTTTTAACCCTTCAGGTTAACTGCCGTTCAGGCGATGGTTATGAAGGTAAATTTTGAGATTGACTGTTACCGAGATTCACGGAAACGAACCAGTAAAAATGACTAAAATGAGCAATCATGGTGGTAGGAGAAAAAAATGAAAGGTGGAAATGTTTTAGAAACTCTGGGAAAATAGTTTCAAGACGTGAAGACACCTTACCAGGGCGTAGAACTGAAGACAGGATGTGATGAGGGCTTTAAGAGACCTTTTCTTTTTGGTGTTTGGGGATCTCTGGAAGAGAAGTTTCAATTGTTAGAAGATGGAAGGAAATTAACAGGAAACATATCAGAGTGATGACGACTCTGCATAGAAATAGGATATGATGATGTGATAGAGAGTGGGTGACTCAGTGGCTGCAGTAGATGGGGAATTGTATTAGGAGAGTGATGTGATAGATAAAGAATATAAAGAATTAGGAAGAAGACAATTGTTAGGTAGAGTCAGGAAGGGAAGGTCATACTCTGAGTTAGTGGTGGAGAGAGCAGAAAGGACAGAATATCTTCAGCAAATGAGAAGGCACAGAGAACTAAAAAAGAGGAGTGGCTTTTTGGCAGCAGGGATGAATCTCTGGCAAGAACTTGATGTCTGATAAGAGAGAGGAAAGGATGTGAGCAGAACAAACGCTGAGAGGAGAGGAGGGGGATCCTGACACAAGAAGAGAGGTTAGCCTTGGACTGGCATGAGCTAATGTCTTTCTAGGAGGAACAAATGACTAGAGCATGCCAGACTTGATATTTCATTTTAATTTGAATTAAATCTGTAGATGATTTAAAGGATGGATACAGTCTTTACAGAATCCTTTAAGTAAATGAAAAAGGTTTTTAGTAAACCTGGGGAAGTAACAATTCATGCTTGTGTTTACTTCATGTCAATAAAAGATAAGGTTTAAAAGAGGGTTTCATTCATAAAGATCTGATGAGAATTTTTAATTATTAAAAAAGCCATGGTTTTTTAAATTATAAAAAAAGTAAGCAGAGAAAATTGATTTTCTGAATATTCAGAGCTATCACCTAAATCAAGATTTTTTGTTCTATAGAAGACATTAAGTTTCAGTAGAAACTTAGTAAAAGACTACTAAGCATTGGCCAGATGCGGCGGCTCATGCCTGTAATCCCAGTACTTTGGGAGGCCAAGGTGGGCACATCACGAGGTCGGGAGATTGAGACCATCCTGGCTAACATGGTGAAACCCCAACTCTACTAAAAATACACAAAATAAAATAAAACAAAATAAAATAGCTGGGCGTGGTGGCACATGCCTGTAGTCCCAGCTACATGGGAGGCTGAGGCAGGAGAATCGCTTGAACTCGGGAGGCGGAGGTTGCCATGAGCCTAGATCGCGCCACTGCACTCCAGCCTGGGTGACAGAGTGAGACTCTGTCTCAAAAAAATAAATAAAATAAAATAAAATTAAACATAAATAAATAAATAAATAAATAAAAAGACTACTATATGTCAAGCATTGTCTTTTTTTTGGACACATAGTTGTGAACAATAAGACAAGCTATTTTTGTCAAGGAGTTCACATTCTAGTTGGGAGACTGAACAAAAAATAAACAAGTAGATGTAGTAAATAAATAGGAATCATATCGAGTGATAAGTACTCTGCATAGAAATAGGATATGGTAGTGTGACAGAGAGTGAGTGACTCAGTGTCTGCAGTAGATGGGGAATTTTACTAGGATAGTGATGTAATAGATAAACCACATTTATGTAATAATCCAATATGGTTCCATTATAGAGAGGGCAGAAGCATTGTGCCCCCATGCAGTTATTCAGAGACCCAGGTGAATGCCAACTCTGCCATGTGCAACCCTTGGCTTCCAAGCTTCCTCCAAATGACGACATCCAAGGAAAGGAACATGGAGGATGGTACATTGGAGGTGTTTGCTCTCCTGGTCTGGAAGTCACATGCATCACTTCTGCTGACATTCCATTAGCTCACAGTCATAGAGTTACCCCAGCTCCCCACTACTAGGAAACAGCCTATCTTAGTGCCAGGGAGAATAGAAAAAACAGCTTTTTAATGTAGAGGTTAGCAGTCCTCCTGCGAGGTGTCAGATCACACAGACTATGATGAGAAACTAATGGAGAGTCTTAGGGACAGAGTGATAATTTTTTATTATTTACATGCTTCAAAGAGCCCTGTGACTATGAATGATGGATCAGAGAAATACAAAAATGGGAATGTGGAAGCCAGTTAGAAGATTCTTGTAAGAGAAAGACAATGGTGGCTCAAAGGTGTCTTGGACTACAGTGCAATTCTTGTGAAGATATAGAGAAAAAGGAACACATGAGGATAAGCTTGAAGATCTTCAAATGAAAGATACAATTTGGAAAAGGATCCAAACACAATTAATGAATACATAAACACATGTGTTCTCCGCACACAGCTTCCTTAGGCCTTAACTCTTATTGGAGATGTGTGCCTTCACTTTAAAAATGTTGTATTAATTCTGCACCCAATTAAACTCAGTGGCCAGCTTTAGTTTTACTTGACAACGTTAAACAAGTATGGTTTTTGCCCTCTGCTGTGGTTACTGGATGCTTGGTTGATGTCTCCTTCTTTAAACAAAAAGAACAAGCATTTCAAGGAGCTCTTACAAGTTAAATCCTCTCTCCAGTTCTTCAGTAAGGTTGGAGATAAATCCAGGGGTATCTCCAACAGCTGGGGGTGGGCAGAGGGAAATGAAACTTATTTCAAGCACATGTGACAGTCATGATTCATAGTGGGAATCTGGGTCAGAATTTGCAGCTGGGGAAGCACCAGGAAAAGATTACTTGTATTATAAAAACATGTCCTTAATTACAGCTCAAAGCTGGAGGTGGGGGTGAATTGCACAGCTGGAAGGAGAAAGCAAATTAATTTGTGGACTTTTAAAGCCCTCTTACAGTGAAATATGCCCCCTCCTGTTTTAGCATTGGGTTTTAACTGAAGAATTTTCAGAGTAGCCTCAAAGCAAGAGTAGGTGGGATGCAACGTAACAGCAAACAACTTACATTAGGATTTCCTCAGGCTTGTGAACTGTAAAAGCTTTGGGCTGTGGTTTCTTTTTATAAAGTAAACAAAGCCTGGCCCTCAGTCAGGATCGTTTTTCTTAATAGGCATTATCACCTCCAGAGATGATGATGCCCTTAGTAAACAATGCTCTTGGTATTATGATACAGACTCAATACTGATCATTGAACCCCTTAGAGAGACCCTGTTGACAGAACCTGGCACTCTACTATCCAGGAAATAAAGACAGTCAGATATATATTAAGTCAATATGTTAAAATGATGACCGTTGAATTAAAGTTTCCAAATCTTTGCATGTTAGTTATTCAATAACCCTGGTGACATAAAAATCTTTGCATATTTCTTTGCAAATTTCACAATAACCAGGTTGTGTCTTTTTTTTGGTCATCGCATTGAGCAATGCAATGAAGTGCAGAATAAACTCACTGTTATAAGAAGTCCAGCAATGTAGGTGAAGCTAAAAGATATGGCTACATTAACAAATAATTAATAATCAAGGCCACCTCCAGGAAAAATTCATAAAAAAATAAGTATCCTAAAGGAATTCATATCTGGATAGAGACCTAGAGACCTTAAGTTTGGAATCGTAAACAAAATGTCAGTTGAAAACAAAAGCACAAATGTGGTAGATGCTAGGCTTTTCAATAACCAAATTTTTAAAAATCAGCAAGGCTCAGAGGATCTAAACCTTAACAAAAATCATGAGTCAGAATTCTGTCACTCACTGTATTTGGAGATTAAGAAAACATTTTAAGGGAAAACAAAATATTTTAATTAGTGCATTTTAAAACGAATGCAATTTGTCTTTTTATGCTCCTGGAAGTAGACTTTGAATAACTGTTGAACATCTGGAACAATTATAATACAGAAATAATATATACAATATAAGGAATCCATATTTTATTGACTTGTATAGTACTAATATTATATTATTTCATGCTAAGACACTAAGACAATGTTCAAATTTTAATTTTTTCTTTCTAAGTGTTCATTGAGAACTTAGTATGCAAAAGACACAGCTAAATGCTGTTACAAAATTCATATATGCTAGTAATTTTAGGTAAGTGCCATACATATAACCAATTTACAGGTATTAATGTCTTAATATGTTAAGTCCTAAGTAATTTTCAACCATTTATATTTGGATGATCTAATGATTAATCCTGATATCATAGATGTCTTACATTGCTAATACATTTTAATTAATGCAAATTATTTACAAATATTTACAACATTGAGACTCTCTTTGGCGTTGGTGTGAATTACGGAATAATAGAATCGACATTGACTGGGCGGCCAGCCAACTCCATTCTCCACCAGATTCTTCAACTAAACTGGGTGCATAAACTTTCACAAATTACTTAGCTTCTGTGGTTTTCTAGTACAGAAAATGGGTCAGTGGACAAGATTGTCTTTTTCATTCCTTCCATCTCTGAAAGCTGTAATTTTTATATGTTTCAAAATGGTAGCAATGTGTCATGTGTCTTTCTGGCCTCACATACCCATCATATATGCAAGCCACTGCAGCTTGTGCAATAATTCCTCCTGCAAATATAACATCATATTCTGACCTCTAGATATCTTGGAGCTGTCACCCTATCTCCAAGGTAGGTCCACCATTCACTTTTAATGGATCCTAGGTTCAGACTTACAGAAGAATGGGAAACAGCACAAATCCACTAGTAACTAACTAACCTAACTTCACACATCACGGTTATCATTCCTAAACTAGCGAAAGAGCATGGAAAAAAGGGTGTGGACACAAATGCCTTCTCTATACCAGAGAAAATTAGCTTTCAATTTGTGTATCTTCAACTTCTTTAGAATAAACAAAAACCAGTTAGCCTAATAAGATCGAATGTATCCAGGATTCAAATCTAACTTTGAAATTTAATACTTAAGTTTCATCAAGAAGATGAAACATCAGGGCCAAGGAAATAGTTCAAAGCACCATGGATCTCAAAGGAAAAAGCTGCTGGTAATTATACAGCCAATAGTAATTACAGCTAACGTTGCGTAACTTACTATGTGTCAGGCCCTGTCCTAGGTGCTTTCCATATACTAACTAATTTAATTCATTTAGTCCTCATGACAAACCTTTGAGAAATGTATTGTAATTATCCATATTGTACAGATGATAAAACTAAGTAGCAGAGAGGTTAAATAACTCCTTCATGATCATATAACTAATAAGAGGAAAAAATGGTATTCAAATTAAAAGTCTGGCTCTATAATTCAGACTCTGTTTTATTAATTTTTTTGTTTCCATAGGTTATTGGGGAACAGGTGGTGTTTGGTTACGTAAGTTCTTTCGTGATGATTTGTGAGACTTTGGTGCACTCATCACCAGAGCAGTATACACTACATCCAATTTGCAGTCTTTTATCCCTCACCCCCTTCCCACTTTTTCCCCCTGAGTCCCCAGAGTCCACTGTGTCATTCTTACGCCTTTGCATCCAGCATAACTGTTGAGAAGACAGAAAACAACAGAAAACAACAACCACAAGACAGCTAACCGCTCTGGCAGGCAGTTTTAAAGCCATGTTGCTGGATATGACTCTGCTATTGGTAGTGTAACATTCCAGCTCTAAACTCCTCCCATTCTTCCCATGAACAAATGTCCAAGGAATCTTAAGGAATTCCAAAGAAGCATAAAAGTGGATCCTTGCCTTCGAAGCGATTGCAGTCAAGTTTTGGTGACAATATAGGGATAGAAAGGCAAGTTCTTGCCCTAGAATAGTGGGTATGGGTCTGGGCTGAAAAGGCAAGAATGATTAAGGACTAGACAGAGGGGGTACAAGCGCAAATGTCTTTATCATTGTAGCTGATATGGTGCTTGAAAACCTCAAACTCTTCACTTACTTCAGTCAGAGCATTATATAAAATAAATATTTTATACAGGAATGATATTACATTAAATTATCATTTGGAACTAATCAACTCTTTTTGGTTGGTTATTTTCCTTGATTATCATATTACCAGATCTGGTGCTTCCATGCACGACCCTCCCAACACAGGCGAGGTAAAGGCCTTCCTAGACAAAGTCCCCCATGAGAGCATGGATACCTAGCTATAACTGGAGGCACAGTGATGGAGGATGAAAGTGGGCTAAAAATGATTATGGGCTTTATAATTCCACATGGTAGTCTTCTTGTTATAATTAGAGAAAAGATATTTGAGAATTAAGTGACTGAGAGGCCTATGTTACATTTAGATTTGCTAATTGGAAAAAATAATTACTTTATTTCTCTCTACTGATCCCTAAGGGAAAATAAAAATTTCCACTGCACACAAGAGCAAAAGCTTTTCATTTTTTTTCTTTTTTTTTCCCCCCTTCTTTTTCTGTAAAATTCATTTTGGGTATCTAGGATCTTTTATAAAATATTCCAAAGGGCATCGCTGATCTTGGCTGCACTGTCACCACAATTTCTAAGACTTAATGCCCAGAAATTGTAGAGACTCCTCGAATGCCTAATGAACTGTTTTAGAAATCTGTTCTATTTAGTTTTCCATTTGCTGGTTCCTTCTGCCATGTCCAAAGTTACTGTAAGCAGTTTGACTTCCAGAAACCAGATGGATGAAGTCTCTGAGAACAAAGGCTCCTTGGCTAAATAAACAAGCTTGGGAACCTATTGTCCTTTGCATCAACACTGTGCCCACAGACTGGTTTTGTGAGGTCAATACAATTCCCAGATGTATTACTAAATGTGTGAATTTTAGAAAGAGTAGGAACTAAAATATTGCCTTTAGAAATAACTACTTGGAAAAAATACATTTCCATATTTCAAATGCAACTCTTCTGGTTAGAATTGCAGACTTAACATTTTTAAAAAATATGCACATACATATGTGTATGTATAATAGACACACATACACGTACACGTAATATTGGTTTTTACATTATTTAATACATTATATTTTCTTTGTCCCTTCATTTTACTTAAGATAAATATTACTAAACAGTTACTATTTTATTTCTTTTATTTTAATGTTGGCAAATAGATATTACAGTCAAAGTTAGAGATACAGTTTGAGTTTCTTTACCCCTATCTAACGGCTAAACAAGAGAACGTTAAAATGCTTGCAAAATTTAGGCAGCATACAATCTTTAAAAAATGTGGTACAATATGTAAGTTACCAGAAGGACTGCTGAGTAGAATATTTGGAGAAAAATAATAGTAGCAACCATTTAAAAAGTTCCAGGGGTGATGCCTAGCAGGGTGGCTCATGCCTGCAATCAGAGCACTTTGGGAGGCCAAAACAGGAGGATAGCTTGAGCCAAGGAGTTTGAGACCAGCCTGGGCATCATAAGGAGACCCTGTTCCTACAAAAGATTAAGAAAGAAAAAATCAGGTGTGGACCACATGATTGTGGTTCCAGCTACTCTGGAGGCTGAGACAGGAGGATCACTTGAGCCTGGGAGGTTGAGGTTGCAGTGAGCCATGATTACGACACTGCATTCCAGCCTGAGCAACAGAGCAAGACCCCGTCTTAAAAAAATTTTTTTCTGGAATGCAAAATAAAATGGAGATATGCGCCTACTATTAAAATTCTACATTTTCTTTTTATTCTCAATTCGTAGATGAGATAACCCCTTCTCAGAAACCTTCCAATTAATAAATATATCTTTTGTCATTTGATATAATAAATCATTAGCCCTCTGTGGAAGTAATTCAAAAAATTGCCTGCAAAGTGTGACTGAAAAATAACTTACAGGTAAGGTTATACAATAAAATGTGTCAGCTGAGACTTGTGGTGCCAATCATATATCTATTCTCCATATCAGAGCACTAAGTTACAGGAAGGAGTCCCAAAGACCTGGGGGCCAGTTTGTGGGCTGTACAGACAATTCCCATGCAAGCCTGAAGTACACATCTCAGTTATAAAGCTGAATCTGAGAACATGACTTAAAGTAAACCTCCACCATCATGTGTTGTTTAACAATGGTGATACATTCCAAGAAATGCATTGTTAGGCTGTTTTGTTCTTGTGTGAACACAGAATGTACTTACACAAACCTAGGTGGCAGAGCCTATTAAGGACCTACACTGTATGGTGTAGCCTATTGCTCCTAGGCTACAAAGTTGCACTGTACCTCTGTAGACCTCATAAATGCTGTATACTTAGGCTACACTAAATTTATTTAAAACAATTCTTTCTTCAATAATAAATTAGGCTGGGCACAGTGGCTCAGGCCTGTATTCTCAGCATTTTGGGAGGCTGAGCAGGGGGCATTGCTTGAAATTAGAAGTCTGAGACCAGTCTGGGCAACAAAGCAAAAATCAGTCTCTGTAAACAATTTAAAAATTCACAATTATCTAGTCATGGTGGCAGACACCTATGGTCCCAGCTACTCAGGAGGCTGAGGCAAGAGGTTCGCCTGAGTCCAGAGCATTATATAAAGTACATATTTTATACAGGAATGATATTACAGTAAATTATCATTTGGAACTAATCAACTCCTTTTGGTTGATTATTTTCCTTGATTATCATATTACCAGATGTCTTCTTCCAGAATCCCTCCTGAAGGACCTATTCTTCTTGAGAAGTAGGTTTATTTACACCAGCATTGCCACAAATGCATGAGTAATGCATTATGCTATAAAGTTACCATGACTGCAATGTAATAAGGTGATAGAAATTGTAAGCTCTGTTTATAATTGTATGGGGACTACCATCATGTGGTCCACTGTTGACCAAAACATTATGTGGCAGCTGACTGTATTTCTAAAACGTGGGCTAAAATTGGGAAGGGAGTTGGTTCTAAAAAGCAGATTCCATTCACTGTTGGGCAATTATTTAGGCTACACTAAATTCACAGTGAGAATCACAGACTTGCCTCTCACCTCTATCAGAAACAGACCAATATAATGAAAATCAATTCATTTTCTCGAAAGAGTAATTCACCAAAACTACATTGACATTCTGTTGTTGTTTTACCATGATCTTGTTATAGCCAATCGATAGCGTGCCCTCTAAAGGAAAAACTCTTGGCTCTAACCTACCACACAAACATAGCTGCATTATGCATGAAAAAAAACCTCACAAGTGGACTGTCTCAAAAGGTTATGTATAGCTTTTCCCGCAGTTATTTCATGGAAACCCTTTCCTTCAGCGCATCTAGATAAACCAGTGGAACACACTTTGGGAGACGATGACCTAGCACATAGGAAAAAGAGATCCTCAAAAGCAGAAATTAGCAGAGCCCATTCAAACACTGCCTAAGGAAGGGTGTCTTGGTGCCCAAACTCTGTGACACTCTGGTCTTTTGGGAGGATTGTTCTTGTTGAGTCATCTGACTATCTCATAAGTCTGTGACTTCCTGCTTACTGAGCAATCATTTGGTTACAGTTTGGTTCCCATGGAGATCTGCTTGTGTGAGAGAATGTGCTCGTTGGCCAACATGGTCACTGCAGCCCATACTTTGACTTAGGACTTCCTGTACTTTCAGTCCCTCAATCTTTTCCTTTCTTTGTTTTGCTCCTCATCCAACTTGAGTTTCATAAGTGATTTCAGAATTTTGATTTGCCTTTTGCCAATATTCTAAACTCCACTGTCTCATTTCTCTATCTTTTCTTCTTATTCGTATTTTGAAGTCACAGCTCTCGATGAACTTTAACTATCTGTTCTTTTGACATTTGCACCCGATCTGCTGAATTCTGATGAAGAAAATCTGAAAATAATCGCGGAATTTATGGTTATTGACCTCAATTAAGCCCTCAAGACTGCCTAGAGAACATTATGTTTCTTATTGCACTCAGTCTTCAAAACTCCACAGTGATTTGTTTAAATCTTTATTGCTGTCAGATCTCCAACTCCCCTATTCCTCTGCTTTCCTCTATAGAGAAGATGAAAGGTATCCAGAGGGGGCATGGTCATCTTCCCACCAGAAAGCATATTAGCCTACTAAACTTGTATGAGTCTTGTCTTTCTTCCTTTTTATTACAAAGAGGGAATAGTATCACTTCATATTTAAGGCCAATCCAATAGACATGCATTGGTTCACTATTCTTACCTTTCCAGAGACCTTATACTACTAAATATCACTGCTCTTACTCATATTCATTTTTACTTTTAACCATAGCCTTTCTTCTCAGCATAAAATATGCTCATATCTCTTCAATAAAACACACACATATACACACATGCACACACGCACTGTACCTACTCCAGACACCTCTTCTCCCACAACAGCTATTGTTCTGTCTCTTCTTCCCTTTCCAACTTCTCTCAAAAGCTCTCTGTATTTACTGTGTCCTTTCTTTAATTCTCTTAATTCTCTTTCATAATATCTGGGGGCTTTTTAAAAAAGAATTGATTTAAACTAGCTTATTAACTTATTGTTTTCCTTTTGAATATGTTTTGAGTCAATATCAATCATTTATATTTTCTTAGAACTATCAATTTAACCTCAGATGTCCAAATGGATCTATATAAAATTATAGCATGGATCTGTCATAATTTTTACGCAATTTTGATAGTTTTAGCTAAGACTCCTTTCACATTCATTAGGTTGTTTTTTCTTTTTTACTTATTCTTTCATCAGACTTTTCAAAAATTTGTGCAATTCAATAAAAGTTTCAAATAACTAGTTTTGAATTCATTTTAAAAATTATTATATTTGTAGGTCTAATTATTAGTTTCTCTTACAACTGTTATTCTTTTCTTTTACCAACTTAAAGTTTACTTCATTATTCATTGTTTGTCTACATTTTAATCTTTCACTTTAAATTAAATGCATTTAACAGTATAAATTACCATCTTGGTATCATCTTTTCATTGGTATCCACTTTTCATTGATTTCATGGTATTACTTTTTAATGGTCATTTATTTATAAATAATCTCTTCTTTTGGTTTTAGCTTTTGCTTTAAGCCAAACCTTATATAAGAATGTATTTTTAACTCTTTATATAATGTGTCCTCTTTGATTTGTAATTTAGAGAATTACTTGATATTTTCTTCATAGTGTAAGACCTTGGCCAGTTTTTGTAATATTCATGGGTGTTTGAAAAAAAATGAATCCCTTTAGAGATTGTCTTAGTTCATTTGTGCTGCTATTAAAAATATGTTAAGTTGGGGAATTTACAAACAACAGAAATTTATTGCTGACTCTTCTAAGGACTAGAAGCCTAATATGAAGGCACTGTGGTGAGGGTCTGGTGAGGGGTCTCTGCTTCCAAGATGGGGACTTGTTGCTGTGTCCTCATATGGTAGAAGGTGGAAGGGCAAAATAGAAAAACAGCTCCTTCACACCTCTTGTATGAGGGTTCTGTCTTCATGACTTAATCTCTTCCGAAAAACCCCACCTCTTAGTACTTTCATATTGGTGATTAAGTTTCAACACATAAATTTTGAGGGAACACATTCAGACCATAGCATCTCACCTGTGATCCCCCAAAATTCATTCTCATATATAAAATATATTCATTTTATCCCAATAGCCCCAAAGTACTAACTTGTTCCAGCATCAACCCAAAAGTCTAGTTTAGAGTCTCACCTAAATACCATCTAAATCAGATATGGGTGAGACTCAAGGTATGATTCATCCAGAGGCAAATTTATGTCTAGGTCTGAACCCGTGAAATCAAAGAAGTTATGTACTTCCAAAGTACAATGGTGGGACAGGCATCAGATAGACATTCCCATTCCAAAAGGGAGAAATATGGAAGAATAAACGGGTAACACGTCCCCAGAAAGTCTAGAACCCAACAAGGCAAACAACATTAAATCTTCAGGCTTGAGAATCATCTTCTTTGACTTCACGTCTTGCCTTCCGGACACACTGGGAAGGGAACTGGACCCGAAAGGTCTTGTGTGGCCCTGCCCCCATGGTTCACCTGAGTGTAGCCCATGTGACAGCTCTCAGGTGTCTGTGGCTCCCCTAGGCTGGTGTTGCATACTGGATTTACAGTTCTGAGGTCTCAGGGTGGCCCTATCTTCATGGCTCCCTGAATCATTGTCCTACTGGGGACTCTCTGGAGTACCTCTGCCTCTGTGGCTGTTCTCTACCTGGTCTACAAGGCTCTCCAAGGAATCCTTTGAAATCTAGATGGAGGTAGCTATTCCTCCACAGCTTTTGCGCAGTCTGTGTACATGCAGAGTTGGAATCATGCAGGTGTCACCAAAACTTACCACTTATGCCCTTTTGGAAGGGCTGCCTGAACTGGACCTGGGCCACTTGAGCCATAGCTAGGGTAGCCAAGAAACACTGCAACAGAATGCAGGGGGCAGAAACTTGCAGGGAGCAGAAACTTGAAGTGAGCCTGGGCAGCAAGCCCCAGGTTTCCATGGGTGTCTCAGGCCCCTCCTTTGAAATTGGTATGCCCTCAATGCCCTGGTACTCTGGGCCTGTGATGGGAATGGCAGTCATGAAGATCTCTGAAATGCTTTTGAGGTCATCCTTCTACTATCTTGATGAATCGCATCTGGCTTCCTAGTATCCATACTCATCTCCTTATCAAATGTTCACTTGGCCACACCCTTGGTATTCTTTTCCCAATGTACTTTTTTATTCTTGATGTGGCCAGGCTGAGAATTTTCCAGATCTTTGAGTTCTAAGTCCCTTTTGATTATAAATTCCATCTTTAAGTTGTTTCTGTCTTCTCACATTTCACTATAAGCAGTCAAGAAAAGCCCTGCGGTACCCTGAATATTTTGTTTAGAGATTTCCCCCCCCCACATAGTTTAGTTACTTTCTTAAGTCCTGCCTTCCACAAATCACTAGGATGTGGACATCATTCAGCCACATTTTTTGCTACTACAGACTTATATTTATATTTAATGTCATGAGGGAATATCCATGTTCACATTAAGTATTAGATCAGATTATAAAAATGTGTGCATGATGGTTCCATTTGGTTGCATGATATAGTTGTATGTGCATATATATATGTAATATATATAAGTACCTATATATTTATATTTGATAACATAAATACATATATGCAAACACATACATTGCGCTGGCCCTGAACCTCATTGGTCAGTATTATTTTCTTCTTATTACATCTGGTTTATGGATGTGTTGGACCAAACTGTTTTTTCCAGGTAAAGTATCTGATGTTTTCCCCGGGCAGTTTTGGAAAGCTGCTGTGCCTTCTCCATGGCTCCAACTCCGACTAGACATACCTGCTACAATCCTAGTTTTCTCTATTATGATTCTGGATTCTGAAACATGACTCTCATCTCTGGGCCCCTCTAATTGCTTCTCCCTTTGTTCCTTTCTATTAAGGGTAGTAATAACTTTCTCCTATTGTCAATATCTGGGTGCCATATTATCTGCAGTTTGGCTTCTCCATCCTTCCATCATCAGTGTAGCCAGTGTTAAACTCCCTTGGTTTTAATTCTTAAGAGTTCCTACATTACTGGGTGGGTCCTGAGGAACACACACCTTAACACACAAAGACAGAAACAGAGAAAGTGTGTTGGAACCTAAAGTGAACCCCAGGCAATCTTACTCCAGAATCTACTCTCTTGAGCACCATCCTAGATCTTTCTCTCAATTGAATTTACTCCTCCCTGGAATGTTTACATAAATTTTGGTTAAGTCCCTTAGTCTACACTTTGGGAAGACCAATGTGCTCCCTGAGGTTTCTGCATATTTCTATAATCTAATAATCTTGTGGCTTCTTGTTCTGGAGCTCCTGTTCTCAGTGGAATTAATGTCATTTATCTTCCTGCTCTACTTTTAGGCCGATCTCTTTAGTTTCTTGGTCTTTTCTTGAGTTCATGCCTTCTGGGCCTCTCTTTTCTCACTCAACGTGGCCAATTAAGATACTTTCCTAAATAAAGATAGTTCCCTACCTTGAAAGATCTCTAATGCCAGCTACTAAAGTAACAATTTATCACTTACTCACAATGGTTATTTCTGCCTAGTAAGATGATGAATTACTGTTTTATGTTAATTTTTAATTTTATAGTACTCTTGCGGGATTAAAATAATTCTGCCAACCACAATAACTATTTGCATTTTCCTAAAGAAATAAACTTGCTATGAATTCAGAGCCATGTAAACTGAATTCACCACCGCCAATAACTAGTGATACATTTTTCAAGTAAAGGAGTAGATGATTTAATACATAGGCTTTAAGAATGAATGGTTTTTTTTTTTTTTTTGAAAAAAAGGAGCAAAGGGCTTTATTCATTTTCATGCCCAGAAAGAGATAATTATTGTTATAGAATAATGTTTAGGTTCTACAGAATAAACTATTTCTTAATTTTAGAGTTACACAAAGTGATAAGAAAAGAACAGAAAAACTGTCATGGATGTATTTTTCAGGACATAACTTATTCTCTCACACACAAATTCCAAAAAAATGGAAATCTATTATTGGAATTGTATGAAATATTAGTTATTATAAATGGATCACTAAAAGAGGTTTATATATTTTGAGATTCAGTAATTTCATTTTAATGGTGTTTGTTGCAATGAGATTTCACCTGTATAGATCCCTGCACAAGATAAATGCATAGGGGCATAATAAGAATATGAAGAGTGAATACTAGTGACTCACATCTGGTTTAGGAATATCTAGGTCAAAAAAAAAAATCCCTACAAATAACAAAGATACCTTTTTTACTAAAAGCAAAAGAGACCCTGGAGGAATAGGTGGAAAACAAAAGAGAGGGCATGCCAGGCATGGTGGCTTATGCCTGTAATTCTAGTGCTTTGGGAGGCTGAGGCAGGAGGATTGCTTAAGGCCAGGAATTTGAGACCAGCCTGGGCAGCATAGCAAGACCCCATCTTTACAAAATATTTTTTAGAAGAGAGAGGAAATGTAGACAGATAATTTTAATTTTCTTTCAGTTCACACACAGTTCTTAGTTAACAAACATTGTTAAACATCTAAGTGACAGTCAACGTGCAAGAGATAAGAATCAAAATCCTTTCTCTCAGAGAACTTTCACCCTAGAGGAAGAGCAGACAAATACTCATAATACAACAGAATGTGACACATGGATTGCAGAGATACTTAGAGTGCTATTGAAACCCAGAAAATTGCAGGAAGGAGTGGAGATCAAGCCGTGTCTGAGACTTAGGGAAACGACAAAGACTGTCTCCCTGACAAGCTTTAGTCAGGCTCATCTGAGCCATCTTCTCAATTAGGCCTCAATTTTGACACTAGCCCTATCTTTGGTGTGATTAGTACAGTTTTAGCAAAGAATCCTACTAGTTCATCCCCCAGCCTTAAATATCTAATCATCCTTGATATTTAATCAAGGTCTTCTTCCACTTTTGATGCATAAGTCTTTTGCCTGCTTTTAGCAAGACTCTTGTTAGATCAGTTTTTTATAAGAATCTCTTTCCCCTAGATTTCTCTTCTTAGTACTTTTCCATATACTGACCCCCTCCTTCGCTCCTTGGTTATAATTCCCCACTTGCCCTTGTTGCATTTAGAGTTGAACCCAATCTCTCTCCCCTATTGCAATATCCCTATTGTGAGTCTTGAATACAGTCTTCCTTACCACTTTAATGAGTGTCAGAATATTATTTTCTTTAACAGAAGGCTTCCTTGAAGGGGCTATCATGACACTAAGTCATGAAGGATAAGGAAGAGCAGACGGAGGAGGGGCAGGTGGTGGGGAAGAGCAGTGAATAACATTCTAGGGTGAGGACAGACATTTGGAAGGGCAGTTGGCTGGGACAGTCTGTGGCTGGAGAATAAGATGCAACTGACATAACGGTGTGGGATGAGGCTGGAGACGTTGGCCAGGGGCTGCTCATGCATGAAGGGCCTTGTGTGCCATGCCAGGGAGTTTGAATTTACAGTAAACAACATTTTACCCACTGCAGGATTTTTTTTTTTTTTTTTTTTTGAGATGAAATCTCACTCTGTCACCCAGGCTGGAGTGCAGTGGCATGATCTCGGCTCACTGCAACCTCCGCCTCCCGGTTCAAGTGATTCTTGTGCCTCAGCCTCTTGAGTACCTGGGACTACAGGTGCGCACCATGCCCACCTAATTTTTTATATTTTTAGTAGAGACGGGGTTTCATCATGTTGGCCAGGCTGGTCTCGAACTTCTGACCTCAAGTGATCTGTCCACCTCCGCCTTCCAAAGTGCTGTGATTACAGGAGTGAGCCACCGTGCCCGGCCCCCACTGCAGGATTTTAAGCAGAAATGTGACACTGTTAGATTTGTATTGTATTGTATTGTATTTATTTATTTAATTATTTTTGAGACAGAGTCTCGCTCTGTCACCCAGGCTTGAGGAGTGCAGTGGCACAATCTCAGCTCACTTCAACTTCTACCTCCCAGGTTCAAGTGATTCTCCTGCATCAGCCTCCTGAGTAGCTGGGATTACAGGCATGTGCCACCATGACTGGCTAATTTTTGTATTTTTATTAGAGATGGAGTTTCACCATGTTGGCCAGGCTGGTCTCAAACTCCTTGGTTCAAGTGATCCTCCCGCCTCAGACTCCCAAAGGGCTTACAGTTGTGAGCCACCAGGCATGGCTAGGTTTGCATTTTAGAGAGACCTTTGTAGCCACTATGCTGAACATGCAATAAGGGCTGTATGTCTGGTGGGCTACGTGCCTCATGAGGAGGCTCAAAGGCTAGTGAGTAGTGAGTATCTGAAGTGGGAGCAGATGGTGGAGGAGATGGGTGGGACTGGATCCATTCACCTGGGTATCTATGAGAACATGAGTATTGAAGTAAGGAGTAGAGGAAAGAAATTGTGATTCCTGGGTTTCCCTGACTGGAGTGTCTGAAAGGGTGGTGGCTCATTTATTTAAATAGAACATATAAGAGGAGGAGAGAGTTTTAGGGAAAACACGATGATTTCATTTTTTTCATTAAATCCCATTATGAGAAATTTAGAGAATGGAAATTGCTAAACGGCTGTTCTGTCTTTTGGAATTAGCTGTGTAAGACCAAATTACAGTAATTCATAACTATAATCATTCTAAATCCACTTGATTTTAATATGTTTCAAATATTTTTTACTGTGTAATTTACAAGAAAATTGTTCTATATTAAAATGGTCATTTTCTGTAATTGCATATTACCAAATCAGGATAGACTATGAACAGAAATGCATTTGGGCAAATTTGCAAGGCAGTATTAGCTAGAATTGCTGAAGTAGGTTATTGCTGAGCTCTCCTGGGTAGGATAGTACAGAAGATACCAGGGATGTCTGGTTTTTTGATTGTTCATTTACACTGATAAACACAGTGAATTTAAATCATCATTATTGATGAACCTCTCTCTTTTTTCTCTCTCATTGAGATATTAAATGTAAATACTTCATAGATGACCTGATTCAAAAGAATGTTTTCAAGTTGTCTTTGACAACGACAATTTTAACTGGAAAGCACAGTGCAGAAGAGGTTTCCAAAAAAAAACTTGCTCAAATATAGATAGAAAATGCATGTCGAAATAAGATTTACTAAGCCACTGGAAAATGGTTTAAAATATATGTAAATATCAACTTTGTTTTTGCAAATACCATTGGTTAGAATATGTGAACAGATGATTATTTTCAAACGCTCCCCACAAAAAGACAATGCAGACAACAATACTGAATGGAAACATGCATACATCCTCATTTTCATCTTAAGGAGCTAAATAAGCAATATTCTCATATCCCTTAAAAACATTCAGCAACATGAGCCATATACCAATTTTATAATAAAACTGTAAGATTGTTAATATATCAGGTGATAAAATTATTCACGAAGTGTATATTGCTGGTGAAACCAGTCTTCAGAAATATGTTTATATAGATATGCAAATAGGAAAAAAATAAGTAAATATTAGTTGTTGGAACTGTACCAAGTATAAGTGGAAAGAGGCTAAATGTGTGAAGGCAAACTATCAAACACAGTATAAACTCCTAGTGTTAATTTACTTGTAAGAAAATGTTGTATTTATACCCAGGAAAATGGGCATATAGGGAAAAAATCATTGGGCCACTCTGCAGTATCACTTTGGATGAAAGAAAATACTTTATTATAAGTCAACGGAATAGAATCATTACAATATCATCTTGGGTTTTACATTCTAATCCTAGAATTATGCAGAACAGCAATAGGAAGTTTTCTTTCCCAGTAGTAGTAGAAAGTGTGAAAGATGGTAATTTCTCATCTTCTGTAAAAATGATTTTTAAAAATTAAAAAATAATTTCAAGGGGCTTTTTATTTTTGTCTACAGGTTGAAGTAGTTTAGTTTCTTCCATCTGATAAAATTGAGAATATTTACATTCATTTTCAAATTTTAAAAAACTTTGTATTATAAATAAATATATAATAACAAATGTCCCGGAACCTCAGAATATGTACTAGCATCCAACTAATATTAAATTTGATAGTATATATATATGCATTTAAAAAATTATTCACAAAGTAGCATATGACCTATTGGAGGATCAGATTTAACCTAATCTTCTGACATTTTCCCCAAGCAACTTGTAGACTGGATTAGATTTTTTTTTTTGAAAAAACTGAAGGGTGACTCAAATTATTACTAGCTTTTTAAAATAATGGAATAATGAAAAATACATTCTACAGGGCACAGCATTAAGAAAAGTCAAGTAGTACAGGAAGTAACCGCAGCATTTACTAACATGCTCAGCCAAGAACATAATTGCCAAAATAACCTTGAAAAGGGGCGAAAGTACTGAATACTGCAGTGGTGATTATGCTGATTTCAATTACTCTGGTTTAAATGGAATGAAATAAGGCTCTAACTCCGTTAATTAACAAGCCTATCCACAGGTGATCTCTAAATGCTTTGCGTATAACTCCTATTAATGCAGAAAACGTACATGCCTAGAAATGGCACGTCTGCATATTAAACCCAATTATGCAGTTTACAAGAGAACTGGCGTTCTTTTACTTTTCCACATGAAAATTATAGTGAAGAGTAGAGAGAGAAAGAGGAAAGAGTGCGGCAGAGGGAATGTTGCATACATTAATGAATAATGATCCAGAGGCAGTGCCTGTCTTGAATTAGTTCATTTTTAAGAAGAACAAAGGGGTCATCCTGCTGCGTACGTTTTCAGCAGGGATGCCTGACTGGCTTATTTTTGATCTGCACCCATGATGTGGTTTCAATTAGCATTAGCACTTACAAAACTAGTAGCAGTCATTGTAGCAGAAAATATGAGCCTAAAGGGGTTGAAAGGCACTTTAGATGTATGCAGGAGATGTCTAAGAGCACTGTGCTTTAACTTCTCCATGGCTAACCATCCATGTCCATAATAGTCCCTTTAGCTTTTCAGAATATGAGGTTGGTGTCTTTTCACATCTATATCATGCTCCCTAACTTTGTTTCTTTTCTTTTTTTCCCTGTCTAACTCTGTCTGGGGCAAAGTCAAGAGAAAACTTCTACTTTCATATTCAATAATACAAGCTTACATGTCTTCAGCATTAAAGAAATTACAACACACATAAATTAACTCAAATCCACTACTGATATCTTGATAAAATTTTTCCAGATAGGACCTAATTAAAATAAAAAGCTTCTGTACAGCAAAAGAAATAATCAGCAGAGTAAATAGCCCACAGAATGGGGGGAAATCTTCATAATCTATACATCTGAAAAAGGACTAATATCCAGAATCTGCAAAAAACTCAAAGGAATCAGCAAGAAAAAAAAAACACAAATAATCCCATCAAAGAGTGGGCAAAAGACAGGAATAGATAGTTCTCAAAAGAAGATATACAAACAGCCAACAAACATAAGAAATATTGCTCGACATCACTAATCATTGGGGAAATGCAAATCAAAACCACAATGAGATACCACCTTACTCCTGCAAGAATGGCCATAATGTAAAAATTAAAAAACAATAGATGTTGGCATGAATGTAGTAGAAAGAGAACACTTTTACATTGCTGGTGGGAATGTAAATTAGTACAACCACTATTGAGACTGTATAGAGATTCCTTAAAGAATTAAAAGTAGAACTCTACCATTTGATCCAGCAATTCCCACTACTGAGTATCTAGCCAAAGCAAAAAAAGTCATTCTATGAAAAAGACTCACGTGCATGCATGTTTATAACAATACAATTCGCACCAACCTAAGTGCCCATCAACCAACCGGTGAATAAAGAAAATGCTATAAACCATGGAATACTACTCAGCCATAAAAAGTCATGAGATAATATCTTTTGCAGCAAATTGGGTGGAATTGGAGGCCATTATTTTAAGTGAAGTAACTCAGGAATAGAAAACCAAACATTGTATGTTCTCACTTATAAGTGGAAATGATGCTTCCACTTATAAGTGGAAGGCTATTCTCAAAAAGATGGAACACTCAAAAGGAAATCATTATCCCTGGGGTACTAACCTTTGCAAGTCCAAATAGTAAAACCCACAAGGCTGTTCAAGAACAGCCTGACCAACATGGTGAAACCCCGTTTGTACTAAAAATACAAAAATTAGTCAGGCGTGGTGTTGTGCACCTATAATCCCAGCTACTCAGGAGGCTGAGGCAGGAGAATTGCTTGAACCCTGGAGGCGGAAGTTGCAGTGAGCTGAAATCGTGCCATTGAACTCCAGCCTGGGTGACAGAGCGAGACTCCATCTCAAAAAGAAAAAAAGAATGATATGATGGATTTGGGGAACTTGGCGGGGAAGGTTGGGAGGTGGGTGAGTGACAAAAGTCTTCATATTGGGTACAGTGTATACTGCTCAGGTGATGAGTACACTGAAATCTCAGAAATCACCAATAAAGAATTTATCCATGTAACCAAAAATTGTTGAAATAAATATTTTTTAAAAAGACAGAAAACTTCCCAAAAATAAATTTCAAAATAAGAAGGAAGGCCAAGGAAAGAAAAGATCTATGGAGCAACTACCTTTCTGGGACATGGGCAGAAAACAAAACAAGAAAAAACCCAGGAGAATGGTAGGGACTGTTTTTAGTGTTAGTACACCCTTCCTGAGATGTTCCAAATCACTGACTAGGAAAACCCTGACACAACAGAACTGCTAGCTGAAAAAGCAGCTCAGCTTGTTGGTGTTTCTCAAGATGGCTTGTGGGTTTTACTATTTGGGCTTGCAAAGGTTAGTACCCCAGGGATAATGATTTCCTTTTGAGTGTTCCATCTTTATGAGAATATTACCTACCACCAGGTGTGCAGTTGTAACTTGCTTATGACCTTCAGAACCAAAGGTTTTCCACATGTCATCTAAGACTAATGGAATCAAAGAGAAAATAACAATTTTTCTATATAGTTATAAATAGATGAAATCTTTGAGAACACAGTGCAATGTGGATTATAAAAACATATTTAACAATATACAACATAATTTACATAAATTCAAATACCAGCGCCAAAATTATTTACCTGTTACCAATAACTGTCCAACTCATGGGTTGGCAAACTATGGCTCAAGGACCATATCTGTTCTATTGACTGGAACACAGTCACACTTACTCATGTATGTACTGTCTGTCTGCTTACCTGCCAGAATAGCAAAGTTGAGTTTCCATGATAGCAACTGTATGGCCCACAAATCCCAAATTGTTTATCATCTGGCATTTTATGGAAGAAGTTTGCTAATAACTGGGGTGGCTTATTCTTGATTCAGGGAAAATTTAAATGCTTTCATCAACTTTTCCTGAATCGTTATGCCTCTAGAAAAAAACTAAAGAAAAAAATTTCAAGGATATACATTCAACTTTTATATAAACAGGTATGAAACAAAGTGTTGATAAACAAAAGCCCAATAGGACCACAAATAATATTAACTCTCTTGTAGTTGATGAAGAAGCTGTCGATGTCAGAAACCAAGGCAAACTATAAAGCAGAGGCTTCAAAGAAACAAGAAACCCAACTTCCAGATAATCCCAGTTTTTTTCTTCACCCTAAATATGCCTTAAAACCCCGCTTCTCCATGAACCAAGAGGTAAACCAAGATATATTCCTAGATATTCAGAGACATATTATCACAAGCCATGTGCCTTCTTTAAATAAATTTCTACCTTAATATATTTTTAAAATAATAAATATTGTTTAAAGTAAATCAGTGGTTTAAACAAAATATACAATTAATGAAGCCTTGCAGGTGCAACAGAGAAAAGTCTCTATTCAAATGATTAGAGGCAAAAAAAAAAACAAAAACAAAAAACAAAAAACAAAAAACAGCAGAAGAATCAGAAACGGAAAAATCAAAGGGCAAAATCTCAATCCAGAATGAGTAAGAACAGAAAACTGTCCTGAGAGCTATTAGCAAGAAGTTATTATCATCAATATTGATTTATGGGTAACTTACACTTGTGTATCTGTTGTGAATGATGAGTAAATACTTACACACAAACATATACATATGTCTACATATACATATACATATGTCTATAAGTGTGGGGGTGTGAATATATATATATATACTGTTTAGAATGTTACCTGTATGGTTTTTAATATTGATTAAAATTTCTTCTCAACTAGTCCTTTAAACTTCTATATAAATTCTCAAGTAAAATAATCCTTGAAGTTATTTTAATGTTAAGGTAAGGTTATAAGTATAATAGATTATAGCTTCCATTTATAAATTACACAAGTAACAGCTATATTATTTTTCTGACTACATAAATTAATACAAATAATTCTTTTCTTGCCACTTATTCATATCTATTGTTGATTCATTTATTGCATTAAAGGTATTTGTTAAACACCTAGCATGCCAAGAACTAGTTGAGGTGCTTTTGATTCAGCAGTGAGCAAAACAGAAATCTCTGTCCTCATGGACTGAACAATCTAGTCCATTATACAGATAACTAATGGGCAAATTTGGCTGATCTAGCTTCAAATATATATTCTGACCTAATCACTTCTTGTTACATCTGCCATTACTACTTCAGCCATTATCTCTCATCTGGATTATTTCATGATTTTATTAACTTCCTGATTGTTCTACCTGCTTCTGCCCTTTCCCTTACATTATATTTTCCATGTTAGAACTGGAATAATTGTATTAAAACCTAACTCAGATAATATACCTTCTCTCCTGAAAGTCCCCAGTATTTTTCCATCGCATAAAAATAAAAGAAAAAATCCTACTCTTGCCTCTGAGGGTCTACTCTCAGCTTCATCTCTGACCTCATCGCCTACAACTCTTCTTGTTCACTCTACTCGAAAACCACAAGCTCTGGGCTTGCTCCCTGAAAACACCAGGAGTAAAGAAACACCGGCTTCAGGAATATTGAAGTTGCTACACCCTCTGCAGATAGTCTTTCTCCAGAAATTAATATGTCTTGTGCCTTCCCTTCATTCCTGTTTCTGCTCAAATGTTACGTTATCAGACACAACATTCCTGTTGTCCCATTTAAAATAACTAACGTCTCATACATCATGACCATCCCCTTCCTGTGTCATTGTTATTCATGGTATGTATGAATACCTGTCATGATTTATATGCTAATCATTCATTTGGTTGTACATTGGATTATTGTAAACATTACTACCCATTGTCTCCTTTACACTTTTTCTAGATTCTCATGCTTTCTATATATCTTGTATATTGACTGTATTGCTCAGTAAGATTAAATGTCTTCATGACCTAATTTCGACTTTTACAAAATCTGTTCCCAGAATTCACTGAAATAATAGAAAATTAGAAAAATAGAAGATTTTAAAATCTTAAAATTGTGACACATAACATACCTCATAACTTTTTATGTACAGTTGATTTAAACTAAGGAATAATTAATTTTGAAAGTCTTTCCTATTGACCCTCAGAGATTTATTTTTAATAATTTACAATGTTCAATGTCTAGTTATACTTTATCAAAATTATTAAAGGTATATGGACATCTTTTTGTTCTCTCATTTTAAAAAGTACACTCAGATATAAAACATACCCTATGTCAAGAAAAATTATATACACACACACACATATATACATGTATACACACTGCAAATCCATGTAAACTAAGACATGAAAATGCTTTTATTTTGAGACAGGGTCTCACTTTGTCACCCAGGCTAGAGTGTAGTGGCATAGTCACTGCTCACTGTGGGTGGCCTCCACCTTCCAAGTTCAGGTGATGCTCCCACTTCAGCGCCCTTAGTAGCTGGGACTACAGGAATGGATCACTCACCACACTTGGTAGGGACGGGGTTTCACCATGTTACCAGGCTGGTCTCAAACTCCTGGGCTCAAGCAATCCGCTCACCTTGGCCTCTCAAAGGGCTGGAATTACAGGTGTCCACCACTGTGCCTGGCCTGAAAATTCTTTACTTTGAAAGGAAGAGGAACAACAGAATTCTTCTAAATTTACCAAATATAGTGTAAGTTACTAAACACCACTGTATTAGTTCATTTTCACACTGCTATAAAGAACTGCCTGAGACTGGGTAATTTACAAAGGAAAGAGGTTTAATTGACTCACAGTTCTACATGACTGGGAAGTCCTTAGGAAATTTACAATCATGGTGGAAGTCACCTCTTCACAGGGTGGTAGGAGAGAGAAAGAACTGAGTGAAGGGGGATGCCCCTTATAAAACCATGAGATTTCATGGGAACTTACTCACTATCATGAGAATAGCGTGGGGGAAATCAGCCCCATGATTCAATTACCTCCCACTGGGTCCCTCCCATGACACGTGAGGATTATGGGACTACAATTCAAGATGAGATTTGAATAGGGAAACAGCCAAAACATATCATTCAACTCTTGCCCCTTCCAAATCTCATGTCCTCACATTTTAAAACACAATCATGCCTTTCCAACAGTCCTCCAAAGTCTCAGGTCATTCCAGTATTAACCCAAAAGTCCAAGTCCAAATTCTCATCTGAGACAGAGCAAGTCCCTTCTGCCTATGAGCCTGTAAAATCAAAAGCAAGCTAGTTACTTCCTAGATACAATGGAGGTACAGGCATTGGGTAAATACACCCATTCCAAATGGGAGAGATTGGCCAAAACTAAGGGGCTACAGTTCCCATGCAAGTCCAAAATCCAACAAGACAGTAATTAAATCTTAAAGTTCCAAAATAGTCTCCTTTGACTTCATGTCTCACATTAAGTTCAGGCTGATACAAGAGGTGAGCTTCCATGGCCTTGGCTAGCTCTGATCCTGTGGTTTTTCAGGGTACAGCCCTCCATCTGTCTGCTTTAACAAGTTGGTGTTGAGTGTCTGTGGCTTTTCCAGGCACACGGTGCAAGCTGTTGGTGGATCTACCATTTTGGGGTCTGGAGAATGGTGGCCTTCTCCTCACAGCTCCACTAGGCAGTGCCCTGGTGGTGCTGTGTGGGGATTCCAACCCCACATTTTCCTTTCACACCACCCTAGCAGAGGTTCTCCATGAAGACCCTGCCCCTGAAGCAGACTTCTGCCTGGAGATCCATCATTTCCATACATCCTCTGAAATCTAGGCATAGGTTCCCAAACCTCAGTTCTTGACTTCTATGCAGCCACAGGCTTAACACCACGTGAAAGCTGCCAAGGCTTGGGGCTTGCACCCTCTGAAGCCATGGCCTGAGCTATCCCTTTGTTCCTTTTAGCCATGGCTGGAATAGCCAGGACTCAGGGCACTAAGTCCCTAGGCTGCACACAGCATGGGGATCCCGGGCCCAGCCCACAATACCATTTTTTCCTCCTAGGTCTCCAGGCCTGTGATGGGAGGGGCTGCCACAAGGGTCTTTGACATGTCCTGGAGACATTTTCCCCATTTTCTTGGTAGTTAACATATGGCTCCTCATTACTTATGCAAATTTCTGCAGCCAACTTGAATTTCTTCTCAAAAACATGGGTTTTTATATTCTATTGTATCCTCAGGCTGCTAATTTTCCAAACTTTTATGCTCTACTTCCCTTTTAGACATAAGTTCCAATTCCAAACCATATCTTTATGAATACAAAAAACTGAATGTTTTTAACAGCACACCAAGTCACCTCTGCTGCTTTGAAATGTTGTTCACCAGATACCCTAAATCATCTCCCTCAAGTTCAAAGTTCCACAGATCTCTAGGTCAGGGACAAAATGTCACCAGTCTCTTTGCTAAAACATAGCAAGAGTCACCTTTATTCCAGTTCCCAACAAGTTCCCCATCTCCATCTGAGACCACCTCAGCCTGAACTTCATTATCCATATCACTATCAGCATTTTGGTCAAAGCCATTCAACAAGTCTCTAGGGAGTTCCAAACTTTCCCACACTTTCCTGTCTTCTTCTGAGCCCTTCAAACTGTTTCAACCTGTTACCCAGTTCCAAAGTCGCTTCAATATTTTTGGGTATCTTTAGAGCAGCACCCCATTACCCAGTACCAATGTACTGAATTATTAGTTTGTTTTCACACTGCCATAAAGAACTGCCCCAAACTGGGTAATTTATAAAGGAAAGAGGTTTAATTGACTCACAATTCTACATGGCTGGGAAGGCCTCAGGAAACTTACAATCATGGTGGAAAGGAAACTTACTATCATGGTGGAAGGCACCTCTTTATAAGGTGGCAGGAGACAGAATGAGAACAAAGAGAAGGGGGAAGCCTCTTATAAAACCATCAGATCTCCTGAGAACTGACTGTCACAAGAATAGCATGGGGGAAACTGCCCCCATGATTCAATTACCTCCCACAGCATTCCTCCCATAACACGTGAGGATTATGGGAACTACAATTCAAGATGAAATTTGGGTTAGGAAACAGCCAAACCATATCAACCACTTAATATTTACCAACAGGTTTCTCAGGTTTAAGGCTACAGAATTAATATGCATGAACTTTAATTCTGACTAGATGCTTATTGTGGCATTCTGATGTGCACCTCCAGGTTGAGTGAAATCAGTGCAAACTCTTTTGGTCTTTATTTCTTATATTAATTTTCATCACTATTTGATTTGTTACTATTTTTACACTCAGTAAATGTGCATCTTTACTTAACAAAAATCCAGTATTCAAAAATCCAGCACATTTTGCCTAGTGTAAATTAGGGTTAAAAATAAATACTACCAATACTACCAAAGTTCTCTTCCATAGTGTAGCTAATAATGATAAACCATAAATGAAAACCAGGCTAACAAATGACAATGACTTAAAAATAAGCTGATTAAACACTGTCTCAATCCTGATTCCTCAACCTCCTACTTTCTATTGCATCATTCCCAGTAACACTCATACAACTCTGGACTCACCCATCCCAAAACAAAACAAACACACAAGCAAGCAAGCAAACAAATGCCACCTTTTCTCCCAAGGGAGAAAAGTGGAGCTGAGAGACATCAGAGCCTTGTCAACATCACAAGCCTTCAGAAGCTCTACCTTCCAGGTCAAGAAATGCCAATTCAAGAAAACAAGACAATCTAGGTTTAATCCTGCCTATTCTGTCTACCAGTGATTAATTAACTCTCTTTATACTATATAACCTCATATGTAAATGAGTATTATAATAATAGAACCTACTTCAGAGAGTCATCATGAATAATTATAAATAATGCTTTACAGGTAGTTGCCATAGTACCTGGAATTTGATATATGATCAGTAAATACTGGTATGGTTATTAATCCTTATTAATCCTTATTCTATACCACTACTTCACCTACTGACTGGTAGGGATACAGTTCTCTCGTATGTTTTACTTGCAAAGAAGATCTATGTGTGCCCTGAAATCTATTCTTACCATTATCATTGTGGTGAGGGGCTTCATCCTTTTTCTGAAAATGATGCCAGCTAGTTGGAGAACCCTGCCTATCTCCTACAATTTTGCCCAATCAATATTCCTTAAATACTGTCTCTACCATGTTAGTCCTCTGCTCTCAAACCTTCAGTGACACCCTCCACATCACCACAGTAAGACTAAATTTCTCAGCCTAACTTTCAAATCTGCCTCCACTCAAAACTCCTCACTTCATGTTTTGTAGCATTGGTGCTCTCATCACCAACACTATCCCTCACCCTGTTGCCTCATGGCTCATGATGACAGCATGGAGTAATGAGATCTCTGGAATCAGGGTGGTTGAGTTGAAAGCGTGGCTTTCCCAGTATCTGCAGTAGGCAGGTTACTTAATCTCACTAAACCTGAGTTTCTTTCTGTGTAAAATGAAACTATTAACAGCAGGATAGATTTTGGGGGGATTAAATAAAGCCAGGTAAGATCAAGTGAGGAGGCTGAACCTTAGGAAGCACACAGTAAATATTCACACTTCTAATGGATAGTGCTTTAGTTCAGCTTTCTTCATTCCTCTGCCTAGCCAGACCCTTCTCATTATTTAAGACTGTCTCTGGTCTACTTCTTGGGCAACCTTCATTAAAAAGCTCTACCCTATTACCACAATGTTCCTTAGTGCTCATATTTTGTACTTTACTTTCCCAATAGATTATAAATCCTTTAAGGGCAGAGGATTATATTTTATCCTCTAGTAGGCTCCATGGTACCTGACGAAGCACTGCACAGATTTTAGAGTCTGCCCAAACTGTCTAACCACACTGTTTCCTCAGTAGCTATTGGACCAGAAAGTGAATAGGTGTTCATTATACTTCCCTGACTCATATGACTTAATACCACTTGTCCACATGTGTAGCACTTACATGCTGAACAACTGTGGGTGAGACCTACAATTAGAGCAAAGATGAGGAGATAGAACATCAACATCAGGCAGCGGTCCCCAATCTTTTTCGCACCAGGAACTGGTTTCACGGAAGACAATTTTTTCCATGGTAGAGGAGAGGGAGTCAGGGGATGCTTTTGGGATGAAACTGCTCCACCTCAGATCATCAGGCATTGGATTCTTATAAGGAGTGTGCAACCTAGATTCCTCACATGTGAGCTCATGAAAGAATTGGTGTTTCTATGAAAATCTAATGCCACCACTGAGCTAACAGGAGACTGAGCTCAGGCAGTAATGCTTACTCCCCTGCTGCTCACACCTCTTGCTATGCAGCCCGGTTTCTAACAGGCCATGGACCAACCAGTCCATGGCACGGGAGTTGGGGACCCCTGACATAAAGTATGGTCAAGATTTTACCATCATACCTGTTGAAACAAACCGTTTTTACTGTCTTTGTCTATATCTTCTGTTCTCTGAATAACATATGTAGATTTCAAGGGTTTGTTTTCTCAAATAATAATTATGTCTGTTCAGATGGCATACAGGTTCATATTTTGACAGGATAAAAGGCAAATAAAAGTTGACCAAAAAATCTATGAATTCTACTGAGAAGTATAACACTTTGTAGGTACCAACAGATGACTCTTCTCTCCTTGAGTACTTTTGTTCCAGGAACAGAGATTATAACCTACCTTAAGCCCTAAGATGCCTACTCATGATAGACATGTTAAAATTGACATTTAACAAAATTGAGCATTAAAAGAGGCATTATATTAAGTGCTAAGAAGTATCACCCATTTAAGGCCAGACACAGTGGCTCATGCCTGTAATCCCAGCATTTTGGGAGGCCGAGGCAGGCGAATCACGAGATCAGGAGATTGAGACCATCCTGGCCAACATGGTGAAACCCCATATCTACTAAAATGCTAAAAATTAGCCGGGTGTGTTGGCACACGCTTGTAGTCCCACCTACTCAGGAGGCTGAGACAGGGAAATCACTTGAACCCGGGAGGCGGAGGTTGCACTGAGCCGAGATCGTGCCACTGCACTCCAGCCTGGCAACAGAGCAAGATCCCGTCTCAAAAAAAGAAAAAAAAAAGAAATGTCACCAATTATCTTTGTAATATTGATAAAATAGTGAATGATGTTTAGAAACAATGACATAAACTTGCATTCAGATTAGTTTATTTGAATATGCTTATGCTCTGCTATATAAATTTAATACAGTGAAAAATAATGCTATTTGGAAAAAAAAATCCTTGAAGAGGTATCTAACGTAAAAGTAGATTAAAACTGTCTATATGTGTAGATGTGTGGCAGCTTTTTGCTTCGGAAATAGATGTATATGTAATATATGTTATACAAGTGATAAAATTTATTAAATATTTGTGAAATAAATTATAAAAATAGCTGTTTAAATGAAAAATAATTTTTCAAGAATACAGTAGAAATTATGTTAAAAAGACATAAATATGTTGGTCTTAGATTGGTATTATTATTGAATACACTTAATTTTAGACTTTTAAACTTTTACCTTGCACAGGAAGTCTATTTACCTGTGATAGACCACCTTGAAACAATATGAGGAAAAAAGGTTTATCTGATATTAGTAGTGTTATCTCTCATAGTAAAGAAAATAAATCCAGTTTCAGGGAGATTTGTGGGAGGAATAGTATCTTTGTGATGCACTTCCCCAAGCATGCTCACGTACGTACATATCAGCCAGTCATTTGATAGGGGTCGCCCCCAAGAAGGTGGCATGCCTACCACAAGGTGGCTTTCAACAACCGAGGGAAAATCCTGGAGCAGCATTTAACTGAGGAAGTCAGCCTCCAAAACCCTAGTAGCCGAGGGATGGAGTGTGTCTGGGAGACACACCACAGCATCCACTACACTGATCTTGTTAGGTGATTTCTTAAGAGGTGTCAATTGAGGAAAATGATGTGACAAGTCTCAATCATTTTAGGAGATTTATTTGCCAGAGTTAAGGACATGCCCAGGAGACAGATCTAAGCCTTTCTCCAAAGATGATTTTGAGGGCTCTAAATTTAAAGGGGAAAGGGTGGGAGATTGAGAAGTACATGGTTTTCATGTAAGTGACTCTGTATTTTTTTACATAAGATGACATAAACAAAAGGGTCAGAGGAAAAATGCAGGGAATCTGCATTTTACATAAGATAATACAGACAAAATAGGGTAGGGGAAGGATCAGATATGCATTTGTTTCTGGTGGGCTGGAGTAATTGCACCTGTAAAGATAAGCTATCAATTTCCATTGCCATGGGAAAATTTTAACAGCTCACTAGGAATTTCCTTGTGGGCAAAATGTGGGGGAGGCATGTAGCTTTTCATCTTGCAGCCATGTTATTCAGGAACTAAAAGGGGGAAGCAGGTTTGCATGACCCAGTTTCCAATTTGAGTTTTCCCTTTGGCTAAATGTGTTTGGGGTCCCAAAATTTAATTTCCTTTCACAGAGGTAAACCTTTATGTTTGCTCTTTCTTCTTCCACACTTTCATCAACATTTTGTTGTGTGCTTCTCCTTCCATGGCCTAGCTGCCACCATCCTGACCTTATCTTTGCAATTTTCCAAAGTCCTCAAAACCCTTCACAGAATATGCTGAATTTTTCTTTGCTTAAACTGAAATCTGACTCACCTCTGAGGATATAACTTTCAGCTCTAGTGACAACTACATGTTTTCCTCTACCATACTGGCACATGGCAATTCACATGGATCAGCCTTGTCCTTTATCCTCACTGCCGGAGCTTTTTTTCTTCCCTCCTTGGAAACTCTTAACTGGAAATGTTCTCCTCTACTCGTCCTTCTTTCTACCAGCTAACGAAGTCCTTCTCACAAAGATGGCGGCACATGCCTCATGGTATTATTCTGTAGCCCACATCCTGGCCCCATCCAGGTGACTTCATAGCCACACGCACAATTTATGAAATGTTCTAGTCTCTTCATACTTAAAGAGTGGTCCAGGCCGGGTGCGGTGGCTCACGCCTGTAATCCCAGCACTTTGGGAGGCTGAGGCGGGTGGAACATGTGGTCAACACTACCCCGTCTCTACTAGAAATACAAAAATAAGCTGTGCATGGTGGCAGGCACCTGTAGTCCCAGCTCCTCGGGAGGCTGAGGCAAGAGAATCGCTTGAACCCGGGAAGTGGAGGTTGCAATGAGACGAGATGGTGCCATTGCACTCCAGCCTGGGCGCAGAGCCAGACTCCATCTCAAAAAAAAAAAGAGAGTGGTCCACAGGCCAGCGACATTGGCATCACCTCGGAACTTTGTAGAATTCAGAAATTCATCCCCTTACAGGGCTACAGACTTAGAAACAAAATTTTAATAAGATCTTGAGGTGCGTGGTACACATATTGAAGTTAGAAAAGCTCTGTCCTAGACTCTTTATTCCTTGACATAGTCATCTATGATCTTCACAGGCCCTCTGCTTTAGGACATCTGTTCTTTGACTGCATCAAGCTCGACATTGAGACGTCTAGACCATTGGTCCTTTAATTTCTTCTCACAAATTGACACCCTTTCGGTTGCTGTTGTTCCTCATGAAACTCTTGGAAGGACCTGTAACTCTAACTTGCCAGGTGAGATGTTCCCTAAATTGCCAAAGAGCATCTATATTACCTTTAGTGCTATAAAAAATTAGCAAAGTCAAGTGAAGCTGGGGTGGTGTGTACAGTGCTTGAGCTTGCCCCATTTCTCATCTTTGACTTTAGTTTCTGACTTAAATTGAAATAGACGATTAATATTTACATCATTGTTTATAGTTTATGAAGCAATTTTAGACACATTACCTCATTTGTCTATAAAGTTGTACAGTAGAAAAAGCATTCCATTTTACAATCAGACAGTTCAGATTGAGAGAGGAAAGGCATGTAAGGTATTCAGATCTCATAATCAAT
Organism: Homo sapiens; assembly: GCF_000001405.40. Lineage (NCBI taxonomy): Eukaryota > Metazoa > Chordata > Mammalia > Primates > Hominidae > Homo > Homo sapiens. The sequence goes on from NC_000002.12 coordinate 226,025,715, forward strand.
CAGGGACTCAACCTCAGATCCTCTGATTCCTACTTCAGCCCATATTCTATGGCACTTAAAATACTGCCATTTATTCTAGTATTTCATGCCTATTAGAACATCATGTGATTTGACATGAAAACAAATGAACTTATACTTCTCTAATCTGAATTTGTATTACCTGAATAAAGGAATGGGATTTTACCTACGAATCCTTTTACATTGTAATATAATTCCATTCAATGAAATATTAGAGTGAATTATTTAAATATCATAACATTAAAAATGACAAAAGTCAGCTTTAATAGAATTGACTTATTCCATCATTTTGTCTCCGTAATTCTAGAGGATATATATATTTATTTCTTCATCTTGTTTGGCTGTTTAGCAGTAGACATGCTGTTATTTTGGTAAGTCTTACTTATTTATAATTCTTGACACAGATGGAATCAAAATCTTGGTTTTAACTATTTCTAGACTTTCTGTGATAGGAACCAAGAATCACACAGCATAGTCTTTGTTACCATTCAGATAGACTGTTTGGATATATTCAAGTTATCTATTTCATTTCCACCATTTGTAACAGACACTATTAGGTATTATGACCCAAATGTTCAATTAGAAATGATCTTGTTTTTGAGGAATTTACAACCTACTGTGGGAGACAACAATGTAAGACAGTAATAGAGTCTTTGATAATGATAACAGAATAGAAAGTAATTCAAAATATGAGACTGTCAGAAGAGGGAAGGGCAAATTAGCAGAAGAAATTTACAGAAGAAAGAGCATTTGACTTGAATCTTGAAAAGTCAGAGCCATAATGAAGGGAACGGCATGTTAGTCACTAGAGAAAAACATGACAGTGGCTTCACAGCAGGTAAGTAAAATGGAGGGTGATGTGGTTTGGCTGTGTCCCCATCCAAATTTTATCTTGAATTGTAGTTCCATAATCCCCACATGTTATGGGAAGGACCAGGTGGAGATAATTGAATCATGGGGGTGGTTTCCCCCATCTTGTTCTTATGATAGTGAGTGAGTTATCATGAGATCTGATGGTTATATGAGGTCCTTCCCCCTTTGCTGAGCACTGGTTCTTCTCTCTTCTGCCACCATGTGAAGAAGGATGTGTTTGCTTCCCCTTCCACCATGATTGTAGGTTTCCTGCGGCCTACCCAGCCATGCTGAACTGTGAGTCAATAGTCAATTAATCCTCTTTTCTTTATAAATGCCCAAGTCTTGGGTATGCCTTTGCTATAATAGCAGTGTGAGAACAGACTAATACGGAGGGCTTGAGCCGTGACATGGCACTGACAAATTCGAGGAGAAAAAGGAGGTCAGCATAGATGTTGATGATATGGAAAAGTCAGCTGAGATAAAAATCACAAAGTTACTCAATGAGTGAAAAGAGTGTGGCTATTCAGATGTAGGTTTTCACGTACTGGTAGCATGAATAAATCTGCCAAGAAGCTTTGGAAAATACCAAGATGAGGAACAACAAAGACTGAGAAAATAAGTTAGGAGACCGTTTTTCATAAGGAGACTATGGAGGCCTAAAATAGGAGAGTAGTAGATAGAATGGGAAGGATAATATGAATTGAAAGACACTTCAGAAGCAAAATCAATAAGATGCATTCATCTATTTTATGTAAGGAGGGGAGAGAGAACATGCCAAAGAGAAACCAAAGAATACTACATGTTCTAAATAAACTGGAGAAGTTGGTTTCCAGTGCTACTCTATGAGCAAGTGCCCAATACTATAAATCTCAGAGCCCCCATGTATTAGTCTGTTCTCACGCTGCTAATAAAGGCCTACCTGAGACTGGGTAACTTATAACAGAAAGAGGTTTAATTGACTCACAGTTCCACATGGCTGGGGAGGCCTCACAATCATGTCAGAAGGCGAATGAGGAGCAAAGGTTCATCTTGCATGGTGGCAGACAAGAGAGCTAGTGCAGGGGAACTCCCCTTTATGAAACCATTAGCTCTCGTGAGACTTATTCACTACCTGGAGAACAGTATGGGGGAAACTGCCCCTATGATTCAGTTATCTCCACCTGGCCCCCCACTTGACACATGAGGATTGCAGAACTACAATTCAAGATGAGATTTGAATGGGGACACAGCCAAAACATATCACTCCATTCCTGAGACTATTCTTCAGAATGTCTGGGATGGTGCTAGGAATCTTCATTTTAAAAAAATTTCCCCAGGGAATAGTTTCTGTGGTCATTTCTGCCATAGGCCTGGTAGGTAGCAAGCCATGTTGTTAACACTTACCTATTCCATCAAATGACACCTTGTGTCTAGTTTTATAGAGAGGATGTGTGTCACTACTTTAGGAGAGAGAAGAATGATGCCAACATTTATAACTTTTGAGAGTGGCTATGTCATAGATTCCTTTGAAAAAATCAATCTTGAGTATATTCATGTTTCTAAAAACCAATGGAACCAGGAGTTCTGATGACTTTTATTTAATAAGCTGTTTTTCTTTTTTAAAAATAATTTAAACTTTTATTTTAGATTCAGGGGGTTCATGTGCAGGTTTTTTACATGGGTATATTGTGTGATGCTGAAGTTTGGGGTACAAATAATTCTGTCACCCAGGTAGTGAGCGTAGTATACAATAAGTAGTTTTTCAGCCCTTACCTCCCTGCCCCCATCTCCCTCATTTAGTAGTCTCGTGTCTATTGTTCCTATCCTTTTGTCCATATGTACCCAATGTTTAGCTCCCTCATGCAGTATTTGGTCTTCTATTTCTGTGGTTAATTCATTTAATAAGCCATTATTTTGATGCTTTTCGTTCCCTCCACAATCCACAGACATTTTTGGGGTTTATCTACAGGCAAAGTCTTAGTTTACTACAGGGGAAGATGTCCTCAGTGTTTTGGTAAAGAGAACAAATGAATGTAGTTCCCTACTGATTAATTGATACAGTGTACACTTATTTTAATGTAGAATGGTCTTAAAGAAATAGAAACAGTTTTAGACAGCTAATCTGCCATCTGGAATATAAGATATAAGTACATGTTCTCTATTAAATTTTAATCAGGACACAACCTGGAGTCTATAAAAGAAATTGCTGACAGATTTGGCTACACAAAAATTCAAATGTCCCTATGATGAAGTTTCCACATTCCAAGTTAAAAGATAAACAACAGGCTAAGAGAAACATTTACACTAAGCAAAAGAAACAAAGGTGTTCATTATAGGTAAAGAATTTCTTAGAATCATGAAGAAAAAGAAAGATCCAAAGAAAAAATGGGGCAAATACGTAAACAGGCAACTCAGAACAAACAAACAAACAACACAAATGTCCAGTGTAGGTAAGACTTGTTCAACCTCAGTAGTAATTTAAAAAGGCAAGTGAGAAAACAAGTTTTTTTTTTTTTACAAAATATTGACAAAACATTTTTTAATTGATAACAAATAGTGATTGAGAGACTGTGCAAAACAATAGTCTAGTCACAGACAACTTGGTGGAATATAAATCGTTTTTGCTCTTTGTGAGAGAACTTTGGTAGTATCCATAAATTTAAAATGCATATATCCTTTCACTTATGGATTTCAGTACAATCTAGCCTATAAAATTACTAGCATGTATGGTCAAAGATGTATACCTAAGAATGTCAGTTTCAGTATTATTTATAATAACAAAAAGCTGGAAATACCCTCATTATGTATCAATAATGTAATAATAAATCCTGAAACGTTATGCACCCGTCAAAAATGAGATAGATTTATAGGTCTTGATTTTTTAAAAAAGATCTCTTTGGTGTAGTAAGTGAACAAAATCACTTCACAGAATAAAACATATAGTATGAGTGAATTTGTAGGTTTCTAAAATTTATATGATTGCATATATACATCTATGCATATAAAAATATTTACAAGGGCTGGATGGATTTTATAAGGGTTGGATGAATACTATTGTGGGGAAGTATGAATTTACTTCTGGGGAAGGGAATCATTTGGGAAAGTGGGACTTCATAAAAGATTTTCATTGTTTAATGTGTATAGCCCTACATTATGTAAATATTCTACGATAAAAATATTTTCTTATATAATTGGAAAAATAAACAATAGATATTAAAAAACCTCCCTAATATTGGAGAAAACAGTAAAGTTAAAGACTTCTTAAGGGAAAAACAAAGCACACCTGTTCTAACTGTAAGAAAAGCTTCTGAACTTCCTGGCTATGCCTATCTTTGACAAAATGCTAGTGCTGTGTTAAAAGAATACATTAAAATTTAACACTTTATGATTAAATGTAAGATTTAGGGTGTGGAGATTTCAAACTGTGAATTTGCGTAAAATTTAGTTTGCTTGTTGCTGCTGTTTTTTTTTTCTTGTAAAGCTGTAGCTGATAAAAAGTCTTGTGAGAGAGAGAGGAGAGAGTAACTGATGCTTAGACAAAATAAAGTCATTATCATATGACAAGGTCTTTCTCATTCCATTCAGGCCCCTTAATAACTTTATTGCATCTCTAGGTATAAAGATCATATCTCACAAGGGAAGAAACTGCATTATATATGCTGGGCAGCTGCCTACCTACCATTCTCATGCATTTGTTGCGAGAGCAACATCTGTGTTCTTTCTACATGTAGAGGGCTCCGCTGCCATCCTTCCCAAAACTTCTGGAGGTCACCGTTTTTACAACAGGATATCTCTCGCACCAGTGACCTGCATTTTAACACTTTGCCCTGTTATCTATAGAAAGAGAGGTTCTTTCCAAATCCCAGGAGTGCGTTAAACGTTATTTCTGAGGTAAATCAGACTCACACAAAGTTAGCGTTCCCCAAAGGGGGGGGGGGGGTGGTGCCTCAGTATAAAAATGTCCCCCAGTGGATAATTCATCATGTGATATTTCAAGCACTGAGAAAGCAGAAGTAACAACATTTGGAAAGAAAGGGTGGAATTTCCTTCCTTTACATGTGTGAGGAGCGCGCGCCTGTGTGTGGGGGGTGGGGTGGGGGGCTATGGGAAGGAGTGGATCTTGTAGTGGACAGCATTCTTTGAATATAAATATACATGTAAACATATAAATATATAAATATATATGCGCGCATTTTTCTCCTGCATAAAGGAGTCAGGCCGATCTCTTTCTATTTGATCTTAATCCCTCTCCCCCGCCAGCGTGGCCCAGGAGCACCCCTCTCTTTCTAATAAACGGCTGGCAGAGCAAGCCGTTCACGCAGTCCCCTTTGATCACCTTGGAGCTGTCAGCCCTTGCTGCTGTTTTCCTCCCAGCTCTTGTTCCTGCCTAAAAGTGGAAGTAATACCCACTGAAAGAAATACCCCAGGTGTCCTGCAAAGCATTAATCTATTTCTTCTTTTTCTTCTTTTTTCCTGAGGCCCACCCTCCCAGCTTGAACAAATCCCCCTCTTCCTCCCTCCTCCCCTCTCTGCAGAATCCCAGTTCCTTTTGAGACACCCTCCACTGTGCTGGCGTGACCCCCTGGGCCCTCGCTGTCTGAGAAGCTACCACCCGGCCAGACAGGGGAGGCTCCGCCCTGCCCCTGCACCCGCCGCCCTCTCCCCGGCCGCACGGGAGCCCGGATCCCGCAGGCATCTGTGTTCGCAGGTTCTGCCGTTTGCTTTCGGGAAGGCGAGCATTGTTTTCCTCTGGATGCAAGCTTTTGCTGACCCACACCCCCCTTCCCCAATGCCTCCGCTTCCCTTCCCCCTTCGGGGACTTGGGATTGCCCTGCAGACTCCCTGGACTTGAGCGTTTTGGTCTCTGGCTGCAGTGTTTGTGAGAGAGGCTGCGGATGCGACCCAGCTCCGGCTCAGCTGCGCGCGTTTGCAAATGCGGCTGCGTCCAGACAGGGCATGGAACACATTTCCAAGCTCACGTCCCCGTTTCTTGTTTACAGCTGAGATTATAAGCAATCTATGTGCCCTCTTATCATCGTGTCAGGCAATGATATATAGTTTGTAAATATTATTTAAAGGAAATGATTTGCAAAGGCAAACAATTTTAAGCAAAGTATATGGACCATGAGGTTTGTCTTTAATGTACTTACCAGAAGGACAGAGAAGGGGGCTGGGAGACCGGAAAATTATGGGGTGAGGTGTGTGGGTGGGGGAAAAGGTGGCGGGGATGACTCAAAGGATTCTGGTGATTCGATGACAGTGACATAACTAATTAAATGTAATGTTGCTTAAAAGCCTTTGCTCTCTTTCTGAAATTGCTCGAAAGTATGCATTATTAAAGAAAAAAAGATAATGTAGAAGGAGGGGGACTTAGAATGACTGAATACAACTCATTGTGCTGGCTCAAAAATGTCAAACTGCAGTGGAAAGAAATACAGCATTACAGGCTGGTGCGCTGAGGCCCCAGCTAGGGAAGGGGGAACTGTTAAGTGGAAAATTCCTGCAGAGGACTCGTTTCCATTTCCAATGGGAAGAAAGAGAGTGTTGTTGGAAGCTGGCAGATCTTTGGAAAATACAGGGGAGCACAGGGAAAATGACAAAAATGATCTCATTGAACTCTGAGAAATCTAGCAAACAAATAGCTTTAGCCAACCTACCACATTCTTATAGTGCCTGTGCCTGCATACCAAGACTGAGAAAGGATGAAATCTCAGCTCTCCCTCTCTCTGGTCCCCCTTGTCTCCTGAGAGGAAAGGAATGATGCTTGAGACACTGGCAGCAGCAGAGGATCATGACTGTAGAAATGTGTCTATGAGTACATGTGTGCTCCTCAAATAGACTTGTGTGCTTAGGGAGATACTTACTTTGCATCCTGAATACTAAAATGATGGTGCAGCTGTATTTGTTGAACACTAGAGGATTTCAGTTTAAGGAGCATTTTTCTGTCCGAAAGAACCACAAATCCTAACAGGAGTCACCAGGTTTTGCCACCCAGGGGTGGTCTCTGTTAGTGGGTTTTCTTCTAAGGATAGCCTGAATTGCATCACGAGCAGCTAGGTGATGGAGCAGGGCGAGAGCAAGCACATCTCAGAAGCTGTGTGCAGGTGTATTCGTATAACCGCGACCAGGAATTTTAGAATTATCATTACATGTTCCAGTGGAGAAAAACAGAGACTAATAAGAAGCCACGTTTTTTCTTATTCTGTAAAGCTTCTGTCAAGAAGAAAGAAAAATGCCAGGCAGTGAATGCACTGCATGTACACAAATGAAGTTCAAACGATCTTCATTTGCTATGCTGATTTTTTCTCTATCAGATCCACAGCACACTGACAAGCTAAAGAAAACTTGTTTTACATTTATGGCTAGGATATGTGTGTATGTGTGTTGAGTAACACTTTTAAATATATTCCTTTCCATAGTAGTCTGATAATTTAATAACTGGTGAATTATATTGAAAACACTTTATTAAAACTATTTGACATTTCAAGTAAACTTTATTAAAAACTACAGATGACTGAATTTACGTGGTCAATATTCTACCTACTGACAAATCCAAAGCATAGATCAGCATATCTTGTATCAGTCCAATGTCTCCTCCAAAAATTTAATTTTATTTGGATATGTAAATTCAATGCTATGATGGACCTTGGGACTTGTAAATTTTACATAGAAAACAATATTTGGTTCAGACCAATTCTTAAGTTATGTCCAATTGCCAAGGCAATGCCCATAGTAATTGAAGAAATATACTGTGAGTTACTCATTATATATTTAAGATATAAATGTTCTTGTCTGTTCTTACAAACAGCTTACTTACATAGAGTTTTAATGAGATATAAGTCATATCCCATAACATTCACTTACTTTAAGTGTTCAATTCAATGGTTCATATATTATTTACGTTATGCCACCACTACTACAGTTTCATTTTAAGATGTTTTCATCACTCTATAAAGAAAGATTGTGATTATTTATGATCACTATCCATTCCTGCCCCAGCCCTAAGTAATGTTTTTGAGGTCCGTCCATGTTGTTCCTTTTAATTGCCAAATAGTTTTCCATTGTATAGCTATACCATACTTTATTTATCGATTCATCAGTTGACGAACATCAGTTGACGAACAGAAATGTTTCCATTTCTGGGCGTGGTGATTAATGCTGCAATGAACATTCACATATAAGTCATTGTGCAGACATGTTCTCATTTATTTTTGGTAGATACCTAACTAAGTGTGGAATTGCTATATCATATGGTATGCTTACATTTTTCAGAAACTGCCAAATTGTTTTCCAAAGTGGCTGTACAATTTTACATTCTTACCAAAAGCATATGAAAGTTATAATTGCTCCAAACAGTAACACTTGTTATTGTCTGTCTTTTTGATTATAGCCATTCTGGTGAGTGAGAAATAATATCACATTGTGGTATTGATTTGCATTTTGTTATGTTCAATCACGTGCATCTTTACCTGTGTTTATTAATCATTTGTGTATCTTCTAAGGAGAAATATCTAAATATTCAAAACCTTCCACCATTTTTTTAGTTGTGTTATTTGGTTTTTATTGCTCACCTGTTAGAATCCTTTTTATATTCTGGGCACAAATCCTGTACTGGATATATGATTTATGAATGTTTTCTCTCAGTTTGTGGGTTAGTTTGTTATTTTCTTGATGGTGTCTTTCAAAGCAGCAAAGTTTTTATTTTAACTAAGTTTAATTTATCAATTATTTTTCTTTTATCATTTGTGCTTTTGTTGCCATATCTAACTTTCCAATACAGTCTTAAGATATTTTATTTACTCAATATGTATTTTTTAATAACCTACCATGTGCCTATCACTATATTAGAATGGAAAGATAACTGAACTACAATAATACTGGTAATTTATAGCTTGGATTTGAGGACAAAGCCAGTAATACACCTTCATCATCTTAAGGTTTCTGATGATAGAGCGTCTCAGAGTTCCAGAAAGGATTGAGCCACTTTTAAATTTTAGAATCACTTCTCGGCCTTTTGGCTAAGATCAAGTGAATTTTTTGAGATTCCAGGTATATTTTTTAAGGTGCCAAAAGAGTTTTGAAATAGTAGTATATCTGAAATATACCTTAACAATTTTAACATGCATAATGCAATATATCTATGCAGTCTTAAGACAAATTTCATAATTATAAAAATGTAAACTGCTGTGCTACATTGAGTGTGTCTCAGTCACAGGACAAAAGTTTGACATTGATGATGAACATCTTTCAATGTAGTTTCTGAATGTACAGCTTTGTTTGAAAACTACATCAAAGGTCTAAATTTGATGCCATAAACCACTTCTTTACCCCAGGAAAGATATATTGTATCTGAAGATTTTTCTTAATTTTTCTCACTCAAATACTGCCATTTACATGGATGTCCATGTTCTGACATGACTTTGTAGGAACACTGACCTTTCCTCCACATGGAAAGAGGTAGAGAGAAGTTGTGTTAGGTCATTCTCATGTTGCAATAAAGAAATACCTGAGACTGGGTAATTTATAAAGAAAAGAGGTCCTACAGGCTGTACAGGAAGCATGGCATGGGCATTTGCTTGGCTTCTGAGGAAGCCTCGGGGAGCTTTTATTCATAATGGAACGTGAAGCAGGAGCAGATGATTCACATGGCCAGAGTAGGAGCAAGAGAGAGAGAGTGAGAGAGAGAGAGAGAGAGAGAGAGAGAGAGAGAGAGAGAGAGGAGGGTCACACACACATTTTAAATAACCAGATCTCTAGAGAACTCACTCACCATTGTGAAGAAAGCACCAAGCCATGAGAGATCTGCCTCCATGACCCAGAACCTCCCACCAGGCCCCACCTCCAACACTGGGGGTTCCATTTCAGCATGAGATTTGGTGGGGACACAGATCCAAACCATATCATAGGTCTAAAATATTGACAACAGAATATATCATACTGATATATTCTGTGAGCTGCAGAAATCAATGTGAGCTGCAGTATGCCGTGGGGATAGTATTGTTACACAGGCATACTTTGTTTTATTGTGCTTCATTTTATTGAGCTTCATGGATAATGTATTTTTTACAAATTGAAGGTTTGTGGCAACCCTGCACTAGGCAAGTCTATTGGTGCCGTTTTTCTAACAGCATGTGCTCACTTCCTGTCTTTGTCATATTTTGGTAATTCTCACAATATTTCAAACGTTTTCGTCATTATATCTCTAATGGTGATTTGTGATTAGTGATCTTTGATGTTACTATTGTAATTGTTTGGAGGTGCCACAAACTGCACTCATGTAAGACAGTACACTTATTTGATAAATGTGTATGTCTTCACTGGTGCATCAACCAGCCATTCCACAATTTCTCTTCTTCTTCTCAGGCCTCCCTATTCCCTGAGACAAACAATATTGAAATTCGGACAGGTCTTTTGTAAAAGAGTCAATCAATTCTAAAATGGCCTCCAAGTGTTCAAGTGAAAGCAAGAGTCTCATGTCTCTCATTTTAAATCAATAGCTAGAAATAATTAAACTTAGTGCGACAGGAATGTTGAAAGCAGAGATAGGCTGAAAGCTAGGCCTCTGCCATCAAATAGTTAGCTGAGTTGTTAATGCAAAGGAAAAGTTTGTGAAGGAAATTAAAAGTGCTACTCCAGTGAACACACAAATGATATGAAAATGAAACAGCCTTATTGCTGATATGGAGAAAGTTTGAGTGGTCTAGATAGATGATCAAACCAGCCACAACATTCCCTTAAGACAAAACCTAATCTAGAGCAAGGCCCTAATTCTCTTCAATTCTGTGGAGGCTGAAGGAGATAAGGAAGCTGCAGGAGAAGAGTTGGAAGCTAGCAGAAGTTGGTTCATGAGGCTTAAGGTGAAAAGTTGTCTTCATAACAAAAGTGTAAGATGAAGCAAGCAACAAATTATTTGGAAGATCTACCCAAGATAATTGATGAAGGTGGCTATGGCTACACAATACATTTTCAATGTATATAAAAACATCTTCTATTAGAACAAGATGCCATCTAGAACTTTTATAGCTAGAGAGGTGAAGTAAATGCTTGGCTTCAAATCTTCAAAGAGTAGACTGACTCTCTTGTTAGGGTCTAATGCAGCTAATGATTTTAAGTTGAAACTGGTGCTCATTTGCCATTTTATAAATCCCAGGGCCTTTAAGAATTGTGCTAAATCTGTTCTGTCTGTGCTTTATAAATGGAACCACAGGCTGGGCGCAGTGGCTCACACTTGTAATTCCAGGATTTTGGGAGGCTAAGGTGGGTGGATCACTTCAGGTCAGGAGTTCGTGACCAGCCTGGCCAAGATGGTAAAACTTCGTCTCTACTAAAAATACAAAAATTAGCCTGGTGTGGTGGCATGCACCTGTAGTCCCAGCTACTCACGAGGCTGAGGCAGGAGAATCACTTGAATCCTAGAGCTGGAGGTTGCAGTGAGCCAAGATTATGCCACTGCACTCCAGCCTGGGAAACAGAGTGAGACTCCATCTCAAATAAATAAATAAAAATAAATGGAGCAACAAAGCCTAGATGACAGCACATCTGTTGACAGCATACTTTAATAAATATTTTAAGCCCACTGTTGAGACCCACTGCTCAGGAAAACAAAAATTTCTTTCAAAATATTACTGTTCCTTGTCAATGTACCTAGTCAGCAAAGAGCTCTGATGAAGATGTAGAAGGAGAGTAATGTTTTTGTGTCTGTTAACATGACATTCATTCAGCAACCCACGGATCAAGAAGTCATTTCAACTTTTGAGTCTTAATAATAAGAAATACATTTTGTAAGGTTATAGTTGCCATAGACAGTGATTCCTCTGATGGATCTGCACAAATATTCTGGAAAAATTCACCATTCTCAGTGCCATTAAGAACAGTTGCTATTCATGGGAGGAGGTCAAAATATCAACATGAACAGGAGTTTGGAAGAAGTTGATTCCAACCCTCATGGATGACTTTGAGGGGCTCAAGACTTCAGTGGAGGAAGTAACTGCAGATGTGGTGAAAATAGCAAGAAAACTAGAATTAGAAGTGGAGCCTGAAGATGTGGCTGAATTGCTTCAATTTAATGATGAAACTTAAACGGATGAGGAGTTGCTTCATATGGATGAGAAAGAAAGTGATTTCTTGGGAGCAAAACTTCTGGTGATGATGCTGTGAACACTGTTGAAATGATAGCAAAGGATTCAGAATATTACATTAACTTAGTTCAAAAAGTAGTGGCACAGTTTGAAAGGATTGACACCGATTTGGAAAGAAGCTCTACTGTGGGTAAAATACTGTGAAAGAGCATCACATATTGCAGACATGTCTTTTGTAAAACAGTCCATCATTACAGCAAACTTCCTTTTTTTTTTCACTTAAAGAAGTTGCCATAGCCACCCAAACCTTCAGCAACCACCATCCTGATCATTCAGCAGCCATCAGCATCAGGGCAAGACCCTCCACCAGCAAAATGATCATGACTTATTGAAGTCTCATAATCATATTTAGCAGTAAAATATTTTTAAATTAAGTATTTTTAAGTGTACTTTTTTAATACATAATGCTATTGCATGCTTAATATGCTACAGTAGAATGAGAAGTAACTTTCATATGCACTGGAAAGCCAAAAAATTTGTGCGACTTGCTTTATTGTGGTGGTCTGGAACCGAACCCACAATATTTCTGATTTATGCCTATAATACTAAAGTGATCCATTTTTATTTCTCCTTCAAATTACTGAACACTTACATGCTTCTCCTTCTCAGAGTGATCCTTTGGGTTATCATCCCAGGGACAGAGAGGGTAGTTAAGAAACTTAACAAGAAAATAGGTTCACTGACAGGTCTGGATGAAAAGGATGCCATGTTTGGCTAACTAGACTGTTGGAGTGTACTCAAGGGCATACCAGACAGGAAGAGCAAGAGGGAAAGCTCCATTCTTTCAAGTCCCTGGGGATTGAAGAGGAAGAAGGAAAATGATCTAATATAAGGTTCTCTCCTCATTTCCATCCCCACTTCCTTGGTAAATCCAATTCCAAAGAATATAAGGTAGCCAAAAACCTAGACATGTTCAGAAAGAGTGTGGGAGGAACACTAAGGCCACTATGGCTTTTCTCCCTTCTAAAGTTTGGGTTCTAAGAAAGACCATCTTGTAGTCTGCCCCCACAGCCATATGGGGCATTGCTATATCAAAGTCAGGGTAGCATGGCTGGGAGGAGGAGGCTTCAGTGTTTAGCTTGCCCTAACTACCCTCAGTTCCTGTTTGGCAGGAACATGGTTCCCAAATAGATCAAAGCCTGGCCAGAGCTTTCTAGCAGTGCCTACCACAGCATGAAATAAAAGGACAGCAGCTGTAGGGTGGATGCTTGGGCCAAAATGGATGGAGACCATTAGTGCTTCCAAGACCAAGAACACATTGCAGATTGAAACAAAACAAAACAATACTAAATAAAACAAAAATAACTTTTTCTGTTAGTGGTGGCAGTGGACACAGAAGGAGAATCTATATCAATTATGAGCAATGCCAATGGGATTTTAGAATCCTAAAAAGCCGGTTTAAATTATTGGATTGTTTTCTGACTCCCAGATGGAGAATGTATAATTAAGAATTCAATCAGAGAAAGGGAACCAATAGTTTATGTATATTAAGAGATTTATTGCCAGGAATTGGTTTATGAACTTGTGGGACTGGCTGGGAAAGCCTGAAATCTGCGTTGCAGGATTTCAGGAAGGATGATCTGGAATTCTCAGCCAGGGGCAGAAGCTACTGTTTACAGGCAGAGTTTCTTCTTCTTCAGGGAAGCCTCAGCTGTGCTCTGAAGGCCTTTCAACTGCTTAGATCAGGCCCACCCAGATTATTTAGGATAATCTTTGTATAAGTCACCTGATTATGGACCTTAATCACCTCTATAAAACACCTTAATAGCAACATCTAGATTAGCATTTAGCTGAATCACTGGGTACTTTACCTTTGCCAAATGGACACACAGAGCTGACCATCACAGGGAAGTATGTTTATTCTCTCACCATACTTTTTAACTATCAGTGGGCTTCAAATAAGGAGACTGGATACATTTCCCAAAAAATAAAAAAGCACTCTTTATTTTTGCAGTTAAGTTGTCCTGTGAATTTAGGAAGTGCAATTCTGTACAACAAAGTTAGAGAGATACTTAATTGTGGTGTGTGAGCTCAAGGAGGTAATCTTCCTGTTATTCTCTACCTGGAGCAGAGAAAAGTAAAAAAAAAAAAAAAAAACAAAAAACTGGGATCTGTTCTGTAAACTGGATCTAAGGGAATAACCTTGATTTCAGACTCCTGCCACCAATATCACGGTAATTTGTGACATCAGCCATCAGAAACTAATAAAAGCACACTGTAAATCTTGCTTGAATTAAAAAACTTGGGAAGCTTGTTGGAACTATGACTTCAGGACATTCTTTGGGCTTTTTCATTTTTATTTTTTTTTAGCAGTCTTTCCTTCTCCTTAAATAAGAAAACAAGCATGACTCAATAAGTACTCAAAATGAGTTTTTAAAATCTTATATCAAGTAGTCTCTAGGATTTTTGCTTTGTTGTATTCAGAGGGCTTTGAAAATGTTCTCTGATCACTGAGGAAGCACATTCTTCACCCCAGTGAATAGTACCACTGAGCATGAGCCAAGGAAGCCATGCGAAGCCTTCTTTTTTCCTCTCCCCTAAGAGCTTGCTCTCCTGTATCTGTCTCTCTCCATCTTTACAACTCACAGCCATCCTCTCCCCTAAGAGCTTGCTCTCCTGTGTCTGTCTCTCTCCATCTTTACAACTCACAGCCATCCTCTCCCCTAGCATCTCTGCTTCAGTTCTTTCTCCCCTAACAAGTCACTGTACCTATAAAAGCCAGGGTAATATTTTAAATACCTCAGTCAGATCTTGTTACTCTACATCTCCTTTCCCAGCTTAAAAATCATCAAAGGCTTTTCCATTGCCCTCAGCATAACATCAAATGCCTTACCATGCCCCAGATGGACGGGTGTGATCTGGCTCCTGCCAACACAGCCACCCCATCTCACACTCCCTTCCTCCTGCTCACTGTGCCCCAGTCACTCTGGCCTAATTCCTGTCCATGAACATGCTTGCCTCTAGGCCTTTGCATTTGTTGTTGGCTCTTCCAGAAAGCTCTTCCCTTGAATGTTTGTCTGACTGACATCTTCTTGGCTTTCAAGTCTCACCTTAAATGTTACATTTTCACAGAGGCTTTCCCTAACGCCTCCCAATTTGCTAACACTTATATTCACTCATCACAGACTATAAATACCTGTTTATTTGCTCACTTACTTATTTTCTGTCTAAATTCACCAGAAGGCAAACTCCTTGGAACTGGAATTTTGCCAATTCTATTAATTTGCATATTCTCTGCATTTAGAACAGTGCCCGGCACATAGATATCCAATAAATATCTGCCAAAATGATCAATAAATAAATATTAAAATAGAAGATGGTGTGCTACACTGTATCTGTATAAGCTATGAACTAAATACAGCTTCATATACAAGCTACTCATTACATTCTGTTAATTTGCATCATTTGGACCTTTAATACCTCCATTATTTTCTATATACAATGCTGTTAACAACTTGTAAAACTTAATACAGTTAATAACTTTTTAATGAGATCACCAATCTTACCAATGCTAATACTGTTCTTTAGCTTTGGATCCAAAAGCTATAAGAATGGTACCATCTTTTCCTGTGCCTTACACTTCATCTGCCATTTGATTTTCATGTTGGAAGAGTCCTACAACAGCCCAAGGCAGCAAAACCTTTATATGAGCATGGATGACATCATGACCCTAGTATAGGTCATTTAAAATAACTTTTGCCAGTTTTAGACACAGAGGTAAACATAGATAGGAACAGAATTTCCAGGTAATTTGAGGTTTTTTTCTTACTTTTTGGGAAGAAAGCAGCTAGTTATGAAAACTAAACACAGAGGAAAGCATTTTGTTTCTGTAAAAAGACCCCAGCTTGCTTGAACATGTTTCTAAGAATGTTTACTTTGGATATCTAATATTATAACAGATTTCTTTCTAAGTTATGTTCATCAAGCTTCTGGTCGGCAGCGCCATAATTTCTGCTATAAATAAGTCTGATTATTGTAAGAAAGAACTACTTTTCAAAGCACTCCATGCAACTCACTCAGGATGTAAACCACCATAACTCCCTAAATTTATATGCACAGTGCAACTGACATGCCTTCACTATGTCTTCACAATTTAGACAACCAGCACACTACTGGTTCTATGTCCAGAAAGGCTTAGCACTCTTCTATTAGATGTTAGAAGTCTGGAAATTCACTAGAAGTCTGAACTGCTTTCATATGGCATTTAAAAGCAGGAAACAATTGTATAAATTCATATTAAATTTGTTAAGAGGCTCCAGGGTTTCAGAAGTTATTTGGATGAAACAGCTAAAACCTCAAAAGAAGAATGAATGCTGAGCTGCTTTCTAAATAAAGATATTGTGACACACAAAGCAATAGGCATGATTTAACATAGGTCAAAATATGACTGTGACCCTGGCATACACAACATCTTAAAATTCTTCTTTGATGGATGGAAAAGCATTTTCCTAGACCCATGACATTACAAACTGCCATTCTATATAAATTCAGCTGTAAAATTATTTTTAGTATGTATATTCTCCTCCAAGACTTAATCAATTCCTCTCTCAATGCTTACAGATGTTTTCATTGAGCTAAGGTAGATAAATTCATAGACTATGTGCTAGAATGTTAATTATAGTTTTTCTTTATAGCTCCTGGGTGATCATGCCTTAACTCATCTATGAAAAATTACATTTTGGCCAGATGAAAATTTGATGTCCCTGGGAAAATGGGATTTATACAACTAAGACAAAATCCTAAACTGCCCATCTGAGATGCCAAAGCCTCATTTATAATATTTGCTGGAGAGGGGGGCAATTAGCTTGGGGGGAAAGACTTCTCAGGTACCTGTAAAACATTCCCAAAAGCTTAAGACCAAACTCTCACTCCTCACCGAAGTTACTGGTCTCAAACTCTAAACCAAAGCCCTAGAATATTTTGGGAAATGTATAGCTATTAAAAAACACTTGACAACTGGGGAAATGAGAATGAGTAAACCTCATTATTCTTCATATTTTACCCCTCAGTTTAAACCATTTGGGTATAGGGGGTGAGTTCACAGGGCTTTAGTTCTCGCCTGTCCCTGAGGGTGGGAGGATGCCATCTCTCAGACTGCCTGCATATAATACTACACCCTCTGGGTATCATCACTCAAGTCTCTGAGCCTTGAGGTCAGGACTCCCGAGAAATCCTGGTCAGTGGTGAATGAAATGCACCAAAGTCCCCTTTGCAGTTAAACTCTGTTTTAATGAAATTACTTCACTTTCCAGTATTCATTTTTGTGTAATGTAGCTAACATAAATACTAGTAAATCTCCCCAGATTGAGTCTAATTATGAAGGGCCAGAGGGTAGGAGAATTAGAAGGACTGTATTGTAAGTTAAGAATCTTAGATGCTGAAATAAAACTATTAGCAGCCAAATTATAAGGCAATTTTTTGTTTAACAGATAAGATTTTTCATCTTAGAAATTAAATACGGCCGGGCATGGTGGCTCATGCCTGCAATCCCAGCACTTTGGGAAGCCAAGGCGGGTAGGAGTTCAACACCAGCCTTGCCAACATGGTGAAACCCCGTCTCTACTAAAAATACAAAAATTAGCCGGGTGTGGTGGCGGGCACCTGTAATCCCAGCTACTTGGGAGGCTGAGGAAGGAGAATTGTTTGAACCCTGGAAGCGGAGGTTGCAGTGAGCTGAGATTGCACCATTGCACTCCAGGCTGGGTGACAGGAGTGAGACTCTAACTCAAAAAAAAAAAAAAATTAAACACACTGTTATCAATGTATTCAAATAAAGGACGGTCAGAGAACTTAGGGTACACACACACACACACACACACACACACACACACGTGTATATATATGGTATATTTACTGATTCAGTGTTTGAAATTTTGATTGAATGTGGTTTGGTGATTTATAGCAAGAAAGAGAAGATGACATCAAAAGTTTGGGTGTGAAATTGAAATTATCTAAATTTGAATGTTTTAAACCAATTTGTTTTTTTGTAAGCACTTTCTACTCTCAAGAAGAGAATTTTAATTTGGGAGTAATAAGAAAAAGTCATAGGCTAAGCTTTCTGTAAGAAATATGGACTTAAGAAAAAGCTTTGAAAATGTAGCCTAATAGCACGGCCCCAGTGGGAAACTCTTTTTCAGTAAAAGATTCATTTTTAATCTTTTGCAGTGTATCTCTATAGATACACAGCACACACACAAACATATATATATATATATATATATACATGTGTATAAGTAAAATATAACATTTATTAAAAACTTGGGAATTTTGTATTAAAGGCTTCTTGAGTTTGAAAGGGTGGTCAGAAAAATAAAACAATAAAAATGATTGTTAACTTTATTTTAAAAAATATGTTTCTCTTTTACTCTGAACTGGTAGATTAAATTATTGGAGAATGCAAAAATGGGGAATTTGGGGCTTGGCATATTTAATTCCATGGAAGAGTTTGGATTTCCTCATTAAAACTACACAGCTAATGTTTGATGTAAGTATGAGATTTCAATTGAAATGTGATCCAATTGGGTGAAAAAAAATACCTTTATGAAATGGTCCTATCAGGAACCAATCTGAAGATTATATAAATTTTGCAAAAGACACCAGTTGACTTATTAGGTGTGGCTTAAACATGTAATATTTTACATATTTTCCAGTCATCTTTAAAAATGTAATTGTAATTTATTTTGATAAACTATGGCTGTCTTTTATAACATCTCTAGTTATCTGTGGAAAGTTAGAATTCTTATAGTTTTATTTCAGCAGTGATATGTATTTTTCCAAAAGCTTATGTGCATATGGAATTCTCTATTATGTTTACCTGTCATTAAAGTGAGGATATTAATGATACATATAAAGTCAAAGGAGGATTTTTGTCTAAACCTCAAGTATATTCTGTATTTACATAGACTGTTCTTTGAAAATTATATAGATATGTAAGGTACCAGGAAACATCCTGATCCTTCTACGGGAAAATTAAATACAAGTTCGGAAAAAAATACTAATTGGGATAAATATTTGGTTTCTATACTATAAACCTTGGTGGGTGATAAAGCGATGCATCATACTATAAAATTAAGAAGAGCTCATAGCACCCCAAAAAAGGAGAAAGTTAAATGAAAGTTTTAATTAATGAATTTAGTAAAGTCAAATTTATAAGACAGTAAAGAAGCAAAAATCATACATATGACATCATTAATTCGTTGCAGTAAAAAGAAATATTGGTGAAATGAAACTGTTAGGTAGATAGGCAGACATAAGCAGGGCAGGAGAACCACCCACCATCTCCAGGAATGTCAATAGACCATCATGTGATAGTTGAGCAGTTGTTGAACTGTCTCTCTAAAACAATAATTGATCGCAGCCAGCTCCAGCAAATGACAGTCTCTCAATAGATAGAAAACACCTGAAGCTGGTGTTCAGCAGCTTCCCGATAACATCTCAGGAGTTGGGTGAGCCGATTCAAGCATGCACTAAGGGGCAAAATGGCAGAATTTAACTGTTATATGACCTTCCTGTAGGAATGCGCAACTGGTAAGGGAAAAATGCCTCAAGCAAGCATGTGCGCAACCTCAGGAAACACACTACGTATGCAGCCACTCCCATGTGCTGGCAGGTCACCAAGCATGTGGACAGCCTGCCCCCAGGAAGAATCAGGGGAGAATAAATGCAAACCCCGGAACCATGCCAATGTATAAAACCCCAAGTCGGCCAGGCATGGTGACCCAGGCCTGTAATCCCAGAACTCTGGGAGGCCGAGGTGGGTGGATCTCCTGAGGTCAGTAGTTCAAGACCAGCCTGGCCAACATGGTGAAACACTGTCTCTGCTAAAAATACAAAAACTATCTGGGCATGGTGGCGGGCAACTGCAATCTCAGCTACTCGGGAGGATGAGGCAGGAGAATCGCTTGAACACGGCAGGCGGAGGTTGAACTGAGCCAAGATTGTGCCATTGCACTCCAGCCTGGGCGACAAGAGTGAAACTCTGTCTCAAAAACAAACAAACAAACAAAAACCCAGTTAAGGGCACAACAGGGCACTTGAATCTCTCAAGTAGCCCTCCTGGCCCTCTTCCAAGTGTATTTTACTTTCTTTTGTTCCTGCTCCAAAACTTTTTAATAAGCTTTCACTCCTGCTCTAAAACTTGCCTTGGTCTAACTCTCTGCCTTAAACTTACTTCTGCCATTTGGTCAAATTCTTTTCCCGGAGGAGGTAAGGATGAATTGCTGCGGACTCATATGGATATGCTGCTGTTAACAAGACAATTTTAGAGAACTTTGAAACTGAGATCTTTGAGCTTTTCCATAGACCCAGGGTAGAGCAGACCCTTCTGTTGACCAGTGATTGAAAACCACCACATTCCAAAAACAGAACTATCATAGTGCTGTAGGAATGCCTATGCTCTCAAATTAAAAGCCAACTGAAATCAAAATAATGCATTATACGAGAAAGCTGTCTATAGAATCATGCAGTTTGTGTTCAACCCCTAAATAGAATGCAGCTGTGGGCAGGGCTTCTAATAAACGTTGTTTCAACACTCCTTGACACTTGATTTCAGCTGTAGCTAGCCTAGCTGTGGCCAGCAGCTTGACTTTGTGCTCAGTGTCTCACTGCATGTTCTTTTTGGTTTCCAGCATCTTGGAAGCTGCTAGAGCCTGTTGGCTCATGGAAGGCCTGCAGCCTGGAAATGCAGAGTAGTGAATAACCTTTGGGCAGCCTGTCCTCAACCAAGAGAGACTGACAGTTGGTGGATAGTCCCTTGCCTTTCATTTGTAGGCAGACAATTCTTGCAAGCTTCTCTGGAGAATTCAATAACATTCCCAAAAGCAGTGACCTCCATAGCAGACTCTAATATTGCCTTCCTTTCTTCTCTCATTTTGCATGCTTTCTCACTTCTGTTTCTTCGGATTAGCTCCCAAATGACCTGCCTACACCCAAGTCTGTGTCTCAGGCTCTGCTTTCAAGGGAACCCAGACCAAGAGACACAGTCCTTTGATTGCACCTCTTTTCAGCAATTCCATAAAAGTGATAGGTTAAGAACTGAGTTAGCCTTGGGTTTTGGCTGGTAGTTAATCTGCCTCTTTTCAACCTGCATGAAAATTGTTTTTAGAAAAAAGCAAAAAGATACCTCAAAAATCTCCAAAACTACTCATTTATTTCCTTTACACTATTTATTTTTGTTCACAATTACTTGTCTATAGGTTTAGCATCTTATTTCATTGCTCATTTACAGATGGATCAGCATTACAGTGCTGAATAAATGTGATTAGTATAATGTCCTGCCCATCTTTATGTACTACACACAACTTCATTAAATGTTAAATAATAGGGGAATTGATGATCACAGCATTTATCTTCAGTGGAGGATTTGCATATGTATTTAAAGTATTTAGTGAAATTTGTTGGTGGTTCTAGATGGGTTAGGAGAAAATTATTATTTTTTCAATTAAAAATAATGGAAGATAAGCTGTAACTACCTGAAAATTTTTTATCCAACAATTTTTTTTTTATCTATCTTTAGGAACAGATTAAATAAGAGGGATTCATGTGGTGTTCACTACCTTATTGTTGGAAGCACCCAATATTTACCCAAAAGATTCTAATAACAATATTTTAGCTGCAGTGACTTAGATAAATCAACAACACACATATATGGTTAAATATTTTGTGTTCCTTCAAAAATTTTTACCAGGCCTTAAATAAAGGAGAAAATGGCAAATGATAAACCAACCCCATTACAGAGAAATTACATTGGGAGAAAAGTAAATGTCAGTTATATATTTTAAATGTATCTTACATATTCTATAATATATACCTAAATAATATACAATATATCATGTCATATTAAAATACAGTAGGATAAACAGATAATTATATAATTTAAAATAATCATATTTCTTTCTCAGATTAGAGGGAAAATTTGCTTCGCTATTTTGCACATATTTAATAACAACAAAAGTGTATGATCTCACTTGGTTAATTGTGATATGGAAATAAAATAGAAGTTTTTACCACTCTGTGTATATGTAGCTAATTTTAAATGTTTGGGATATATAAAATAGAACTATAATATACATATGTATGTTCATGATTTTTGAATAAAGCAGAGAAACAGAGTTAGAGAAAGAGAGAGACATTTTTTTCTCCCTATACAATTTGAACGAAAATTGTTTATGTTTCCTTTGGCTTCATGATATTTGGGTAAGCATTTTTAAAAGATGTACTAATCATCCTGTAGAATCTAATTATGAAAATAT
Source organism: Homo sapiens (assembly GCF_000001405.40). Lineage (NCBI taxonomy): Eukaryota > Metazoa > Chordata > Mammalia > Primates > Hominidae > Homo > Homo sapiens. Next base: position 226,047,955 of record NC_000002.12, read on the forward strand.
TTTAAGTCAAGCTTAAGAAAATTACTACTCTTGGATGTTATTTCAGAACTCTTCATAATTTCAATTTTATTTGATTATAAAAATTTCATGCAATCCCAGCACTTTGGGAGGCCGAGGTGGGCAGATCACAAGGTCAAGAGATCGAGATCATCTTGGTCAACAAGGTGCAACCCCGTCTCTACTAAAAATACAAAAATTAGCTGGGCCTGGTGGCACGTACCTGTAGTCCCAGCAACTCGGGATGCTGAGGCAGGGGAATCACTTGAACTCAGGAGGCTGAGGCTGCAGTGAGTCGAGATCACACCACTGCACTCCAGCCTGATGACAGAGTGAGACTCCATCTCAAAAAAAAAAAAAAAAAAATTCCAAAAAATAAAGTGACATTAAAAATTGTTCATAGCTATAAAAGCAAAAGAAATCACAGCACTTCCATCTCCCACACTCTTTAAAACACCTTTGAAAACAACACATGTTCTGATTTATCATATACATTCAGTCTTCTAATCTCTGCAACACGAATCCATTTTTAAAAATGTTTGATCAAATATTCAGATAGTATGCTAATGTGCATGTTTAAAAATACTCTATATTGGGCATTTAGGGGGAAAACATTAAAGGGACTTTTTTCCTTTTTTTTTTTTTAATAAAATCAATTTCTATTTGATTTTGAATTGCCCTTAACATGTTTCAGAAAGAAGATGCAAAATTGAATGCTGCTCTGAGAGCATGTTGTGCCCCTGAGCCAGCACTGCTTCGCAGCCAGGGATTCTGACCCTGCTGGAAACCCTACGGCAGAGCAGTGATGGCAAGAACTGAGAGGATATCAAAACCTCAAACGAGCTACACTCCTGTGGATTTGGAAAGAAACAAGACACTTAAACATTCCTGCTATGGTTTCCTTAGCAACATCCATAACAACAACTCTGTAATACTATGGGGTTCTGTTTTCTTAACCCTTCAGGATGTCAACTGAATGAAAACTTCCTTGAGGAAATATTTCAACTTACTAGGTGGACTGGCATAAATTAAACTCAGTAGTGCACGATCTTCTAACCCCTTCCCTTAGCCTGGGTGAAGTGGCTAGGAGAGAAGTAGGGAGAGGGAGCAACATACAAGTTCTACCTTGACTGCCATGAGAGTTTACTTCATAAAAGAGTTGGGTTGGTACTGTTTAGAGGTGACTTGTATGGAAAAATGAAAATATACTCCAAGGCAGTGTGAAGTTAAATTACCCTTGGAAGTCCCCATCAAATATATTTAGTAAAGGAGAAAATCCAAAGCCCAAAGAGTTTTCTATAACCACATTGTCTGAAATGACAGAAAACAGCAAACAGCCCTTAAATCATGTGTATTCAGAATAAACGAAGGGTTTAGGAATATTTTATTGAGCCAATTTTATGTAACGTATCTCAAAGGTAATAATTCAGAGCAATCATTTAATATTAAATTGGTTGAGAAAATTATACACTTAGGAAAGGTTGGGATGGGAACAAATATATAGCAATATGCCAGTCATTCAAACGTTTAAGGTGTGTAATATGAAATTATTTTTATTCAAGAATTTAATTATTTGGCATGTAGTAAATAATTTTATTATAATAACTCATAATAGTAATATAATAATTGCAAGAATAATAGAAGATGAGAAAGAAGAGAATAATATATCCTACTAATAAAAAAGTTGAAAATTATCAGTGATATATTTCTGAAGTTATTATAATTCAGGAATATTGTGGAGCTGAAGCAAATTAATGAAGATACTACTCAAAAGTATAATTGTTTATTTCTTTATCCCAGGCTAATATTCTTTACCTATTGTTATATAATCAATTTATTTAAATGTCTGTTTAATAAATTAAAATTTAAAAGCCTTCTTATCTATATAGAATAGCTGATATTTGACAATCAACAAAATCAAAGAAAAGTAATAATCAATGTTTATAGGTGAATAATTCCAATTGAGAAAATTCTCACAGGTATTATATCACTAACACTTGAGTGTTTTGAATTAGTAGGAATTTGTTTTCTTTCTTTCTCATCCTCTTCCTATTATTATTCTTACAGTTGTTATTATTATATTAGTTTTAATTCTTTAATGATAGACATAAAATCAAAATATGTAAATACTCGACATGAACTGTAATCTTTAACTTCCTCTTTTATACGTTTAAGTCAAGTCAGGCTTGTGACCTGCAAGAAGGCAGTTTTTGTTTAAGACAAAAAAGATGTCAGAATATCCTCTTGTCCTTTCACACATATGGCTCTCACTACGTCATCCAGTAAGACCCAACACATTTTCATTAATGTCATACTCAGGATGCAGAAATAATAAGGTTGCTACGTTGAGAAAAGGAAGGCAGGAGGGGAACATGTTGGGAGGAAGACGTTGCCTACTTTTTATTGGAAAGCTATTAATGGAGTCCAAATGATTTATCAATTTGATGCAAGCAACACATTCATTGGTTCCTTGAATTGCTTAGGAAAATGGGAAAATCATCCAGTTTCTGAACATTTCTGATCATTTTAGTCTAAGAAGGGATCATAGTTTCCATTTAAGGCCTGTTTCCTACCTTTTAGACCCCAAGCTATCTCCTGTATATCTGCTTTTTTTCTTCTACTCGATATGAGAATTAGAGGCCAAAAAAACAATTTGAAAGAGAAAAATAAGTAAGAAGTAATAATGAATTACATTAGTGCAATCAATCTTTTAATGAAAATCAAGTTTTATCAGAAAAGTAACAGTACACCCTTCAATACATCATGGAGATAACCATGTTGAACTTGGATGAGAGAAATCTGGATTCATCACAATTTTTTCTTCTGGGTCTTCAAAAAGGATGCATACCCTATGAAACTTCAGAATATGCAACAAGATCTTTAGATAATGCAAGCATGGTGTTTTATCCAAATGATTAGCGGTGTCCCTAAATCCCACAAAAGAGGAAAGAGACGGTAACATACAGTCAAAGAATTAGGATGATGACCCTAACACCACAACTCTAAGCGAGGATCACCCATCGGCAAACAAGAAGCCCTCCACAGATTACAGCCCCGCCCTGGGAAATGACTAAGCACCTAACCATGCTTATTGTGTGGTTATTATTGTTATCTACTTGTTATTATTATATTTCTTATTTCTCATGAGCCATGCAAACATATTCACTTGTTTTCAGACCTTGTCCCATCTCTGTTGAAGATCTATCTGATTCCTGATAGAATCCTGCTTTTCAATCCACCAACATCTTTCATTACTTGCTAGGACAGGTATTGCCTTCATCCTAACACAGTTGTCAGTAAACATAAACTCCTGGGCCTACCCACATAGGCTTTGTCTCACAATCCCAGCCCTCACACATGAAGGCTACAGCAAAGGCCAGGGTCTCCAGGCTGTTGATCAGTTTATAAAGAAATCTGCAACATATGAAGGATAAATGCAATATGATGGTGAAAAAATATGGTGGAAGATGGGCTGATGTGAGGCAAAGCTCAGCAGATTACAAGGGTAATAATCAACAAATAAGCATATTATTGTCTCCAAGGGAAGTTAAAACATGTATCAACAACTCTGAACCTAGAACCATAAGAATAAAAGAAAAGCAATGGATGGGGTAAAGTGAGTAGAAGAGAAAGGTCATCAAAAATGCCGTGGTGAAGATGGCCCTACACAGATAGCCTTAGAAAGCAATTCTTACAAGAGCTAATACAAAACAAAAGAAGAAGGAGAAGATTAACATGAGTGAATGTATAACTACCGTCAGAAAAAAGGATGAAACACACTGAGCCTTTTAAGTAGTTGAAACTTCAATTATTCTTAGTATTAGTTATATAGATCTCCCAATACGAAGCCTCTTCCGATAGAAAAGTTTATTACTTTTGTCTTAATCTAAAAAACACAGTCAAAAGAATGAGCACACATCTTCAGTCTTTACCCTTTGCTCATCTTCCTGGTCACAGCCAGCCAGAGTCATCTTCTAAAAACACAGTTCTGATTATGTCCTTTTTCTGTTTAAAATCCTCTTTCATTTTCTATTGTTAAAATTAGGTCATACCCCTATTCCTGGAATGCAGAGTTCTCTGATATTTGGCCTATAACTCTTTCTGATATTTATTTTTTCTTCTAATTCTACTTTCCACGTTTTCTACACTAGCCAAGTCAAACTGCCAATCATTTCTTGTGCATGCACTTCTGCAAGTTCCCCAGCCTTCACAGTTTTCCCATACAATTTCCTATTTGGTCTCAGTATCATTTATGGCATGTTTCAAATGCTACTTCTTCCATGAAGAAAAGTCCAAGTAATTCCTGGCTTTTCCTAATGCTCACATAATTTTATATGGATGTTATGAATTTTTCTTCTTCCTCTTTTGTATTAATTATAGGTGAATGTAGATGAGTGGATGGATGGGTAAATTCACACATCCAAAGATATTCTCCACTACTATGCTAAACGAGAGCCAGAGACTATCTGAGATGCATAAAGACATTAAAAGTGCCTGCTCTGAAGCTAGAGAAAACTGAGTTTGAAGCCAAGGTCTGTTAGTTTGTAGCTGACACCTTGAGTTAGTTATCTACCCTCTTTAAACTTAGGTTAACTTATCTGTTTAAATAAAAAAAGAAGTGATGATGTGTAGAAGGAGGGAGAGAAGGAGGAAGATAAGGAAGAGGAAGAAGAGGAAGGAGAAAAAACAGAGGATAAACAAGAAGAGGAGGAGGAAGAAAAACAAACAATGGATGAAGGATGATAATTATGTATTTGGCATAGTTTTTGGAAAATAAAATATATTCACTCAATATTAGTAATTAAAGTTATCAATTATCATTAATATATAACTAGTCTTTTCAGTTTTACTTTTGCACACTTCATGATGCTTAGCATGTAAAATGCACTCAATCGATATTGGCTAAATGAGGGCATGCCTGTTTTATATTTCACTATGAGAAGTCGATAGGGCAAGAACATACCAAGAATAAAAGGACCTCTGGGTAAGAACATCAGAAATGAAAGTTGAAAATGAAAGGATGTGGTAAAGAAGGTGGCAGAGTGGATAGCAAAGGCCAGTGACACAAAGTCGATCATACTTGAAAAACGATGCATAGTGCAGTATCTGTAAAATACAAATCAATAGATCAGAGCAGGTGTTTGTAATATTTGGTTCATGAATGGGCCTCATAGGCCTGTGAACTCCTGAAATTGTATGCAGCATCTGGAAATGAGCAAGAAACCATGGCTTTTTATCAGACTCTCAAAAGAATTGATGACTCCACAAATATTAAGCAACTCATTTTAGAGATGGAGCACATAAGTAAGGTCAATTAGAGACCACAGAAAATAAGGTAACGTAACTTGTGCTTCACGTAGGGATGCTGTTTGGATATTCAGCATAAACTTCATGGATAATATAAAGCTCCTAAACAGAAAACAAAGGGAGCCATGGTGTTAAGGCTGAAAAACACCCACCTTTTACCTCCCCCTGGGAGAGGAAATGTTAAGTCTTGAAGCATGGAAAGTCGTCAGGAGATAACTCACCAAAAGGGTGAAGCTCATTGGAAACAGAAGAGAGAAGCAAAAGAGAACTAAAAAGAACAAAAATGAAAACTTGTCAAAAACAAAAACTGTTTTTGAGATACTAGCATGCAGTTGATAGAGGATAGAAACTGGAATTAATTTAAAAAAGAAATGCTGGAAACTTTTACATATAAACAAAACAAAGCAAACAAAAGACAAATAAAACACCTTGTTGGGATAAATCAAAGCATTGTTCCTTAAAATGACCATGTAGTACGAACTTGTAACATGTTACTTACAGTTTACTTATTTTACTTGTTTGCTTGGGATGGGTTTCAGTGGAAGACACATTACCTTCAACTGCCCTTTCATATTAATCACTATCCACTGGAGCTTTTATTTTTTTTTAAATACTTCTATAGAGATTAAATTGCATCAATTTCTTAAAAGTCTTTAGAAAACCAGAGTATCAAAGCCACTATGGACTTGCACAATATTAGTGATATTGATTTATACTGTACATTTTCCAAAGAATGAATCTATCTCACTCAGGAACCAATTGAGAGAAAATAGAACCTTGCAATTTATCTTAATATCTAACAATCCTATATTAGCTCTCTGTCCATAAAAATATATTATTTTTAGCATTTCAGTTATTTTTGCATCTCAAATTATTTCCCTCTTAAGGTAATACATGAACACATACACTTGTAGAATCCAAATTCAATCTCAGTTTACACACTGCGCTTAGAGTCTGAATCAAAGATATTTAATTAAATTGCAAGAAAAAATTCAGTATTTTTATCTTCTTTGAAACACTGATTAGTATATTTTAAATTGGAATTGCAATTAATATGACTCTTAGATGTGTAGAGGAAAGAAGAGAAAAAATGCTTTATATAAATTAAGAGAATCTGTTTAAAATAAAGTAATTGTTACCATGCAGAAGGTGGTTTTAAATAATAGGCAGATGCACAAACTTTATTTTTACTGTAAAAGACAAAGTCAATTATAAAACGCTGGTATAAATCCAAAGCCCTAAGGACTTGTTTGCTAATGTAATATTGGAATCCTAAAATAGAAAGAAAGTCCATTGGGAAACTTTACTGCCAGAGACTTAGCCTCTGAAAATCAACTGATTGTAAGAGAACTTATGGTTCCAACTGAATAGAAGTAGTCAAAAACTGAGCCCAGGACCAGCTACATAATTTGCAAGGCCCAGTGCAAGACGAAAATGCTGAGCCCTTGTTCACAAATTAAAAATTTCAAGATGATGACAGCAGAGCATTAAACTAAAGCCCAGTGCAGGGCCCTGCGTGAGACTACACATCCGTGACATGAGTCCTGCCAAGGCCTTTCAAGCCCAGAGCTCTCTAGAATCAGATATCATGATTTATTTGATACCTTAGGTGCCAATGGAAAATTTAAGTTTCCATTATAAAGACCTTAAGAATGATATTGATGAAAAGATTTAATAGCTGACTTATAACCATTTGTTTGTGTATGTTATGGAAGAATCAAGTATCTACATCCTTGGTAGGCCTAAAGATGAAAAAGAAGGCATTAAGGAAATTTTTACAAGTTCTTGACCATGGCACATAATCTTTTTCACTACGACCTTTTCCAACTATGGACAGCAATTGCCTAGCAAGATGCAGGTCAATGCTAAAGTCAGTAGTTAGGAAGAGGGTACTCTGTAGAAGTAAGCCTTAAAAAGTGTTTGACAACAAGATGGTATAAAATATTAAGCCGTGGACATGAAGGTTTCATGGTAGGACTCCTAGAGGATTCTGAAACCAAGCAAAGTTAAAAAAAAAAAAAAAAAGAAAGAAAGGAATGATTAAATCTGGGGAGAAAGCTAGCATTTGCTTGAGTTGTTAATTGGTAAGCATGAGAGTTAATAACAAGTCATCGTCTTCCCTTGATTTTAGGGCCTTGTTTCAGAAGTACCGTGTGTTAAGTATTAATAGACAAGGGATCTCATTTCAACCCAAAATTTTATAGGCATATATTCATGGATATACACACATCCACATGCATATATGTTAACCTATGTGGCCACAGCCAAGGCAGTTACCATCTGTGGCAGTGTACATTTGTTGGAAGATGAGATTTTCAGTTAGAAATATTATAATTTTATCACATCACATCTACATTTACAAAAGTAAATATGATAATGAAAAAATCTTCTTGAATTAGAATGGATTCAAATAACCCCCATAATTTCTAAAATTTAAGATATAAGCTTCTTTCATCCAAATAATCTGCTTTTGTTATACAGAATTATGTGGAATGGATTTGGCTGACTTACTTGGGTACATCTTCATTTTTTTCCCCAAAGTTTACAAATAAGAGTTAATAAGAAAAAAACTCTAATGTACTTACAGTGATTTTTAAAAATGTACTCCACTCTTCTCATCCACAGCCTATATTTTCCTGATTTAGAATCTAAATTGGATTTGAGAAATAGTCATACTTATATGGAGAGAAGTAGTAATTTTATATTTATTCACTATAGTACACCAGGAACTATGCTTAACACTCTCCATCCATGGTATTTTTTTAATCTTCAAAATATTTCTGAGATGGGTAAAATTTCCGTTTTACAAATAAGGAAACAGAGGTCCACAGATATTATAAAACCTGCCCAAAGTCTCACAGCTACTACATAATTTAAGAAAAATATTTGGCTGTAAAAGAGACCAAAAAATACTTAAACAAATGAGGGTTGACATTTTTCTTTTGTAACAAGAAGTCTGGAAACAGGTATTTAAGACTTGGGAACATCAACTGGAAAGCCCTATGATTCTTTTGGTTGTTAAATTATTGTTTCAAGATGGCTGCTCCAACCCTAGTGGCAAGTTAGTAGTCCAGGCTGGAAGGAGGCAGAAGGGAAGTGCCAATGGCTGAATAGGCTCTTAAGCACTGTTTTTTCAGAAATCCAAGTCAACAAGTGCAAGGTGGATTTTATTCACCCATTATGCAAATAAGTCTAAGAAATGCAAGTTTGTTTGTTTGCATGTTTGTTTATTTTCTAAATGGGGCTTATTGCTGCCCCTTTCAAAATCAAATTTATTAGAAAGGAGAAAAGTAGCTACTGGGTAGAAAACCATCAGTCTGGCAACTGCTTGATGCCCTTTCCTCTTGGAATTTTTCTACCTAGGAAGGATTCCCAGCCCAGAAGTGGTGATAAGGAAGCTTCCTTCTTCTTCAATCTTTACCATCTCTTCCATTTGGGAAAAGGAGATGGGAATCACATTTGTTCCCAGTGCTGTGGGTGCTTCCAAAGAAAAACAATGCCTTCTTTCTCTTCTCTCTCTTTTTTTATTTTTCTGCTCACAAAAGGAACAAGCTCATGAAACTGGATGTTAAATTGAACCAAGCCAACAATAGAAGGGATAAGGCAGGCATGCTTATAAGTAATTCAAAGTAGGTGACCGAGAGCAGTGAGAATATAAAATGTATATCTTCTATACGAAATACATAAGATGATCAAGGCAATGATGATCAGAACAGATCTTTCCTTTTCAAAGAAATTATTGGGTAATTGGCAGAGTGCTGTGAGTCCATCTTCCAACCCAACTCTTTGCCCCTCATTACAAGACATAAGCTTCAATATAGCCAGGAGTTTGGTGGTATATAGTGGACGTGTGCCTGACAAAAGCCGAAAGAGTCTAAAGGCAAGAATCTACAGCTATTAGTTGTAAACTGTAGGACATAAAAAGAGTGCTCAGCTATGTTTGAGTTAGCTACAATTCTACAATAATTCAGGAGTTTTTCTTATTGTCTACAGATGGACCATGCAAGGACAGAGACACCTGACATTCTCTAAAAAGACCATCTTAAAGAATGATAGGACCAACAGTGAGACATGATGTAAAAGGACTGTCAGAAACCAGAGGCTAATGGGAGTCCAGAGGACGAGATAAAGTTGCAACACCTGTATCATAGAAAGCACAGTTGACTACTCCAGTGGAAATGCTGAGAAACTCAGGAAAGCTCCCATGATAGGTGGAGACAGTTTTAAAAATCTGCCAAGACCTCAGAGCATGAAGCATGTTCTCATTATCAGTTACATAAGAACCTTCTTTATCTCTTGTCCCTCCCCTTAACTCCTCCCCCACTGTTAATCTTGAAGCCATTCACAACAGCAGCCAAGGAGTGGTGAGGAGGTGAGCAATAAAGAGAGAAGGTGCTTAGCTTTTGGAAAAGGCAGGACTACAGGCTACCAGCTCAGGATAGGTGAAGTGAAAATCTTTCCCTTCAATAAATATTGGATTATAAATTAACATGTTATATTGAGCAATTGCAATTAGGTTGGTGCAAAAATAATTGCATTTTTGCCATTAAAACTAATAGCAGTCTCAATACTAAATTAAGACTGTTTGCCACTGAAAGAAGCCATAGGATCTTTGATTACATAAGATAAGAGTGAGCGTAAGAGGCATGCACTTGCCTGAGTTTGTAATCCCTGAATTTCCATCAGGGGCAGAGGAAGAGCTTCTTTACAATGAAGAGATTTAAAGGGAGCAGTGAGAGACAACAATGTACTTGCACTGAATTACCCTCGGGGAACCTTGCTTGTTCCCCATGCTGGTTACACTTGCCAGTTGCTTTCTGACTTCCTATACTGAGCACACCAGATACAGTCTGACCCTGCCCAGCTCCTTAGTCTCCTCTTTGTGCTCTAACTTCCTCCCCAGGTCATGCTGTCAGTTTGCTTTGGCTCAACTGGGAAGAAAAGAAGAAGGAGGTGTTTATCTTCAACTCAGGTGAAGGCAGGATAATTGCAAATTTCTTCCTTGATGCATAAGTCAGTTAGGTCCTTCATTAAACCATTACCATACATAAAACTGATCTTCTCATTCCTCTGTGTTCATGCCATGGAGTTTATGACATATAAATATGAGCCCTGAAGGAAACAGGGGTGTTTAGCTGCATAAGCTAAACCTCAACTGTGGCAGAGCCGGGATTTAAACATGGAGCTGCTGCAGAAGACTAAGCTCTCAACCTATTCCCTTTGTTCTCTAACTCCAGAGAACGAGAGAGCTGACCGGACCCTCCCTATCCTGCCCTAAACTTGAGGTCTCTGAGGAAATCACATTTACAGAATTCACCTGGAAAATGACTACCCTGACTACCATTAGGTATGAGTTCTAGTCCAGTGGAGATTTCTGTTGAGCTAAGCTGAATCATTCAGGACTCCTTCCTGAGCTAGAGAAAACACGTCAAATGAGCTTCTTTGCACATTTCCTCTAACCCACCACACATATTTGACCTTTCATCTGTAACACCTGGAATACCTGGTGCAGAAGAATAAAGATAACCAAGAACATGAACACTATGGCAAGACTGCACTAAGTTGTAGGACCCTTTCTTTTGCTCCCAAGTTTGGAGCTATTTGAGAAACAGAAATAGTTCTTAAAAGCACATGAAAAGAACAATGTCAATAATCATGCTGACTGAAACATTGAAAACATCGTTAAGACAATATTAAGCTCTTGTTGTACTTGAATCTGGGCTGTGAAAGACGTGGCATCTTAGTTCGTTTTCTGTTCTTATAACAGAATCCCTGAAACAAGGTAATTGATAAAGAAAAGGAATTTATTTCTTATGGTTATTGTGGCTAAGTCCAAGGTCTAGGGGCTGCATCTGATGAGGGTCTTCTTTCAGGTGGGGGCTGTTTGCAGAGTCCCCAGGTGGTAAAAGGCAGCACATGATGGGAAAGCTGAGCGTGCTCATGTGCTAGCTCAGGTATCTCTTACTCTTCTTATAAAGCCACAAGTTCCTCTCCCAAGATAACCTATTAATCCATTAATTTGTTAATCCATTCATGATAGCAGAGCCCTCGGGATACAACCACCCCTTAAAGGCCCCACTTCTCAATCCTGCCACATTGGGTATTAAATTTCAACCTGACTTAAAGGGGGCAAATATTCAAACCATAGCAATCAGATATACTTCGACACTCTTAAACTACTGTTTATTAGAGTTCTTGGTATTTGTAAAAGGTAGCTTTCCAAAATCCTATACCCCTCCCATAACTCCTCTAACCCTTACGCACATGCAGGCATGTACAGGCATGTGCGTACATACACACGCACATGCACACACACACACATATTTGTACACATTGATGATTGCATCAATGAAGAGAAGGCAAACTGGTATTTTTCTTTTCTTCCTTTCTTTTTCTTTTTTTTTGAGACAGAGTCTCGCTCTGTCGCCCAACAACATTCAAAAGCCAGCAGCAAGATTGAGGTTCCATCATGTAGAAGTTAGAGCAGAAGCTAAGGACAGAGAATGCCTGGGTTCAAACCCTACTTTTGTTACTTATCAGTCTGTGTAACTTTTGTGAAACTTACTTAACCTGCCTGTGCTATAGTGTACTGATCTGTAAAATGGGGGTACTAAGAGTACCTACATCTGTATAATGGGGGCAATAATGGAACCTGCCTCAGATGGTTACTCATTGGTAAAAGAGTGACAATAATAGTATTTGTCTCTTTCGTCTTAAGGATTAGAAGAGTTAATACATATAAGCACTTAGGAGACTGGCATGTAGTGAGCATTAAGTAATCATTTACTCTTATTGCTATTATCATCGAAGAATCAAAAATGAGATTGGCACAGCAGCTGCTCAGATATAAGCATAGCAAAGAAAGGAGAACCAGGCAACTGACAAGGTAACTGAGGAACAGGGAGAACCGTGAGTCATGTTTATGAACTGTAGAGTGCTTGGTGTGTGTGTGTGTGTGTGTGTGTGTGGATCAGGCCCCCAAAAAGTGCCATCAACAAGGTAGACAGAATACTTTTGTTTTTCTAAAAGTCCAAAGCATAGCTCCTGGGGAGATTTGACTTACAATTTAGTCAGTGTGGAACCAAATAACCTAAAGTTAGCAGTGCCAAATGCCTTTGGTTGAATGTGTCTTCATATAAAGACTTATTTGTTCAAACCAAGAATAAAGTTTTCTTTTGAAGTAAACCCTTTGAACTCCCATGAACCAAAGTGATCTGTGCACTACAGTTATATTTCACAATCAAGGGTTTATTTATATCACTTCCCTCCACAGCAAAACTTTATGATACAAATTGTAAATCTTCAACATCCCTAAGTTTCTCTATCAGTTAGTTATCTGTCTCATAGGTGTTGACATCACACATACTACACACGCACGGGGATAGCCTTTCACCAATAATAAAATCACATAGACTTTATTTCACCAGTAATCAAATTACATAGATGTGTTAGCTGCTCTTTCTTAAACTGTAAAACATGTGTACTCTTGTTAATTCTAGGACATGGATTTTTTTTTCAGCTGAGGATATTCCCACTGATTCTCAATGACTTCCGTGTGGGAAGGCAGGATCTTTTCTCTTACCATATCATATGTATGTTTCTACAATTTCAGCTGCTCCATACATTCAGCTCTTGGTTAACTTGTTCCACATGACAATTAATGGAAATTAGAAGTTTGAAGACAGTGTCATCAACTTTTAAAATATATATTTAAATATTTTGTATCAACCTAGAAATCCATCTATAGTACCTGTGTAATGTTTTAGGCTCTAGCCTTACACCTATAACTTAAAAATGGAAGTGATTGCTTTATATGAACATGAATGTAGTATCTCACAATCATTTTAAGAAATGCTTTGTAAGTTAGCCATTTCAATAAAAGTTGTTTTTATATCAGCAGATATTTAAAAGTGAATTATCAATTGCAGAAAAGTAGGGGGCAAGAAACAGAGAATTACTATCTTTTTCTCATTCATTAAGTTAACGAACAAGTAGATTTTTAATTTTTTTTTAAAAGTTACTGTTATTTCTTTTTTATTACCAATGGAAAGGCAAACCAGGAGGGAAAATAACCTTAAGCTCTACATCATATTTATTATCCTCAGTGGTGAAGTGAGTAAGTAAGTGTAGAGGTATGAAATTCCAACAGACAGAAACATGCTGTTTGAAGAGGAAGTGGTGATATATAGACTACAATTAGACAAAAAATATGATTGCTGAAATTTACAAATCATTCATAAAAAGAAAACAAGGTGGATAATGTCATCATCTACATAGCTCACAGCTTCCACTGATCTAAATAAAGTGTATATATTTTTAAATATAATTCAATTAGCAACTACAGCAATCTAAGTGATCAATTACAGAAATAAAAAAAAGACACCAAACAGGAAATTAATATATTTTTATACTCTCATTTTTCACTACATCATGATTATGATTTTACTGTAAGCTTACAAATTCACTAGTTCAGGTTTGTTAGTAGTTTGTTTTAGTTTTATTTGTGGTTTGAGAGTTTCTACAATCCTAAGTAGATTTATAGCACAGATGTATTTAACATAAATCCGAAAATATTAAAACATACTCAGAGAAAATTTGTATCTTCTTGAGATACCGTTAGGCCTTAATATTATTAAAATATTTTGACAATATTGATTGACAAAAATGCATGCCGATGACAATAGGATTTTCTTTATGAAATTTACTTCAATAGAATTTACTTTATGAAATTTAAGAACAAAATAATTATTGTTGACAAGAAAATACCATGATTTAAAGGCTCTGTGATAAATGAAAACAGCAAATATGAGTGAGAGACTATTAATAAATCCAATGGAAGACCAAGATGGATTTCTATCATAAGCATTAAAAACAAATATTTCAGTGACTTCTGGTTTCCAGTCCAGCATGTAAGAAGCTTAGAAGGCATCGCTGGAATCCTCACAACAAGGAAAAAACTGAACCTACTGAAAATAGACAACTTTTCTTACATCTGCCAGATAATTGAGTTCACAGGTCAAACCAGTACCTCCCAAATTGAAAAGACAGGCAGATACAAAGAATCACAACTTAACTGAGCAGAAACCTTTGAGGGAACCAATAGGGGGAAGGAAAACCTAAACTATAGTTGACAAATTGCTGGAGCTCAGTGTTGATAAGTCTGAGAGTTAAAGTCTCTAGGAGGGGCCAGTCTTCTGGGGGCTACACACTTGTATGAGTTTTACCTCCAGAAACCCTATTAGGTTCTCACAGTGAAGATCTGAGAAAAATCCCCTCCTGCTTCCAGTAAGGGAAAGGGAAAAGTAGCCATTTTGAAATATATCAGGGCATTCTACTTTTCTTGACAGGGTCTACCCTTAAGAGAAACTACTTTACCAGAGCTAATCTACGGAGGTTTTATTGAAGCCTAACTGATTTGCGGAAGGGGAAGAGAAATACCCAACTCCAGCCCTCTCTTTCCACCTATCCCACCTAAGGTGGAGGTGAGGGAATGAGAGGGAGAGGGTATGTGTGTTCACAATCCAGTTTACAGTGTGGAGGCACAGGCATACTAAAAGACTAAAAGACAGACCTAATGACAGGAGTATAGAAGGCTTCTCCTCCCCCAGTACCGTATGGCCATACTACCAAAGCCCTATATATTACAGTTGTCAGTGAGAAAACACACAATCCAATTACAAAATGGGCAAAAGATTTGAGAAGACACCTCACCAAGGAAGATATACACATAGAAAATAAGCCTATGAAAGACAATCAACATCAAACATGAGATACCACTACAAACATAGTAAAATGGCGTAAATCCAAGGTGCTAACAGTGCTACTGTCAGGAGTGAGTGGGTATGTGAGAAATGTCTGTGTTCTGTATTCTCTGCTCAATTTTTCTGTAAACCTAAAACTGCTCATAAAGAACAAAGTTTATTTAAGTAATAAATAAGGCCAAATGCTAGTGAGGATGTGGACAAAAAAGCAAAAGCAGTAGTTGACCTAGAATTTTAAAAATGGACGTAAATGTATATTGAAAGATAGATTAAATAGATGGATAGATGATATATAGGTAATAGATAAATAGATAAGCTTGACTATCTTATTTTCCTTTATAAAGCATTGTTAGCATAAACAATAATGCTGGGACGCTCGCTTTTTCTTATAATATTTTTCATGTATTTTAATTTTTAAAATAAATTCATTCATTATGACTTCTAATAATTACTAATAAAAATGGAACTGATTCATTTCTCTATCATTTTAAGTAGTATGGGCTAGGTTTAGCATTTGAGCATTTGTATATAGTTTGTCTCTGTTTGAAACAAATCTTACTACTATAATTTGTGAAACCAACATTGTGTGTCTGGCTTATTCCTTTTAATATTTTAAATAATAAAATCATTTATGGCTTGGGCTATTTCCATTAGTTATAACTGACAATGAGAAATGTAGTAAAATATGATGTGGTTTAAAGGGTACTAATTAAGCTATAAATGACAGCAACATCATGACTCTGAAGCTCATGAGTCATTTGTAATTCAAGTGCAGGAGTATTTTTTGGTAAGGCCTCAGTTGTGGAGCAATCCCAGTGGAAGTATATCTCATCTGTCTGGAATTACCTAGGTGTGGTTCTGCCCAGAGGCAGAGGGATGGACTGATTGATCTCTGGGAGCTACTTCCCAGCCCAGAGTCTCAGATGGTTAAAGCCTGCAATTGAAATAAACGTCCTGCCATCACTCAGCCCTTAATCCCCCCATTCTATCCATGATTAAGTGATATCCTGACTCCCTTGTACTTTCCCAACCTCTTTCATGTCCACACTTGTCAGGATGCCCGATCCTCACTTAGTCTCCTTTTAGCAATAATTCAAATGCTGATTCACTTGAATCAAAAAAGAGGTGAAAGAGGGTACACAATTGGAACACACTAAAGAATTTGTAAATTCCAGCCAGTGAATCCATTTTCTTAACAGAATGCAAAAGGATTAAGAGATAGAAAGCTCTTAACTTAGAACTTATGCTGAAGAAATAAGAGTTCTGATTACCATGTTCTATGGAGATGCCACACACACGCATCCATATACAGGAGAACACACACACACACACACAGACACACACATATATATATAGTCTTCTGTATAATGGATGTGTGTGTGACATCTCCATAGAACATGGTAATATACATATAAACACGTGCGCGCGCGTGTGTGTGTGTGTGTGTCTGCCCATTCCACCTTCTACCTACCCTTTTCAGGGCTGAGTGACTGATCTTCATGCTTGATATGGTTTGGATCTGTGTCCTTCCCCAATTCTCAGGTCAAATTATAATCCTCAGTGTTGAAGGTGGGCTCTGGTGGTAGGCAATTGGTAGTGAATGAGTGCTCATGAGATCTGGTCATTTTAAAGGGTGTAGCACCTCCTACCACCTCCGTCTTGCTCCTGCCATGTAAGGCTCCTGCTCCCACTTTGCCTCCTGCCATGAGTAAAACTCCCTGAGGCCTCCTCAGAAGCAGAGGCTGCCATGCTTCCTGTACAGCCTGTGGAACAGTGAGCGAATTAAACCTCTTTTCTTTATATATTACCCAGTCTCAGCTATTCCTTTTATAGCAGTGGGAGAATGAACTAATACAATGTCCATATTCTATATTCACACAGCTAATCGGTTCTCATATCACTCTTTATATTAATAACAATAGCTACTCCTCACTATTATTAGCAACAATAATAGTTCTTTTTATTGAGATAGGGTCTTACTATGTTGCTGAGGCTAGCCTTGAACTCTTGGGCCCAAACAATCCTCCTCTTCAGCCTCCTGAGTAGCTGGGAATATACGTGTGCACCACTGCCCCAAGCTAATAATAGTTCCTATATACTATATATAATATATGTGTGTGTGTGTCTGTGTGTGTGTGTATGTGTGTATATAAAACCACTGTTCAATTCACAAGGCATCCTGTGACCTAGCATCAACCTTTACTTCTAAAAGTCAACTTAAATTTTATGCTTCCAGAATTATTTGAGAGATGTAGCCAGAGAAAGCAAGCAGCTCTGTGCAGGGGAACATACTCTTGGCTTTATATCAAAAAGCCATAGCCTTTATGAGAATTGCTGTCATTTTCAGCTAGGCCATAACTAACAGTCAGCTCACATTGTGAATGCAGAACAGCCAGTTGTGCCTTGGGATTTTCCAGCCTAATAGATTCTCACTTCATCATGTACTTGGAGGCAGAACTAGTTAAGTGGATGACAAGAGAAGTGGCAAAAATAGTAAAGAGAGCTTAGAAGAAATCATGAAAAGGAATAGATATTTCCCTCCTGCCTTCCATTCTGTTCTTTCTACCTCCTTTGCTAATTTCTTATTTTCTTTTCTCTGCTCTTTTAAATCAAAGACACTCTTTACTCTGCAATTTCAGTAACATAAAACAGATATAAACATATTTGCAAAATCAGAGTTCCTGCCATCTATTAGAAATCTCTATTGTGCATTAAGAAAGGTGAGATATATGGCACCAACTTCTATCTTTTGTTTCATCATCTCCAATCTAAATCATAATTGCAGCAAGAAAGAGGTAATGAATATTCAATTTTATAATAAAAAATAGGGCATTGTTTTGTTACACATGCAAGAGGCCCATGTCTAAAACAAGACAGAGTAAAGCAAAGCAAAACAAAACAAGACCACTTCTAATCTACTAGTTGCCTGCCCTATGTGTGAGTTAAAATACAATTTGTGAATTGCAAATTAGAAAATGGGAGTCCACAAAAGACTATTTAGACATATCACCTGTCTCACAAGTATTTTCCTGTTCATTCTCCCCATTAGTTTCTGCCCTTCTACTTTTAAATATAAATAAAAAGATCTGCACAAAGCTCTTGTATCTGTCTGCACAGACGCAGGCTGACACGACAAAATACCGGGGACCAGGTGCTTAAACAATAGGTATTTATTTCTCACAGTTCTGGAGGCTGGAAAGTCCAAGATCTAGATGCCTACAGATTCAATTCCTCAGTGAGGGGGTTCTTCCTAAGTTGTAGGTGCTGTGTCCTCACAAGGTGAAAAGGGAGAAAGAGAAAGTAAACTCTCTAGGGCCTCTTCTTATAAAGTCACTAATCTCATTATGAGGATGAGCCCCCCTTCATGGCTTCATCTAAATCTAATTGTCTCCCCAAATCTTCATCTCCAAATACCATCATGTTGGGGTTAGGGCTTCAACATATAAATTTGGATGGGACACAATTCAGTCCATAGCAGTCCTCGTTCTCAATCAAATAACGCATCCTTTATAGTAAAAATTCCTAGTCAAGGCTTCCAGTGGTACAGTGCTGACTGCGTGCCAAGGATCTTTGCAAGGCTGTTTTGCATAAGCCTCTTTAAAACTCATAACAACTGTTTAAGGCAGTTACTGTGATCATTCTCATTTTTCAAAGGAGGAAATTGAAGAAGAGAGAGGCTTAACAACTCCTTTTGGGTTATAAAACTAGTAAGGTCTAAGGCCAAGTTTCAAACTCAACCCAATTATCTCCCAAACATGCTAATCTATAAAGCCACCAACTTAAAGAAGAAATCTTTTTTTTACATATTGCTCTTCTTCCTAACCTTCACCACCATTGTATAGTGCACCCTTGACATAAGTAACTCCATCTTAAGAAAAGACTCCATCTTAAGAAAAGACTCCATCTTACATTAATAAGGCACTTTGACAACAGGGACCAGATATTTTGGTTAATAAATAAAGACAGCATCCAACCAGATAAGGACATAACCAAGCACACTCTTCCACTATCAGTCCTCACTAGACAACTCTGTGGCTATAAAAAGAACAGACTGACATAGTCTTGCCGTTACTTGTGATAAGCACCAGGATCTGCCGCTGAGAGCTCTGCCCACATCAAAGATTCTTCCTTGCAAGACCAATGGACTACCTGGCCCAGACCAGAAGATTCTTTTTGTCTACTTCGCTCTCCCTGGACTGGTTCCTTTTCCCATTCCCTTATGGACTGTTTAATCCATAACGTTTGTTTGTATGTTGATTAAGTGTACTATTATGTATGGTTTGCAATATCAACTGACTTATGAAATGGCTTGAGCCTGTGTGCCATAGGCTCTGACTAATGAGTGAACAGGAATTACTAAGGAGAATTGCCTCTTTGGAAACTCCATGTAGCTCCCGGCTTTTGTGATTGAAATAGCATTGATAAAAGCCTAACACTGTGGAAAGACACAAATGTGCATGAACCTGGTTATTTCTGACCTTGCATCACTCATGAGAATTACTGTGTTAAAATTTCAAAATTTGATGGTTTCTAACTCCATAGATCTATTTTAAAAATACAGTATTCTTTGTGCAGTTACTCTTTGCTTTCTTTTCTGCTGACCACTGTACTTTCTTTGCTGGCATTGTTAACATTTTCACTCTCTTTTATTTTTTCTTTCCTTCACATTCCTTTTCTCCTTCCCTCTTTTGTCTTTCCTTTCTCCTGTTTTTATAGCATCTTCAAATGACTGAGTCCCCAAGCATGAAACCTGAAATCTGCTCTATACATTTTCTTGTTTCAAGTTTTTTTTTTTGACATTTTATTTATTTATTTTTTAAGGTTAAGTTACTTAATTTCTTTTCTTTTCTTTTTTCTTTTCTTATTTATTTATTTATTTATTTATTTATTTTTGAGATGGAGTTTCTCTCTTATTGCCCAAGCTGGAGTGCAATGGTGCGATCCTGGCTCACTGCAACCCCCGTCTCGCAGGTTCAAGTGATTCTCCTGCCTCAGCCTCCCAAGAAGCTGGAACTACAGGCGTGCACCACCAAGCCCGGCCAATTTTGTATTTTTAGTAGAGATGGGGTTTCACCATGTTGGCCAGGCTGGTCTCGAACTCCTGACTTCATCTACCTGACTCGGCCTCCCAGAATGCTGGGATTATAGGCATGAGCCATGGTGCCTGGCAAATTACTTAATTTCTTCACCTGCCCTAAAACCTAATCACTCTTACCTCAAAGTCAGTGAGAAACTATGAAGCATGGATTTATATTTAATAACAACAGTGGAGACTCAGCTACCTAGGCCTTTTGAACTTGGAGATACCACTATTTTAGTGGGCTTCAGGTTTTTATGATTAAAATGAGGAAATAATATCTTCCCAAATTACTTTACCAGGTTGTTAAGAATATCAAATAATGCTATACACAAAGAGAGAATTCTTTGTAAATATTAAAGTGTTTTATAAGTAAAGATGATAACTGGCATGCCTAAAATGAAATTCATTATCTTAATTTGCTATAATTTATCTCATATCTTTTCTTTCTCTTTCCCCAAACCATATCTTGCCGCCACTGATAATGTTGCTTGTATTTATTCAGGTATCCATTGTTCAATTATTCAATCAATAAACATATATTTATTCAACTCCTACTATATCTACCTCTCCTAAGAATGCAATACCCAGGGTGTACCCTGCCATGGACCTTTAAATAACTAACAATATAGAGGAAGTGGCAGACAAATACACATAAGATTGTAAGAGACAGCAACAGAAATTCCACTGTTAAAAATGTTCAAGGTTATCATCTTAGGTCACCTACAACTTCTAACTTTATATTCACTTCCCTCTCCAAACGATAATCTTCTTGTTTTAAGGAAATTGAGATAGTTCCTCACATAGAGGCAGACAATCCCATTTTAGAAGAGGTTCTAAATTGCAATGTTCAGATATTCATTTATTTTGGGTGACTTTGAAATTATGAAAAAGGCTCTTAAGGTCAAATGTAACAAGAATTTATGACTTTGTGCCATATTGATGGCATAGCAAGATACCAAGAGCTTGGTGATAGTGACTGAGAAAACAGTTATCAAAATCCTAGCAGGATCTTCCAATGCAATGATAAATGCAAGAATACCTCCAACAGGAACATATAAAGAAGTGCATGATCATTTTGGCCTATATCAAGTCAATTGCATATATGCCAGTGTGGCTACTTTATCTGTAGCCGCAATTTCCATTTCAGTATCCATTCTAACGTCTAAATATGAAGATTGTTAATTTTTCGAAGGAATCAATGTAAATTTTATACAGAAAAGAGTCTCAGCTATGCAAAGCTTTCTTATTTTTAAAAAAGTAAAGTACTATTTTGGATAGGATCAGTATTTTGACAAAATCTAACACATTTTATGTCTGCCACTTAAAATAGTTTAATTACTAAAATTAGAAATCACACATCAACTTACTACTAGAACAAGGCTTCTGCATTCACATATTTTTTGAAATACTATTACTCATAATTTGGGAAGTAAATCTTTGTTTGAAATGTTTCAACATAGGCCCTTAATGATTTCACTATATTTTTAATGCAAATTTCATTGTTACATGGCAATACGTGATTAGGCTTTTGATCATACTACCTTGCTAACTTCTATATTCATATTAAATCCTGTATGAAAGTCACTTGAAAAGAAGTGTTGAATCATGTCTACAACAGTATCAGGAGCCTTAGGGAAAACCACAGACTCAGTTCAATGAAGCAGTCAACATGGTTTTCAACACAATATTGGCTCCCAATAAGCGTTTAATATCTGGTAAAATGATCTAGTTGGTTTTAAAAATAGGAGAAGTAAGTGGGTACCTCCTGATGTGATTTGGCATGTACTTTTAGGAGAGAAATTTTAAATGTGGCTCATTTGAAAGAGACAAAGTGAAGATCAAACAAGTCAGTAGATCGAAATTTTACACTATGTCTTCCCGGCTACAGATTTGAAATCTCACAGCTAAATTCTTCATAAAATTTGAACATCTTTTCATGTCACTAACACAAATTCCTGTATCTGGTTTAAATACAGGAGAAGAGTATAAAAGAAAACAACGTTTTATAGAACTGTTTAGAATATGATATGGTTTGGTTCTGTGTCCCCACCCAAATCTCATCTCAAATTGTAATCCCTACATGTTAAAGGAGGGACCTGGTGGGAGATGATTAGATCATGGGGTTAGCTTCTCCCATGCTGTTCTCGTGATAGTAAGTGAGTTCTCATGAGATCTGATGGTTTAAAAGTGTGACACTTCCTCTCTCTCTCTCTTTCCTGCTGCCATGTATGACATCCCTTGCTTCCCCTTCACCTTCCACCATGATTGTAAGTTTCCTGAGGCCTCTTCAGTCAGGCAGAACTCTGAGTCAATTAAACCTCTTTTATTAAATAAATTACCCAGTCTCAGGTAGTATCTTTATAGAAGTGTGGAAATGGACTAATACAGAAAATTAGCAGGAAGAAGCAAGAAGGCCCTTCCTATGTAAAATTTAAACAAATGAGTTTTAAAAATTCAGAACCTCCAGGACCAATGAATAAGTGCTTATTTCTCAGCTATGGAAAAATCTGTCGCAATCGCATATGTTTACATATACATGCAGTTGAATTTCTTGTCCTTCTAAGGTAAATGGCATGCCCAGTACTATAACACACAGCCCATGAGAACAGGCAATCCTCAGTATCCACTGACGTCTTTGCCTTCCTATGTCTTCCTGGTTTTCATCCAACCTTCATCTACTCTTTGGTTTTTCCACCTCCTTTTTTCTCTGTGTGTCATTTAAATACAGATAGTATATATCTCTGAGTTCTGCTCTAAATTCTTCCATTTGTTCTCTAGACACAGATCTTTTCCATTGTTGATCTTATTTAGTATCACGGACGCATATGCCATTGCTAATGATCCTCAAATGTGTAAATCCAGCTGAGGTCTTTGCCTTGAGCCTTCTACCTAAAAGTTTCCTGACTCCTCACTCAATTCATACCTTAAACTATGTTCATCCTTCCCAAAACTTATTCTGTTTTCTTATGATTCTGATTATAAAGGAATAGCTTCACCATTCAGTGTCCAACACAGAAATCTGTGCATTATATTTGGATGTTCCCTTTCCATATCCAATCAATGCAAGCAATCACCCCACAATGTCTGAACTACTTTCAACTTTCCAGAGTCAGTCCCCTCTCCTTATAGCTGATTTTAGGTAAATGTGATTCTTTTTAGGGATTACTGCCATATTCTTCTAAAAGTAATACCTTCCTTAAGTCCTTGTGGCTTTGTGACTTATGCAAACTCCCTTAACCCCAGAACAAAATATCCAAGTACTAATCCTCAGAACTTGAGAATGTGTTATTTTATACGGGAAAAGGTAGTTTGTAGATATGATTAAGATTAAACAATTTAACTTGGGGAGATTAACCTGGATTATCCAGGTGAGCCCAATCATATCACATAAATTTTTGAAACTGAGACTCTTTGCCAGAACTGTTCTATCATAAGTAAAAGACATGATTATTAACACTCAGAGTTGGGGAAGAGGTCAGGGAGAGATTGGGCGTCCTGTCTCTTAAGAGGATTTGACCCAATTATTTTTTAGCCACACCTTCCTTCCCATTTCCAGAGTCATCTGATCATCTGGGGACTCTTTAGAGCCTTTCCCTCCTGCTTATTTAGGATTACCTTTCCCTGTCTGTTATTTCACTGGCCTTTGCTTTCAGGTATTCAAATAATTTATTCTATCTCCTACCCCATCTTTTTATACTTGTAAGTGTATGCCTTTTATTGTTAATGTATCTTTAGTGTCATTTTAGGAGGTTTGAAGAGGGAGTTTGGCTAAATGCGTATCTCCAATCCACAGTCTTTAAACAAAAACCCACCCTCTTTAATTTTCTTTCTCATCTAAGCCATTTAAGATCAGTCTGCTCACTTGCTTCTTTCTACACTGGCACATCTGAATGATGCTCTCTTAATGTAAGACTTAGTGGAATCAGGGCAAATTTTATAGAACCAATGCAATTTTGAGATACAATAACTTTGATACATATTGAAGATTTATATAAAATGCAATATCAAAAATAGTACCTTTTTGGAAACCAACAAAAAGAATCCCAAACCTGTATTTCCCTAGAGAGGTTGGAAATCCAAGAGACACTAACAGAACATAAATTTTTATATTAAAATAAAGGAAACACCTCTACTTTTTTTTGCTTTGTAACAAGCACATAGATTTTCAGTTTTAAGCAGGAAATTTAAGGTCAGATGTCAAAGACCAATTTCTAATAACTGTCAAGTTTATCCTCTCCTTAGCTCCATATTTTATACTCAGTATATATATATTTATAAATATGCATATAAATATTTAATAATATATACATATAAATATATATTTCCTTAGCTCCATATTTATACTCAGTATATATATTTATATATAATATATATAAGTATATATAAACACACACACACACACACACACACACACACACACACCTTTAATCTTCCCTAATTTTTTGGAGAGGAGCCAGACTTAAAATGCAAGTTTTCAAGGGACTTGAATAGAATCTTGTCTAAAATGCAAAATAGCATTTTTTTTAACATCTATGGTATGCTTTAATATTTTTCCTTATATACTCATGGTTTTGCTGGCTTCTTGGAAAGGGGTGGAGACAACCAACTTAAAAAACAAAGGGAAAAGGAGAGAAAGAGAGAGAGGAAGTGTAGATATAAACATCACCAATAATGATCATTTTATTGAAATGTAAACCAAGTCTTCTTAAATCCTTTCCAGATTGAGTCTTAGTTCTGTCTATAATTTTTTAAGATCAGTTCAAATTTTATTCAAGTAAGACATTTGTCTTTATTTTGGCCCCAGTCATGGGTGTTATGAAGTCACCATTAATCTGTTTCAAGAATTCTTTTAAGAAAAGATATTTTATTTTAAAATAGAAGTGTGTTTCATAGAAGCCTTCAATCATAAATTATAAATTTTACAGAAAACAGAATCTGCAGTGAGACCAATACTAAACTGCTCTTAAGGTCACTCTTCCACTTGAGCCAACAGTCTTTGGAATCAAACATGATATTGTTTGTGATAGGAAACATGACACTTCCTAAGGAAAATTTCTGATGACCAACCTAATGATTTGCATGCAAGTGATAGTCAATAACTTGACAAAATAAGTATATAGATGGAATGCAGAGAAGAGATACAGAAAGCATAGTAGCAAAGCTTTGATTTTACTTGTAAAGGGTAAAATTAAAGCATTATAAATGTCCTTCCCTCAACAGTAACCAAATATGCTGAACAATAGCTTCCAACTTTGGCGTATTACCAGACCTCCATGAAAAATAGTCTCTGAGCTCGATCTGAGAATAAAAAAAGAAAAATAAACAAGAATTGGAAACAATTGAAAAGTTATTTATGAGCATTCACAGATGACATTTACTAGAATATGAGAGGAGTTAATAAAGTTTGGCCTTGTCTATGTATTACATAGAACTTCAATCTGGGATTTTTGCATAAATAAGAAAATAAAAGTTGAATATGATTAGTTGACAAGCTGATAATGAGAAAATGTTCTGACACATTTATAGCTTGTCCAAAACACATTGATCGAGGATGAACACATTTGGACATACTGTAATTTAGGGGTACAGCTATTGCATCACTATTCACTTTGGCCTCGGTTCAATGTAAGGCTATTACAAATTAAAGTTTGTCTCTGCTATCAAGGTGATGTGTTATCCTGAGCAGTAATGTGAGTCTCAAAAGTAGCTTACAGGTTGTCTTGAAGAGGTCTTTCCCTGACATTGCCAATGTGAGTCACAAGTCACAGAAGTTTAAAACTGGGCCTGTGATACAGAAAGGGAAAGCAGAAAGTGGTGGTGAAAACTTGACAGATTGCTGCTTTTAGAAATCAGCAGAGATTGGATTAGACCTGAAATCCTGGTACAAAGAACAGGATTTTAAGATCAGAAGAAATTCTGGCCCAGTTCAAAACCATTGATGTGGGAGAAATTGTTGGAAGTTGTATAAATTTTGGGAGCATCATGGGAAGTTAGGGAATCTACATCAGAAAATAGAGCATGTCTAGCCAGAGAAGAGGGCCCAGATGAGAGGGAAGTTAGCAGCAATTAGAAAACATGAGTAAATATTGAAGAAACTGGGGCTAAATAAAGAGGTTTATGACAGGATTTACAAATGTCTGAAAAGCTGAATTGTAAGCAAAGAGCCAAAAACATAAAAACTAATATTCCCTGTTTTGAGAGTTTTTCTGGTTGGACCCAAAGGGCAGACCCAGGAGTAAAGCAAGATATTTATAGGGAGATATAATTTAGTTAAAACAAGAAAGGCCTTTCTAAGAATTTGGTTCTCTAAAATCGAGTGGTGTACTTCAGGAGAAACTATATGAATAGTTTACAGTCTCAGGGAGAGTGGTAAAGCAGATCTAGATCATGTGGGTTGGGGAGAAGGGCGAGGGACAGTCAAGCATCAGAGCACGTTGAATTTCGTGACTTCTAAGGTCTTTCCAATCCTTTGAGTTAGCAAATGACCTGGCTTGATCCGAATCCAAACATGAGGCCATGCCTACCTCATGTGTCACTATTCTGTGAACCATTGTTTTCTCTAGATACTTTGGCAATGTAGATTAAATACAGCTTTCATTTGATTCACATATTTACCTAAAATATGTATATATAATGCTATTGATAGTGACAGGAGGCAGCCAAATGCATAGGCAGATAGGGGTGGGTACCCAGTAAAACCCCACCTCTAGTCCAAAGATGTTTTAAAGCCTGAAAGCCAAGCCAAAACTTAAATACTCAGAACAGATTAAGAATTTGTCTTCCTGTTTGGCATGCTTTCCTCTGATTGATCTCCCCTCTTCACCTATTTTACATATACCTACCCTTTCCTAATTGGTTTTCTATACTGTCATTCCCACCTTTGAGTGGTGTCTTTGCTTTAAATTTTTGTGCACACTCACAAACCGTCAGCATGCTCTACCCGTCCTGTCCTATAAAGACCACAGGCTCAGTCAGTAGAGGAGAATATGGCCTAACTTCAGGAAAGGAGATGGCTTGACTTCAGGGAAGGAACAATCTGACTCTGGGGAAGACAACCTGCGCTTCCCATCCTCTCTCCACCAACCCTCTACACTGAGAACCATTTTTACTGCTCAAGAAAATTCTCCACCTTCACCATCCTTCAACCATCCATGTGACCTCATTCTTCTTAGATGCTGGACAAGAGCTCAAGACCCACTGAGTGTGGGTACCCAGAAAGGCTGTCACACTGGCCCTTTGCTATCACTGGTAGAGGGCAGCTACCTCTCATGATGAGGCAAGGGGCCAAATGAGCTGCTAACACACCGCCGTCCAAGGACAGTAGAACTAAAGGAGCACTGTAACACCCCCTCTGGGACTTTGGAGTCACAGGTACCCTCACCTGGACACCACCACGTTCCCCTCAAGGCGACATGCCTGGTCTGACCACAGGCCCTGCATGGAGCTTGCTCCTGTGTCAGTGCCTGGAGCAGCCAGCTGGGTCCCGCATTTGCTCTCTCACATGCTCCCTCCCATAAAGGAGCACAGCAGGCCAAGCAGAGAGGGGCACTCTTGCTCTGAGTCCAGTGAGGGGGCCAAGAAAAATTCTGCATCACTCTAACAATTCATAATTTGGACATCTTTTTTCTACAGGTAGAAATCTTTATAGAAATCTCAGCAGGAGATAGGTATAACCTAATTCATCAGCTATTTTTATCACATGATACAAGTGTCAAGTTAATAAAATGTAGAATTTGAATCTTATGGATGGCATAGGGTTTCCATTTCATTAGAATGTTTCCATTTAAATTCCTAAATAATCCTTAAAATAGCTGGTTACTGGGTTTTGAATTGAGCCGTGGCTTGGACGTTGAGTTGCATTCCAGTATCATACAATTTCCCTTCCCTGTATCTCCTGCCTAATCCAGCATAGGAGGTTCTTATGAGGCTGGTAGGGAAGAAGAGATTTGGCTTACTTAGGAAGCTACTAGTAGCATCCAATCTACATGGATTGCCTTCCTGTGCTTTAAACCACGGTAATCCACATGCCATCTGGCCTACACTTGTAAGGGAATAGTATTCTTTTGCCATTCTAGGCTGTGCATGGCAAAAGTCTTAAATTGTGTTGATTCATTTCAGCCTCTGTTTCTACCTTTTTGATATTCCACTCCGGCCCTTATGTGATTGCTTACTTTTGACTTCCTTTACTGATTCAGGTTCTTCATCCTTTTAACTATGGATATTTTTCAGGGTCAGAATCTGCACTTGGTCTTGGGTACTCTTGCTCCTGGCTGCTCATCTACATTATCAACACCTGGTTTGAGTCACTATCCTATTTGACCAGTCCCTGGATCTACTTCTTGGTTTACATTAAATACTCATCAGGATGGACATACAGTGGTCTCCTTCCAAATTATTATAAGTGAAGCTCAGAGATTCAGGTGTTTCTAAATGCTGAATAATAACAGATCATGTGTTTAACTTGGAATTCTTACAATAAGCTGATAGTTCTGGGTGCTTTATTTGAGTGTGATTTTCCTGGGTCCCCTTATCTACCAGATTAATATCTTACTCTATAATATTTTGGAGACCTTCATCATGCTTTGACTGAATGTCAAAAGAATTTGACCAAGAACAATGATACGACCAGCTCTGGCATGAATGTGACCATTTATCTAAGCCAAGCACACAAAGCAGGGTTAGTTTTTGAAACTGACTCACAGATTTAGGAGAAAATTTAAGTGGGTATCATTTTATCTGAAACTCTATCAGACAAATGCTTAAGCACAATATTTTCCTAGGAGAAATAATGTATTTTGAGAATACTGAGATAAGAATTTAATGAAAATTAAGGTAAAATAGAAAATCTTAATTTAAGTATTTATACAATTACAGGGAAATTTACATGAAAAAGGTCACTTAAAAATGAATATAAAGCAAATGTAAATACACTTCTCTGTTCATGCCATATAGAGGATGAATTTGTTTCTGGACAGGTTTAGAGAGCTCTCTAACCTTCTGTCTTCTAAATTTCCAATTAAAATATGGGCACAGGGAGTAGAGGAATGTGTTTGTTTACAGTTGGCAAAAACTGATTTCCTGTTTCTAAGAAAAAAAAGCTTTTCAAAGCCTTTTTGGACTTCAAATAGCTCTTGCAAAACAATATTTTGATGAGCTAAGTGTAAATGAATCAGGAACATATGGATTGGATTTCCATTGAGATACACATGGGTTTAAACATAAGCTGAAGAGAATGCCTGGTAAGTTATACTTAGAATTGATAAAAACCAAAGTGTAGTATATTTTTCAGAACTTGTTTTGAGACACACCCACCTCCCAGCCCAAACACTGGGAGTTTATTTTCTTTTCTTAAGAAATCTTTTCTGAAAGGTGGATGTTACTTGTTCATTACTGAAAAAGAGTCAAGTTTTAAGGAGCAGCTTCCAAGCGATGTTATTACATGCATCTACCTATCAGAAGGAGTAGAAAGAAGATGTTATTACATGAATCTACCTATCCGAAGAAACCCTCAGGGCCACCAACACAAATAAATTATCATTTTGATATTTTTTCTTGCCCTTTCTACTTTCTGTTCCACTTCCCTGTCCTCAAACAGAAGTATCTAAGCACGGGAGGATAGAGAATGAAATCTTGTAATTGCTAAAGCATGCATGCCCAGGTATAGCTTTCATTGCATTTATAAAGGTGGCTTTACAATAGTTCTAAAAATGTTTAAAGTGAATAATCTCAAAAATATGCCATCCTCCATCCTGGGTGATATTTAAAATTGCACTAGGGACCATCTTGATACAAGATGTTATAACACTAAATAATTTGGGATTAGAAATTCTTACACATAGAAGAGATGATTACATGGTTAATGCTATTTATATAGCCTAATCCTTTAAGAGTCTCTGGGGTTTGTGAAACAATACAAGACATACCTCTCTTAGCCACTCAACAACAAACTTGCACCAGATGTTGTTATGAATGTTGTTTGTGTCTCCTAGGATTCATATGTTGAGTCCTAATACCTGGGAATGTGACTGTATTTTACAGAGAGGGCCTTTAAAGCAATAATTTTCTTAAAATAAGGTCAATAGGGTGGGTTCTAATCCAAGATGACTGGTGTCCTTAGAAGAAGAGATTAAGACACAGACAAGCTCAGAGGTTAAGACCATGTGAAGACACAAGAAGAATGTGGCCATGCACAGGCCTCAGAATAAACCAACTCTGCCAATAACTTTGTTTTGGACTTGCAGATTCCAGAATTGTGAGAAAATATATTGTCATTGTGTAAGCCATCTGGTCTGATATTTTGTTATAGCAGCCCTAGCACATTAATAGATAAACCTATTTGCTCTTCACCATTTACAAATAATTATGACTCTTAACTATAGGCCACTGTCTAGTTTTGTTCCCTATTACACCTGGAAGCTATCTTCCTAGAACCTAAACTTTTGACCATCAGGCTTAAAAGCCAGGGACTCTATAATCAGCAGCCTACAAGAAAATGCATACTTAAGCCAAGACAAGGTCCAGTTCTCCTGATCATAGTGTAATCTGTTCTTAGTATTCCTCCGACAGATGCTGAATCCTATTCCTTTCCCTGATCAGATTCTGTTTTTTGCCCATTTCCCATATGCTCAGTTTATATTTTCAGTTTTATTCTTTTCTCCCAAAGTTAAGCCTATTTCCTCAACATGGCCTAATACCTGTATTCCATTCTCACAGTCAAGCAATGGACTCATGATTAGTCATATTTTTCTCATTAATAAGAACACTGGTGACATTCTTGCCATGTGATGGCTTAACTGCTACACTTTGGAGGCACATCCTCCTCCTCTTCCTTCATCAACTTGGCCCACTCAGGCCTGCTGTCTTCTCTAAACTAATCTGAATTTCCTTACAGGATAATTGCTCCAGGCTCTGGCATCAGAGTGGCTATGTTCTTATTCTGACCCCCTTTCATATGAACTAGGTGGGAAATTCCTTCATCTGAAAATAGGGATAATCATAGAATCTATTTCACAGGGTTGTAGGGGACTTGAATAGAATGGTGTATGAACAGAGCTTAGGATTTCTCAAAAGCTCAATAAATGTTAGATAACTTGTTAGGAATGATAATGGCTTCTCTAAAATGTGAATATGCATTGTTCATTGACAGCAATCCTATGAAGGGGGAATTAGCTTTATCTATTTGAGATAAAAAAAAGCCTGAGCAAAACCTGACTGAGTGCAAAAACAATGGTTTTCATGCATTTTCCAGCATGGTTCCACCTTGGAAGAGAAAGTCAAGGGAAATGAGCCAGATATAATGATTCACTGTAGCCTAAATACATCATGGCTTCATTGGGGGCCACTGGGGAGAACAACTCACTTTGGAAAAGGGATTAATATGTTATAACCAAGACTATGGATAAGCTTTTAGACCTTTCTTTTTAAAAAAATAATTTTTTTTGTGCTTTGAGTTTCTGTTTTATAGACCTTTCTTAAGAAGATAGTTGGAGCAAATTCCTATAGTTAGAAACAAACTCATTATATGCTCCAAAGGCCTGAATCCAATGTTCTGACTAATGGATCTGAAATAAAACATTATTTATATCCATATTATACAATGAATGAATTGGCCAGGAAACTGAGGGTGTGTTGATGACTTTGAGTCTTAGTGAATAGGGTGATCTCATGACCACAGCATTCTGGAGAGGTGCATTAGTGCACTTTCATGTCATCTGTGGGAGCCTTGACATTGAGAAGCATGACAGTAAATTACATCATTCAAGTCTTGAAGCAAACCAGTGGAGTTAGGTTCATTCTTCTTGCTCCCTCCTTATTGTATTTTGCTGACCACAGTATGTTCTCTGTTTGGAGTGGGGGTGGAGGCAAGAAGCCACAAATAGCATAAGCAGGAGTTGATGCTTCAAGGGGGTTATCATGATTGGAGCTGTGCCTTCATGCAATGTCTTGCACTGTTATCTGTCATTTGTTTTGCAAAGTGTTAATACACAAAATCATTTGGAAACTCCATCAAAGACAGATGGCATTATGCCATATGAGGCCATGAGACTAAGAGACTGTCTTCTCAAGGGCCAAGTGCAGGAAAATAGAAAGCTGATTTTAAAGATCTTCCTCCTCTATTTTCACCTTCTCGTCTAACTGATTTTAATTGTTCTCTAAAGTTATGAGTAACACAGTTTATAGCAATTTCCACACATTTCCCTAAGAAAAATGCTGCCATAAACACACATAATTAAAATATGTGAAGTATCAGGTTATCAACATTATATTACTAAATAAGACTAACACAGTAATTACTCCCAAGAAGGCATGTATAGGTCTTTCTGTGTGGGTGTTCATATGTGCAACACTGAAGGGGAAGAAGGCTGTGGCAGGAAATGTATCCCTTAGGAAAGAGTAGGAATGTAATCAAGTGCATTTTGATTCCAAGGAAATGACTACATTGACTTCAACATTTTTCACATGAAGGTTGCAGGACCTTGTACTGACTATCAAGTTTCAGCTCAAAGTTACCAGGAAGAAAGGCTGTCCTCAGCTGTAGTAGCCTGGATCTCTAAACTCTGATGCTCTTCTCTATTATTCATTTTAAATTTTGCATAATGCATACCATTATCTGCAAGTTGTTTGTGCTTTTTGGTATTTATTATCTCAGTTTTCTCACCAGAATGTGGGCTATGTGATAGCAGAAACTTAGTTCATCATATTCATTATTGTGTTTTCAACACATAGAACACAGTCTGCCACAAAGGAGATGTTCAATCATGATTGCTCCAATAAGAAATAAATGATTGATTGAATATCCATGTTGTTAAGAGAAATGTTTTCAAAGAAAAGCATGAACCAGTTTGTTTATTCTATTAATAATGTTGGCCATTGGAATTAAAGCCAGCTCTGTACACTAAAGCATAGATTATCAGGGAAAATGTGTGACTTTTTACTTACCCTTCTCAATTCATGTATTTCTTTTGTGTGTTCATTCAACAAACATTAACACAGCTCTTATTTTGTGCCAAATGTAGTACTTTTGAAATGAGCACACTAAAAAGTAAAATACAGTTCCAGTTACATTTACTATGTAACTAGCAAGGAAAAAGTTAAGCAGAAAATAATAAGCACCTGGTAAAAGTTCTTTCCAAGTGGACTGCCATTATGTCTATTACCAAAACATGTGAGAGGCAATTTTTTAACAAATACCATAAGGTTACTTCTAAAAACATAACAAGATTGAGTATATAATGAAGTTTTAGGCTAGAAATAGTTTTCATGAACAGTTGAGTATCAGATAAGATATAATTCAATTATGCTTTTTAATATTACCACCTCCCAAGAAGATACTACTCCATATGGCAAGAAGTTTGGGCAGGGAATGTGGATGAACCCCATGATACTTTACTCAGAAAAGTTTCAAAGTGGGAAGGTATTTCTTTCTCTGTCTTCCCTGTTCCTTGACTCCAAGCCCAAGTGTTTATGGCAAGCAGAAAATAAGCATATACTCTTTTCTCCCCTTTGATTACTCTTGCCTCTGCAGTCATGATCCTATTTTCTCACTTTCCACCACCTCACTTTTTCTATGTCTAGGCTGAAACTGCAGACTTTGGAAACAGTGGGACAAGAAGTTAAGAGTTGTGAATAGCAGGACAATAACAGGTAATAAAATAAGGTTTTGCATGGTATTTTCTCTGTCTAGAGTTTCAGAGATGAGTAAAGAAAACAGAAATGGAAGAAAAAAGCTACCCCAAAAGAACAAAGGTACCTTCCATGAAAATCTACTGGATACAAGCAATTGATCTGCGTTCTGCCTGAGGCCCACAAGTACTCAAAGACTTCAGAAGGAGACTGGTTAACCATCTTAGTGAAAAAGAGCAGAGCCACAGGTGACCGATTTATTCTGTCTGTTCATAAAAATCTTAGTCCAGATCATTAAAGAGGATATATATACAAATATATACATATACATATATACACACATATACATATATATATACACATTCACATACATATATACATTCATACATACATATATATATATGCTAGGTGATATATCAACTAGAAGGCACACTATAGAATAAGACAAGGGATACTACACTAAAAATACTTGTAAAAACTGAACTAAAATATGTAGAGTAATTTTTCAGAAGAGTTCCTATATACTTCAGCAAAATGTAGTGGATAATAAAGAGAAAAAATGTCATAAGAAAGTTTAGTTGAATGAAAGAAGTGTATGAAAAGATAACAATATGAGATGAAAAGGTGAAAAGAAAGAATAATAAAATTATAAAAGAGAGAAAAAGAAAACTAAAATCATAGGATCAAAATTAAATATGGGAGGTAAAGACAGAAAACATCAAATCTGATGTTACAGAAAACTAAAATATGGAAGACAAATTTCAATAGAGCTTCCAAAATTTAGAAGCAAAGACTTAGAGATTAACATTAATAAAACAGAAAGAAAACCAAATACTCAGAAAAATGTTGATACCAAAGAACTGGGAATACATGAGACAGAGGTTATTTTTCCATATCTCACTGAAAACAAATTTTGGAGATTAAGATAGTTTAATGCAGGCACATGAAAAGGGGAAAATTATTGCTACATAAAATTGATTAAAATATTAATAATCAGAAAACATAGTGGATGTCTACAAATCAATAAAATGAAAAAATGTGTGTAAAGATACAATTCATAGAAAAGACCTTCTAAAAAGATGCTCAACTTCACTAGTAATCAAGATAGCACTAAATTTAAAAATTAGATACCATTTCAGTTGTACTAGATTGGCACAATTTTGAAATTAAAACTTGTAGTAGTAAAGATGTCAGAAAACAAAACATTTTTAGAGTATTCACATGGATATACATGGTGACAGTACACGTATATTTCATTTTAATTGTCTTATATATGGATATGTCACGATTATTTCATACATTTATCTAGTGATGGCATTTGGATTCTGCCTATTTTTTTCTCCTTAATAATGTCATAAAATGTTGTTATGCCTAGATGGTAAGCTTGTGAATGGTTTTCCTTAAAAGAAAACTCCTTCTGACTTATGAATTGTAAAATAATCAATAAAATAAAATAGAGCATATCACTAAGTGATCAAGGAAAGTTGAGCCATATATGGGTTGGTGTATTAGTCTATTTTCATGCTGCTGATAAAGACATACCCAAGACTGGGTAATTTATACAGGAAAAAGGGTTTAATGGACTTACAGTTCCACATAGCTGTGAAGGCTTCACAATTATGGTGGAAAGCAAGGAGGAGCAAGACGCATCTTACATAGATGGCAGCAGGCAAAGAGAGAGAATGAGAACCAAGCAAAAGAGGTTTTCCTTTATAAAACCATCAGATTTTGTGAGACTTATTCACTACCACCAGAAGAGAATGGGAGAAACCACCCCAGTTGTTCAATTATCTCCCACAGGGTCCCTCCCACAATCCATGGGAATTATGAGAGTTACAATTAAAGATGAGATTTGGGTGGAGAAACAGCCAAACCATATCATTCCACCCTGGCCCCTCCCAAATCACATTTCAAAATCAATCAAGCCTTTTCAACAGTCCCCCAAAGTCTTTTTTTTTTTTTTTTTTTTTTTTTTTGAGATGGAGTCTTGCTCTGTCACCCAGCCTGGAGTGCAGTGGCGTGATCTCAGCTCACTGCAACCTCTGCCTCCCAGGTTCACACCATTCTCCTGCCTCAGCCTCTCGAATAGCTGGGACTACAGGCACACGCCACCATGCCTGGCTAATTTTTTGTATTTTTATTACAGACAGGGTTTCACCATGTTAGCCAGGATGGTCTCGATCTCCTGACCTCATGATCTGCCTGCCTCAGCCTCCCAAAGTGCTGGGATTACAGGCATGAGCCACCATGCCCAGCCCCCGAAAGTCTTAATTCATTTCAGCATTAACTCAAAAGTCCACAGTCCAAAGTTTCATCTGAAACAAGGCAAGTCTCTTCTGCCTGTGTGCCTGTAAAATCAAAAGCAAGTTACTTACTTCCTAGATACAATGGTGGTATAGGCATTGGGTAAATATACCTGTTCCAAAGACAGTAATTGGCCAAAATGAAGGGGCTACAGTCCCCATACAAGTTCAAAATCCAGAACATACCAAATAATCTCCTTTGACTTTGTGTCTCAGATTCAGGTCATGCTGATGCAAAATGTGGGTTCTCATGGTCTTGGGCGGCTCTGCCCCTGTGGCTTTGCAGGGAATATCCCCCACCTGGCTGATTTCACAGGCTGGCATTGAATGTCTGTGGCTTTTCCTGGTGCACAGTGCAAGCTGCCTGTGGATCTACCATTCTGGGGTCTGGAGAATGGTGGCCCTCTTCTCACAGGGAAGAGCCCCAGTAGGCAGTGCCCTAGTAAGGACTCTGTATGGGGGCTTCAACCCCACATTTCCCTTCTGCACTGCCCTAGCAGAGGTTCTCCATGAGTGCCCTGCACCTGCAGCAAACTTCTGCCTGGGCATCCAGGCATTTCCATACATCCTCAGAAATCTAGGTGGAAGTTCCTAAACCCAAATTCTTGACTTCTGTGCACTTGAAGGCACAATGCCACATGGAAGTTGCCAAGGCTTGGGGCTTGCACCCTCTGAAGCCAAGGCCTGAGCTATATGTTGATCCCTTTCAAGTATGGCTGGAGTGTTGGGACAGGGGGCACCAAGTCCCTAGGGGGCACACAGCACAAGGACCCTGGGTCCAGCCCATGAAACCACTTTTTCCTCCTAGGCCTCTGGGCCTGTAATGAGAGGGGCTTCTGCAAAGTTCTATGACATGCCCTGGAGGCGTTTTCCCCATTGTCTTGGTGATTAACACTT
The DNA here is from genome assembly GCF_000001405.40 of Homo sapiens. Taxonomy (NCBI): domain Eukaryota; kingdom Metazoa; phylum Chordata; class Mammalia; order Primates; family Hominidae; genus Homo; species Homo sapiens. Next base: position 226,084,923 of record NC_000002.12, read on the forward strand.
GGGTCTTCATTACTTATGCAAATTTTTGCAGCTGGCTTGAATTTCTCCTCAGAAAATGGGATTTTATTTTCTATCTCATTGTCAGGCTGCAAATTTTCCAAACTTTTTTGCTCTGTTTCCCTTTTAAAACAGAATATCTTTAACAGCACCAAAGTCACATCCTGAATGCTTTGCTGCTTAGAAATTTCTTCCACCAGATGCCCTAAATCATCTTTCTCAAGTTCAAAGTTCCACAAATTTCTAGGGGAGGGGCAAAATGCCACCAGTCTCTTTGCTAAAATGTTTAACAAGAGTCACCTTTGCTCCAGTTCCCAACAAGTTCCTTACATCCATCTGAGTCCACCTCAACCTGGATTTAATTGTCCATATCATTATCAGCATTTTGGTCATAGCCATTCAACAAGTCTCTAGGGAGTTCCAAACTTTCCTACATTTTCTCATCTTCTTCTGAGCCCTCCAAACTGTTCCAACGTCTGCCTGTTACCCAGTCCCAAAGTTGCTGCCACATTTTCAGGTATCTTTTCAGCAGCACCCCACTCTACTGGTACCACTTTACTGTATTAGTCTGTTTTCATGCCACTGATAAAGACATACCCAAGACTGGGTAATTTATACAGAAAAAAGTGTTTGATGGACTTACAGTTCCTTGTGGTTGGGGAGGCCTCAGAATCATGGTAGAAGGCAAGGAGGAGCAAGTCATGTCTTACATGGATGGCAGCAGGCAAAAAGAGAGGGTGAGAACCAGCAAAAAGTGTTTCCCCTTATAAAACCATCAGATCTTGTGAGACTTATTGATTACCATGAGAACAGTATGGGGGAACTGCTCCCATGATTTGATTATCTCCCACTGGGTCCCTCCCATAACACATGGGAACTATAGGAGCTAAAATTCAAGATGAGATTTGGGTGGGGACACAGCCAAACCATATAAAGTTGGGTACAGCTAAGTATATAGTGATACTGGCAGTTTAATTTACTCAAACTCAAATTAGAGAAACAAACAAATACTTGATCTCAAATGTGATAAGTTCTATACATGAGGAAAAAAAGGAATTATGAAAATAATATTGGTGGCCACTATTTTATATTAGGTACTGGGATAAAATATCTTGAAGACATGGCATTTAAGTTGAGGCTAAGACAGGAAAAAGACATCATGTAAAGATGTTAAGGAGAGAATCACACGTATGAAGAACAGTTTAAGTGAAGGTCCCAGGGCAGGAAGAGCTTGCCTCTTTTGAGAAACTGAAAGCAGTCAGTGTGGATGGGAGTTTAGTCAACAGAGAGCAGTGGCAGTTGGAGTTAAGTGTGAAGAGTTACAAAGGACCCCATGGTGGCTGTTAGAACATGGTTTACAAAATAGTATTTCAAACAAGCCCTTATCTGATTTCAATATGTGTTTTGTTTCCTCTCCATTAATTTCACACCCTCTGGCCGTTTTCATATCTCTCAGATGGCTTCTGCCTTTATCATGGTGTTGTGGTAGGTCTCAGTTCCTCCCTGGGCCTGTCATTTTATATGAATTGGTAACTGAATGCTGATTATGCCTAAAGGACTGCTGCTATATAAGCAATGCTGTTTTCATTGATTTGTTGTGATTTATAATTTGAAAAGTTGAGGGAGAATGTTGAAGAGAAATTGAGTGGATGAGACAGAAGTGCTAAAGGGCAAAGAATATCAGTATCTGAATTTCCAAACGATACAAGTTGTTATGTTGTTTATTTCAACAGAATATCAGCCATACTATTAGGTGCTTCTGAGTTACGTACGAGAGTAGGTAACCTGTTTTACAGTATTTAAAGTGAAATGGCAGGTTTTGGGGATGGAGGCATCAGCACTAGAATACAGAATTCACAACACTGAAACATCCTATCAGCATAGCATTCAAAAGGGAAATTCTCAGCAATAACTTAACACATCTATAATGAAACACAAAAGTCAGTTAAGAAATATTCAAACCTGATGCATAAAATCTTATGATTTAATCACAAATATGCCATTCTAAAACTACATTAATAATAATTTATACTTAATGTAAGATATTCTAATATATCTCCTAAAAGATAGTATATGAAGCATGCAGCTTATACATACACAAAATAAGAATTTACAGTATACATTCTTCTATCCTCAGGTATTGCAAAAAAGTGATATATTTTTAGTTTTATTGCTTAACTGTCATGGGTTCCTTGGGGTGTCACTTTGCCAGTCAGAAACCTCTGTGGCTGGCGGCAACTCTGCTTGTGTTTTGCTTGCGCCTGCTGGGCTCATTCCACCCATTTGAGCCAGCAGGCTGCAACTGGCTCATACTACTGGCCTGGATCCCATACCTGCCAAGGATAAGCCAGGAGCAGAGTGGTGAGGGGTGTGTGAGCAAGTGAGCACAGGGTACAGCAACTGTGCACAGCCCAGCATGCTGGCTGCAATAGGGCAGTCATCTCCAGGTTCCAGCACAGGCAGTGGTTCCACGTGAGGCTGTGGCTAGACCAGGTGTACCACAAGCTGTACTGCTTCAGGCACTAGGGAATACAGTGGTGCCCAGAAGCTTAGAGACACTGGAAACCATAGACCCCAAAAGAGGGTGGCACAGCCCTGGCTTGGGGAGCCCTTAACTTTGGGCTCCCCAAAGTGACACAGCTCTTCTCTCCTACTTATTGCCCACCACTTAGTGAGTGAAGGAGCATGTTTCAGCCCTGTTTGTGTTACAGCTCTTTCAGTCTTGCCATTTGGTGTGTCCTAAGTTCTTGTCCCATTTCCAGGAAGAATGACGTATGCAGACAACTGGAGGGTGAACAAGGTGGAGAGGAGATTTATTGAGCGACAGAACAGCTCTCAGGAGCCCTGAAGTGGGCAGCTTCTTTCTGCAGGCAGGTTGTTCCAATGAGTGTCCAGCTTTCAGAGGAGAGGAGACCCATAGTGGGTAGCTTCTTTCTGTAGGCAGGTCATCTGGACAAGTGTCCAACTCTTAATGGAGAGGAGACCCATAGTGGCTATCTCCTTTCCATAGCCAAGTAGTCCTGATGAGTGTGTGAGACTGATTGAGTCTGGGCTTTTCGTCTGCTCTGAATGGAGAAGTGCATGCTGATTGGTCAATGGGCAGCCACAGGGCAGGCCTGGAAAAAGCACCATCCAATTGGTCAAATGGTTATCAATGAATTTCTCACTCTCAATGGTGGACTTTGCCCAGAACTGGCAGCCCAGCTTTCAGGCTTCAGGCTATCCTTGGCTTGAAAGTGAGGTTTCACCAGGGACTCGCCCCACACCAAGAAGCTCCCATAGGTCAGTGCTGAGCTGCCTTTACCCCATCCCCCTTCCTATGCTCCTTGGCACCAAAGTCCGAGGGGGCTGAGGCAACAGGAGGCTGGTGAGTCAGTGCTGCCCTGAGTGCACACACACCTGGCTGGGTTGTGACAGTGCCTGGGCTTGGCCACAACTTTGCTCTGCCCTGGAGTGGGCACCTGGAGTGGGGAAAGGCCAGGGAGCAGGACCAGGCACTTTAAGCCTGCAGGGGCAGGGAGCTTCCTGAACCCCTGAGAGTGCAAGGATGCTGGGGTCTGGAGCTAAGGTCGGGTGGCTGCAGCTGCACCCAGGAGAGTGGGCTCCTGACTCACAAACTCAGTAGTGGGCAGGGCTGTTGCCTGTTTCCAGCTACCGCCAGCTCCACAAACGGCACAACCCTGGCCATGCCCCCACCCCCCCAATGCAGCCAGCAACCTTGCAGCTGCCACTTAAGATAGGCTGTTGCTGCCATCATAAGGATAATTCTGTACGGATGATTTATTTTTATAATTTTGCATAACTAACTTTAAAAATAATTGTTGGGAGTTGAGACAACAGAAAAATAATACCACTATTCTAAAAATTTTAGAAAATATCTAAGACTGGTGATAGATTTTCACACCATAAAAACAGGAAAGAAGAATGAATTTTCATTGTATTCTGAAGTTAAGCTCCATGAACAACATGCAGTGTATAGAAGAGTCATTTAATGATCAGGCAAAGTAGCATCAATATTTTGCAGAGTTGTTTCACAATTATGAACCAAACTAAAAATTATTGATCTTATTTCAAGATCTCTTTCTTTCTCTCTCTCTGTCTCTCTCTCTCTCAACTCAGTCTTGCTAATATATTCGCTTATTTTTTTCAAAGAATTGGCATGTGACTTTGTTGATTTTCTTTATTGTAAGATTTTTAAAATAATTGTTTTTATTTTTATATTTTTATCTCTTCTATTTACTTAGACTTTGATTTGACTCTTTTTAATTACTTCTTCAGCCATAATTTAGATTATTTATTTTAAGCCATTATACTTTTTAAACAGTGGCATTTAAAACTATAAATTTTTCTTAAGTTCAGCTTTACATGCATCTGATAAATTTTGACATGTTACTTTATTATTACCATTCACATTAAAACATGATTTTTAAATTATTTTCTTGTGACTTCTGTGGCCTGTGGGAAAATTTTAAGATATTACAATGTTCTTGATTTCAAATGTAATGCTTTTTTGATCCCTGTATGATTTCATTCTTTTTAGATATATAAAGATTTATTTTGTGGGTTTTTTTAAAATAGTGTATCATTTCTCTTAGTGAATGTCTCACATGCACTTGAAAGGATGATATGTTCTGTGTGTGTAGTAGTCTTTAAATATACCTTAGTTGCTAGAATTGTTTGCATATTTTATATTTGTATTGATTTCTTGTCTATTTGTTCCATCAATTTCTGAGGAAAACATATGAAAACCCCCAAACCCCCAAATATGATTGTAGATTTGACTATTTCCCCTTTTGTTTTGCCCAATGTTTACTCATATATCGTAAAGTTCTATTATTGTTTCTGTACAGATTTAAGATTCTTGATTTTATTCCAAAGTCTGTCTTTGGAATAAAGGCAGAGACAGGCCTTCTGATGGCAAGAAACTTGGGAATTTATGTGTTATTGACAAATTTACCCTTATATCATTATAAAATGTCCCTTTTATATCTAGAAATGTTCTTTGTCTTAAAATCCACTTTGGTATTAATTTAGTAAAATCAACATTCTCTAATTACTGTTTACCTAACACACATTTCTCACCATTTTCTTTTAATCAGTTTGTGTCTTTATATGTGAGGGATATTATTTTAAAGAGCATATAGTTGAGCTCTAATTTTTAAAATTCAGCTGAAGATCTCTGTCTTTTATTTGAATATTTTATTAAATTACATTTTATGTAATATTGATATCTTTGGTTTAAGACTAACATGTTGGTTGGTTGTTTTCTCATTGTCCTATCTGTTCTTGTTCCTCTATTCCTCCTTCTCTTACTTTTGTCTTTCACCGTAAGAAACCAGAAAAATAGGAGTAATTAAACACAAAAAGTAAAAGGAAGAAGATAAAAATAGCAGACGTCATGATACAATTTTTTTTTTTTTTGAAACAGTTTCACTCTTGTCGCCCAGGCCGGAGTGCAATGGCGTGATCTTGGCTCACTGGAACCTTCACCTCGTGGGTTCAAGTGATTCTCCTGTCTCAGCCTCCTGAGTAGCTGGGATTACAGGTGCCCACCACCACCACACCCAGCTAATTTTTGTGTTTTTAGTAGAGACGGGGTTTCACTATGTTGGCCAGGCTGGTCTGGAACTCTTGACCTTAGGTGAGCCACCCGCCTTGGTCTCTCAAAGTATTGGGATTACAGGCATAAGCTACCACACCCAGCCGAAACATTTTTTTTTTTAAACCCAGTTCAGAAAAATCAATAAAACCAAAAACTGACACTTTGAAAAGTATCAGTAAAATTGATAAAACCCTTATCAGACTAATGACAAAATAATTAAATAGAAAACACATTATCATTATCAAAATTGAACGAGAAAAATCATTGCAGATACCAAAATATTAAAAAGATAACAGAGGAACGTTATAAATAACTTTATTTCAATGAATTTGTAACTTAGAAAACATGCAGAAATTTATTGAAAGGTGAAAATCACCAAAACTGGTAACAGAAGAAATAACAAACATGATTTACTTTATCAATTATGTATTGAATTAATAACAATGACAACAAAAAACTCATAAAAAACTCCAAATTCACTCATGAATTCTATCAATCATTTAAGGAACTAATAATACCAATCCTACACCAACTATTTTAGAACATGGAGGAGAAAACACTTCATAACAAATTTAATGAGGTTAGTATTATCTGATATTAAAACCAGACAACTTACTTTAGTAGAAAAGGAAAACAACAACATTAGTAGAAAAGGAAATAGACCAAGGATACCTGTCATGTATAGAGATGCAGAAATCACTAACAAAATATTAGCCAATCAAATCCAACAATACATAGAAAAGAAAACACTTCATGACCGAGTTCCTTTTATCTCAGGAATTCAAGGTCAATTTAACACTTAACTATCAGTCAATAACTGTTGTCATATTGGTAGATAACAAGATGGACAACTAGACACAAGCAAGAAGTGTCACTCCCTCTGAGAGAGACCAAATTATCAAATAAACCACCATCATTTGGGCAGGTCTTCAGAGAGAAAATGCTGAGAGTAGATGGAGAAGCAATGCTGAAGCTGAGGCTGAAGAGAAAGGTAGCTGGGAACTATACATGGGATATCCAGATGCTACAGCTAGTTCCCTGCCCCAAATGGCTCCTGGGAAAGGGGTGAGTGCAGGAACTGAGAGTCAGCTCACTCTCACCACAGACCTCTGGGATCCTACAATAGCTACAGGGGACCCTGTGTCCCCTATGGACATGTCAGCTGGCAGCGGGATCTCCCCAGGGAGCAGAAAGAGACAGGCCTTCGGACAGCAGGGAACCTGGGCACTTTTGTATGCTGTGCATCTCTGGCTGAGAGCAGCCATACAACCCCATTTCCCCAGTGCTCTTCATCTGCTGCAGGAGGCTCTGGCTCCAGCTGACCTCAAAGCCAGGAGAGAGGCTTGCCCATGGGACTGGGGCACAGCTGTTCTACAAAACCTCCTGCTTTCCACCCCCTACCAGGAGCTATGCCTAGCTGCCCTGCAAAAGTAGGTGCACAGCGCAGCCTTTGCATCCCAGCCTGAGTGTGTTGCTCCACTGGAGTACTTCCCTGGAGCAGATTGGATCCCCTAGTACAGTTGGAGCCCAATGTCAAGCTGCAAGACATCCTGGCACCTCCTCCCCATGGCTGTGGCACACATCTCAGTAGTAACAGCCAAGACCCATGTCCAGTACTTGAGCAGAGGAGAATCCTCCACTCTCAGAGCACTGACAGGGGTTAGACATTTGGGTTTCTGAGCCAGTGCACAAGTGGGGCATGCCTCCCTCCACAGAGCCAGTCCTGAAAGACTATGGTTTATATCCCTGCCACAGCCTCTGCCCAAGGGGAACCCTATGGCCTGAAACACTTAACAAAAATATGTGAGTGTAGTACCAGTAATTGTAGGTGGCTCCCCCAAGGCCCAGGAGCAGACTTGGTGAGGGGACCATCTCTCTGCCTGCCTCACCACATAGCATGCCTATGAATGTGAAGTACAAACAAGCCGTGGCTGAGTATTGACCTAGCTACCAGCCATTATTCTTAAGCATCACTTACTGGATTGCAACCCAAACGTCATCACCAGAAATTATTCTGCTATTATCTATACCTGTGAAACCAAGTGCAATAATTCATCCACACATAAAGATTCTGTACAGAGAACTGGCACTCTGAAGGCACCCAGAAACAAAGCCAACTGACTGTACTCAACTTATACCACAGTTAAAGGAGCACCAACTCTCCCAGATGAGAAAGAATCAGCACAAGAACTCTCACAATTCAAAAAGCCAAAGTACCCTCTTACCTCCAATCTACTAGCTACCTAGCACTGATTCTTCACCAGTATAAAATGAATGAAATGATAAAGAATTCAGAATGTAGATGCCAAGGAAGCTTTCTCTCATTCGGAAGAAAGTTGAAACACAATATGTGGAATCCAAGGAATCCAGTAAAACAATCCAAAGGCTGAAAAGCAAAATAATCACTTTAAGAAAGAATCAAACTAAACTTCTAGAGCTGAAAAACTCACTATAAGAATTTCATAATTCAATTGGAAGTATTATAGTAGAATAGACCAAGATGAAGAAAGAATCTCAGAGCTTGCAGACTGGTTCTTTCAGTCAACTCAGTCAGACAAAAATAAAGAAAAACTAATTTCTTAAAATGAACAAAACCTCTAAGAAATGTGATATTAGGTAAAGAGATGACATCTACAGCTCATTGGCATTCCTGAGAGAGAAGGAGAGAAAATAAGCAACTTGGAAAATATAGTCCATGAAAATATCCTAATCTCACTAGAGAGGTTAACATGCAAGTAAAAGAAATACAGATAAGCCAAACTAGATACTATACAAGGTGACCATCACCAAGGCACATAGTCATCAGATTTACCAAGGTCAATGCAAAAGGGAAAATCTTAAAGGCAGCTTGAGAGAAGGGTCAAATCACGTGCAGAGAGAACACCATCAGGCTAGCAGCAGACCTCTCAGCAGAAACCTTTCAAGTCAGAAAAGATTGGGGCCTATTTTCAGCATTCTTAAAGAAAAGAAGTTTCAAACAAGAATTTCATATCCCACCAAATTAAGCTTCATAAGTGAAGGAGAAATACAATCCTTCTCAGACAAGTAAATGCTGAGGTAATTTATTTCAACTAGACCAGCCTTACAAGAGGTCTGTAAGGGAGTGCTAAGCACAGAATTGAAAGAATGACACCTGCTAACATAAAAATACACTTAAGCACATAGCACATATGCACCATAATGCAACTACACAATAAAGTATACATAACGACCAGTAACAACATGATGACAGGATTAAAATCTCACACATCAATTCTAACCCTGATGGTAAATGAGCTAAATGTCCCACTTCACTTAAAAGACGTAAAGTGGCAAGCTGGATAAAAAGACAAGACCCAACCATCTACTGTTGTGAAAAGACCCATCTCATATGTAATGACACCCAAAGTAAAGGGATGAAGAAAAGATCTACCATGCAGACAGAAAACAAAAAGAGGAGGAGTCACTATTCTTATATCAGATAAAACAGACCTAAACCAATAAAAAACTAAGAAAGACAATGAAATACATTACATAATGATAAAGGGTATAGTCCAGCAAGAAGTCTTAACTATCCTAAACATACATGCACCTAACACTGGAGGACCCAGTTTCATAAAACAAGTTCTTCTTGGTCTATAAAAAGACTTAGACCACCAGACAATAATAGAGGGATATTTCTAAATCCCACTCACATCATGAGACAGATCATCAAGGCAGAAAACTAACAAAAAATACTCTGGCCGTAAACTCAACACTTGACTAAGTGGGCCTTATAGACCTCTACAGAGCACTTCACCCAGCAGCCACAGAATATACATTCTTCTCTTCTGCACATGGAACATATTCTCAGATCAAACACATGCATGACCATACAGCAAGTCTCAATAAATTAAAAAAAAATGAAACAATACCAAGCACAGTCTTGGACCAAAATGCAATAAAAATAGAAATTAGTATCAAGAAGATCCCTCAAAAACTACATAAACACATGGAAATTAAACAACTTGCTCCTAAATAATTCATGGGTGAACATCAAGATTAAGGCAGTTATCAAGAAATTCTTTGAAATCAATGAAAATAGTGACGCAACTAAACAAAATCTCTGGGATACAGTTGAAGCAGTGTTGAGAGAAATGTTTATAGCCCTAAACACCTTCATCAGGAAGTGAGAAAGATCTCAAATTAACACTCTAACTTTGCACCTAAAGAAACTAGAAGAAAAAAAAACCAGAGCTAGTGAAAGAAAAGAAATAACTAAAATTAGAGAAGAACTGAATAAAATTGGGATGAAAAGCCCATACAAAAGATCAGTGAAACCAGGAGTGGGTTCTTCAAAAATAAATAAATAAACAAACAAACAAACAGGATTATTACCTGACTGCCAGCTAGATTAAAAAAGAAAAAAATGAAGATTAAAATAAGTACAATCAGAAATTACAAAGATGACATTATAACAGGTCCCACAGAAATCAAAAGATCAGCAAAGAATACTGTTAACAACTCTGCAAACAAACTAGAACATCTAGAGGAAATGGATAAATTTCTGGAAAGACACAATCTCCCAAGATTAAATCAGAAAGAGATTGATACCCTGAATAGAACAATATTGAGCTCTGATATTGATTAAGTAATACAAAACTTACCAACTAAATAAACGCACTGGACCAGATGGATTCCAACTAAATTCTACAAGACATATAAAGAAGAACCTCTATCAATCCTACTAAAACTATTCCAAAAAATTGATGATGAGGCATTCCTCCCTAATTCATTCTTTGAAGCCAACATCAGCCTTCTACAAAAATCTGGCAGAAACAAAGTGAAAAATAGAAAACTTCAGCCTGATATCCCCAATGAACATAGACTCAAAAGTCCACAACAAAATACCACTAGCAAATTGAATTCAGCAGCACATCAAAAAGATAATTCACTATGATCAAGTAAGCTTTATTCCTAGGATGTATGTCTGGTTCAACTTATGCAAATCAATAAATGTGATTAATTACATAAATTTAAAAGCACACACCATATAACCATCTGAATAGATGCACAGAAAACTTTTTATAAAATTCAACATCTCATGATAAAAACCCTCAACAGACTAGACATTGAAGGAATATACCCCAAAATAATCAGACATCTATGACAAACCCCACAGCTAACAGCATACTGAAGAGGCAAAAGCTGAAACCACTCTCCTTGAGCACTGGAATAAAACAAGAATGGCTACTCTCACTGCTGCTATTCAACATAGTGCTGGAGGTCTTAGCCAAAGCAATCAGAAAAGATGAAGAAATAAAAGTCATCCAAATAGGAAAAGATGTCAAATTATCTTTCTTCACTGACAATATGATTCTATGCTTAGAAAACACTAAAGACTCCACCAAAAGACTGCTAGAACTATTAAATGATATCAGCAAGTTTTTAGGAAACAAAATCAATGTGCAAAAATCAATATCACTTCTATACACCAGTAATATCTAGGCTGATCTTCAAATCAAGAACACAATACCAATTGCAATAGCCACAAGGAAAGTTAAATACGTAGGCATATGTCTAATCAAGGAGGTGAAAGATCTCTATGAGGAGAACTACTACAAAACACTTCTGAAAGAAATCAGAAATGAAACACAAAAAATGGGAAAACATGCCATAGTCATGGATTGGAAGAATCCCTATTGTCAAAATGGCCACACTGCTCAAAGAAATTCACAGATTCAATGCTATTCCTATCAAACTACCAATGTCATTCTTTACAGAATTAAAAAAAAAAACTATTCTACAATTCACTTCTAACCAAAGAGACCTCAAATAGCCAAAGCAATCCTAAGTAAAAAGAATGAAGCTGGAGGCATCACACTACCTGACTTTAAACTATACTATAAGGTTACAGTAACCAAAACAGCATGGTGCTGGGGGAAAAAAAAAAAGACATATAGACCAATGGAAAAAATAGAAAACTCAGAAATAAAGCCACGCATCTACTACCATCAGATCTTTGACAAGGTCAATTAAACCAAGCAATGGAGAAAGAATATGCTATGCAACAAATGGTCCTGGGATAACTGGCTAACCATATGCAGAGGAATGAAACACCCTTACCTTTCACTGTAAATAAAAACAAACCTGAGATGGTTTATTGTATACTATTCTTATTACCTGGGTATAATATACCCATGTAACAAAACTGCACATTTATCCGTGGTATTGAACATAAAAGTTGAAGTCTTAAAAAAAGTCACCCTATCAATAAATAATGAAAGCAAACCACATTTCAATGGATGCATTAAAGTTGTTCATAAAAATTCAACATTCTTACATGATAAAATATTTTTAAGCAGTAGAAAAAGAAGAAAACATCCTCAATTTGATTAAGGGCATCTGTGAAATGCCTACAGATGATATCACGCTCAATGGTTAAAGGCCCATTGTTTCTAGCTAAGATCAGAAACATGCAAAGATGTCTACATTCATTACTTCTATTTAACATTTTACTCAGCATATTAACCAGTGCAACAAAGCAAGGAAAACTAAAATTAATATAGATTGTAAAAATGATTAAAACTCTCCTGTGTAGACATTATTATATTTGTAAAAATCTTGAGGACTCTACAAAAAAAAGTAAATGAATAAGTGAATTTAGCAAGGTTATAGGACACTAGGTTGCTGTAAAAAGTATTAGATTGGTGCAAAAATAATTGCGGTTTTTGCCATTAAGGGTAATAATTATAATTCCATATACTAACAATTAATAAATAAAAGATACAATTTGAAAACCAGTTATATTTAAAAGAGCATCAAAAATTAAATATTAGGAATAAATATAACAATATTTGTGCAAAAGCTGCATACTCTACAAAGCAAAAGGAAATTGGAGAAGACTTAAAGTAAGATATATACTTTGTTCATGGACTGGTGACTTAATCTTAAGAACAATTCTACTGAAATAGATTTATAGCTTCAGTGCAATCAATTATTGTTTCTTTTTTACTTTTTTACGTTTGCATCTCTATTTTTTATTTTAAAAACATTCATAACTAAATTCTAACACAATTCATTAAAGAAATTGATAAACTGTTTTTAAAAATATATTTAAATTTTAAGAAGCAGGAATATATAAAATAATTTGAAACAAACTGAAAACCTGCCTGATTGAAAGCTTATTGTAACTCTACAGTATTAAAGGCAGTTTGGAATTGGTGTGTAGATACACATAGAAATTAGTAAAACATGATAAAGAGTCCAAAAAGAAACCAATGCTCATGGTCAAATGATGTTTTTAAAAATTGCCAAGGCAATTAAATGGGGACAAAGTGAGTCTTTTGGTGCTAGAACAACTGTATATCTTCATAAAAAAAATTATTTCCAGCCCTTGCCTTACATCATACAAAAAATCAACTCTAAATGAGCTAAAGTTTCAACTTCTAGATGAAAAAAGGAGAAAAATATTTGTGACAATTAGGCAAACAATTTTCAATCTGGACACAAGTACAAACTCTTAGTGGAAAAAAAATAAAATTGGACCCAAATTTCTCCTCATTACACATTTTGCTCTTCAAAAAATATAGTTTAAAAAGCATAAGACAAGCCACAGTCTGGCAAAAATATTTTTGCAAGACATACAGGAAAGGGCTTTTCCTCACAGAAAATACATAGAATTCTTTAAATAATAAGAAAACAAACCACAGAAAAAAGGGCAAATGATTTGAATACACATTTATCAAATGAAGTGTCTGTGTCAATAAGCACAAGGAAAGGTGTTAAACATTGCAAGTTATCAGAAAAAGGCAAAGTGAAATCAAAATGCGATATCACTGCATACCCACTAGAATGGTTGATTTTAGAAATTCTGACCATACCAAGTGCTGGTGAGAATGTGAAGCAATTGTAAATCTCACTATTGCTGATAGAAATGCAAAATGGTACATATTACCATATGAGTCATCAATTCCATTCATAGGTATTTACCCAACAATTCCACCAAAAAAATCTATGCACATTTTCTTAGCAATATTATTCATAAGAGTCTGAAGTAAAAGCAACTCAAATGGCCATCAACTGATGAATGGATAAACAAATTGAGGTAAATCCATACTATAGGATGCTATTTCACAATGAAAGGAAAAAATATTAATATGTACAACAACATGGATGAACTCAAAAATTATCTTAAGTAGAAGACAAACACAATCAATCAATCAATAAGACAACATATTGTATGGTTACATATGTATGATATGCTAGGAAAGGCAAATACAGTGTGATAGAAAGAACATCAGGTTTTGTCCGATGCTGAGATTGGTGGTACAAAGGTTCTAGCTATAAAGATGCATGCAGAGTAAGCCATCCTGTATCTTTTTGTGATGATGATTAAACAATTATATATAGTTACCAAATTTTATCAAACTGTACACCTAAAATGGGTGAATTTCACTGTTTATAAATGCTACCATAAATACAACAAAATGCCACAATGCAGAATGACTACTCATATAGAAAGAGCTGTACTAGTGTGTGGAAACAAGACTGTTTGGATCTGGGAGATTATCTGTCTGTATTAGTTAGCTAGGGCTGACATAACAAAATACCATAGACTGGGTGACTTAACAGACATGTATTTTCTCACAGTTCTGGAGGATAGACGTCTAAGATCAAAGTCTCCACAGATTGGGTTTCTCCTGAGGCCTATCTCCTTGGTTTGCACATGTTGGCCTTCAGGCTGCAACCTCACATGACCTTTTATCTGTGCATGCACATCCTGGTGTCTCTTCCTCTTATAAGGACACCAGATGTATTGGATTAAGGCCCCACCCTTATGACCTCATTTAACTTTAATTACCTCTTTCAGGGCCCTATCTCCAAATAGAGCCACATGGGGAATTAGAGCTTCAACATGTGGACTGAGAGAACACACAATTCATCCATAACACTGCCAGTGAATCTTTAAGAATACATTTGAAAAAAAGTAAGTCTGTATTTTCTAGTGCTTGCATAACTGGTGCATTGTAAAAGCATTCTAAATGCTAATCTGGTAATTAAGTTCCAACTAACATATGAATTCTATAACTAAAGAGGTCATGTGAGGAGTCACTACAAAACCAAATATTTATAAACAAGATAAAAGTTAAATCTTAGATTCTGTAATGAAGAGGAACCCTAACAACCAAAATGTACTGGCATTGCCTCATCAGAAACCATTAAAAAAAACAAAGATAAGCAAGTCAAGGTTCATGATATTTTGAATTCATAGCATGGTCTAGGATACTATATTTAGTATTGTCACTGTGAAATTTGACATAGGTTTTTATCAATTCTTGTAAATTTTTAATTTATCAACCATAAAATTAGTACTAATGAAAGAAAATGTTTCTTTCATATTTTCATATTTTGTCTTATGATTCCTGACTTCATGAATTAGTATTTTTTCTAAAACATATACTGTAAGATAATGCTAAATCTAGAAGAAACTGTTTTCAAGACAGTACTCTTAAAATTACTTAGGATAACCAGTAATATCCATAGAAAACAATTGTAAAGTAAGAAAAAATTTTTCAGATAGCATACTTATTATGACATTATAGATGTTTCCATCATTTAAAAATGATAAATGAGCTGAATCTCAAAAGTGATAGTAAAGACAAATTGAATTCATGTTATGATAGAATAATGAATTAGATGACATGAATACACACTTTTTGTGTTGTATTACTATATTTCATTTGTGTAATTTTAGCACTAAAATTTGCTGCTCAAAATATTCAGAGGAATATTTGAATAATAGCTATAATACTTTGCATATACCATTTAAAATAGCTTCTGATATAAATAAATGGATTGAATAATAATCAATTGGCAAGTTATTTCAACAAAAAGAAAAATCAGTTTTATATGTTTTATAGATTAAACACAGAGATGATTAAATATACTTTTCCACCCAATTACTTTGTGTTGGTAGAGACATATTTAACATATCTCTTAATTTTTGTATATTAATTCACATAATCCAAAATGTGAATGTTAATTTATTCATATAATACCTCTCATTTACAGCATCCCTTCTTTATTGGGTGGATTGGTTTATACAAATTTTATTAAACTTTAAGAAGATTTTGAATTTGACTACTTTTGGTTTCTAATGAACTACACTGATGCTTTCTTGCACCTATATTCTTCTTCTAACTGAGGCTGGAAAGAAAAGAAAGGAAGAAAGGAAAATATTAATACTACTACTAACAATAGGGCCTGCTTGACTTGCTAACCTACATCTGTGCTATCCAATATGGCAGCTACTGGCTACATATGGTGACTGAGCACTTAAAATGTGGCTTGTCCAAACTGAGAAGTTCTGTAAGTGTAAAATACACACCCAAATTTGAAAACTTAGTATAAAAAGAAAGAATACAAAGTAGCCTGTTAATAAATTTTTCATATTGATTGCATGTTGTAATGAATATTTTAGATATACTTGAATACACCTGAATAGAAGGGATTTTTTTGATATATTGGGTTAAGTAAAATATATTATTACATCAATTTCATGTTTTTCTTTTTAGTTTTCTTTTTAATTTGCCTACTAAAAAATATAAATTTAAGTATGCATCAAGTATTACATTTTTATTGGAAAGCACTGATCTAGAAAATACTTATGTCTACTTCATTTTATTCATTCAGATAATCAACTTCTAAATTATGTTTTTATAAGATGTTAAAGAAAGCCAATGAATTACCTGATAGATGAATTTGAGAGAGGAACTGGGCAAGACCCTTATTCCTTATGGCACAAAATACCTACCAGAAAGTGGCATGCATTCTCCCCTCTTCTTCCAGGCTATATGTCTTATCTTAGCAAACTTACAGATTTGTCTATCTTGGTCCAGTGCTGCAATGGCAGAGTAGACAAATACACTGAATTCTGGGGTTCAGTATGAGGTTCATTTAGCTTTCTCTAATTTAGACCTTATGTATCATAAATCTGTTACTTGTTTGTCAAAACTCCTGAAAAAGAAGGAAAATCTATATAATGTAAATACTTTTAGTATTTATAGAAATGAGCCATAATTGTGTATTTCTGAGTTTTGCACATATTTGCTCAAAATGTATTTCTGCTACATACAAAAATTCTTATTTATTCTGCATTAATTTTATTTTGAACTTTTGATATATATATGTGTGTGTGTATATATATATATTAATGTGTATATATATATATATAAGTGTGTATATATATATATATATATATATAATAGCCATCCTAACAGGTGTGAGGTGATAAATATCTCATTGTGGTTTTGATTTGCATTTCACAGATGACTAGTATTGTTGAGCATCTTTTTCATATATCTGTTGGCCATTTGTATGTTGTGCTCGGTAAAATGTCTTTTCAGTCCCTTTGCCCATTTTTTAAAAATTGGGTTATTTAGTTTTATTGCTATTGAGTTATAGGAGTTCCTTATACTCTTTGGATATTAACTCTTTATCGAATACATGGTTTGCAAATATTATCTCATATTTTATAGATTGCCTTTTCATTTTGTTATTTCTTTTGTTGTTCAGAGCTTTTGATTTTTATAGAATCCCATTTGTTGGTTTCTGCTTTTCTTGCTTTTGCTTTTGGTAAAAATTATTGCAAAAGCCAATGTCAATAAGCTCTTTTGCTTTGTTTTTTCCTAGAAGTTTTATCTCTTCAGATTTTATGATTAGGTCTTTCACCTATTTTGAATTGGTTTTTGTGTATGGTGTAAGATAAGGGCCCAATTTCTTTCTTTTTTTTTTTTTTTTTGGCATGTGAATATCCAGATTTTTCAGCAGCATTCATTAAGGAGACTATCCTTTTCCCATTGAGTAGTCTTGATATCCTTTTTAAAACTCAGTGAACAGTCTATGCTTGGGTTATTGTAGGGCTGCCTATGTTGTTCCATTGATCTAGATGTTTGATTTTATGCCAGTACAATACTGTTTTGATTACTGTAGTTTTGTAATATATTTTGAAATTAGGAATGGTGATGCCACCAGCTTTCTTTTTCTAGCTCCTTTATTGGGCTGTTTGTGGTCTTTTCTGGCTTCATATAAATTTTAGGATTTTTTTTTTCTGTAAAAATGCCATTGGGATTATGGTAGCGATTATATTAAATATTTAACTCTTTGGGTAGTATAGACATTAAAGCAATATTAATTCTTCCAATCAATGAACACAAATGTCTTTCCATTTATTTGTGTCTTCACAAATTTAATTTATCTTGTCAGTTTTTTATAGCTTTCAATGTACAAGTCTCTCACCTCCTTGGTTGAGTTTATTCCTGAGTTATTTATTTATTTATTTATTTATTGTTAGTATTATTATAAATAGATTGTGTTCTTAATTGCTTTTTCAGATAGCTAATTGGTATTGTATAGAAACAACTGATTTTGTATATTGGTTTTTTTATTCTGCAATTTTGTTAAACTTGTTTATTAGCTCTATCAGGGATTTTTTGTGCAGTTTTAAGGGTTTTCTGTGAATAAGACCATGTCATCTGCAAAGAGATAGCAAGTATTGTCAAGAATTTGGAGAAAAGGGAACCCATGTACACAGCTGGTGAGAATATTAACTTGTGTAGCTACTATAGAAAACAGTATGGACGTTCCTCAAAAAACTAAAAATGGAACTACCATATTTGTAACAATCCCACCTCTGTGCATATATCCAAAGGAAATGAAATCAAGACCTCGAAGAGATATGTGCACTCCTACATCCATTGCAGCAGTATTTGCTGTAGCCAAACTATGGAAGCAACTTAAATGTCCATTGATGGGTGAATGAATAGAGAAAATATAACATATACCTAGAATAAAATATTAAGCCACAAAGCAGAAGGAAATCCTGTCATTTGAAATATGAATAAACCTGGTGGAGATTATGCTAAGTGAAATAAGCCAGACACAGAAGGACGAATAGTACATGATAAATTTAAGATAATGTGACATATACCTACAATAAAACATGAAGCCACAAAAAAGAAGGAAATCCTGCCATTTGCGATATGGATGAACTTGGTGGAGATTATACTAAATGAAATAAGCCAGACACAGAAGGATGAATACTACATGATACATTTATATGAGAAATCTAAAATAGTCAAACTCATAGCTGCTGAGAGAAGAATGGTGGTTGCCATTGACTGGGAAGAAGAGGAAATGGGAAGGTATTAGTTAAACGATACAAAGTTTTATTTATATAGTATGAGTAAGTTCTAGAGATTTATGGTACAGTATAGTGCCTATAGTTAACAATACTGTATTGTATGCTTAAAATTTTGCTAAGGGGGAGATTTTATGTTGTGTTATCACAATAAACAAGCTGAAATAAATACAGTGGGAGGAAACCATATGGAAACATATAGATATGTTTATGGCATAGATTGTGGTAGTGGTTTCATGAGCGTATCCTTATCTCCAAATGTAAATATGTATAGCTTTTTGCATGCCAATCAAACCTCAATAAAGTGGTTTAACAAAAGAAGCACGTTAGCTGGTTTTCCAGTTTTTTTTTTTGTTTTGTTTTTTTTGTTTTGTTTTGTTTTGTTTTGAGAGGGAGTCTCGCTCTGCCACCCAGGCTGGAGTGCAGTGGTGTGATTTCAGCTCACTGCAACCTCCACCTCCCAGGTTCAAGTGATTCTCCTGCCTTAGCCTCCCGAGTAGCTGGGATTACAGGCATGGGCCACCATGCCCAGCTAGTTTTTGTATTTTTAGTAGAGACGGAATTTCACTATGTTGGCCAGGCTGGTCTCGAATTCCTGACCTCCAGCAATCTGCCTGCCTTGGCCTTCCAAAGTGCTGAGATTACAGGCTTGAGCCACCACACCCAGCCATTTTTATAATTTTCAATCACTTATTAGTTGAATAGCTTTAGCATTCAGGGAATACATTGAATTTTTAATTATCTTCATTCCCATATATTGTGATTGTGGTGGTTAATACTGTGGGTCAACTTTATTTGATTGAAGGATGCAAAGTATTGATCTTGAGCCTGTCTGTGAGGGTGTTGCCAAAGGAGATTAACATTTGAGTCAGTGGGTTGGGAAAGGCATACCCACCCTTAATCTGGGTGGACACAATCTAATCAGCCGCCAGCTCAGCTAGGATAAAAGCAGGCAGAAGAATGTGAAAAGACTAGACTGGCCTAGCTTCCCAGCCTACATCTTTCTTCCGTGCTGGATGCTTCCTGCCCTTGAACAACGGACTCCAAGTTCCTCAGCTTTGGGACTTGGACTGGCTTCTTTGCTCCTCAGCTTGCAGATGGCCTATTGTGGGATCTTGTGATCATGTGAGTTTAATTCTCCTTAATAAACTCCTTAATAAAAAAAAAAAAAAAATATATATATATATATATATATATATATATATATCCCATTACTTCTGTCCCTCTAGAGAACCCTGACTAATACAGTGATATTCAGTTAGGATTTTCAGAAAGTGCAGTGTTTTTTATGATGTATGATAAACCAGGATGAAAGCAATGACTTAGCTGTTGAAAAATAAGACTAACACAACCCTATTTTTTGTTTAATAAATTACATGTATTTTTTCCACTAGTATTATTCTACCTATTTTTCACACCCTATTTGATACAGATAGAAAGCGTATTATTCATTGAGCCTCAGTGTCTGTCATCTCTAATTATATAAAATCAGGTGGTATGTTTGCAGCCAACTCTACAAGCATTTTATTAATCCCCACATTCTTATAATTTCAACTCAAATTATAGATGAGTTCCCCTAAAAATGAATGTCTGGAGTTTAAATAGTGAAATAAAAACATGTGAGCAGTCAACAATCAAGCAATGGGCTTTTTCAGTGTATTAAATAAATATCTAACTCTCCTTAACCTGAAGGGGATTTTTTTGACCTACTGTCATTTTTTATAATGTTTTATACTTCTGTTATATTATAGTAGTACTGTTTATGTTCC
Source organism: Homo sapiens (assembly GCF_000001405.40). Classification (NCBI taxonomy): domain Eukaryota; kingdom Metazoa; phylum Chordata; class Mammalia; order Primates; family Hominidae; genus Homo; species Homo sapiens. The sequence goes on from NC_000002.12 coordinate 226,105,450, forward strand.
TGTAGTTAAATCAGGGTCAGAGTTTCTATTAAAGTGATCTCATTTGATGGAGGTAGGCAAATGACAGTCTTCTAATATACCTATGACATCCGTTGGCTTAAAAAAATATAAGGTTAATATTTAAAAATGCTAGAATTTGATAAATTGGTTGATTATTCTCTTGATGCTTGAAATATTTCATTTAGCAACTATATTTAGAGATTTGTAATATAGCCATGAAATTTGTTCTGAATTACATCTTAAACACCATCTACTACATATAAATATATGTATCTTTTTCTTTTTTTCTGAGAAATGTCCTTAAATGTTTTATGCTATTAACTCAGCTCAATTAATTACTTTAATAACCTCCAAACCACTAGAATATTAAAAATACACATTTCTGAAAGAATGCAATACATTTTACATTGTAGGTAACTAAAACGGAATAAACATGGACTAATGAGATATATTTAAGCAACCATAAAGAGTCAGATATCTCAAAGCTTATGCTGTAACATCATTGGTCTTCCTATGCCCACAGTGTCTCCTTCCTTACAGAAATACTGAGAACAAGTGATTGTACTGAATTGTGTAGACATAGATCAGACTGCGGTGATCCATCCTACAAAACTTAAATTAAATTAAGAAAATAATTATTTACTGCCCTAAGTATATAGCACTGTATTGGGGATGAATGGGAATGCCAACATGAAAACAATACAAACTCTAACAACAAAAAGTCCACCATCTAATGTGTGGTGAAGGGGCTGCATGGAATGATAGTGATGACATAAATGCAGAAATAAAAAATAAAGACTAATTGTACTTAAAAAATGAGGAACATGGGATGCTGTAGATTTTCTGCAGAGATAGTTCATAAGTGTTTAGGAGAATTTACATAAATTCAAATATTTTATGTATCTGTTTCCCTGTTCCTTGGAACCTTGATTAGATTTAGCTCAAATATCTTACAAAATCTACCTTGTCTCTTAATTTATTTGTCAAATATTCTATTACTTATTTTAAGAGCCACAGATATCTATGTCTGTGTATCCACATCTAAATCTAAGTGTAGAATTGCTATATTTTGGATAATTTATTTATATATTCATTCCAGTTCATTAATTTTCTCTTCAACAGTGTCTAATCTACTATAAATCTATTCATTGAGTTTTTAAATTGCAAATATTATAGTTGTCATCTACAGAAGTTCTATTTGTCACTTGGTAATGAATTTTTCCCATTTTCCCATTTTAAATATCTAACATAATTTCTTTAAAATGTCAAATACTAGATAATTTGCAAACTGTGTCTAATAGTTAAATATCTGAAACTTCACAAATCAATGTTAGCTCTATGTGATATTTCTTCTGCTCTCTCTATGATGCCTTTTTCCTTAACTGTTTTGTGGGTTCTTAGCTGTAACCTGCTCATTTTTCTTGACACATTATCTATAAGAATTCTTAGAAGACTGGAATAAAGGGGAATCTTCCAGAGTGATATATATTTGCCTCTTCCAGTAACCTGGGTTGTATTCACAGACTGAGACTCCTTTAAGCTTATTCTTAAATTACCCAAGTAGTAAGAATGTGGCTGAGTTTCTGCATGAATCTTAGCTTGTAATTACAAATTATCAGGGCATTTTTTTTTCTTAGTTTCAACCCCAAAGTAAAATATATAAGAAAAAATCATGTAACAAATATCAGAACTCCTAATTACATTTATTTTTCTTTTCTAATTTCTATTCTGATATTATTTATATGTCTTAGATCTGAAACTTTCTGTATATTGGCATGTTACTAAGAAAATCAAAGTTTATTACATATAAGAATTAAATGGGGGGGTGGGGTGGAGCCAAGATGGCCAAATAAGAACAGCTCCAGTCTACAGCTCCCAGCATGAGCGAGGCAGAAGATGGGTGATTTCTGCATTTCCAACTGAGGTACTGGGCTCATCTTACTGGGGAGTGTCAGGAACGGGGTGCAGGACTGAGCCAAAGCAGGGCAAGGCATCACCTCACCTGGGAAGCACAAGGGGTCAGGGAATTGCCTTTCCTAGTCAAAGAAAGGGGTGACAGATGGCACCTGGAAAATCGGGTCACTCCCACCCATTACTGCGCTTTTCCAACGGTCTTAGCAAACGGCACACCAGGAGATTATATCCCGTGCCTGGCTCAGAGGGTCCTATGCCCACGGAGCCTCGCTCATCGCTAGCACAGCAGTCTGAGATCAAACTGCAAGGTGGCAGCAAGGCTGTGGGAGGGGCGCCTGCCATTGCTGAGGCTTGAGTAAGTAAACAAAGCTGCTGGGAAGCTCTAACTGGGTGGAGCCCACTGCAGCTCAAGGAGGCCTGCCAGCCTCTGTAGACTCCACCTCTGGGGGTAGGGAATAGCCAAACAAAAGGCAGCAGAATCCTCTGCAGACTTAAATGTCCCTGTCTGACAGCTTTGAAGAGAGTAGTGGTTCTCCCAGCACACAGCTGGAGAACTGAGAATGGACAGACTGCCTCTTGAAGTGGGTCCCTGACCCCCAAGTAGCCTAACTGGGAGGCAGCCCCAGTAGGGGCAGACTGACACCTCACATGGCCGGGTAATCCTCTGAGACAAAAATTCCAGAGGAACGATCAGGCAGCAACATTTGCTGCTCTCCAATATCCGCTGTTCTGCAGCCTCTGCTGCTGATACCCAGGCAAACAGGGTCTGGAGTGGACCTCCAGCAAACTCCAACAGACCTGCAGCTAAGGGTCCTGACTATTAGAAGGAAAACTAACAAATAGAAAGGACATCCACACCAAAACCCCATCTGCACATCACCATCTTCAAAGACCAAAGGTAGATAAAACCACAAAGATGGGGGAAAAACAGAACAGAAAAACTGGAAACTCTAAAAATCAGAGTGCCTCTCCTCCTCCAAAGGAACGCAGCTCCTCACCAGCAATGGAACAAAGCTGGATGGAGAATGACTTTGACGAGTTGAGAGAAGAAGGCTTCAGACGATCAAACTACTCTGAGCTAAAGGAGGAAGTTCAAACCCATGGCAAAGAAGTTAAAAACCTTGAAAAGAAATTAGAGGAATAGCTAACTAGAAGAACCAATGCAGAGAAGTCCTTAAAGGACCTGATGGAGCTGAAAACCAAGGCACGAGAACTACGAGATGAATGCACAAGCCTCAGTAGACGATTCGATCAACTGGAAGAAAGGGTATCAGTGACGGAAGCTCAAATGAATGAAATGAAGTGAGAAGAGAAGTTTAGAGGATAAAGAATAAAAATAAACGAACAAAGCCTCCAAGAAATATGGGGCTATCCAAGAAAAGACCAAATCTACGTCGATTGGTGTACCTGAAAGTGATGGGGAGAATGGAACCAAGTTGGAAAACACTCTGCAGGATATTATCCAGGAGAACTTCCCCACCAATCTAGCAAGGCAGGCCAACATTCAAATTCAGGAAATACAGAGACCGCCACAAAGATACTCCTTGAGGAGAGCAACTCCAAGACACATAATTGTCAGATTCACCAAAGTTGAAATGAAGGAAAAAATATAAAGGGCAGCCAGGGAGAAAGGTCAGGTTACCCACAAAGGGAAGCCCATCAGACTAACAGCTGATCTCTCGGCAGAAACTCTACAAGCCAGAAGAGAGTAGGGGCCAATATTCAACATTCTTAAAGAAAATAATTTTCAACCCAGAATTTCATATCCAGCCAAACTAAGCTTCATAAGTGAAGGAGAAATAAAATACTTTACTGACAAGCAAATGCTGAGAGATTTTGTCACCACCAGGCCTGCCCTAAAAGAGCTCCTGAAGGAAGCACTAAACATGGAAAGGAACAACCAGTACCAGCCACTGCAAAACAAGCCAAATTGTAAAGACCGTCAAGGCTAGGAAGAAACTGCATCAACTAACGAGCAAAATAGCCAGCTAACATCATAATGACAGGATCAAATTCACACATAACAATATTAACCTTAAATGTAAATGGGCTAAGTGCTCCAATTAAAAGACACAGACTGGCAAATTGGATAAAGAGTCAAGCCCCATCAGTGTGCTGTATTCAGGAAACCCATCTAACATGCAGAGACACACATAGGCTCAAAATAAAGGGATGGAGGAAGATCTACCAAGCAAATGGAAAACAAAAAAAGGCAGGGGTTGCAATCCTAGTCTCTGATAAAACAGACTGTAAACCAACAAAGATCAAAAGAGACAAAGAAGGCCATTACATAATGGTAAAGGGATCCATTCAACAAGAAGAGCTAAGTATCCTAAATATATATGCACCCAACACAGGAGCACCCAGATTCATAAAGCAAGTCCTTAGAGACCTACAAAGAGACTTAGACTCCCACACAATAATAATGGGAGACTTTAACACCCCACTGTCAACATTAGACAGATCAATGAGACAGAAAGTTAACAAGGATATCCAGGAATTGAACTCAGCTCTGCACCAAGTGGACCTAATAGACATCTACAGAACTCTCCACCCCAAATCAACAGAATATACATTCTTCTCAGCAGCACACCGCACTTATTCCAAAATTGACCACATAGTTGGAAGTAAAGCACTCCTCAGTAAATGTAAAAGAACAGAAATTACAACAAACTGTCTCTCAGACCACAGTGCAATCAAACTAGAACTCAGGATTAAGAGTTCCATGTAGTTGATCAAAACCGCTCAACTACATGGAAACTGAAGAACCTGCTCCTGAATGACTACTGAGTACATAACGAAATGAAGGCAAAAATAAAGATGTTCTTTGAAACCAACGAGAACAAAGACACAACATACCAGAATCTCTGGGACACATTCAAAGCACTGTGTAGAGGGAAATTTATAGCACTAAATGCCCACAAGAGAAAGCAGGAAAGGTCTAAACTTGACACTCTAACATCACAATTAAAAGAACTAGAGAAGCAAGAGCAAACACATTCAAAAGCTAGCAGAAGGCAAGAAATAACTAAGATCAGAGCAGAACTGAAGGAACTAGAGACACAAAAAACCCTTCAAAAAATCAATGAATCCAGGAGCTGGTTTTTTGAAAAGATCAACAAAATTGATAGACCACTAGCAAGACTAATAAAGAAGAAAAGAGAGAAAAATCAAATAGACGCAATAAAAAATGATAAAGGGGATATCACCACCGATCCCACAGAAATGCAAACTACCATCAGAGAATACTATAAACACCTCTACGTAAATAAACTAGAAAATCTAGAAGAAATGGATAAATTCCTCGACACACACACCCTCCCAAGACTAAACCAGAAAGAAGTTGAATCTCTGAATAGACCAATAACAGGCTCTGAAACTGAGGCAATAATTAATAGCTTACCAATCAAAAAAAGTCCAGGACCAGATGGATTCACAGCCGAATTCTACCAGAGGTACAAGGAGGAGCTGGCACCATTCCTTCTGAAACTCTTCCAATCAATAGAAAAAGAGGGAATCCTCCCTAACTCATTTTATGAGGCCAGCATCATCCTGATACCAAAGCCTGGCAGAGACACAACAAAAAAAGAGAATTTTAGACCAATATCCCTGATGAACATCGATCCAAAAATCTTCAATAAAATACTGGCAAACTGAATCCAACAGCACATCAAAAAGCTTATCCACCATGATCAAGTGGACTTCATCCCTGGGATGCAAGGCTGGTTCAACATACACGAATCAATAAACGTAATCCAGCATATAAACAGAACCAATGACAAAAACCACATGATTATCTCAATAGATGCAGAAAAGGCCTTTGACAAAATTCAACAACGCTTCATGCTAAAAACTCTCAATAAATTAGCTATTGATGGGACGTATCTCAAAATAATAAGAGCTATCTATGACAAACCCACAGCCAATATCATACTGAATGGGCAAAAACTGGAAGCATTCCCTTTGAAAACTGGCACAAGACAGGGATGCCCTCTCTCACCACTCCTATTCAACATAGTGTTGGAAGTTCTGGCCAGGGCAATTAGGCAGGAGAAGGAAATAAAGGGTATTCAATTAGGAAAAGAGGAAGTCAAATTGTCCCTGTTTGCAGATGACATGATTGTATATCTACAAAACCCCACTGTCCCAGCCCAAAATCTCCTTAAGCTGATAGGCAACTTCAGCAAAGTCTCAGGATACAAAATCAATGTGCAAAAATCACAAGTATTCTTATACACCAATAACAGACAAACAGAGAGCCAAATCATGAGTGAACTCCCATTCACAATTGCTTCAAAGAGAATAAAATACTTACGAATCCAACTTACAAGGGATGTGAAGGACCTCTTCAAGGAGAACTACAAACCACTGCTCAATGAAATAAAAGAGGATACAAACAAATGGAAGAACTTTCCATGCTCATGGGTAGGAAGAATCAATGTCATGAAAATGGCCATACTGCCCAAGATATTTTACAGATTCAATGCCATCCCCATCAAGCTACCAATGACTTCCTTCACAGAATTGGAAAAAACTACTTTAAAGTTCATATGGAACCAAAAAAGAGCCCACATTGCCAAGTCAATTCTAAGCCAAAAGAACAAAGCTGGAGGCATCACCCTACCCGACTTCAAACTATACTACAAGGCTACAGTAACCAAAACAGCATGGTACTGGTACCAAAACAGAGATATAGACCAATGGAACAGAACAGAGCCCTCAGAAATAATGCCACATATCTACAACTATCTGATCAATGACAAACCTGACAAAAACAAGCAATGGGGAAAGGATTCCCTGTTTAATAAACGGTGCTGGGAAAACTGGCTAGCCATGTGTAGGAAGCTGAAACTGGATCCCTTCCTTACACCTTATACAAAAATTAATTCAAGATGGATTAAAGACTTAAATGTTAGATCTGAAACCATAAAAACCCTAGAAGAAAACCTAGGCAATACCATTCAGGACATAGGCATGGGCAAGGACTTCATGTCCAAAACACCAAAAGCAATGGCAACAAAAGCCAAAATTGACAAATGGGATCTAATTAAAGTAAAGAGCTTCTGCACAGCAAAAGAAACTACCATCAGAGTGAACAGGCAACCTACAGAATGGGAGAAAATTTTTGCAATATACTCACCTGACAAAGGGCTAATATCCAGAATCTACAATGAACCCAAAGAAATTTACAAGAAAAAAACAAACAACCCCATCAAAAAGTGGGCAAAGGATATGAACAGACACTTCTCAAGAGAAGACATTTATGCAGCCAAAAGACACATGAAAAAATGCTCATCATCACTGGCCATCAGAGAAATGCAAATCAAAACCACAATGAGATACCATCTCACACCAGTTAGAATGGCAATCATTAAAAAGTCAGGAAACAACAGGTGCTGGAGAGGATGTGGAGAAATAGGAACACTTTCACACTGTTGGTGGGACTGTAAACTAGTTCAACCATTGTGGAAGTCAGTGTGGCGAATCCTCAGGGATCTAGAACTAGAAATACCATTTGACCCAGCCATCCCATTACTGGGTATATACCGAAAGGATTATAAATCATGCTGCTATAAAGACACATGCACACGTATGTTTATTGCGGCAATATTCACAATAGCAAAGACTTGGAAACAAGCCAAATGTCCAACAATGATAGACTGGATTAAGAAAATGTGGCACATATACACCATGGAATACTATGCAGCCATAAAAAAATTATGAGTTCATGTCCTTTGTAGGGACATGGATGAAACTGGAAACCATCATTCTCAGCAAACTATTGCAAGGACAAAAAACCAAACACCGCATGTTCTCACTCATAGGTGGGAACTGAACAATGAGAACACGTGGACACAAGAAGGGGAACATCACACTCCAGGGCCTGTTGTGGGGTAGGGGGAGAGGGGAGGGATAGCATTAGCAGATATACCTAATGTTAAATGATGAGTTAATGGGTGCAGCACACCAACATGGCACATGTATACATATGTAACTAACCTGCACGTTGTGCACATGTACCCTAAAACTTAAAGTATAATAATAATAAAAAAAGAATTAAATAGAGAAGTGCAGGTGGTGAATTTATGTATTTTGATTGTGATATTTATTGACATATCCTCTCAAAAATATTTATTATAAGGAATGAGCTTATAAGATTATGGAGGCTGAGACTCCCAAAATCTATTGGAGACGCGGGAGAGATGATTGTATAATTCCAGTCTAAAATCCAAAAGTTGGCAGAGGCTGGAGACTAGGACAGCCAACATTTTGGTTTGAGTCTAAAGATGAGTAAAGACTGATGTCCCAGCTCATGCAGTCAGGCAGGAAAAGTTTCTTCTTATTTGTGGGAGGGGGCAGGCTTTTTGTTGTATTCAAGCCTTCAACTGATTGGAGGAGGGCCACCCACACTGGGGAGAGCAATCCGTTTTACTCAGTGTACTGACTGATTCAAATGTTGATTTCATCCAAAAATCCTCACACATACAGAATAATGTTTGACCAAATATCTGAGCAGCCCATGGTTCAGTCAAATTGACACATAAAATTAACCATCATGCATCCTTTGTGACTTACAGCTCATAATTTGTGAGTGAGAGCTCACAATTTGTATATATATTCACATACATGCATATATATCTATATATTTAAATATTTATATATTTATATATTTATATATTTATATATAAATATTTATATATTTATATATTTACACATGTATATATAGTTACATTACGTAGACACATTAAGCTTTCCCTCTATAGTAAATTCTGACCATTCAAGGCATATGACCATATCTTTATTCTGAAAAAACTGAATCACAAGAGCCAGCCAATTACTAGATGTGTTGAATGATTTCTTAATATAGTTTTGAAAAAAAAATACAGTTCAGTGATATAGTCCATGGCCTCAAGATATTTGTATGTTGCAGAAAGTAAGCTTTACGCTAGCATCCCAGTTGGACAATCATATTAAATCATAGAACAGCAATTTTATTATCAAGCAGTTATGTTTGTCTCATAGAAATTTGGCCATATTCTGCATTTTTCTCTTTAAAAATTACTCACTATGTGATATGAGTGATAGACAAGGAGTTTTGTTACCCAGATCCTCTTCAGAAATGGACTGTTGCCTCTACTGCTGCTGCTGACCACATGCCTGGTCTAGCTGTCAGCTCCTTTAGGTGCCTCCTCAGTGAGCGATCTGGCTAAGGTCACGTCCTTTCCATAGTAGCCCACATCCAGTGACTGACCTCTGGCGGGTACTAAAGTGCAGTCATTCTGACTCCTGGGGAACAAGCCTGTTAAGCCATACGCACTCCAAAACTCCCTGCACACTCGGCCAAGGCTTTGTTGGGCTTGCCTCAATGTTTGACTTCTCTCTTTGCCTACTCTTACTGCTGACCCCTCCCTTCCCCAGGTGTTGGTCCCTGATCAATATCCTTCATATCAAACTGTGCTCAATCTCTGCCTTTAAAGATTACAATCTATAACCATATAGAAATCAGAAGGGAAAAATGTTTATAAAGTGGATAAATACATGGTTTATTTTTGATATTGGTTTTCTGTGTCTAATGTTACAGGGATGTGATTATTTTTAAAAGTCTACACATGCTTTCAGATACTTATTTTTTCAAAGCTACACAATGGGGTATAACTTCTATCAGCTTCTCCAGCCCCAAGTACAAATTTGAAAGTGATTATTTCAGACTCTGTTGCTATTGCTGTAACCTGTTCTCCAGTGAATTAGAATAATGGGAGTTGGGTACATCCTCTGTGGCAGTAAAGTTGGCTCTGCTAGTACACAGGGTATTATCTTCTTTGTAATGCTTGCAAGAAGAAGATCAAAAGTAGCTCCGATCTTCATCTTAAACCATAGATTATGAGTCAACCAGGGTTGGCCCAAGATAAATATCTGATGTGTGGTTAGTCATATGGTGAGTCAGTGTTCTAATCAGTGGTAGAGTTAATCAGTCGGGGTTACTCACCATGCCTAACTTTCATGCACTCCTTCCAGAGGGAAAATACATGCATTCTTTTGGCATATTTGGTTTTGCATGTACATCATTATGTTTCTCCTCCCACTACCACAAGAAAAAGATATTAATTGTAGTAAAAAATAAAGTTATAAACTTCTGGCAAGCTAAAACTGAGAACAGGTTATCAAAGGGATGTGTGCCTGTTCACTTTTAGAAGTGTATTAGGTCTTTCATAGCTGAGAAAGGACAGAAATAGGGAGATAAAGTCGTTCACCTCAGATCACAAGCTAAATTGGTGGTAAAGGCTGGACTAGAATCTAGATGTAATGGGTAACTTTCACCCACATTATGTCAGTCCCATTTAGACTTCCTTGGTTGACTAGTATTGATGTAACCAAAAAGACATCTACTCAAAATTCAATATTCTAATGGTAGTTATTGAGAACTTACTATCTGTCTGGTCCTGTTTAAAGAGTAGGACATATAGCAGTGAATCAGGCACTTTTTTTTTTTTTTTATCAAGAACTTTCTGGCAAAGATATATATTTTGTTCCTGCGAGAGGCCATTTGTTGCATATCAACAGCCAGATAAGCCTTAAACAAACAGGTAATAAAAAGGACAGTCTTGGCTACTCTTTTTGTGATTTAATCTAGAACAACATTTCTCTCTTGGTATTTACTTCATCAGGCTGATGTAAGGACTTGCTACTGCATTCATTGTCAGCAATGGTCACAGCAGGCCTGAATACTTTTTTGTTGTTGTTAACTGTATTTAAAGGTGTTGTACCATTCACTTGCAAAGAAACTGTTTTTATCAAATGAGATTTTGCTTTGGAAGAATGGCAATGCAATTCAGCCATGTTTTTTTCTAAATTAATGTAACATTTGCATAATAATATTTTAAAGTAATTGCTTGGGCCACTTTCTTTTTTTATTTTTTGCAGAAGAACTAGCAGATCGCTGTTAGAAAAACATTTGTTAAATTTCCAAATCATAATGTATTTTAGTGGTGAGAGGAGCTCAGTAAAGGAAATTAAAGGCATCGTGGACTCCACAGAGCATGGAACACAATGAGCTCTCAAAAAGTCATTTGTTGGCAGATATTGTTATTCTCATTTTACAGCATTCTGTGTATCTCCTTTATATCACTTATTACAATTAGAATTAATCCTATTCAATTACTTCCGGAGAAGCACCATGGTTAAGTGGCTAAGAGGATGAACTCAGAAGCCAGTTTAGCAGGGCTCATTCCTGCATTTCTGCTCCCATCACCTACTAGCAATATATAGCTTTGGATATGTTACTAAACTTCTATGTGTCAATTCCTTGAATGTAAATAAGTATAATGTATTACCTATAGCGTTATTATAAGATTTAAATTAGGTAATATTTGTGAAGTACTTGGAACAGTGCTCAGTGTATATAATAAGTATTATGCAACTATTTATAAAATGAATAAAAAATTAAAATTTTCCTTTCTTACTAGTCATACTGATAGAAAGTAGAACATATCAGTCTTAGTTACTGATTCTCATCTTCTCATCTTCTGTAGTTATGTTTCCAAGTTAGTTGTTCAATAAATTATTATTGAATGAATGAATGCATTAAAGTTTTAAGGCCCATAAATGGTGAAAAGATCCATCAAGATCATTTGTCATGATTCTATAGATTCTTCAATAGAATAGTAGGGCTAGTGCTACTACTGATTCTGTGTACCTTCCTTGTTGTTAGACAAATATTATTTCATTTGACATTAAAACAGCCTTAAAATGTAAATATCAAATCTCCACCTCACAGGTAAGGCAGCTGAAGTTTGAAGAAGTTAAATAACTTATCAAAAGTTTGGACAGAACCTACAATCAAAACCACGTCCTTTTGATGCCGAAGTTCATTTTCTTCCATGCTACACAGTCTTACATCAAGACAGCGTGTTGGCTGATATCAGACAGAGAAGACTAAAATCCACAAGGGGAAATTTATGGAGGTATGAGAAAAATATTACAGAATGTATTGTATATGGATTTGTCTTTCAAAAGATGTGTCTCCTAGTTTTCCTTCCAAGCAAATGTCAAGCCCAATGATATTAGCAATATTCCACATTACTTACTAACATTTTTTTACTAATGTCAATTTATTACAAAGGTAAAGCCAAAGTATGAGGTCATTGCAGTTCAGTTCATAAAATACAATTAAGCAAGCTATTCGTAGGTTTGAAGTACAGGATTAACAAAAAAATGCATATGAAATATTTTACCAATGATAAATTAACAAGAAGGCCAGTTTAATTTGATATAGCTCAAGTGCAATAAAACAAAGTCAAAAATCGTTACATCCTTAGTCATAAACCATAGTATGTAAACTATAATGCATAAGCCATATATGCTCAGATCAGATGAATTTGGAAAGTGAGGGAAAATAAGCAGCCTAGACAACTGTTGAAAACCATGCAAAGCTACCAATGGAATTCTATGATCAAGCTAGGAATTCGCTGGGCCTGGAGAAGTTAAGTAGCAATGCTGCAGGAGGGATGGAATAGACTGGCACAAGCACATCTTATCTGTTCTTCCTGAATTGAGCTTTGTATACTATCAGATTCCACTATACTAGAATGTCTTATATTTGGACTATGTAGAGTACATTGAGCTGAGGGCAATAACAAGTATGAAACACAGCAGGATTTTGAAAAAGATTAATATGTCAGCTTAAGGTAGCAACCTGATCCACTTATTACCTCCATTAAATAGCTATAATTGATTATTCATCATTTCAAAACTTATCTCCAAAAAATAATAGCATGCTTACCCTATCACACCTGGACTTTGAGTGCATTCTACTCTATTTAAAAACATTGTTTTGAATTCTTTTTATGTCACAATCACTTCACAAAATCTAAAAGAAGTCAGAGATACTACCAGGGGCAAAACACACTTGCCCCCTGCTTCTCATTTGTCCTATTTAGACTGGATCCATATTTTTGTCTTGTTTAGTAGTAAAAATAAAAGTAAAAGGGGGTGCTTAGAAATCATAGATTGTATTCCAAAACAAACAAGCAAAAACAAACAAACATAAAGCCAGACCCTAACTCTCAATTTCATCAAAAAGTAGCAGAACTCTCTTTCATGGCAAGAACAGTGCAAGCTTGTCCTTTGGAAATTCTTCTGAATCAACAAAAGTACGTGTGACTGAATCGTGTGGCCAAGATGGAATGCTGTGGCAATACAAATTACAGAGAAGATGCACGGCTTTTCATCTGCTGCCCTCACCCGCAGATGTCTGTGGGATGAAAGTAGTAGTCACTGCCAGCCACCCCAGTCCTGCTGTTCTGACACCCTGTAATCGTTTGCTGTATTCATTACCTCCCTCATCATCCACTAAGCCTCCTCTTAGGGGTACTTTATGGTACACATTTCACTTTAAAAAATTAAGTCACATCACGATTAATTTTGCCTCGAGGATTTCACAACATCCTTTGAGCTCACAGTAACCCTGAGGATATTGTGCAATTGGAGTTGGGACTCTCTTGCCTAAGTTATAACTTTGTGAAAGAAAGTGGGTGAAAGTGGGGGAGTTGTTCTTGCTTAAGACAATTGAGTGGATATTAAGCAAATACACAGGGGTAGGTTTAAAAGTGACTGGCAAATCTGGTAAAACTTTATACATCTCGAGTTATCATTTTTAATGTTCTCACCTTCTTACAGTATTTTTACAGGCAGTATGCTTTTGCTTGTCCTAAGTAAAATAGCACGCTTTTTTTCTGTTTTTCTCTGGGGCATGTCTTCTGTATGCTAATCTGACTCATCATTGTTAATTTAAAATATTATAAATAAGCAAATACATGACTCAATAAATGTGATGAGTAAGGAGAAACTGGTGTTTGCCTAGCCAGCTCAGACCTACATTTTAATTAAAAAGCATGTCTCATACACCATCAATATGTTTTCAAGTGACCTGTCATGACCAGTTCTAATCACAAGCATGCCATTCACTCTTTCATAATAAATTGGCAGATTATGCTAATAAAAGAAAGGGAAGCTATCAATTTTACGGGTGCCAGACAAGCTATGCCATTGATTTTATAATTTATGACATGCACTTGCAAAATAAAGGTGGCTAAGGAAAGAGTTTCATAAACAGGATAAAATGCTACAGGAGAATAATCAATTAGATTAGTCGACAAATAAGTGGATAAAAACGTTATGAAAATGTTATGCTTTCCTAATGGTCAAACATTCAGGGATTCAGTGTCATATTATATCTGTAAAATCCCACAACAAAAAGGTCTGTGTTAATGGCAGCTATATGTCAATTTTTAAGATTGGCTAATTGGTATTTTTAAAAGTATTTGGCTGGAAAATCACAAAGATTCAGTTGATTGGGACTCAAAAATTCTTTGTTCAAGAGAAAAAGAAGTCATAATACAGGTTGCTATTGATTACACCAATAAAATGTTAAAAATTACTATATGGCACAGTGTTTTGTGACTTTACGGCCTTTGTCTATGGAAAAACCATTTAGGTTAGTTCACATTTTTATAGAAAATGAGAGTTTGCAATGGAAATAGGAACTTGGGAGCTCACAGAAAAATCAGGGGTAGACTTGGGATCAGATAAGACATTCTACCTAAATAAGCATGGTTAAATACACATTATGTCTTACATTTCAAGCCAAAACTAGTTGTTTGCTTTTGATTAAAAGATTAGATTTTGTTCTGAAGTCCAGTTTCAATATTTTAGTTTTGTCATTAAATTGTTTCTAAATTGAAAAACTTTTGATAAAACTAGAAAAAATAAGTATACTTATGCTATGTTATTTATTAATATGAACAAAAATCAATTTGTCTAAGCTTTGCTCATCTAAAAATATATATGTATAGCAGACAAAGCAATGCAAATTAAACATTTTAAATCTTATACTTGCATTCAACAATCTTTATCTTGTGTAGCGTTAACGCACATACACATACATATGTATATGCACACACACACATATTCCTAATACCTAAACACAAGTCAATGTTCATCCAAAGAGTAACAGATCATCGATTACTTCTAGAAATTTCCTGATACCTTTATTATACTGATGTTTATCATATTGGATAAATGCTTGTCTTATGGAACTCACAGCACTTTGCATCCAATCATCATGTATTTGGCCACCGTTTCAACAGGGTGAAAATTTAAATGTATTATTGATTACAAATGGTCTTATTTAGGTAATTTCAAGAATATTAAATGTTATGTTGCCCCAAATTGTTATATCTCAGTTAATGGTGAAGTGATATGACTTTGAATGCTATGTAATGGCTCCATAATATTTTTTTTGTAAATATAATCTCTAGATCAATTATTAAAATCAGCTAATAATTGGTTGTTTTCAGGTAAAATTGATAGTTTTTAAAACATTCAAAATAAGTCCATTTGAAAGTCATTCAATTTTGTTAAGAAATCTTTTGCTGAATATTTGTGAAATATGGATATTAAATAACTTTTGCAACCATAGTATCCACTCATGTTGCAGGTTATTCTTTCTTGTTGTGGTTTTAATCTCCCCACAAAACTAAAAAAAAAAAAAAAAAAAAAAAAAATTAGCTACAGATTTGAAGTGATATTTATTTTGCATATGCAAACTATGGGACTCAGCTGATGGATAAGGATGTGTATGCAGTGTTGTTCTATCCATCATCAAATTCACTTCTCAACTTTTTTTAATAAGCAAAATAATAGTTTTAAATAAAATACAAGTTGATGATACACTGTCTGGAACAATTACCAACTAGATTTGTGTCCCCAGTAGTAGCCCCTCATTGGTTCCACTGGTTTCCTGTAATTATTCTGGATCAAAGGACTTTTCATGAAAGAATCATTATTAAGTGTTTTACAAAAGCATTTTTCCTGTTTAGGGTTAGTTCCTCAAAATTCATCTTGGCCGCACAACTCTAACGCTGTCTTGTGTTTGAACACTTTAAACAACCCCCTCCAGATTCGTCTAGAGCCTGAAATTAGGTTTATTTTTCTCTCTTTTTTTTCGACCTTTAAAAAAATAAGTAATATTACTAACTGGTCTGAAATATGATCCTTTAAAAACTATGTGGCATTAACAGAATTCTGCAGTGCAAAAGTACAAAGAAGACTAAAAGAATAAGGGCAAAGGAGAGCAATCATTTGCTTCAGCCTTGCATTATGTTGAACTTTGGTGGAATGGATCCAAGATGGAATTAAATCCAAATGTTTCCTGGTTTCTTCCATCTTAATAGCCTCATATTTCCTTCCATTTCATCTCATCCACAGTGTTCACATTTAAAATTGTCATCTTTGAAAACATTGAACATATTTATGGCTTGTCTGCTTCCTGATATATATTCTGATCTATCATATTGTTATAATTGCTAGACAACAAAAGAGATTTCAGATTTATATATAATATGGAAATTTAAATTAGGGAGGAAATGTGACTACATCATGCCAACTTCAAAATAAATCCTCCCTCTTACTCTAAAAGATATGACAATATTTGTAAAGCTATTTTCCTGACCTTTATAATATGTTTAGCCATTAAATTGCAGAAACCTATGAAGTAGTCCAAGTTCATGGTATAAAAACAATGAAAACGCAGGATAAAAACACAAAAATAGAGCAGAAAAAATATGGCTATAATGATAAAAAATTAACATGTAATTCCTGTTTCCAGCTTAATTTATACTACCTTATTTAAATCTTCCACAATATGATGAGATTATTATTCAGTGCCTACAGGGTTGAGATGTTAAAAGCCTTGTCCCATGTCACACTGCTACTAGGTAATAGAATCAGAATTAAATTTAAACAATTGGATTCCCCTAGACACATTTTTTTCTCTCTTCTTTGAGTAATCTCTGCACATCTTACACTCAGGGCTGTTGCAAAATAAGAAACTGAAGACAGGAAGTAGAAGGGAAAGAAGAAGAGGAGGAAGTTGGTGTGATTTAACATTTATACCATCTCTGTGCAGCTTCTCACTATCAGTATCAAATCAGACTGGCATTTTCTGATTCAGTCATTGTTTTAATCAGGGTTCTCTAGAGGGACAGAACTAATAGGATATATATCTATATCTATCTTGATAGATAGATAGAGAGAAAAAGAGAGAGAGAGGAGTTTATTAAGGAGCATTAACTCACGCGATCACAAGTCCCACAATAGACCATCTGCAAGCTGAGGAGCAAGGAAGCCAGTCCAAGTCTCAAAGCTGAAGAACTTGGAGTCTGATGTTTGAGGTCAGGAAGCATCCAGCTCAGGAGAAAGATGTAGGCTTGGAGGCTAAGCCAGTCTAGTCTTTTCCACTTTCTTCTGCCTGCTTTTTTTTCTGGCCACACTGGCAACTGATTAGATTGTGCCCACCCAGATTGAGGGTGGGCCTGCCTTTCCCAGCCTACTGACTCAAATGTTAATCTCTTTGGCAACACCCTCACAGACATACCCAGGATCAATACTTTGCATCCTTCAATCCAATCACATTGACACTCAGTATTAATCATCACAGTCATCATTATTTTGGTTACCTAGTTCTCAGCAGGTTCCTTTTCTATATAATTTCAACTTTTATTTTAGATTCAGGGAGTGCATATGCAGGTGTGTAACATGGGTGTATTGTGTGATACTGAGGTTTGGGATATGACTGATCCGGTCATCCAGGTAGTGTGCACAGTACTCAATAATTAGTTTCTCAATCCTTACCACTGTCCTCCCTTCCCACTAGTGCCTATTGTTGGCATCTTTATGTCCATGAGTACCCAATGTTTGGCTTTTACTTATAAGTGAGAACATGCGGTATTTGGTTTTCTGATCCTATGTTAATTCGCTTAGGATAATGGCCTCCAGCGGCATTCATATTGTCTCAACAGGTTTCTGTACAAAAAAAAGAAGAGGAAGAGCAAGGAGGAAAAGGAGGAGAACAGAAAAGAGAGGAAGGAGGAGTAGAAGGAGAGAAATGACCATTCTACCTAAATAAACAACTCTATCTAAATCATGCATCAGCAGGAGGATATTTATGGCCTCAGCACATTTCTTTTACTGCATGCTAGAGACACTTGGCTTTTCCCTCGCAAATTCAAATGTCAGTGGAATGGCTAACTCATGTGAACAGGCTTTTTTCCCAGGGAGGAGCCAGCCACACAATAAAATTTAAATGGAAAAAAAGCTTCCTGATGTTTCTCTGCGGTACTTTGAATCATGCCAACTGCTAGACCAGATTAATTACACAATTGTAAGAGCAGGAAATAAACTAATTGAGGATATTATCCTCCTCTTTCTTTTCGAGAAATACTGTTTTGTCTTGATATGAGTCCTCTCTTTCACCTTGACTTGTTTTGTTAACTCAACCACTTCTCAAACTTTTCAAGAGGGGACTGTGTATGACTTGAACCTAAGTTTTTCCCAAATGAGAAGCAGCAATTACTTTAGTGCTTGCTTCCTCAGTAATGGAATTCTTGATTGCTTTTGAAAGCATTCTAGCATATAAAAGGGGGGGTCTTTCTGCCAAAAGTAAAATTCTAATTCAAGACAGGTAAAATGGGTAGGGCCTGGTTCAACAGATTAAATCCATATTTTCATACTTTAAATCAATCCCTCCTTATCTGTCAGCCATTGTTCAGGGGAACACAGACTTTAGAAGTGCAAATTTTTCCAGCCTAACTCTATTATAATAATGTATGTATTCAAATATTCTATGAAACTATATTCCAGTAAACATGTGGGAAAAAATAGAGACTTTATTTTACAGGAAATTATCACATTTAATCTTATTTTTGAAGCTTACTCACAGAAGATAATATATTTAGCAATTTGCTAAATGATAAAAAAAAATGGAAAATTATACAAATGTTGGTTGTAACATAGTTTTCCTTGAGGAATAAAATATATGTTAGTCTAGTAGTCTATTATCAGATTTGGAGAGAGATTTTCATCTCTATCATGCCAATTCCTTTATTGACATAATGTTTCCTTGGCTACTCTGTTTAATCTATAGAGTTCCTCTCAATACTACTGCTTTTATCATTCTCAGGAATACACAAACTTGAATCTTAATCTGAACCTTGCAATAAAATTATACTTATAACAGACATTGAGAAAACTGTATGATTCAAAGACAATTAAATAGGTAAAACCGTGTGTTTGCATCCCAAATTCCCTTCATGGAAGATCTCCAACTATATTCAAGCCTTTGCTAGTGCTAGAAGAAAGCAGCCCATGTTATTCTTTTGTGGCAGAGCAGTGTCTGTTTACTCTTCCTACATCTCCTTCCCATTTCATGGATTGTGACAAAGCTTTTCCTCAGTTCCAAACTACTTCACTTCAAAGGTCTGGTGGAAATCTCCCCACTTCCTGAAATACCTAGGAAACCCCTCTGTGTCTGAGTAGCCCTTTCATTATGGGAAAGGCAGGGGGTGAATGACGCTCAGATTAGATCTAAAAGAGACTTGCTATGTCCCGCAGGCATTGTTGGAGAGAGAGGGTGTTACAGATGTTGGACTGGGGCCCTGGGTCAAATTCATCAGCCCTCATATTTTTCTTTTCTCTTCTTGAGAAAAATATTCCAGATGGTATATATTAATGTGTATTTGTAATACTTTTGGCACAGGATAGTGGCAAGATAAGAAAAAGTGAAGTAAACAGAGATGAAAAAGCAAGTTACCAGTGAAACAAAACTGGAAGCATTTAAGTTTCTAAGTAAGAGACTTCAGAGAATTAGATATAAAAAAGGCCAATTGATTTATCTGTCATTTTGTCTCCCAGTTGGAGGAAAAAAAGAGAGAAATTTCATAAGATCCACTCTTCCCTTTTAGTGGAGTTGTTTGAAAACAAATATTTTCCAAAGTTAATAAATTTAATGTGGTAAACTTTACAATTACATATTTCTCTTGTTATTGGTCTTAACTATTTTCTGATTCCCTTCACTCATCACTTTATTTCCGAAACTTGCCTGATAAAACTTGCTCAAGCATGTTGTATATGGGAATTGCCAGGCAATTGCTAAACAACTGCATATCTCTTAAACTTGAACATAGAGATAATCCATTTTCGGTCATGCACTTTTAAGGTAGTTAGCCTTGGCCTTACTTCTATGGTAACTTATCCTTGATTGGAAGCCATAGCAGTAGAAATCAAATTCAGTGATCAGAATCGCTTTACAAGAATTATTCAATACATTGAATGTAAACGTGATTCATATCTGTTCCCAGCCTCCTGCAAAACTGAAGAATTTGCTGTGTTGTTTTTCTATTTTCCTCTCTCTGGACCTTTATTTAAGCAATTCCTCTTGTTCGAAGTATCATAGTCCAGCTTATTGAGAAACAATTCCTTAAGGGTGTTTTTGTGTTCCTACACATTTTTTGAGCAGAGACACGGACTGCTTCTGTTCCAGGCTATCTTTCCAAAGAT
The DNA here is from genome assembly GCF_000001405.40 of Homo sapiens. Taxonomy (NCBI): domain Eukaryota; kingdom Metazoa; phylum Chordata; class Mammalia; order Primates; family Hominidae; genus Homo; species Homo sapiens. The sequence goes on from NC_000002.12 coordinate 226,125,757, forward strand.
GTTTACAGAGAAAACAGCCTAGAAAGATAGAACTACTGTTTTCCTCTGGAGCAAAGCTCGGGTTCTTTTGTCACATAACCCACTACTTGTGTAGGCATTACATGGCTGTATTGTATCTTATTACTGTATGTGAATGAGGGCTTAAGGAACTCACAGAAGAAAATTCTGACACTCTTGCTACTGCTATTTCTGTGACTGATACACTTTCCTTTGTCTCTGACACAGGAGTTTGTGTTTTCTGCCAGCATCTATGAATCTCTGGAAGACTAAATTATTAGCTTGGAAATGGAGTAAAATCTCAGACCCTTTATAGTTCTTGATACAGCTTCAATTGTTTTTTTCTTAAAAGAAGTTTTATTTAATCCTTCCTGGTGTAAATATTAAATATAATAATTCAGTGCTTCCAAAACCTTCTCTGAAAATAAAGCTCCTCTAGCATATGGCTAAATAAACAGACTATTAGATAAATCTCCTAGAAAATCCCATTTATATTTCTAAATATGAACAGGGAAATCTGTTTTTTTTTATTTTATTTTATTTTATTTTATTTTATTTTATTTTATTTTATTTTATTTTATGACAGGATCTTGCTCTGTCACCCAGGATGAATGTACAGTGGTGTGATCACAGCTCACTGCAGCATTGAACTCTCAGGCTCAAGCAATCCTCCTACCTCAGCCTCCCGAGTAGCTGGGACCACAAGTGTGCACAACCACACCTGGCTAATTTTTTTATTTCTTACAGAGACAGGGCTTTTGTTATGTTACTCAGGCTGGTCTTGACTCCAAGACTCAAGCAATCCTCCCACCTCAGCCTTCCAAAGTGCTGGGATTACAGGTGTGAGCCACCACACCCAACCTCTGTTTCTTTTTTAACAGAATTCCAAATAATTATTATCTCTGGGTATATGATGTATCTAAAACATGTATCGCCACTCTGGGTAAACAGTAAGCACTCAATAAATGTCTGTTATTATTACAGTCTTCAAAAAGTATTTAATACTTATTAACACTTTTACTCTCCTCACATCTGAAGAGTTTAAAAAAAAGATATCAAAACCCCATTTTTATTACCGATGAAGGTCAGATTAGAGAACATAACTTTGGTCAATTGTCAAGGCAGACCTACTAATTACATCCTAAAATTAGGTAGATTCACCATTTGGTCTCAGGCAGAACTGAACTAGGGCAGAGCTTCCAATATAGAATATTTTCATTTGGGTGGGATTAAAACAGCATAGAAGACTTTGGAAGCTTATCATGAGTTTTGACTTAGAAAATGAAGAATAGGAAAACATAGATATACATGAGAATTATGAAGTGTTTAAAGTAAGAAATGCAATAATCTGATGACGTAGCCAATTTTGTCTTTCACTTTGGTAAGTATTATTATTATTTTTTCTCTTGAGATGGAATTTTGCTCTTGTCACCCAGGTTGGAGTGCAATAGCGAGGTCTCCACTCACTGCAACCTCTGCCTCCCAGGTTCAAGTGATTCTCCTGCCTCAGCCTCCCAAGTAGCTGGGATTATAGGCTCCCACCACCACGCCTGGCTAATTTTTATATTTTTAGTAGAGACCATGTTGGCCAGGCTGGTCTCAAACTCCTGACCTCAGGTGATCCGCCTGCCTTGGCCTCCCAAAGTTCTGGGACTATAGGCATGAGCCACCGCGCCTGGATGGTTTTGGGGTTTCTATAAAAACTTTATTTAGGCTCAGGGTACATGTGCAGCTTTGCTATACAGGTAAACTCATGTCACAGGAGTTTGTTGTGCAGATGATTTTGTCACCCAGGTACTAAGCCTAGTACCCAACGTTAGTTTTTTTAATTCTCTTCCATCTCCCACCCTAGGTTTTTAAATGACCTCTTCAAATTATCTTATGACTCAAAGAAGTTAAGGAAATTGCTAAATATCACATGGTTAACAAATGTCACAGCTAAAATTCCAACTGGCAGCTCTAAAACCCTATTACATTATACAATCTTGCTAAGGAGTGATGAATGGTGTATTGGAGGTGAGAAAGAACAGAGCATATAGAGAGGTTTGGTCAATAGTGTAAAAATAAAACAATTTGATTCTAGAGCAAATTTGATTGTCACCCTTTTTCATTTTGATTTATTGAAACCTCAGCAAATCTTGACCCTATGTTATACACTGGGGTAACAATACAATAAGACCTACATCTTGTATTGAAAGGTAGATGATAATTTAGTGAGGGATACAAGCCAATATAAGACCACAGTAAACTTGGTCATTGTCATCTCAGAGCTGGACATTAAGTAAACAGTGGAAAGATATTCAGACATAGAACAGGAGAAGCGAGAATCAGAAGCTTTTCCAAAAATAGTTACCAGGGATTAGCAAGTTACTCCGTACACAAGATCCTGTGCTAATACAGAATTAATAGTCTTTACCTTTTCATAATGATGCATTGTAATTTTATAAAATCAGAAAATAAGATAATATTAAATTCCTATAAATAGTCGGAGACATCTGCTAATCCAATGATAACTCTCATTAGTATTTGAACATTTGATATGGGTTTTACCAAACTATTTTTCTATGCAGTAATGCACTTCAGAGAAGAATCATAAGAGGTAAATAGCATAAGCGTACCTTTGGGTATGAGTAAACCTTCTCATACCTGAATAACCTTCTCAGGGACACTGAGTTTTCCGTTACCTTTAGCCATTATCAAATGCATAAAATCCCTGCAAGTTTTCATTCACTCATCCATTTATTTAACCCACAGTGAGTGCTTCCAATGTCCAGGTGCTGAGCTGACTGCCAGGAAAACAGGACCCCTTTCTACTAAGGGATCATCCAATAAAGTATGGGATAATCAGTCTACTGAGAGAAAATCCATTAAGTTCTAGCATCTAGAGTGCACATTCCAGGCGATATTATAGTTCATACCAATAAATCAATGGAAAACATTTACCATGGTTGCAAACTTCCCAGAATTGAACATTTAAAAATATAAAGAGCGTGTGACTATACTACACTTGCAAGACAGTCTATAACTTTTGTTGTCCGTCTTTCTGGGATGAACTTCTCAATGGTTCTTTCCTTGACTAACTTCTCTTTTAAGTCTCAGCTCCAATGCCTCTTCCTCCTCAGAGAGGTCACTAGTAATCATCCTGTTTGAAGAAGCACCTGTTAACCAAATAAATCACTCTATCATGTCATTCTATTTATTTCCTTCAGAGGATTAATTATAATCTAACTGCATTTATTTGTTTACTATCTATTACTTGTCTACATCACTAGAATCTAAACTGTTGAGAGCAGAGGCATTATTTATTTTCTTCACAGCTATATGCTTAGCACTTAAACCCCCACACTTAATAATCACTTAATATATAATTTATTAAATAAGCTAGCCCTAGTCTTCAAGTCTGCACCAACACATAAGATAGTAGTTACATCACTTAGGATGCTTTAAGCTGCAGAAAACTGAAACCCAAAGCCAAGTGGCTTACATAGTCCCAAACATGTATTATCTTACAACAAGAAGTTCAGAGGTAAGGATGCACCAGAGTGCACTTGGCTTCTCAATGATATCATTAAGAATCCAGATTCATTCTGTCTCTCAGTTTTCTCATATCAGGAAGTTGACCCTTCCATAGGTCAGCTCATCTTGTGTTTGCAAGATTCTGCGGCAGTTCTGGGTTATTATATCCATTTTTGAAAACATACGGAGGAAGAAATGGGACTATCACTTACTCAGTGATTCCTACAATCCATAAATAAACTTTTCTGGATGACACTCAGCAAACTTCTCATCAAAGCTCAGTGTTTGCAATTTTGTTGCACATCTACAAATAATCCAATCACAAGGGAAACAAGGCCATGATGACTGATTCACACCAAAGATTTCCAAACTCTTTGATTGTGACCCACGATAGAATTGTTTTTACATTGACACCAAGTACATATGTATACATAATTTTTTAAGTTTTTATGAGATTTTTCTTAGCCTGTCTCTAATCTGTATGTAACCTGATATTTCCTATTCTATGTAATTTGAGGCACAATAATATGACCCACTGATTTGATTTTAGGATTTACTAATTATTGTGATTCATAGTTGGAATAATGTTGTCCTAGACCAATAACAATCTACTTCAAATGCTAGGCTGTGAATCAGTTGAAGTAAGAGTAGATGTGCAAACTAAATTAAAATTAGGGAAAAAACGAAAGTGGCCTTTGGTGGAGGCAAATAGCATCTGCTCAGTTTTTACTTAGTAATTTTTATTTATATTTTTAATTTTAATTTTCACATTACATTGTTATATCACATGATATATCTAATATTAATTGTAACAAAGATTCTCAATATGTAAAACTATCAAAGACAATAGGTTAGGAATCAAATAAATTTCTAGAGCCAAATCAAAAGGAAAAGTATATAAGGACTGTTTATTTTTTGTTGTTTATTTGTTTAGAAAATGTTACTTAAAATGGCAGAAATTAGAGCTTAAGTGTTGGGCCCACAAAAAATACCAAGTAAGTGGGACCCTCTCAGTTTCTTTGAAACTTGTCATAAACCATGCTGACATCCCCAGGAGGCCTCTGAAAACCCTCCAGTTGGCTCTCTTGCTGATAATGAGTTGCGCTACATTGATGTTCGCTGTCCAAGGTATTCTCACCAAAATACTACAGAGAATGGTCTCCTCCCCTATGTCTCTGAAACAGACAAACTCAAGTCTTCTTGGCTAGTCCTGTGAGCTAACAAATTGCATCCTTCTAGCCACTTTCTCAATCTTCTCTTCAGTTTTACTTCTTAAATATGTATCTATCTCCATTTCCTTCTAGCTATATCTTTTTTATTTAAAAAAATCCCATTATTTCAATATGTACAATAGACATTTTGATTCAGTTACAATGTTGTGTCATTTCTCTGTTATAAGACAGAATCAAAGAGTGCTACAAAACTGGATTATTTATATAACCAAACATAATCACTTCCATCCCCAATATTTTATTTAATTTTAATTATTTCCATGAAATGTAAACTGTATTATAGAATTACTTGTCATAATAAAATATGCCAAGAATCTAACCTTTTGTTGATTCAAGATGATTATAAGAGATGGAATTTATTTTGTAATACTTTAATACAGAAATCCTACATGTATTTACTGAAAACATTTTGATAAATAAAATAAGAAAATGAATGCAGCACTCAGCACACACCAAAATAGAGCATGGCCAGGGAAGGAAGAAATAAAAGAAAGACAAAATAATCTATGGAGAAAAAAATTGAAGTATTAGTGCTATCCCAAGGAGACTAGGTTTTCTAAATTTCTGATATCCTCATTGATCCCAGTCTTAAGCAAGCTATATATGTATGAAGTCTATATAGAGAGATGTGTTTGTGTGTAATGTTCTGGCACATATTTTCATCGTATTCTTGTACTCTACACTATCAAATGGGTAAGCTGAGGCATGGCATAGTTAAATGATAACATCTTAGAATCTGTGACAGATTTGGAATTCAATGGCAGATTTGGTCCTGTATCCAAACCTACTTTCTGTGACCTCATATGTTCCCTTTGAATCAGGCCTAAGAATAGTCTTGACACCACAGAGAGCACCCTCCCTGGCCATGTGATAACCAGGGCAAGGAAAAGCCAGGCTCACCTTGAGAGGAATGTGGCTCTGCACCAGGTATTTCAGGGTCACTCAGCAGGTTTATTTTTGCTATTCTGCTGGCCTTTCCTCCCTGGCCATGGCCCAGAACACTCCAGGCTCTGTCATCGTTTTGCACCGCACAGAGCAGCCCATTGGCCTTAATACCTGAAGCCACAGCTGTATTTCAGGACCTGTTATAATCAACCTCAGGCTTCCTAAGGCATTGCTTTTCCTCTCTGCCTTCTACAAAAGGTGACAGATGGCACTATTACATCACATTCAGCTTTTGGGGGAAGTAAGCTTAATAAACTATGCAATAATCTCTATCAGAGCCCAAGAAAACAATGGGCCAGGGAGTCAGAGATCAGCTGCCCAATTTCTCAAAAAGGAAATAGATTGATTCCAGTAAATCTAGCCCTGCGAAGACAAGGAAACGTGGTATTCTTTATCACCCCCATTCAGCAACACCAGCAATTTGAGCTTTGCATTTTCCTATTATGTTACCTGGAAAGTCACTAGTAAATACAGATGGATATTAAAATAGTTTGTGTTCAGGATAACATAAAGTAATGTAATAATATGAACAAGAGTAGATTAAATGTAAATGTAATAAAATCACAGTGCCAACACTCTGTCATAAGACACGGAAAGGAGCACAACATACTTGACATGTTTTCAGGGTAGGCATTGCAAATCCTCAAATTACAAAATTTTTCTGTATTATGATGTGTCTTGGATAATTAGAGAAAACATAATTTGAGATCAGAAAACTTGAATTTTAATCCTGGCTTTGCCACTAGTTAGTGTTAACCTAAATAACAGACAGAGAGAGACTCTCTAAAACAGAATGATATTTATTCAGTAATGGTTATTGCAATGAAAATACCCATTCCATAGTAAACTGTATGTGTATTCAAGGAGGTAAAGGAAGACAAAGTTTTTTCTTAAAAAAAAAGTTACGTAGCTCTTTTGAGAAAATTATCCTTGGCTATAAGGATCAGCAACAAGTATGATGTCAGTTTGATGTTGGACAGGCAATTGTTGGGCAAATGACCTGGTGAGTTTTGTTTTTTTTGTTTGTGTGTTTGTAAGGTTGCAATGGCCTTTGTGCAAGGTTGTGGTGTTTGCAGAGTCTTTTGTGGTAGCCTTGTTATCAGGCATTCACGCATGAGAAACCTTTTTCATGGCCTTCCTTGGCCCTATTTGTCTGTTTTTAACACAAGTGATTCCATTTGCATTCACTTTCACATTAGCTATCTTCTCTTTGGCAAATCACTTATCTTTCTTGGTACTTCAGTATCTTTGCTACAGAATGGGAAGAAAGAGTTCTCACTAGATGATCTACAAGATCCCTTCCAATTCTGAATTTTTTTATTCATATGTAACCCACCAAGGCTTCACCATCCTGCAAATATAAATGAGGTCATGTATATGCTGACATTGCAGTTACGTAAACTTATTAGCCTCCATTTGCTGAACTGCGGGCCCTCAGCACCCATGCTATTTTCTGCAAAGTTAGCCCCAGCTATTTCTGGCTAAGGTGGCATAGCAAGTGTTGGTTGGGTTCTATCTTGATCCTCTGAAGTTTCTTTTACTGTTTCTGTGTGTCCACCCCCAACTTCTGAGAGCTTTGTTTCTAAGGTGTAACACCTGCAGTTTTCTTCAGAGTACTATATCCTTGGGCTAGCTGAGCTCTTTTGCCTGCTCACCAAATGCCCGGAGGCCTTGAGACAATGGCTGACTTAAATTAGTGAGGCAGTTTCAGAGCCCAACTCCCTTGTTGCAAAAAAGCACAAACTCTGTGGTGTCAGGAGCCTTCTGTGAGGGTCCTCATCCTCATCCTGAAGACCCTCACAGAACCTCACCTGAGATCCTTTTCGCCCTGTTTTTCCTATTCTCTGGGATGTTTCATGGATGCTTTGGAAAAATCCCCCTTTCTCTTCTCAGCTGGCATTCTCCTGGATGTTTTCTGTCTGCAAGCCACTTGAGGGCTGTGCCTTGTGGGGTCATGGCTGGAGGTGACCTCACTGGGCACACTGCTACTCTACCAAGGATGTGGCCTTCCAGGGCATCCCCAGACGGCAAATATGCCAGATATCAAGGGGCACTGCCTCCTCTCCAGCCCTCTTTGTACCACTTGAATCATGGGGAGCTCTTGTCAGAAATGGGATGTGTTTTTCTCCAGTTGTGTTCTGTTTTGCTATCTACACTCAGAGCTGAGCTGCTGGTTCTCTGCATTTCATAAAGCTTCCTGTGTAATTCAGATCTCTCTCTTTAGTGTGCTCCTATTAGTGGTCAAGCCTAGTCACTGAGAGGAGGCAGGAAAAAAGAAACATCATCCTCGTTTCTCCATCTTCCCATCTCTGTCCTCTACATGCTACGTTTTGCAGGTAGATTCCTGAAGAGCTACTGGCATCACGTTCAATCTAATTTCTTGTTGCTAACATTTGAAATCATCTTCTAGATGTAGATAGATCAGAACTCAAAATCTAGCACTTCATGGTCTCTCTCTAATGCTGTCTTATCACCAAGACAATCAACTTCATAAAAATGGTCCACCCAAAACAGGTGAGTGGAAAAACCACTTCATTTATAGGACAGCTACATTTTTTTTAATCTGCTAATATAAAGTGATGAGTAACTAATTTATTTTCATAGATTTTACCTTAAATCCTCATCCGGATGTACATTTCCTTTTTTGTTACATTCTTCAAGAATCCATGAAGTAATAATATTCATTAATTTTATATTTGTTACTCGATAATGACAAACAAATGTTCATTGAGCATCTCCAGGAGGACATTTTAATTTATCTAGTACTGAAATAATACCAATAGTCCTATTTGTTCTGGGGCTCCTCAGACAAACTTGGGCAAGGTAGAAGACATCCAGGTTAGTGGTACAAAACCTAGATTAGAAATAGCACCATTAGGCAGGGTGCAGTGGCTCACACGTGTAACCTCAGCACTTTGGGAGGCCGAGGAGGACTGATCACCTGAGGTCAGGGGTTTGAGACCAGCCTGGATCAACATGGTAAAAACCTTTCTCTATCAAAAAAATACAAAAATTAGCTGAGTGTGGAAGCTGAGGTGGGAGGATGGCTTGAACCTGAAAGGCAGAGGTTGCAGTGAGCCAAGATTGCACCACCGCACTCCAGCCTGGGTGACAGAGTAAGACCCTGTCTGCCACAAAAAAAAAAAAAAAAAAGAAAAAAGAAAAGAAAAACAAACAAACAAAAAAGAAATAAACACCATTAAAACATGACATGCACAGGAAACAAGACTTAATACTCTACCATTAACTTCCTTTTAAATAAGCCACAGTATGCAGGAATAAAAGGGCCATCACATTTGCCTCTTGCTTTTATGTGCAATACATCCTTCACATGAGATCAGCTCCTTTATTTAAATCAACAACATCTTATCAGTATTTTCCTCTTATTTATTGTTTTGTCTTCCTACATCTAAAATAATTATGCATGTCAACGTTTATTAACTAGGCAGTGGAATAGAAAATATAAGTTTTATTTTCAGTATTTTCATTGACTTGTGTGTGAACTGGGTTAGACACTTCATCAGCAGGAAACAATAGCATTTATTATGCTCTATCCTGCAAGGAACCTGGTTTTAGGTATTCTGATAAAGTAATTTTTCTGGGGAAAAGGCATGGTTTCTGTTTATAATCTAAGAAAGCAATGTAGAGGCAGACAGAACAAGCATTGTTCAAACACATACAACCTGCTTTTAAATACACATTCTTCATATGGCTTTTATAAAATTTTCCTTTGGTAATAACTTTTAAGGAGGCAAAAAGTTGGCAAGAATAAGATTAAATCAAAATGCCCTAAATAATATGGCCAAAGTCACTTTAGAGAAATGGTTCTTAAACTTGGGGGAGGGGGATCATCAATTCCAGAAAAAAAAATCTGTGTGTATAAATATCGACATTTGGTAGAAAATATTGAGATTTTCAGATCTCCTTTTTTGAACCCCAATTTAAGAACTCCAATTACAGTTTTCCAGAAACAGTTTACAAAATGCTCAATCTTGCTAAAATAGAATAATATTTACTAAAACTGTATGACCTTTTCTCCCTTTTCCTTTTCCATTTCTTCACTTTTCTTTCTCCCTAAAAAATTTCTCTCTCTCTGTCTCTCTCTCTCTCTCTCTCTCTTCCTGCCACCTCTCTCTCTCCTCTCTCTCCTTTTGGTCTTCTGTGAGTTAGTTTCAAATACTAAACCACCTACAATTTACTATACTTAACAAGAGTTTTGTAGTAAGGAAACAGAGATGAAAAAAAAACACACACACAAGGCTTTTCATTTCTCCTCTCCCTCCTGCACGTGATGATACTGGATATGACCAACCCTAATCCATATCATATTATCTTCTCCCTGTGCCTTGCCCTAGAGACCACAGCTACCTGGAAGACTTTGCTCTGAAATATAAAAACTTCTGACTTTGGCATCTAGACATTGCTAAGTATGTGTGCACTCACTCTCCATGAGGAGTGTCTCATCTCAGTGTTTCAAGCTATGCTCCTGAATTTCTGTATTATTTAGAGTGACACTAGCTGCTGTAACTAAACACCCAACCCCCAATATTTCACTGGCTTAACCCATGAAAAGTTAATTTCTTGCCCAGAATAGATGTTCTGTTCACAATAGTTCAGAGCAAATGCTCCTGTCCTCTATGAGTGAGTCAGGACTGTTCTTTCTGGTCATTCAGGACCCAGCATGGCATGGAAAAAAAAAAAAGAGGGCAGGACTGGCCCATCTGTGGCTTAACCCCTAGGCCTGGAAGTGCCACAATCATTCCCACACATGTTATTGTAAGTGAAAACCAGTCACATGGCACCTAGAAGTGAATAGATGGGCCGGACATAGTGGTTCACTCCTGTAATCCCAGCACTTTGGGAGGCTGAGGCAGGAGGATGGCTTGAGGCCGGGAATTTGAGACCAGCCTGGGCAATATAGCAAGACCCTATCTCTACAAAACCGTTTTTGAAAATTACCTGGGCATGGTGGCACATGCCTGGAGTCCCAGCTCTTCAGGCTAGGCTAAAGGATCACTTGAGCTTAGGAGTTTGATGCTGCAGTGAGCTATGACCATGCCACTGCACTCCAGCCTGAGCAACAGAGTGAGATCCCATCTTAAAAAATAATAATAATGAAGAGGTGAAGATGGAGCTGGAAATCCTAGTCTTTGTCCTGGCAGCTGCTTCCAGCAACAATTCTACACTGTGGAAGGTCACCATGGATTTTTGGTGAACTGCCAGCCATCTTTGCTTAGCACCTTTTTGATAAGCAAGGTGTTTCTCATCCTGCTTTGCTTAGGAATCACCGTTATGCACTACCCAGGTGTATATTTGTTGTTTGTTGCTGTGAAAAATAATTTCCCAAAATTTCATGACTTAAAACAACAAATACTTTGTATCTCATGTTTTCTATGAGTCAAGAGTGTTGATGTGGCTCAACCGGATGCCCGTGGCTCACGGTCTTTCATAGACATCAACAGACACTGCAGGGAGGATCCACTTACAAGCTCACTTTCCTGGCCACTTGCAGGCCTCACTTCCTCACTGGCGGTTGGTGGTAGATACAGGTGCCTGGCCACTAAGGTCTTTCCACTGGGAAACTCACAACTTGGCAGCTGGCTTCCACTGTAATGAGCCATCAAGAGAGTGAGAAAGGAAACTCAAGGTAGAATTCACCATATTTTGTAGCCTATTCTTGTTAGTTTCATCCTGTGAAATTAAATAATTCAAACTTAAAGCTGTTGGAACTTTAAATTATTTTAAACCTTAAGAGGAATGTGGCTATGTGGCCTGAGTCACAAAGCATGAAGCTGCAAGTTCTGCTTTTCTGATTATAGATCATATCTCTTCCTCATTCTTGCCCTGTAAATGATTAGGAAAGGCTGAACGGCACCAGAGATAAGACCCATCAAAACCATTACCCCTCCCTACAGAAAGTTAAGGCAGTTTTCCTCCGAATGTAACCAATCAAATCACTATAACACATGTACTAACCTGTTTTGAAAAATGCTGCAACCTTGTTAAGCTTCTCTGTCTTCGCCTATATAAATGAAACCTTACTTTCCCCACCTTGGAATGCTGACCCATTCTTTTGGAGTCTGTGTTTCCCAGGTGGCTACTCTTAAGCTCTGCACTCAAATAAACTTTATACTTAGTCATATTTCCCAAATCTCATCTTTTAAGGTTGATGATGTCATCAATATTGCTGCATTGTTTTAATTTGGAGCGAGTCACAGGTCCAATTCATGCTCAAACAAAGATCAGTACACAAGGTTATGAGTAGCAGGGAGCAGTGATGAGGGATCATGTTCCAGGTTGCCCACTGACCACAGGTGTGGGCAGAGAAGGCTCTCTATCTGTAGTCTCTAGCATTTAAAAATATGTAAACATCTCTCAACTTGTTTTGGTAACAGGAATGTAAGAAGGTGTCTAGACATCTAATTCTTTTCTAAAATAGAACTGGGAAAAGAGCCCGCCTGGTAGAAAGTAGTGGGTGATCAGGGTGGCCAGTTCAGGAGCCTGCACAGATTGGAGGCTCTTCTGGAACATGTGGCTGAGGCTGGGTTTTCTTGTTGCTCTCCTGTATGTCACAGTCTCACATATTTATTTTCTTTAATTAAATTTATGTATTTTTGCTTCATATTACTTTTTTTTTTTTTACCTTAACTTTAACAATGAAAATTTCAAGATCCAGTAAATGGTCTAAGACAGGAGAAAATGGTAAAATATTTATATTCAACATATAGGCCCATTGAAAGCTGTGTTCTTTTCACTTAATAATTGACATATGCAAATTTTTAAATACCATAATTGCTTTACACTCTATTCATTATTTTAATTTTTTTCAATTCTTAATTTTAAAACATTGTTTTTATTCTAGTAAAAGAGAATTAGAATTTATCATTTTAACTTTTTTTTTTCCTTTTTTCTTGAGATGGAGTTTTGCTCTTGTTGCCCATGCTGGAGTGCAATGGCGCAATCTTGGCTCACTGCAACCTCTGCCTCCCGGGTTCAAATGATTCTCCTGCCTTAGCCTCCCGTATAGATGGGATTACAGGCATGTGCCACCATGCCTGGCTAATTTTGTACTTTTTTAGTAGAGACAGGGTTTCATCATGTTGGCCAGGCTGGTCTCGAACTCCTGACCTCAGGTGATCCACCCGCGTTGGCCTCCCAAAGTGCTGGGATTACAGACGTGAGCCACCGCACCCGGGTATTTTCACCATTTTTAGGCATACAATTCAGTGGCATTAAATATGTATATATTTTGTGCAACCACTACTACAAACCATTGCCAGAACTTTTTCATCTTCCCTGAGTGACACTCTGTACCCCTTACTGATTTTTATAACAGGGTTCTAATCACTTAACTGTCATTTTCTTCTCTCTCCTTAAAAATCTTTTTGACTTTGATTCTTTTTCTAATTTATATAGTCTTTGGCTTCCTATCTAAAAAGCAGCTGTTCATTCTTAAAAATAATCAAGAGATTAGAGTTTTATTCAGTTTTATTTAAGGAGATAATATGACTAGGAGTTTCGTTCCATTATATTCAAGAAGCTAAGATGGTTTAACTCCTTGGCTGCTCCTAGCACCTCAAAACCATAGCTGGGTGTATTTCAATGACACCTGCAGGTTTAACTTGCTCTAGTCCATGAGACCTTATTAAACTCCTAAGAATAATAAATAACAACAATCTACATGTTTAGCTGAGCCACTCTTTATTCATCTCTTTTGTAGCTAAGTCGCTCTTTTCATCCTGATTCTAGTGAATAGACCTTTGCTTTATTCTTCGTGACCACGTATCAGGGTTCTAGGAGCCAGGCATTTTCTTCCAGAACTTTCTACCTGTTGCTCTGGTTCCCATGACCAGCTCCAAGCGTGCTCTTCCCAGAGTTTGAGGGAGGTACAGACATGTACATGAAACTCCATTGCTTTGTCTCTACTTCTTGTCATCAGAGCCCTTTCTTATCCTCTCTACTATCTCACACCTGGATCTTTCTGGATCCTCTATCTTGTCAAATGGAGCTTTCTTATCTCTGGGTCCTGACCATTCTTTTTTGTCTATCCTGCTGAAGCCCAAACCTATGCTCTGTTACTTTCTGTCTTTCACATTCTTCTGGGACAGTAAAACCATTTTGAGTTTGGACCAAAAGATGAATACTTTTGGTCATAGCATTCAAAATGGAATGAATACTGTTCCTTCCAGAAGGAAGAGGTAAGAAGAACTCGTTTTTGATGCATGTGTCTAAATTCTAATTCTGTATGTCCAACATAGACTGTTATTTGTCCAACTAAAATCTGTTCTGCTTTTTCCAGAGTACTAGTGTATATCTGGGTGCTGAGTTGCTTAGGCACACCACATCTTCCTGCCTCTTGGTAGTGAGGTGTGGCCATGCAACTAAATTCTCATCAATGGGATATGAGCAGAAGTCAAATGTGTAGCTTCTGCCTTACTTCCTTAGAAAACACTTGCTCTGAAACCACTCTTCACTTGTCTTTCTGCTAGCTGAAAATGAGAACAAGAGAGTTCCCTTGGAAGCTACATTGGAGATGACAGAACTGCCTTTCTGTCCAAAGCATGGCTTCCTGAAATAGAAGCCACCTTCCTGCTCTGTGCCATGAAGAGACACAAAATAAACTTCTGTTTTGCTGAACCATGATCTTTGGGTCTCCTTGTTACATCAACTCAGATTTCATTCTAGTGGCTACAACATAATTGATAGAAATCTTATAATTGCTCATTGGTTAACAGATCCAAATATTTCTCATTTTCTCCACAGGTTTGGGTAGCTTTTTGAAGGCTAATTGTATTTAAATAAGAAATAATTAAAATATTGCATATGCTAGAAATCAGTCAAACTTCTGCTTTGTTATTTGCCTCTCTGCTACTTCTTTCTCAGTAGGCAGGATGGGGGACAGGAGAAACATTAGGTGACACTTGGGCTTCACGGGCTGAAGTCAATTTTATCTTCCAGATATAATAATGATTGATTATCACTCAATTTTCAAGATATGGCAATATGCTGACATGAGAACCAAATCACTTGTTAAAGGAATCTGATTGACCATATTACATTCTCATGGACAGATATTGCATATATAATTTTCACAGCAGCTGCTTGCATTTTTTTAGGCAGCAGACATTGAATTAAACTGAAGAAGCAAGTACAGAGAGTGGCAAATGTCTAAGGCAAATGGCAAAGTGAACTGAGTCAATTATTATTTTAAAAGCTTCATGATTTTTAGACAATGATGTTCTTAGAAAGAATATAAGGAACTTCTCTATGAATGGTTCCTAATCTATTCAAGGCCACAGGCTGCCCCAGGAAGCTGATGAAACTTTGGACCCTTTTCCTAGACAAATGTATAAGGTAACAAATTTTGCAAACAACGTGAGATGGCTCACAAACACCCACCAGCCCAGGCACATCCATGGATCACAGATTAAGAACATACTTTTATAGGGGAAACATAAAAGAATAAATCAGTTTCTTCCATTCAATCACGATTATATCAAACTAGCATTTATCAGGTATTTGTTTGCCAGCAAAACCTGGATCCAATGACACTGAGAGAAATAAAAGAATATGTATGCCCTTGTCTTTGAGTAGCTGAAAGTCCAGTGGAGAAAACAGACCTGACAATTGATATTCACAATGAAATGTGATGGAATGAATACGTGAGCAGCATGCAGAGACAACAGAGGACTGGTTGAAATCTTTACCCATGGGAGCTAGAGAAAGATTTCTTTTTGCACAATCAATGCTTGAGGATGATCTGAAGAAACAAAGTGACCAGTCCTGTGGAAGCAATACTTCCAAATCTTCATTTATACATGGTAAAAACAACAATCTTAATAAGCCACTTATTATATGTTAGATACTATTTTAATATATGTTTAATCCTCACAACAATTCAACTGACAGGTTCTCATCACCCAGCTAGTAAATGAGGCCAAATTTAATCAGGCCTCTGGAACCATGAACCCATCACACTGTGTTAGATCCATACGTAAAACAGTGAACTGGAAGACAGTGAGGAATATGTTATTTGTGTCAACTGATTATACAGATACAAAAAAGGGATGTTATGGACCAGGCGTTTTATTGGAGCACAGCACAGTGGCATGTGTATTGTTTTCCAAATTTTATAGATGAGGCATATAGACTTTAAATCAGTGGTTCAAAGCCATATAGTCACAGAAGGGAAGGCCCAAGTGTGAACACCAGCCTTCTGATGTTTAGCGTGTTGTTATCGCTACTACCTCCCATTGCTTTCAAGCACCAAGGGGAGCAGATACCACCTGGAGTTCTAAACATTTATGATTAGTATGAGAACCAAAATGGTTGTACCAAATGCAGATGCAGAATTTAGATCCACATCTATATTGTGCAATTCAATCCCAGACATAATCATTTGCCCAATCTAAGAAGACATCTGACTTCCCATTCCCATCCTCCCCTAGCAAATAGAAATGAAAATAAGAGAGGTGAGGAACAGGTACAATATGAGATAAAGTTCAACTTAGCTAAATAATAAAAATGTATTATGACTATCAGATAAATTAAAGCAAGTTACAAATTCGAAGCACAGAAAATCAGTTTCCAGAATCCAGTAATAAAATGAGATACTAAAAGTCCGCACAAGTCTTTTCTGCATGAGCTGACAATCAGTCTTCATAAGGTCTCTATAATATAGATATCTAACATTTGGGGAGTATTGTCAAGTTCTATTAAAATGATGATATAGCTAATAAGGAAAGAATGATGCAGCATAAAATATAGGACACCATCTTTTTTCTTTTAAATTTGTGCTCTCAGACTTGCTGAGATATTCCTTATCATGTCACTGTGCAGTTTCAGAAATTATCATGGAAATTACATATATTTCTGTTTATCAAACCAACCACCTCATGATAAATACTTGTAGACTGTCTCTCATTTAACTCACAGTTTGGGTTTTAGACCAAACACACTATGTCCACACTGTTAAATGTACATTAACACTTGCAATAAAGAAACAAACATTAGTTGATCCAGTCATCTCCCATTGACAGACCATCATCATTCTGGTACACAGAGAAATATACACTTCAGAAGCTCATGGCATGTTTCCTCCTTGATTCAGGTTCCTTGTTTATTACCACATGAACATTTCTCTGGTATATTTTTAGTACAATGTGTTATCCTAGACTGATCATATGTTCACAGATTGTGAGGAGCCTGTGAAAGACTTTTTGCTGTACTTGCTATTGGGCAAAATCCTGTCTGCTACCTGGTATTCATGTAGAGTAAACTGCAATGTGGAAACAGATGGTATGACCAAGTGGGAGAGAGACTCTGTCTGCAAAACTGGGAGAGCTTCACTCTGACTGGGGGTGGAAGAGGAATGAACAAGTCCACCCCAGCGTAAAAATAAGATGAAAATATAAAAGAATGTCAGTGTTGAAGGTTACTCCTTTTGATTTTGCCAATATCCCGGAACCATGTGAGCACATGAACATTCCAAAGAAGAAGATACCTCCAGGTTCTTCAGATGGTGAGTGGAGCCTTAGTGTTTAAACCACTGTGGCTTAATACATGACACTTTGCATGAGATAATTTGACCAACTCAAGGCACCCAGTGTATCCTTTTTTGCATTTGAGAATCAAAAGGAGCAATGTGTTTCCCTACAGGTTGTCTGTCAAATTATAAATGAGGCCTCACTAGTATTTTATACTTTGTATTGCCTTATTTTCATCCAGTCACTAAAATTAAGATCAAATTATTTTTCTTCTTTTGAATTCGAAAACTGAAATCAATTTTCTCTTCACAGCCCAGAGCTCTGACTATGGTTTAGCACCTTCCACGGGGTGAGAGGAAGTTAGATAAATTGGAATTTGTTTCCTGTTCCCATGTGAACTGCTACATCTGTGCATGACTCTCCAGAATATTTACTTATTTTTATAGATTTTGTCCATGCTTATGTTTATAAAACAGATGTGTTAATTGAATTTTTTAAATTTTTAATTTTTTTATTGTTGTGGGGACATAGTAGGTGTACATATTTATTGAGATGTTTTGATATAGGAATGCAATGCATAATAATCACATACATTTTTATTTATTTTATTTTATTTATTTAGAGAAAGGGTCTTGCTCTGTCACCAAAGCCAGAGTACAGTGGAGCAATTATAGCTCACTGAAGCCTTGAACTCCTGGCTCAAACAGTCCTCCTGCTTCAGCCTCCCAAGTAGCTGTTAGTGTGTGTTAACTGGATTTTTAAAACACAGAAAACACCTGATCAAAATTAGCCCAGTTCTAAAGAAGTCAATTATATATTTAATCATTGTATTAGTCAGAGTTCTCTAGAGGGACAGAATTAATGGAATACATACATATATATATATATATATATATACACACACACATATATATATACATATATATACACATATATATACATATATATACACACATATATACACATATATATACACACACACACACACACATATATATATATATATATATATGAGTTTATTTACTATTAACTCACATAATCACAGGGTCCCACAATAGGCCATCCGCAGGCTGAGGAGCAAGGAGAGCCAGTCCAAGTTCCAAAACTGAAGAACTTGGAGTCAGATGTTTGAGGGCAGGAAGCATCCAGCATGGGAGAAAGAAGGCTAGGCCAGTCTCTCTTTTCACATTCTTCTGCCTGCTTATATTCTAGCTGTACTGGCAGCCAATTAGATTATGCCCACTCAGACTGAGGGTGCGTCTGCCTTTCCCAGCCCACTGACTCAAATGTTAATCTCCTTTGGCAACACCCTCACAGACACACCCAGGATCAGTACTTTGTATCCTTCAATCCAATCAAGTTGACACTCAGTATCAACCATCACAATCATGCATCTTCAGTTCTCCCAATTATATGCCCAGGTCACTAACCTGACTGAATCTGGATTATCTAACCAAGGTATCATATTAATGGCTGAAAAAACAAACAAACAACAACAACAACAAAAAAACAGGTTGAGAAAAAAAAGTTTGCTTTGGTTACAGGTCATTATAAGCGAATGCTTATTGCTAGAATAATTTATAACTGAATTAAACATTGTTTCTTACACTCTCCAGTGACATACACAATGCTACATTACTCTTGGCACCAGGAAGCTGCCAAAGTTTCAGATTCGGCCAGTGGACTGATTCTCTTAGAGCAGACCTGGCACACTGGAAACAGCTCCAGGGCCTGCTGGAGCACCTCACCCTGGTTATGCTGGAAGCAGCTAGAGTGGATGCTGATTCTACTCATGCCACCTTCATCTGTGAACCCCCAAAGATCTCACAATGTAACTGATATACAGTCAGCATTAAATAAACATACATATTCTGACTGTATGCCACTGGTTCAAAGGGCACTAAAATTATTACATTAAGATGAAACAAATGCATAAGTTCAGGAGGTTATTGGCTTCTGCTTCTCTGTGCAGATGCATGGAATAGCAAGGAGTGTGAAGAACTGCTAACTCTGTTGTCTTACAGGATCATCCAGGTTAGTTGAATGGTCTGGTTATTTGGAAATTATCCAAAGATGCAGTGTTGAACAGCAGAAATAGCCAAGACAAAGAGGCAAGATCCTACGTGTCAAACTGTGCTCTCCCTTGCTTAGCTTTCTAGTGCGGGACCTTTCTCTTTCTGGTACACCTCTATTCTTTCATCCATAAGTTATGACTTGCTCTGTTTTCAGAGATTTTCTGAGGACATATGTTTGCAATATAGTGAATGTTAGTGTGCCCCCAAAATTTGTGTGTTGAACCCCTCATCTCATTATGACTGTATTTGGATTGGGAGCTGTTGGAAGATAACCAGGACATGAGGCTGGAGCCCTCATGAATCGCATTAGTACCTTTATAGGAAGAGACCAGAGAGCTAGCTGGTTCCTTCCACCACGTGAGGTTACGACAACTCATTAGTCTCCAATTTGGAAAAAGAGCCCTCACCAGAACCTGAGCATGCCAGTACTCTGACCTTGGACTTTCACACTGCAAAACTGTGAGAAATAAATTTCTTCCGTTTATACCCATCTGGTCTATGATAATTTGTTACAGTAACCTGAACTAAGACGGTGTTCCCACTGTAGTTTGTTACTTCTTAAACCAATTAGACTTTTTTTTTTTTTTTTTTTGAGACAGAGTCTCACTCTGTTGCCCAGGCTGGAATACACTGGCACCGTCTCAGCTCACTGCAACCTCCGACTCCCTGGTTCAAGCGATTCTCCTGCCTCAGCCTCCCAAGTAGCTGGGATTACAGGTATGTGCCACCAAGCCCAGCTAATTTTTGTATATTTAGTAGAGACGGGGATTTCACCATGTTGGCCAGGATGGTCTCAATCTCCTGACCTCGTGATCCACCCACCTCGGCCTCCCAAAGTGCTGAGATTACAGGCATAAGTCACTGCACTCGGCCACCAATTAAGCTTTTAAAGAATGTTTATATTTAATCGTAAAAATAAATATTCATTATGAAATGCAAGAGAAACAGAAAACCATAAAGTAGATGATAAAATTCATATTGCATCTTACTGTCCAGAAGTAGCCAATATCAAATAAGTAATGGTTAAATTCCTGAAATAATTTCTTTTATGGTAACTTTTCTTTTCTGTGTATAAATTTTCTTATTTGAGAAAGTTAGGATTATATTAACCATACATTTTTAATCCTGCTTATTTCATTTTCTTAGGTCTATAATATTTCTCTAAAGCCTGATATTTTAATGGCAGAATGATATTTGACATTAGTTGTTGTACCATTTTGAGACGGAATCTCACTCTGTCACCAGGCTGGAGTGCAGTGGTGCGATCTCGGCTCACTGCAACCTCTGCCTCCTGGGTTCAAGCAATTCTCCTGCCTCAGCCTGCCGAGTAGCTGGGACCACAGGCGCGCACCACCACGTCCAGCTAATTTTTGTATTTTTAGTAGAGATGGGGTTTCACCATGTGTGGCCAGGATGGTCTTGATCTCTTGACCTTGTGATCCACCTGCCTCGGCCTCCCAAAGTGCTGGGATTACAGGCATCACCGCGCCCGGCCTGATGTACTATTTCTAACAAAATCATTCCTCTACTTTAGATTGTTCCTTATTTTCTAAATTATAAAAAATTCAATGAAAATTCTTATATATGAATTTCTCTCTCCCTCACTGGAAATGAGTACAGAAAATGGAGTTGCTGGGTCAAAAGACAAGTCTTTCTAATTTTTTCAATCTTCATATACACATTGCAATGTTGCATCCAGGTAAATAACACCAAATTATTGTTCCAATTAGCTATATATACATTCTAATCAAGACTGAATATACTCACTTAAAAACATGGCCATTTTTGAATATGTGAAGTAGTAGCTCATTTTTTATTGAAAGTAAGATGGTCATGTGTGTGTGTTTTGGGTGTGTGTGATGTATTTTTCTCTGATTTATCTGTTAATGCCTTTAGTTCATTTTATTTCCCTATCAGTTTTAATTTGTAAGAAATACATTAAATGAACATGGTCCCTTCATTATGTTTTTTATATACTGTATGTATTTTAACTAACAATTAACTCAAAAGTCTTTTATACAGCCCTATTTCAAGACTTACTATAAGGCCACCATAATAAAAACAGTGTAGCGCTGGCAAAGAATCAACAAATACATCAATGAAATAAAATAGAGAGCCCAGAAATATATTCACATTATATGATCATTTGATATTCACCACAGGGACACAACAATCCTACGAGAAAAGGAAAAGCTTTTAAACAAATGATCCTGGAACAATACGCTATGCAAATTAAAAAGTAAACTTTGACCCCTATCTCACACCATGTACAAACATTAATTTGAGATGGATTCTCGAATCCATCTCAACATAATAGCTAAAACTATAAGTTTTTAAAAATAGTATATTTTTGTGGATTCCAAATAGAGAAAAGTTTCTTTAAAAATCATAGAAAACAATATCAATGAAATAAAAATACATATAAATTGTATTTTTAAAAAATTAACAACTTTGGTTCATCTAAAGACATCAAGTAAATGAACAGGCAAGCTGTAGACTGAGACATACTTGAAGTTTACACACCTGACTTAGGACTGGTAACTAGCATACATTTTCAGAAACAAAAAATAATAAAGTTTATAAGGCAATCATAAAAAGAAAAAAATGGAAAAAAGATTTGAACATATGCACAAAAGAGGCTAATTTATAAACAACCAATAAGCACATGAAAAAGCACTGAATATTATTAGATATTAGGAAAATTCAAATTGAAACCCCAATGAGATATCAAATATCCACTGAAGTAGCTAAAATCAAAAGAGAAATAATGTTAAAGGTTGATGAAGACTTGTGGCCACCAGAACTTTCACATATTGTTGATGGCAGTGAAAATCCTGCAATTTTAGAAAAAGCTCCCTTAGCATCTTAAAAAAAGTGGATCAACCTGTAGTGTAAGACTTGGTGATTCCAAAGAAATGTATTTCCACAAACAGGCTTGTACAAAATCATTTATTGGAGCCTTATTTGTAATAATCCCCAAAAAGAAACAGCCTAGATACCCAACAATAGGACATTGGATAAATAAAATATGCTTTTACAGTGGGATATTAGACAGCAATAAAAATAATAAATTACTGATATATACAATAACATGGATGAATTGCCAAAGCCTTATATGGAGCAAAAGAAGTCTTACACACTAACATACACTATGATTCTACCTGTATAAACTTCTAGATTAGGCAAAACTAATTCATGGTGTAAAACAATCAGAACAATGAATGCTTCTGTGGAAATGGGGGTAAAGATTTATTGGGAAGGAACATGAAGGAACTTTCTGGAGTGACGGTCATGTTTTGTTTATTAATAGCAGGTTGTTTTCTCAGGTAATCAAGTGGTCGCATGATTTGAGTATTTTATTGTATGTACATATTACTTGAAAAGAAGAAAACCCATAAATAAATATTGAATTCTAATGATACGTATGCTGAAGTATTTATAACATGTACTAAAGTCTACAACTTATTTTCAAATACATTTTCAGAAAAGGAAGGAGAGATAGATGTGTAATAAAAACAAGTATAGCAAAACATTAATTGTAGAGACTAGTTAGTGGGCATATGGGTGTCCCTTCTGAAATTCTCTCAACTTTTCTACATGTTTGCAAATTTTCATCATAAAACAGGACGGGAAAAAAGGAACCTAGCAGAATGGGAGAGAGAATCTATTCCCACCTTTTTTTGTGTAGACAGTGTAACAGGTTGGAATTCAGGATACAAACCAAATATAAGGAATAGGTTTATATATTAAAAACTTTGTAGCCGGGTGCGGTGGCTCACACCTGTAATCCCAACACTTTGGGAGGCTGAGGCGGGCAGATCATGAGGTCAGGAGTTCGAGACCAGCTTGGCCAACATAGTGAAAGCCTGTCTCTACTAAAAATACAAAAATTAGCCAGGCGTGGTGGCACGTGCCTGTAGTCCCAGCTACTTGGGAGGCTGAGGCAGGAGAATTGCTTGAACCAGGAGGCAGAGGTTGCAGTGAGCCGAGATTGTTCCACTGCACTTTCCAGCCTGGTCTAGAGAGCAAGACTCCATCTCAAAAAACAAACAAGCAAGCAAACAAACAAGTAAACAACAACAACAACAACAACAAAACTTTGTGATTCTTTTAAGTTATACAATCATTTAGTTTTTTATGTAGATATATTATCAATCTTTGAGTTGGGATGTCCAAACGTAGCAAATATATTAATACCACTAGTATATAAACAATATTAAATAGTAGCTTTAGTATTGATAACCTTTTCTCTTTTAGAAGAACACGGCTAGTGGTTGACCATTAAGTACAAAGCTGACTACTGTTTAATGTATTTAATCCAGATAATCTTTGCCCTTCAATAGATTAGGACAATATTTAGTGTGATAACTAGTACTTTGAAATTATTCTCACCATTTTATGGTGTGTTTTCTTTTTACTACCTCTTTCATTTTCTACCTCCCTAGTATCTATTTTATTAATAATATTTCTTTTATTTCTTTTTTGTTTCGAGATAAAATTATATTTTTTAGTATTTAGTTTCACTATCAATTTTAAATACACACTTAACTCAAATTATTCCAACAAAATCTATTCAGTATTTTGATCCTTTTCCTTAATGTTTCTCAGACTGCTCCTTTTACACATTCTCTTAAAAACTTTATTTCTGTTATTATTGTCAGAAGGCTAAATGCAAAATTGATCAAGATGAATTATTTTAACATCATTGGTGATATTTATAAATATGGTTTACAATATCTTTGCTTACCTCCTTTTCTCTGATTTTTCTTTTTGGTATTTACGTTAGAAAGGACCAATAGGGGCCGGGTGCGGTGGCTCACGCCTATAATCCCAGAACTTTGGGAGGCAGAGGCGGGCGGATCACGAGGTCAGGAGATCCAGACCATCCTGGCTAACACAGTGAAACCCCATCTCTACTAAAAATACAAAAAATTAGCCGGGCATGGTGGCGGGTGCCTGTAGTCCCAGCTACTCGGGAGGCTGAGGCAGGAGAATGGTGTAAAACCCAGGAGGCAGAGCTTGCAGTGAGAATCCGTCTCAAAAAAAAAAAAAAAAGAAAAACAGAAAAGACCAGTAGGTAGTGACTTTCTACTCTTTATATGCCTGAAAAAAAAAAAAAAAAAAAAACTATCTGTCTATCTATCTATCTATCTTCTCTAATTAACAGTTTAGCACTACATAGAATTTGTGGATTATAGTCTCTTTGTCATTTGGAAAACTTTGTTAATGAGAAGCTTGCTGCATCTGATTGTAATAGTTTTTTAGGAAATCCGTTATGCTTTTTAATAACATTACTATTATTTGTGTATGCTCAATGATCTATAGTTTAGTCTGGTGTGAAGTTTAGATTTATTTGTATTTATTCTTCTCTAGATGGAATCTATTTTAATCTAAGGGCTTACTTTTTCTTCAATTACAGAAAATGTCTGCCAATATTCCTCTTCTGCCATTTCTTCTAGAATCTTCTGGTGGAGCAACTTCTAAAACTTTGTTGTGGTTTCCCATCTTAATTCCATGTCTTTTAACTGCTTTTTGAGTACTTTTATCTCTTTATTTCAGTGGTTCTAACTGGGCGAGGGGTAGTCACCTGGACATTGGACAATCCAGTTTTGGTTGTCGCAACTGGGGAGGGGGTGCTATGGGCATGTAGTGGGTAGAGGTTATAGATGCTGCTAAAACTCTGCAATGTACAGGACACTCCCCACAACAAATAATTATTTAGCCCTAAGTGACAAAAGTGTTGATGAGAAATCCTACTTTATTTCTGTGCCCCACCTTCTAGATGAATTCTTTGTTACTATTTTTCAGTTCACCAAATCTCCTTGCTGCTATCTTGAGAGTATTCCATATATTGAGATTTTATTTTAAATTAAGATTTTTTTTAAATTTCCAGTCTTTCTCATTTTAATAATGCCTGGATATCTTATATCTACCCATGTTTGCTTCATAAATTCTTGTTCATTTACTGCATTCTAAGTTCTTTATTCATTACATGATTTAAAGCACACTCATTTTAAAATCATTTTTGCACATTCTATTATTTTCGTTTTCCTTGGGGTGAATTAACCTTCAAATTGTTGGTTGTCTGTCTTAGCATTAGTTTACTTTCTGTGTTTTAATAGCTTAGGTTGCAGGCTGATATTAAATGGAAATTTTAGTTCTCCTTTTCTTCCTACATACTTTCACCCCACCCTTTTATTTTTTTCCTTTAACAATTTTTCACAGTTGCCTGAAGTTGGATAGCAGTCTGGGGCTAGATCTTATGCTAGCTATTGAGACCTTTCCCACAGTGATACTGAGAACAATGTTGATCAACTCATGAAACCAGAGGGCAGCTTGACCCAAGTCTTGGTTGCTAGGTGATGCCTGCTCCTTTGACGTCCCTGGTTTATAATTATAACTACAGTGTAGCTTCAGGCTCTAGTTAGACTTAGCTTGTTTTTTTTCAACCTCTTTTCAAGGAGATGAGCTTCCTCAGCCCTCAGTTTTCAGTAAAGAGACTGCCTCAGTGAACAATATTTATTCTGGTAATGCCACATGTATCATTTCAGAATCCCTGCATACTTGAAGCTTTAAGTTCATTTTATCTTTTTTCATCCACAGAAATATTTAACTTTTACTTGTGGTTCATATGCATAGTCATTTCTTCTTTTTATATTTTACCATTATGCTATACGTCTGGTGCAGATGGGGTCCTTAAATATCTGAAATTACATTATCCCAACTAGAAGTCTCCTGGCTCCTAGTTCAAATAATAAACTAATACTTAACCATTTTTATAGTTATTTTAAAGGTTTTATTTTTAATAACAAATACGAGTAGAATTATATCAGTTATCTTTCCAGTGACACTTAAGATTTTTTCCTTAATTAGCCTATTTAAATAAACTATAGTTTTATATAACCAAATATAACTTCATAGTTACATTCCTGTCATAAATTCTCTTTGCTATTCCTATTTCAAAATATTAAATTCAATATTTTAAATGTAATATTTATACCAATATTTTAAATATAATATTTATACCAATATTTAAAATAGAGATTAGTTGTCACCTTTTATTTTAGTCTATTTATTAAATTTTATTTTAAACTTTTATTTATAAGATAAATTGATAGGTCCATTGAAATATTTCTCTAGGTTATTGAAAAAAGTATGTTATATTTATAAATACCAATTATTCAGAAATTTGGTGAATAAGTCCATCATTCAATCTGGTTCAGGACTATTTGGAGGATTTGTTCTTTCGAAATTATCTCAATGTTTTTGGCTATCTATTATAGGAGTATTAAACCACAATAATCTTTACCAAGTTATTCAAACATATTTCCCATATGTTATGGCATCCGCTACTCATTGATTTCTTTTTTTTAATCTCAATATTTCCTCTTAGACTGTGTAGTAAACATTCTGAGGTATTTTATGCTATTATAACAGATTACACACATATTTAAATAATAATTTGGCTTGAAATAAAAGTGTGGTAGAATTTATTTTTCTTCATAATTTAAAAATATTTCTATGTTTCTATTTTATATCCAGCATTGGTACTGAAAAATTTGGCATCAATCTGATTATTATTTTGCCATGATTTATTCTTCCTCTATAGAGACTTTTAGAATAATATATTTCCCTCCAATGTTTTAAAATATTGCTGCAATATGTCAAGATGTAGGTTTTTAATTCTCTCCAAATTGATACTCTAAGAGCCTTTTTAATGCAAGGTATGTAATCTTTTTGAAATTTTTAAACTGTATATTCATTATTTCTAAAGACATGTTCTCTTTTCTGTTTTTTTCCTTGTCTTCTGAGACTCCCATTACTATATGTTGATTCTTTCTCCATCTTCTTTTTTTTTTTTTTTTTTTTTTTTTTTTTTTTTGAGACGGAGTCTCGCTCTGTCGCCCAGGCTGGAGTGCAGTGGCGGGACCTCGGCTCACTGCAAGCTCCGCCTCCCGGGTTCACGCCATTCTCCTGCCTCAGCCTCCCAAGCAGCTGGGACTACAGGCGCCCGCCACTACGCCCGGCTAATTTTTTGTATTTTTAGTAGAGACGGGGTTTCACCGTTTTAGCCGGGATGGTCTCTTTCTCCATCTTCTAGCCTGGCTTATTATTTTATTTTTCTTCATCAGTTTCTGTTCCTGTGGAGTTTTTCCATGTGACTTTTCAGCTGTCTAATTCCCAGCTTTTTCTTTAGCTGTATCCATCCTGGTGTTTATCCCTTCTATGTGTTCTTTGTTTTAAGTATTATATTTTATTCCTAATAAAGTCAGAGGGAGATTACACACACATACACACATGTATCTGTCTATTTTCTCTTAGCTCTTTGTGCATATTTATTATATTTCTTGGTTTGTCCCAAAATTCCGTTCTATTTTACATGTGTGTGTGTATATATATATATATATACACACACACACACACACACACACACATATATATGTATATACATCTGAATATTTGTTTCTTTAATGAGTGTACTCCACAGGTGTCTATTAATTTTGGTATTCCTGATAACATGTTTTGGGGTAGACCCAAAGGCTAGGCCCTTGCCTGCGTCTCTCCATTGTGTTTATAAAGAGGGGAAGGGACATGCCCCAGGGCTGAGAAACCCAGGCCCCACAGCATCATGTTAACCACTATATAAGTCTCCTAGTCAAAGATTCACTTTTAAACTACTTTAAATAAGCAATTTCCTGTTTAGTTTATTGAGGGGGTTGGAGGAAGAGTACACAAAAAAGTAAGGCTAGAGAGCAGCAGCAGTCCAGACCCACCATCATCTGCAAACCTACCGTTTGATAGCTTCTGTGGCCTGGGCTGTCCTATATTTTTCGTGGCAAAGAAACTGGTTATGCCAAGGTGACACAGAAAGGGAAAAACAAAACTAAAACAGCTTTCCCCCACACTACTCACCTTTATCTGCCTCCTATTATCCTGTGCTCCTGCTGCAGACATACCACAGCCCTCTCCACACAGAGACTGCTTCTTGGTAGTCTTCAATCTCAGCTTGATTTATTTTCTTAATTATTGTTATTTTCCTTAACCTATACTTTCCTTGAGCTTCTGTAGTCTCTCTAGCATTGATTCAGAAGAATAAAGTGTGCAGTCCATTCAAATTCACCATTACAGCAGCAGGTACTGGAAACTTTTATAGCATTCTATGTCTGGTTATTCAGATTTTTTTTCTACTTAAAACCTTTCTTAAAAATTGAAATGTATAATATTTGCAAAAGTTTTCATAAGTAAATAATTTTAAGATATATTAAACCCAGTATATCTTTTTTTAAAAAAACCTATATTTATTTTTACTTTTTATTGTTACTTTTTCTTGTTGTCCTCCTTAAGACTTTGAGAGGATTCTTCGGTTACAAGCTTACTTTACATGTTTTCTATTTTTCTGTATGGGTCATTCAACTTATACAGAATTTGACACTGTGAATTTTCCTCTGAATACTTCAGACAGATTTTCTGGGTTTTAATATGTGCTATTTCCTTTATCATAAATAACTTGTTCTTTTTATTACTAGTCACCTCAATTTGTACACTCCCATTCCCCCCCCCCCAACCGCCAAATAATAAAATGTTTCCCTGATTAAAAAAAAAACAACAACAACAAATTTCCAAGGCACTTATGGCTGGGGTGCCAGCCTTTATATAGAAACTCAGAAACCACCAATAACTAGGCATAACTAGGAAAAGAAAATTAATCACCACAGAGCTGAAACTCCCTGACTAGACAATTTTCTAACACTGTTGATTTTCCTCCTAAGTCACTTTTCCTATTTTAGCACGGTAAGCAGCTTTTCACAAGGGATCTGTAGTGTTGTATTCAAACAAGCACGGCTGTATGAAACACTTCCTCTCTAGCTGGAACGTGTCAATCATTTCATGTAATTAATTTCCTAATGATCCTGAAACATTTGCTTTCTACCTGAATGATCTCATTCTGGTACCAGGCAATTTTCTGGAGCATTTTAAATGTAAAGTTTGTAGGTAAACCCAAGTAAATACATTGTAGACAACTTGCAGAGGAAAAACTCAGGATCAAACCTTTTCCCAATGAAGTGTATAATATTTTCTTTGACGGAAGCAAAGTGATATATAGCGTGCCACAACTAAACTGTAAAAATACCACGACCTTTCATCAGTCTCAATTATTAGGAGTAATAGCCTCAGGCTGAAACTACTTGAGAATCCCTGATGATATTTAAGACAGAAAAACTACAGAATCTAATGCAAAGTCCACGGCCAAACTGTGCTGGGATAGGGTTGCCTAGTGGTCCATTCATCATTTTTTTTTTCTGCTTACACTGGGGCTGACATCTACTTATTAAGTCTTTCCCTGGGTCATTTCACACTGCTGGAGAGGCAAAGTAGAAATCCCATCAGGAGGCCTGCATTTCCAGAGGGAAGGGAGGGATTTTATTTTTGGTGCCATCATTATCTTATTAGGCAAAAGGAAAACTGTTGGTCCTGATAGATCCCTTCCTGTTCTTTCAAAAGTCATATCCAGTGTAGATGAGTGCCCCAATGCACAGGAAAGTGCTAGGAGAAATAAAACAAAAAACTGCTGTCCTGTGAAATAGTAATATTTTTCAATAGCTAGGGACCACGCCTTGCTGATGAGGGAAGCCAGGCTGAACTGAGCATTGTAAACAGACTGTGACAATCTACCGGAAGAAAAGAAGGGATGGGAGGAATCAGTAAACAAGATTCAAGGAATGGGTAAATCTTTCATTAAATACTATGGACTAAACCTCCTCAGTGGAGAGACTAGCAATATTTCACTGAAACAGGCAGTGACAATATGCAAGCAGATTGCTTTTTATCCAGGATGGAATTCAGAAACCTTTGTTTTCCCTGTTCTCTGACATGTGGCACTTTACTTAACTAGGAATTTATGAAACAAACTGCAGCAGTATTTGCAACACCTCCAACTGTGTCACCAACGGAAATCATGTATGTCATATCACATATCACATTTCAATTGTAGGAGATATTATGGAATACCATTTTCATGGACCAATACTTCTAAAATATAATGTTCTTGGCCCTGACACTAACTCTTATTATATAATAAAGAAACACATTTTGTTCATGCCAAGTGAAGGCAAAACAAAAAAAAGAAGGAAAAAAGAGAAACAGACATTACTATATCACTTTTTAATTATTTTATAACTATACTTCAATATAATTTATTTCCTTTAGGATCATGTGCATTTTATTTTATGCATTTGAAAAACTTTTTTTTTCCTCAGAAGGAGGTCTATAGGCTTTACCATACTGCAAAGTCCATAGCACAAAGAGCTTAAGAATGTTTGCCTTATTCTAAATTTATATTCATTAGGCAAAATCACTCCCCTCATTCCTTCAGGGTTTGTGTGTGTGTGATCTCAGTACACAAGTATAGACACATTCAGATCACTGTGATGAACCCAGTCAATTTCAAAGATGGTTTTTCCTATTACCAAAAGTCTAGATGCAACAATGGCATCTAAATACAATGACATTTAAAATCATCTTAAGATGTGTTTTTAAATATGTCAAATATTATTATGACATATTATGTTTTTAAATATGTCTAAATATATAAGTTAGTCAAGGATGGAGGCTCAAAATAGACCTAAGACCCTTCCTAGGCCTCCTATCAGTCTGTAGAAACCTTGGCTCAGGAGAGAAAGGTTAAGAACTGGATTTTACTTCCCTTATAGTAATCTCTGAGTTACTGGTGAGCAATCCCACCACACGCTCACCCCAGAATAAATATCCTAGGTCATGAACAACTAGATGTGTAATGAGATTCAACAGGGACAGTCTGTGAGGGGTGGGCAGTCACGAGGGGTGAATGGAAGGTGGTAGTCTGCATCATTGCAGCACAGTCTTTTTTTTTTTTTCATGGAAACCTCTGCACAAACCAGGTAGGCATTTACAAAGCAAGAGGCAGCTTGAAACACTTGCCAGGCCCAGAGAGTGCAACACCGTCATACAGCAATGCTGGTCAAGGGATATCTTCCTTTCACCTTTATTTTTGCCCTCAGTTCCGCCACACTCCTGCTGCTAGGGTGGATCAGAACCCAGTCTCAGTATGATGGGGAGAGAGAGAGATGGAGGTAATGAGGACCACATCTCCATTCCTGGCTTCTTGTTTGAGGCAGGCTCCAACTGGAGGAGTTGAGAAAATTTAACTTTAATCAAGTTTGGAGTTTTGCATATTAAATGCATTTGGACATTCTAATTTCTGAACGAAGATTCTGTTTGGTGACTTAAGAATCCATGGTACTTATTTGCATAGTCATCTCATGCCCCAAGATATAGCTCAGGCAGAGAAAGAAATCCCTTCAATGAATTTTAAAGAGACAGAATACAAAATTAAGTGGCATTATGGTTACACTCCACGAATCCTATACATTCCTAATGAAGCTTATACTGATTTTTGTCTTTTTTCTCAGCTGTACAAAACTTCTTCTGTGTTTAGTTTGCTTTATCCCAGATCCCCAGTCAGTTCCTAGTGTTCATTCCCAGGTTTGTTCTTGTCCAGAAAGCCTCCTCAGTTCATTCCCTTGCAATATAAACCCTGCCTACCCATCTGGTCTGGCTCAAACCCATTGCTTCAGCTATGTTTTATTTAAATGCACAGTCCACATTGATTCCTTTCTAATTTCTATTGCTTTTTGCAGTACCACTTATTTACAATTGCCATATTCCATTTTTATACAATTTATTTTTTTCTTTTTCAACTTTTTGGTTCAGGGGGGTATGTGTGTAGGTTTGTTGCATGGGTAAATTGCATGTTGCTGAGGTTTGGTATACAAATTATTTCATCACTCATGTTGTGAACACAGTAACTGACAGGCAGTTTTTTGACTCTCAGACTCCCCTTAGCCTCTACCCTCAAGTAGACCCTGGTATCTCTCATTCCTCTCTTTGTGTCCATGTGCACTCAATGTGTAGCTCTCACTTGTAAGAGAGAATATGCATTGGTTTTCCATTCCAGCGATAATTCACTTAGGATAATGACCTCCGGCTGCATCCATGTTGCTGCAAAGGACTGATTTTCCTCTTTTTTTTATGACTGTGAACCACATTTTCTTTACCCAGTTCACTGTTGTTGGGCATCTTGGTTGATTCCATGTCTTTGCTACTGTGAATAGTGCTGTGATGAACATATAAATGCATGTGTCTTTTTGGTAGAGTAATTTATATTCCTTTGGGTAATGGGATTGCTGGATTGAATGGTTATTCTGCTTTAAGTTCTCTGAGAAAAGGCTTTTAATAAAACTCAACATCCCTTCATGTTAAAAACCTTCAACAGACTGGGCATTGAAGGAACATACTTCAGAATAATAAGAGCTGTCTATGACAAATGCACAGCCAACATCATACTGAACAGGCAAAAGCTGGACGCATTCTCCTTGAGCACTACAACAAGAATAACAATGCCCACTGTCACCACTCCTACTTAACATAGTACTGAAAGTCCTAGTCAGAGTAATCAGGCAAGAGAAAGAGATAAAAGGTATCCAAATAGGAAAAGAGGAAGCCAAACTATCTCTCTTCACATATGATATGATTCTATACCTAGAAAACCCCATAGTCTCTGCCCAAAGGCTCCTGCAGACTGATAAACTTCAGTAAAGTTTCAGGACACAAAATCAATGTAAAAGATCAGTAATATTTCTATACAGCAGTAACATCCAAGCCAAATCAAGAATGTAATCCCATTCACAATAACTACAAAAAGAATAAAATACCTGGGAATTCAGCTAATCAGCAAGGTGAAAGATCCCTACAATGTGAATTACAAAATGCTGCTGAAAGAAATCAGAGATGACACAAACAGATGGAAAAACATTCCATGCTTATGGACAGGAAGAATCAATATTGTTAAAATAGCTGTATTGCCCAAAGTGATGTACAGATTCAATATGATTCCTATCAAACTACTAACATCATTTTTTACAGAGTTAGAAAAATCTATTTTAAAATTCATATGGAACCTAAAAAGAGCCCGAATAGCCAAAGCAATTCTAAGCAAAAAGATCAAAGCGGGAGGCATCACCCTACTTGGCTTTAAACTGTAATACAAGGCTGCATGTATTAGTACCAAAACAGCATGGTACTAATACAAAAACAGCATGGTACTAATACAAAAACAGACACATAGACCAATGAAATGGGTTAGAGAACCCAGAAATAAAACTGCACACCTACAACCATCTGATTTTTGAGAAAGTCAACAATAGCAAGCAATAGGGAAAAGACTCCCTATTCAATAAATAATGCTGGGGTAACTGGTTAGCCACATGTAGAAGATTAAAACTGTACCCCTTCCTTTCACTATATGCAAAAAATCAATCCAAGATGTATTAAAGACTTAAATATAAGAACAAAAACAATAAAAACCCTAGAGGAAAACCTAGGAAATACCATTCTGGACATAGATCTTGGCAAAGATTTCACGAGAAAGTCTCCAAAAGCAGTTGCAACAGAAACAAAAAAAACAACAAATGGGAACCAATTAAATGAAAGGGCTTCTGTACAACAAAAGAAACTATCAACAGAGTAAACAGACAACCTACAGAATTAGAGAAAATATTTGCAAACTATGCATCTGACAAAGGTCTAATATCCAGAATCTATAAGGAACTTAAACAAATCATCAGTCTTTTTCTGAAGTTAACAATACATCATATTTCTCTTTATTTTTTTGGAATTGTGGGTAACTTCTAGTCTGGGAAAATATGATGATCCATTTCTTATCATTTCTAGTATAAATGTAAATAAAAATCTTATTTCCAATCATACCTGCATCTACAGGACATAAATCTTGGAATATTATCTGTTTACATGTAAATATCCTAAGCCTATGCTTTAAAGAGATTTCAGTTTTATTTAAAATTCATGCAAGGTTGGAAGGAGCAAAAAGGTGTCTCAGGGGTCTTGTGTATTTTAGAGAGGAATGTCAAGAATGCAGGCTTCCCAGCTTGTAAAACAATAGCTTCTTTGATTGGAAGTTCAGTTGTGCTTTGCCTGACATTTTCTGTTTTTAAATCCAAAGGTAAATTTAACTTAGGGAGGAGATATGTCTGTTTGTCAGCTTCAAAAGCGATTTGTTTTCGTTTTGTTTCTTTTTTTTCCAAGCAGTAAATCTTTTGAAATTTAAACTCTACCCTTGTTTATCACTGCAGTTATTGCTTTAGAGGTTAAAGTTTGTAACATAGTCCCTTCTCTACCCGCTGAAAGACAGGAGACAGAAAAGCCTATTTGAGAAATTCTGTTGGTAAACCTATTCCCAACGACCCTATTTAAGGCAGATTATGCTGTTCAAAACATGCCACTAATCTATATTTTCTTGATATCATAATAAAAGAAGCTGCCATCAACAAAATAGCCCCTTGTCAATCAAACACTTGCCAAAATTATACCCCACTTTTGAGCTCATGCAAAAAAAAAGTTTCCATTGTTTTGTGCCTTTCTCAAATACATATCAACCAACATTAGTAATTAATATCCTCATGACATCCCTCATATTTTTGTACATCTTTCAATATTTGGGTTAATTCTTTTCCTTATGCATATTCCTAAAACACGGAAAAACAAGAGAAAATTCTTGGTACCCATCCTCTAGTATGATTCTATTATTAAATAAATTTTTTTCTAATTTAAAAACTTATCAGGCTGGATATGGTGGCTCATCCCTGTAATCCCAGCACTTTGGGAGGCTGAGGCAGGTGGATCACCTGAGGTCCAGAGTTCGAGACCAGTCTGACCAACATGGTGAAACATCATCTCTACTGAAAATACAAAAATTAGCTGGGTGTGGTGGCAGGCACCTGTAATCCAAGCTACTTGGGAGGCTGAGGCAGGAGAATCATTTGAACCCAGGAGGCGGAGGTTGCAGTGAGCTGAGATTGCACCATAGCCCTCCAGCCTGGGCGATAGGGCGAGAATCCATCTCATAAAAAACAAAAACAAAAAACACTTATCAACTGACACTTCTCATTTACTTTCTCGTGGTAATATTTAAAAAGAAAACAAGAACACCTCTTTTTGAGTCATCAAACATGTAGAATTGAAAGCTAAACCTGAATTTTAATACTATAAATAGACCATTTTCAAATGATTCACCGATTACCAAAAAGTAAAAGTTAGATATGGGAAAATAACTTTTTGGTTTACCGAGAGACTGAGGATCATGGAAGGCTGGACTTGCCTTTAAGATAACAGGAGTGGGCAAATTACAGCACTTGGGCCAAATCAGCCAAAAGGGCAGACCACCCATTTTAGTGTGAGAGCTAAGAATGTTTTCTATATTTTAATATGGTTAAAAAAAATCAACCGAAATTTAAAAGAAAATAGCACTTCATGAAAGGCATGAAACATGAAATTAAGCTCTCAGTGTCCATAAATAAAGTGTTTTTAGAACACAGTCATGGTCAATCATTTGCATATTGCCTATTGCTGCATTCACAAAACAGTGGCGGAGTTGAATAGTTACAACAAAGACTGTATGACCTGCAAAGCCTAACATGTTTACTAGCTGATCCTTTACAAAGAAAGTTAAGATTATGTCTGTTTTCTGAAACAGTTCCACTGATAACAGCACATATATTTATGGACCATTAAGTTGTGATTAAATATGATTGCTATAAATCAAGCCTTGAAATACCATCTGTCTATTCTTCTAAGAATGATGACTTCAACAGCTCTTTGGCACAATAGACAGTGATTTATTTTAACTCTTTTTTGAGTTTTTTGAGATGGGGTCTCACTCAGTTGCCCAGCACGGAGTGCAGTGGCATGATCTTGGCTCACTGCAACATCCACCTCCCAGGTTCAAGCAATTCTCATGCCTCAGCCTCCCCCGTAGCTAGGATTACATGTGTATGTCATCACATCTGGCTAATTTTTGTATTTTTAGTAGAGACAGGGTTTCACCATGTTGGCCAGCCTGGTCTTGAACTCCTGACCTCAAGTGATCCACGCACCTCAGCCTCCCAAAGTGCTGGGATTACAGGCATGAGCCACTGTGCCGGGCCTTCTAATTCTTTTATTCAGTTTCCCTTTGACCAGCCAAATACTTATTTTCAAAACAGGAAAAACTATGAAATATTCCCTTGGGTATGTACTGACTTACCTGTTGATATGTATTTTGCTGAGAATAGATACCAGAATTTAATATATACCAAAACTGGCACTCCAAAGAAGTGTTTATTTATTTTACTTAATTTCTCCCTTGAAACACACCTAATAAAAATGTTCCTGATAAATTTCCCAAATACATACTGTTAGAATGTCAATAAAAGCTTCAGTACAGTAGTATAGTTGTTTCTTCAAAATGAGAAATATACAGTATTTATTCAGCTATTTATTCAATCACTTGCAAGAAAATAATCTCAAACTGAAAGAAAAAGATAATTTATTGGCACATATGATTGAGAAATCCCTGTTTTAAAATGATGCCAATTACAACGAATTTTCTCTCCTTCTTTTGGTTTAGCTTGTCTCTACCCATCTCTCTGTGGTGTTGTCTACCTCTTTAGGCTACATGTGATGGGAAGAAGCTAGCAGTAGCTTTCTATATTCATTCTCTGAAATTTAAGTCCAACAGAATAAGAGAGCATCCATTCCCAGTACATACAGCACAGAAACACAGATTCACTATGATTAGAACCACGTGGGAGACATGAGACTACAAGGGGGATTGGGAATTCTCATTGGCCAAGCCTGGGTGCTATGCCCCAC
Organism: Homo sapiens; assembly: GCF_000001405.40. Taxonomy (NCBI): domain Eukaryota; kingdom Metazoa; phylum Chordata; class Mammalia; order Primates; family Hominidae; genus Homo; species Homo sapiens. Next base: position 226,162,753 of record NC_000002.12, read on the forward strand.
CCTGGCCATCACTGCCATCCCAGCCAATAACTGGCTAAAAAAAATGAGAAGAATGGGTTCCCAAAGGAAAGTTGAGGGTTTTTGTTGTTGTTGTTGTTGTTTGTTTGTTTGTTTGTTTGTTTTTGTCAGAATAAGGAAGAAGAAATGTAAGACCAGGAAATTTACTATTTGAATTAAATTATTCTTAACCACATTTAGAACTTTCACCAAATACTGTTCATGATTTTTCTACTGCTAATTCATTTTTATTTTTCACAAAGAAAGCTTTAAAATATTATACATTAGGTGAGGCTGAGAGAAGAGAAACTAAAAGAAGTTTGGTGGAAGCTTTTGACCATGTTTCATGTATGCCTATCCCTTAACCACCTTCAACATGAGGCCAGTCCATGGCAAACAATTGTTAATCATCTGTGTACTGCATTTTGCCACCAGTCACCCTCCAACATGCCTCTGCAACACAACACCAGGCCATCAGAATGCTGCGTGATGGGCTCTCAAAGGGGAATGGTGGCCACAGGATTGGCCTTCCATAAGCTGATCCCAGAAAAGGAGTTTAATGAGCTCTAAGATCAACCTAGGCCCAGTTGATTGACTTATGGTAAAATTCAGTTTGCATCTGCTCTTTGGGGTCTCTTTAATTGTCATGATCCTTTTTTCCCTAGAGTTCCCTTTGTCTAAGCAAAACAACAACACAAGAGAACCTTTTCTTTATTTCGGACTTAAGTAACATTCATGCTCTGGTCCTCTGTCCCAACTTGGTGTTCTGTATCTTTCCTATCATTCCAGCTATGGACATCTATTTTTTTTTAATAATTTCTACTTTTATTTTAGATTCAAGTGGTACATGTGCAGGTTTGTTATCTGGATATATTACATAATGCTGAGGTTTGGGGCACAATTAATCCCATTACCCATGTACTGAGCATAGCACCCAATGGTTAGTTTTTCAACCTTTGTCCCCCTCCCAATCTCTCCTCTCTAGTAGTCCCCAGTTTCTTTTGTTGCCATCTTTAGGACATCATTTAAAAAAAAAAAAAAAAGCTTTGAGAATACAATTTGTATATTTGGGTCTGAAATATCATTTTAGTAGAAAAAATATGAAATAAGTTACTATAAGTATGTCCATATTTTTAAAAGGCTAAAAATACCTTGACTCACAGATTGGGCCAACTATCTCTTTTTAAAAATAATAATAGGCCAAGAAACAGCATATTATTATTTTTATCAAAGACCTTAGCATTTTATTTAAGATAAAAAAGAATATATTTTTTTAACACTTTGTGGTGTAAAAGAATTGATTGGCCAGGCGTGGTGGCTCACACCTGTAATCCCAGCACTTTGGGAGGCAGAGATGGGTAGATTTTCTGAGGTCAGGAGCTCGAGACCAGCCTGGCCAACATGGCGAAACCTCATCTCTACTAAAAGTACAAAATTAGCTGAGCATGGTGGCAGACACCTGTAATCCCAGCTACTCAGGAGGCTGAGGCAAGAGAATTTCTTGAACCCAGGAGGCAGAGGTTGCAGTGAGCTGAGATCGTGCCACTGCACTCTAGCCTGGGTGACAGAGTGAGACTCTGTTTAAAAAAAAAAATGATTAATCTACATTCCCTACACATCTTATTGGCCGGAATTCAGTTTCTCTAAGGCAATCAGACTGCAGAACCTAGTCCTCTTGTGTGCCCAGAAAGAAAATGAAAAGGACTTCAAGAACCACTCAGGATTGTCCCTGCTACAGGAAATAAGGAGAGGCTTTCTGGAAGAGGAAGAAATTAATCAAGCCTAGAAAGATTAAGTAAGCACATTTCATCTCTGGCCTGGAAATTCTAGTAGCCCTTTCAGGAGCAAGAAAGTCTAGTACTCTCTTAATATTGAGTCTAGGATGTGAGATGATGGTTATGACTCCATATTCAGAAGTGTGAGCAATCAGTGGCAGCTCCATTCCTGGAAACACAGTAGAGTCTGTCAGCTGTAGCTGACAGAGGTAGTGATTGATGGAAACCTGCCACCTTCACTTGAATCTGTCATAAACCGTCTGCAACTAATCAATTCCACTACACAGTGAGAGTTGTAATGATTCTGAATCCATTTTGTTTCTGAATAGATAGATATGTCTATAATCACACTCAATCTTTAAACTTTCTGCTTTCTCTGACTGTATCATGTATATTATGTATTTGGAAGCATTTGATACATAGATGATATTAATAGATGGATGGATGCATAGATGGATGGATGGATGGATAGATAGATAGATAGATAGATAGATAGATAGATAGATAGATCAAGCAAATGATGGAGTGAAGTAGCAACTGGGGAGACAAAGAATAAAAGCCTACACTTTCCAAGGACATTTTAATTCCCTCTTTTTCTTCTTCTTCTTTTCTTATTTATTTATTTATTTTTGTTTCCCGCAAAGGATTTATCAGGATTAGCAATCAACTGAGCAGTGGAATTTTATGAAATGCCTGAAGGTAATTATGTGGAATTGTGAAATGTATATCAGTGGGATTACTCTAGTCTTGTCTAATTATTTGACCGTTATCAATACAACTGAGTGATAAGTATTTAGAAGATGCTATTTAAATATTTTTCAGTGAATACTGAGAGGCACAGTCTCTTGATAAACCCCTTCCTATTCAATAAGCATGTCAAAATATTAAACAATGTCATCTTAGGAAAGGTAAGAATGGAATTTTGGAACTTAAGCTAAAACTGCCATAAAGACGCTATGGCGTTTCAAACAAGCTGTAGTTGTTTGCATAGATTGGTAGAATTTAATTTTGGAAAAATTACTAATCTGAACAACTAGCGATCAGCCCTGGTGCATAAAATTACTTGCTTTCAAAAATTCTGACCACAAATATTCACAATGGATGCACAAACAAATTTTGCCAGCCACAATACGAAAGATTTTTGGAATCTTACCTTGTCTTGGCAAAATAAGTTGCTTGATTTTTCTTGATTGTCTTGTATTGAGTACTAAAATTAAAGGTGCAGGAACAGCACATTTTCTTTCTCTTCCTAACTTGACTATTTTTGGTTTCGTGAAAAAATATTGATTGCAAAGCACTACCTTTGTGCTAAATTTTAAAACTGCCGCTTATAACATGCTGCTTGTGTAAAAAAAAAAAAAAAAAAGAAAAGAAAAGAAAAAAGAAAAAAAAGAATGTGCAAATTGCAGAAGAAAGTGAGGTACAATGAGTAAGATCGCAGGTGCAATTATCAGACTTCTTGGCAAAACCTCTCTACCACTTAGATGGACCCCTGTGGGCACATTATTTTTCTGCAACTAATTTCATCATTTATGATATAATGATCATATTAGTATTCACTGGTTAAGTGATGTGATAATTAAATGAAACAGATAATCTATTTAAAATACTGGCTATGATGTGTGGCAAAGTGTAAGCCCTCTATAAATGATAGCTATCATTATTTGATAAAATATATTCAGACATGTCTCCAAAGTGATCTGGCGATCATCAGTTTGTGATAAAGCAAAGTGACGTGAGACCATCATGCTAGACTTGTGTTAGAATCTGTTCCACTTTCCACTAACCTACTTATGAAACAGTCTTTAGAGAAATGTAGAAGACATGATATGCATATTATTAAGAACACTCTAAGTCCTAAATATTTACTATCAGTCTTTTGAAATATTTCAGGAGTAAATAGCACCTTAGACAATGTCCAGAAAGACTGACACATTTTGTCTTGAATTTTCCACACAGTCCTTTCTACCTTAACCCCACTAAATTTTATTTCCATCTGGATCACGACTTAAAAACTTGATCAGTAAGATATCCAGTAATCAATTGTGCCAAATGGACATTTCTGAACTCATCTCTAACTTGATCTTCCTGGTCTTATTGGTCCTTTTCAGTCCCACTTTATATCACCAAGTGAAGTGAACTTAACACTCGTTGGCTACCAACTGACTGTCAGGTACACTGAGTCTTAAACTCTGTGGTTCTTGTATCTCTTAGTTTTTTCTTTTTCTTTTTTTTTCCTAACTCTCTGATCATAGTATTCCAGTCTTCTTTATGGATGCCTCTTCCTTTGACTGCCCTTCAAATAAATTTCCCATATGTGTGATCCGATATCTGCTTTTCTTTTCACTCTAGATGTATCTTATCTACAGCCCTGATTTATTACAGGACAATTTATCAAGCAATCTCCAATATACATAACTATTCCAGCACTCTCTATTGAGCTCCTACCACATATCTTCTTGAATATCCACTTGCAAAGATGTTTTGAACCACAATTTCAACATATCTCACCCTGAATCAATGATATTTCCTCCAGTTTGGCTTCTCCTCCATTATTTCTTATTTTCATTAACAGTAACATATCAATCCTATCACTCAAGTTAGAAACCTGGGAACTCTCTAACCATGTCTCCCTCCATCACTTTCTAACTCCAGTCCATCGAAAGTTCATTTTGATTTTCATTCCCAAGTATTTGTTCATTTCAGTTGCCACCCTTCTCTAACGTAACTGACGTAGTTCATCGCTTTTCACTGATATTACTAGAACAGCATTATAGCTAGTTTTCTCTCATTCGTCTTTAGTTAATTCAATCGCCATAATACTTCAGAGTAGTTTGTCTTAAATAAAAATGTGATCTCTTCAACATCTATTTTAAAATCCTTCATTGTGTTCCCAGACTTTTTGGTGAGGCTTTATGTGCATGGGGCCATTATCCTGTGGCTTGACTCTCCAGTCTCATCCCTGATCACCCTTTCCCATGGATCTTAAAAAAAAAAATTATTTCATCTGAACTTCATCTCTTTCAGCCTCACCTGAAAAAAACAGGATGAAATAATACTTTCATCATGCTTGGATCTTCACTGCCTTATCACTAACATTTTCCACAGTTCAACCTTTTAAAAAGAGTTAAAAACATTTGTTTTTTCTAGCTCCTCACTTTCTGTTCACTTGTAAGTTCACCATAAAATCTGGATGCTGTCACCAAGATCATAAAGAGCCTGCCACTTGTCAAATTTAATAGGGACCTTGAAGTGTTTGTGTTGCTTGATGTACCAGTAGTTAACACTGTTGATCACTGTTGGTTCTTGAAACTTTCAATACCTACAGATTTAAGGACATTTTTCTGGGTTTTGTCTTGCTTGTGTGTATTCTCTTACATTTTACAATGGTACCAATATTCTTCCCGAGCCCCTCTTTGTGTGCTAACTCTTAAAATTGTTTTGTTTTTTGCCAGGGTTCTCTTCTTGGTCTCCACGTATCATTCTCAGCCCAGTGGTTCTCAAGTGTATTTCAAGCCAGGTACACTGAGGGCCCCAGTATGCAACAGCAACAGAAGCTCATATATTTGCAAAGCTAAGTTGGAGGTGGGAGATTTTGTCTAATTTTAAAAAGCACCTTAGTGATTTTGACCTGTTGTCTTTCTCTGATCAAGATTCTTACCCTTTCTGGCCGATCTTATCCTTGCTTCATCCTTCACTACCACCTATGTTTAGATGATTCACAAACTTTTACCTCTAGTTCTTATCTAATTTCTCAGTTCCAAGTCCGTATATTTTCCTGCCTCTTGCCAACTCAAACTATATGTTCTACCATTATGTTTAGCCCAAACTGTCCAAGTTGGACCGATTATTTTGTTTTCTCCAAAATGTTTGTCAAACAGAATTCCTGTCTCTGTAATTATCCAAGCAAAAAACCTGGGGTTCATTTACCTCCTTTCCCCAACATTTTTCACCATATCCAATAGATACTCTAGCCCTGTCATTTTTTTAAATTTCTCAGTCACTCTCATTACTTTACACTTCCCTCTCTTCTCATTGATACTGTCATTGTTTAGTCTTCTTTCTAATCTATTATGATCATTCTCTAATTATCGTGCCTACAGCTTGACTGTCTGCAATCTCTTCCATTCAGATCTCAGAGTAAATTTTCAAAATAAAACTCTTATCATTTCACTGTCTGAATCACAACTCTTTTGAACCCCCACCATTTACAGGATAAAGTCCAAATTCCTAACCTGATGTTAGATCTCCTCTTTCAGATGAATAAGAACAGAGTTCACTGACCCATTTTCATTTATTTATTCGACAAATATTTATTGAGTATCACCAGGCAATACACTAAGGATATGGAATGAAAAAGGTCAGGGAAAATAAAATAAACAAAACAAACATAAATTCAAAGTTGTAAGTTCTATGTTAAAAAAAAATTAATGATGTAATTGATATTAACTAGATGGCTGTTCTTTTTTGTTGTCTTGTATGCTTCTCAATTACAGCACACAGTGTTCGTGTTATTTAAACAGCTGTATCCTACACTAGATTCTCGATGCCTTAAATAAAGACAAGTCTTACTGCATTTTCAGCCTCAGCACTTAGCAGTGACAGCACAGAGTAGGAGCTTCATCAATGTTAGCTGAATGTACTCACTCAGGAGCATTTGCAAATGTTAATGTTGACTGACTTTGGGATGTGTAAAATATTTGGCAAGGTAGTGGGGAAAGGAAAGAGAAAAGGCAAGGGGTGCTTTACCATGCAAATCCATTAAATAGATCAGGATACAGTAAGTAGAGTTCCAATGGCAAAATATATATCTCTGATTTTATAATTTAGTGAACAAAACTCAAAAATAACCCATTGACATAGCACTTTTTTGTCCAGTAGAATCTGCCCATCTGCCAAGTGGGCCTTGATCTTTCATGCATTTCATGTGCTATTTAGCTCTCTACTTATCTTCAACTACCAGCCTCTTACTTTATATGCTTATTATTCAGAGTATGTAACATTAGCTGCTGTATAGACAATCCCTCAAATCTCAGTGATTTAACAAATCACAGGTTGATTTCTTGCTCATACCAAATCTAATGTGTATTAGCAAGGAGCTTAGCTTTGTATAGTCATTTCAAGGCCAGGATTCTTCAACTGTATGGCTCCTGTACCTTTTAAGGCCTTAGCATATTCCATCAGATCTCCTACAGTCAACAGATATTGGGAAAGATGAAAGGGTACCCAGGAATTTGTGGAAATCAGATCTAGAAATGGTATCTATATTCCATTACCCGCATTCTTTTGGCCAAAACTCAATAATGTAGCCACAACTAACCTCAAGGAGCCTGGGAAACAAAGTCTGATTGTGTGTCAGGGAACAAGGGAAAAAAGCATGGCTATTGATGGGCAAGACTTGATAGAGAAGGAGTACTTTGTCTAAGAGTGATTCCTTGCAGATTAGCCACTCATAAAGTGCCATGGGTACCATCTATAGTCAAGTGTTTAAGACACTCAATCCCGGAAGAATTCTGAGCTGATGAATTCAGTTATCCATCCACTATATCATGTGAATTATATCCACTGGGCTTATTTCCAGCCCACTGATCATAGCACAGTAGGAGCTGGGTCTGCTGCAACCATGCATGCTGAGCCAATGGAATTAGGCTGGAACCAAAGTTCTGCCAAATGATCTAATGTTGATCTCAACTTCTGATCACATCAGGAAAGGGACGTGTGCTCAAAAATTCCGTAGCTCAAAGTTTAGGGTTTCTTCCTTGGAGTCTGATGCTGGTCCTGCTAGTTGCAAGGTTGCAGCAGAGGACCTACATTCCTGCTAATGCTCCTGCTTCTTTTATTTTACCCTTGGAAACCAGACCTGCTGAATACTGTCTAGCCTTTTGTCTTTGTTTACTCAACACAGGCATTCTCTGCTACAATACTTATGTTTAATCTTGGGCTTCCACATAGTTTCTGGTCCCATGTCTGTCTATGTACAGCTAGGTCTGCCCAACCTACACTTTCTCCTCACATTCAGTGTCCAACTAGTCTCATACAAGCCCCATATGGCCACACCACAGTATCAGACACTTCTCCCAACACACTCCATCCTTTTCCATCCAGAGAGGCACTAGGGCTCAAACATAATAGGCTTTGTGCAGACAAGTCCCCCAGCTGATTGTTTGAAATTGCTTTGATAGCTTGTAATTTGTGATTATATTTTTTAAGCTGAAAGACTAAAATGCCTGGTAGTTGAAAAATCATTTAAAAGATTTTACCTTTCACTATACTGCTGGTGCAAAAATGCATTAATTTTACCATCAGCATTATTAAAAATAATGTCCCATATTTATACATTTGACCATTTTTAAACTTATTTAACAAATATTTACTGTGTATTCATAATGCACCAAGCACTGGGGAGCACTTGGGATACAAAGTATTTTGGAAGATAATAATGAGGTGCAGACAGTTTAGATGAGTTAGCTAAGGGAGATTTTTTTTTTTTTTAAGAAGAAGTTGCATGTAAGTTGTAACATGAAAGATAAGTGTGAGTTTGCCAGAGAGCAGGGAGGAGGGTATCCTAGATAGAGGCAAGAGCATGTCAAAGGCTATTTGGAGAACTGGAAGAATTGAAAGATGGCCACAGTGGCTGAGCTGAGTCTGTAGGTATGGTGGGGGATGTATGAGGGGTTGATGCAACATGAGGCTGGAGAAGGGGCAGGTCTTGATAAACATTGTCAGTCATATCTTAAAAATTTAGATTTCTTCTTAAAGAAAATAAACGTCTTTAAAAATAAAGGGTTTAAAACAAGTGTCTCAGATAATCAAACATGATAGCTGCCTCAAGGGTAATAGATTGGCAAGAGACAGTGTGGACATAGGGTTTCGGAGTCTGTTGCAGTAGCTTGGGTAGGAGAGATGGTATATTTTGTACTAAGGCCGGGACAGTGAAGATGGTGACCATTAACTTATTTGAGATATTTTTTGGTTATAAAATGAATCATAATTAAAGACAATAGGTCATGTAAATCCTTGAGAAAAAAAGCACCATTAGGAATAAATTTAAGAATTAACATAAAAATTGGCCAGGCATGGTGGCTCACATCTGTAATCCCAGCACTTTGGGAGGCCGAGGCGGGCAGATCACTTGAGGTCAGGGGGTCGAGACCAACCTGGACAACATGGTAAAACCCCCTCTCTACTAAAAATACAACAATTAGCTGAGATACTTGGGAGGCTGAGGCAGGTGAATTGCTTGAATCTTGTGGGCAGAGGTTGCAGTGAGCTGAGATCATGCCACTGAATGGGCGACAGAGGGAGACTGTCTCAAAAAAAAAAAGAAAAAAAATTGTCATAAAAATAACGATATTAGAAACAAATCACAGACACTGTGACCCTACACAGCTGCATTATTGTCTATTGGTATTGCCATTTTTCATTTAATTTTTGTCCCTATCTAGGAATAGTCAACAATTTTTTTTTTTTAAATGGGGTCTCACTCTGTCACCCAGACTGGAGTGCAGTGACACGGTATCAGCTCATCACAACCTCTGCCTCCTGGGTTCAAGCGATACTCCTGCCTCAGCCTCCTGAGTAGCTGGGATTACAAGCACCCACCACCAGGCCCAGCTAATTTTGGTCTGTTTAGTAGAAATGGGGTTTCACCGTGTTGGTCAGGCTGGTCTCGAACTCCTGACCTCAAGTGATCCTCCCACCTCAGCCTCCCAAAGTGCTGGGATTACAGGCATGAGCCACCGTGCCCAGCTAACAATTCTCTTAAAAGAGCTACCATCAAAAAATCTGAAAAAAGCACTATTTAAAAAAAAAAATCACAGACCTGAACATAATGAAATATAACAAATGAATCACTCTGAATGGTACACTCCCACAAAAATGCCATGCCTGGGAGTTTGAAAGAAAAGCCAACCACCTGGGCTTGGGATTCAATCTGTGTTTTCAGTGACGCTTGAAGGTGAAACTCTCCCTTGTAACTAGAGAGTTACAGATCCTTAGAGAGGCGCTTCAGTGGTTTCATTCAGCGGTTACTGCAAAAGCTGTCCAGGTAAGTCCCATGACAGCCTCACAGGGTCCTTTGAAGGATCAATCAGTCCACAGGATCAGAGACTACTTTGCCCTCAGCATTTTCAGAATTTCAGCGACAGGGCATAATACATTATTTGATTATCTTAGCTTAGTATAACAAAATCCCAAGCTCTTCAATTCCTAATAATATGGGGTTTTTGTTTTTGCATTTTTTTTTTGTGGTGATTATTACTTCATAGCAAACTTCTCTCTGCTGGTGTTTTGCTGTTTTGCTTATCTCCACTGGGGCTGGGTTATAATAGCTTGGAGATGTTTGTTTCCTGTTTGTGGAATGTCTGACTTTCCAGCTCACTTTGCCCACAGGTTTGAGGCTGATAGATTCCAGGAAAATAGGAAGAATTCCATTCAAAATACCATAAAAATGGAGCAGGCTACAAGACTTTTGAGATAACACTACTGTTAAATTTTTTAAAAGAAAGACATTCTGAACCTGAGAGTCTCTTCAGTTTCATGAAGTGTCCCGGCAGGACGCTGAAGGCTACCGAGAACCCTGACTCCTATTAAATCAGATGGTACCTTATTGTTGCGTCAGAGCATTTTTCTACTTTCTCTCCCTTATGGAGCTAGCTCAAAGGTGTATTTTAGCTCCTGTTTTCTGAAAGTCCATGAAAGAGAGACACTATCAGTTTGCAACAATTATCCTTTATGTAGCACTTTTATTTTAGTATTCTCATGGAGCAACAAAGCAGGGCACCTTACCTGCAGAAAGTCAACAAAAAGGAGGGGAGATGCTATTGTCTTTGAGCTGGGGAAGGGTTCTCTGTTGACAAGTTAGACTCCAAAAAATTTGAGCCCCGGATTGAGGTAGACTAAGGAACCATAGTCTGTCTTGTGCCATATAAGCACAAAGAATTTTACAAGAACAATTCATAATAAGCTTTGTTAAACTAAAATTTTATCTTTTTGTTATGATTTGTAGTGCCATTAGCCTAATGATGTTAGGTATAAAACTCATTCATTCCAAAATTTTGTATAAATTATACTTTCCTTGCAGCTGGTAAATTCTTAAGGTGAGTAATATCACTTTTCCATCTGTTTCTCATATTCATTAAATAAAAACTATATTTTGTATGCTTACTTACCTTTTTTTCTAATGATACTCACCTATACTCTTTTGCTTTTAATCTATATAATTTCATAACATAGCATCATACAGTTAAGAGGCAGGAAAAACCAGTACCTTGGCCTCAATAGGTAAACTGTATGTTTCCAGGACACAGACATTAATTTGCTGAGTTAGAGTTCAGTAGTACCTTATTGATTATTATGTAAAACTCCTTCCTTTTAACAGACTAGGTAACTTAAGTTTTTCATGGACAAATATTAATTTTCAGCCAACTCTGTTCCAAATGCTATACAAATGTAAGTAAGGCATAATTCTTGTCCTTTAGTGTCTAATACTCTGCAACAAGGTTTCTCAACCTCTGGCTAGATAATTCTTTGTTGTGGTACACTGTCCTGTGCATTCTAGAATGTTCCACCACATTTCTTGCACCTCAAAAATATCTCCAGATTTGCTAACAATCCCCTAGTTGAGAACCACTGTACTAGAAGCAAAAACAAACCATGCACATAAAGACTTAAAATATAAGCAGAAAGTACAATGAGACACAGTAGATATAAGCACAGCCTCTGGAGTCAGTTGGTCTGAACTTGAATTCTGCTTCTACTAAGCAGGTTACTTAACCTCTCCATTCTTCAGTTTCTTCATCTGTAAAACTGGGCTCTATGATAATATCTATCATATCTTGAGTTCTAGTGAAAATTAAAGGATTTTATGTGTGTGTGTCTATGTGATTAGAATAGGTGTTCACACCACATTGTCAACACTGAATAAATGTTAGCTCTTATTTTTCCAATAAAGAAACATTCCACAATTCAAATTTAAAGGAGGTATTTTGGAAGTAGCGGGGGAGAATATTTCCAGACAGCTGCATCTTCAATTAAGGCTTTGGGTTAGATAATTGCTGAGTCATCTATAACTTTATTGATGAATGTCAATGTGAATGGATGATTCTAATCCAATCTCTTTGTTTTTGAAAAGTGAATGGAAACTGCATGAAATAATTTATCTAATAATTCATTACCAAGGTTCTCCCTCAAATGTTCACTTCATCCCTGTTGTTTATTATAGATAAGAATATGGAATGCTCACTCCACAACATTGTTTGTGAAAATCTTCAGATTTATTTTATTGAACAAGGTAAATAATGCAATTGTACCCTTGTCAGTTTCAACAGAGAAATCACACGTCAGTTGTATATGTTCCTTCTTGCCTTCTTTGATCACTCCCTCCTTTTCGCCTTCCCTATGTATTTCATTCCTTTCTTCCTTCTCCTTACCTTCTTTCATTTAACAAGTGTTTATTGAATATCTACTATAGCCACTGTGCCATGTGCTGGGGCTATAATTTGATCAGGAAGCACATAATCTTCCTCCTAGTCTTCCGCAGCCTGATTTATATTTATATATTAATAATTAAAATAGTCAAAGAAACACACAATACATTAATCAATTCACATAATCATGGATTTATTTTTCCTTATGTTTCTTCAAATCTACATTCTAATTCTGTTCTGCTATTCTTTCTTATAAAAACAAACAAACAAACAAAGGCTTTTCAGTTTTTGATCTCTAGATCAAAAAGTAAATTTCTCTCTTGCTTCTCCCCTAGCCCATTCTGATAGAAAGATATTCTTAATGAATGGAGAAACATATTCCAAAGCCATGAGAATAAGCTAATTTTCCACAGGAGCCCAGGCAGTTTCCTTCCTGATCAGAGAGGAGTTGCAGGAGTGCCAGGTGGCCAGTTGCTGCTCTCTTCTTTCCCTTCTGGAAAGAACAAAACATTTGTGTTTCTGAGATAGACTGTCCAGGGCATACACCTGGTTGTGTATTCTCCTAAAACTCTATCTCCTGATATTTCAGTGTAAAAAAATTTTCAACAGAATACTCAGCGCCAAAGAAAATCTTGAAAAATAATGAAAATCAAACTGGAACTAGCATTCTATCCTTCACTGTAGTGTTGTGTGTCTTCACCTCTTTGTAGTGTGATTATGGTGCCTTAGAAAAATACAAGTAACAATACAGGTAAAAATACAAGGTAACATTAATTTTTGGATTCATTAATCCAGACTTTCACCTTTTTTCCAATACATGATGCTGAGGGGAAAGGGAAGAAGAAAATAGGGGAGCAAACAGTCTAAGCAAGATTTTTTTTTTTTTTTAAAGTATAATAGCCAAATTTCTGGGGGGAAAAAAAAGAAAAACATCAGAAAAAAACTAAACTGGCATGGGTTGGAGCCTGATGAATCTCAGACCCTGGCTCGGGTCTAAGCTTGCAAATGAGGGTGAAATAGCCCCAAATGCGGGGGCTAAAATGGTGTGAGTAGAGGAAACCAAGCCAATTTTTAAAATGTCCTTTAAAACACAGCATACTGCTCCTGTGTGCCAAAAAAAAAAAAAAAAAAAAAAGAAAGAAAAATTAAAAAAGAAACCCTTGCAATACACTTTTGAGTACATCTTCTTAGTTAATTATTTTTTTTAAGTTTTGTAAGGCATTATCCCTGTTTTATATATAAGAAAACCTTGGGCCAGAGAGTTAAAATGACTTTGTCAGGTCATATAACTAGTCAACTATAGAACTATAGAACCAAGACCCTAGCATTTAATTGTGTCCATTACAGCCCTTGCTTTTAGGGGGATTTTATTCCCCTTTCTGTTTTCTAAATCTGTCTTTCTATGATAGTTTCCTTAAAAGTTTAGATTATTTCATTTGTTTTTCTTTGAAGCTTGTAATACCTAAAACCCTTCAATGGGTCCCAGTCTTACAGCTTTACAAGTAAGCCCTTAGCATGAGATAAAAGCTCTTTATGATGTAACCCAGTCAAAATATGTCCACACGCTGCAGATACTGCAGCTAAAATTCACACCCAAGCAGTCTAAGTGCAGATTCTACCTTCCAAACCCCAAAGGTATCCTGTCCCACTTTGTGTCCCTTTTCATATCTCTAGCTCAGTGCCTAGCACATGGCAGCATGGAACAAATCCTTGCTATTTGCACGTGTGTTTGCATGAAGGAAGAAAGGAATGATTCTCTCTGGACTATCTATCTTCCCCTGCCCCTGTCTGAACTCTGAGTTTTGGCCTTGCTCATTCTAACTCATCCTTCTACCAGCCCGACACCAGCCTGAAAAGCCATGCTGAGTGGCATTACATCATGCTGGTCAAAATTCACAAGTTCTAACTTGTAAAGCACATTTAAAATAAATAGCAGGAAGCATTGAAACTTGATTTTAAAATGGGCAAAAGAATAAACATTTCTCCAAAGAGGATATGCAAATGATCAACAAACATATGAAAAGATACTCAACATCATTAATCATTAGAGAAATGCAAATCTAAACCACAATGAGATATCACTCCCACCCATGAAAATGGCAACTATCAAAAAGAAAAAAAAAAAAACCCAGAAAATAACCAGTGCTGGTGAGGATGCAGAGAAATTGACACCTTTGTACACTGTTGGTGGGAATGTAAAATTGTGCAGACACTGTGAAAAACAGTATGGAAGTTCCTCAAAAAATAAAAAGTAGAATTGTCATGTGATCCAGCAATCTCACTTCTTTATATTTATCCAGAAGAATTGAAAGCAGGATCCTGAAGAGATATTTGCATACCCATGCTCACGGCAGCACTGTCTACAATAGCGAAAAATAAAAGCAACCCAAGTTTCTATCCATAGCTGAATGAATAAACAAAATGTGGTGTATACACATAACGAAATACTATTCAGCCTTAAAAAGGAAGAAAATTCTGGCATGGGTTAAACATGGATATATCTTAATGACATTATGCTAAATAAAATAAGACAATCACAAAAAGGTAAAAGTTGTATGATTTTAATTACATGAAGTTATCTAGATTAGTCAAATTCATAAAAATAGAAATTAAAATGGTGGTTGTCAGGGACTGGGAGTAGGGAAAAATGGGGAGTTATTTAATGGGTACAGAATATGGTGAAGCCTAAAGCTGTCCTTCAAATCACTTCTGTTTTTCATTTTTCTACTGATGTTTTCTTTCTCTATTCCCAAAGCCAATGTTTTCTCAGCATTCCCAAAGCCAACACTGGATTTAAGTGTGTTTCTTGAGTGGGAGGATCAGCCAGTACTGGTATTCACCCTATCAAAAAATTGCCACAGCAGGCTTTGCCATCATTCCCCAAAATATTTATCTAACCAAGTCCTTCAGGTTTAAGGACATTTGGGATTTTTTTTAAAGCCTAAAATGCAAATGTTATCCTAGAAGATCAAGAACAACTAATAACCATTAACCTTAAAAATAACAATTAACACCTCAGTCCAAATGAGTTTATAACATTTTCTTTAATAGTGAATGGATCAGTGGTTGTTAAATTTTCTGAGTTACTAGCACTAGAGCTTAGGGTGACATTGAAGGAGTTAAAAGGTAAATGCCAATTCTTTTGAAAAAAATGTTTAAAATATACCATTATAGTCCTATTCATTTGGTATTCTTTCAGTACTATTTGGGAGTTTGAGTAGAAATGCTTATTTCCCTGACCTTGTCCTATGAAAGAAAATACAAACACAAAGAAATTAAAAGTTCTAGTGGATTGTGATAAACAAAGTTCCTTTTGGTGGCACCAGCTTACCTCTGACCTAAAGGGGCACATTCTTCCGTGCCCCACCATGCGTCTCCCAACTCAATCATCAGACTCAGTTATTCTGACCAACGTTATAATATACAGTATGAATCCTCAACTGTTACAAAAATGTATTTCCACATTGATCAAAATGTATTGAAAAAAACTATTGCACTGTTTTTGTATATTGTTTCAGATTCCAATGGAAAGAACTAGAATAAACTATAAATTCTTCTAGGACAAAAAGAAAAAAAACTCTCTGTCATCTTCTGCCACCAGAACTCTACAATTCTTAGCACAAGAGAGACATTCAAAAACTATCTTTAGTAAGATAATTTAGTAAGAGTCTGGTAATAGAGAAGTTTAATGGAGAGAAGAGGTTGGAAAGTCTATTGCTTGAGGTGGTGGAGACTGTGGTAGTACTGCCCTATGGTGTTGGGAACCATAGTTTCTGTGTTTTCTGTCAAAAGAACTAAAAAATTAAGAGGCGTGAGGTGGTTTCCATGACCATGTGGAAAGATCAAACATGGAAGAATATAGAAAATCAACTTTCTTTTCCTTATAATTTAATTTATGAACAATTTTCTTTTATAAATTTAAGAGAAGCTTAAATGGGGCTCTTTCTAACATAGCTTTGAATGAGGTTCCAATAATTAACATCAGATAACAAGATGTGTATGAGAGAGTTTACTATAAACAGATTTTACAAAGGTTAAAAAAAAACTATTGCATAATTCTTATGTCTCCTCCTTTTTTTCAAGGCTATAAAAGTATTTACAGAGGAGAGGGAAAGAGAGCACAGTGGAGAGATGCCTTGGGAGAGAGCTGTTACTGGCCATGGTGTCATTCTTCTTCCACAGGTAGTGGTACCCCATTCCATCCCAAGTCTAGTGAGGAGTGACTACGTAATGATTCAGAGGGCCATGGAATGTGTGGGAAATATGGGCTCAGCTTGACTCATGACTGCCAAAGGCATAGTGGCTTCAGGTAGAGGGGTAGGGGTCACTGCCTTGGGGAGGGCCTGCCTGCACTTCAGAGTGCTGGAATAAAGGAGCAAATATGCTCCCTTCCTTGTTTTATGTGGGAGAGAGAACCAATGTAGAGCCCTTAAGTCCTTCTAAGAAATCCAACTAGATGGGCCAGGGATCCCCACAGGAGAAGATGGAAATGAATGCTGTGTCCCTGGGAGCTGAAAAGCTTTCAATCTACCATCATAATTAGATGCATCGGCCCAGGTGAAAGGGATTTCAGGAGTGGGGTCTTCTGCAAATCCATGAAGATGACTCTCGAGCAGAAACATCAACCTTAGCCATCTGTTGAACCCTGAAAATGAGAAGCCTGATAAGGAAGGTCCAGTTCAAATAAGGCTTTTCCTCTGTCTCCCCGCTGCCAGGATCTGAATGACAGACACTGTCTGGTGAGCTGCTGTTAGAGGGAGGATAAGGATCACAGTGTAAAAGATAGAAAGGAAATCAGGTGCCTCTCAAGCTCTACTCCCACAGCCCTTTCCCTTTGTCTATTTCCAGGGAGAAGCAGATCCAAACTGAGAAGGGAGAAGATGTGATAGTTGATATCACAACAAGCTTGAGTTTTGATTAATATCTTGGACAGGACATTCTATGTTCCAAATAGAGATTGTGTGTTACAAAGTGACTGCAGGACCAAAAATGAGTAGCAAATTCATGAACCTCTTAGATTTTTTTAATTTAGGACATGATGAGATTACTGCCAGTGACTCAACTTTTAAAATACAAGGAATAACTAAATAAATAAAGTAAAATTGCACTTTTAATTGTATTTTGAAGACATCATGAGCTGTGATTCATTCACTTCATCTCATAGAACTTCTGCTGGTGATAATTATATTTAATATTGTTACAATCACCCCTTCCTCTCAACTTGTTGTGATGTATGTCCCCCCAGCCTCCTTCTGAAAGGTGAGTTAACACAGCTTATTAGGGTGTTACATTAGAATCACTGTTTTGGAAAAGCCAAGCATGGTGTGGGCTTCTGGTGTCAGATGTGAATGTGAGAGATGAACAGCCAAGCTCTGCAAATGAAACACAGCCTCACTCATCCCCCTTCCCTCACATGCACCACCGCCCCATCTTCAAAGTCAGGGCTGCCTCAGCATGTCACAGGAGGCAGGTAATGTCATCTTGTAAACACCAGCGATGAGCATGAGCCGAGACCCCCAGCAGCAGAGGATATAAACCGTCCTCCTGAAGCAGGATTTAATTACATTCTCCGTCAGGAAAGGAAGTTGGATTTGCTTCAGTGGAATTGCATTTTCTGCATTTGGGTGATTTGTTTATCCTATAAAACCATTTCCCAGTACCACTACTGGAATGCTGGCAACTAGAAACCTGCGTGGCTCACTCTTTAGACTGAAGGACACTCCTGTCCCCGTGTTTACATTTCTACCTTTCACAGCCTGGCATTCCGAGAGGCCTTTGTGAAAACAGCGCAGAGTCCTCGGGGGAAAGTGCTCAAGATTAGTGCTATAAATTCTCCTCCACGGCTCTGCTACTTCATGTTCTATAATATTCCTGAATTCCTGCATTTCTGAGGTCAAGGGTCCTGTCTTGTTGTCCAGTGTCTCATACTGAACAAAATTCTCATCTGACTCCTTTGCCCTATTATGTTTGGGGTGCCGGGCTGGTTCTCTGATGATCTCAGTCACAGCCTCTCCATCTTTTTCAAAAACAGCAATTTGTGGATGAGTTGTGTGCTGGCGGTATTTTCTTTAAACAGTTCTCTATGTTAAAAATGTTGCCAATCAGAATATCTTCAGATATAACAAATGTTAAAGTACACAAGAAGTCCTCGGTTCAGGGCTTCAAGGAACTCACCTGGATGCAAATCAAAGAATCAGTTGTCAGCTTGGACAAAGCCAAGAGGTAAAGAAGTGGACAATTTGGATCTAGTCCTTAAGGAATAACCATATGGATTATTTCATGCTCAAATGTACCCCATTTCTATAGCACTTGGGAAATATATGAGTGTAAATGAATATTTAACAACTCATCGTTGGGAATTTCTGAATATCCTCAAATTGTAGAGATTCCAGCCATGGGGCTACAGACCCAAGCTATGAATACGTGTGTTTAGAAAAGAGAGCCTTTCTGCCCTAGTCCCAGCCATTGTTTCTGGTGGATGCAGCAACATCCTCCTACCCCCTCTCCCTGATTCTGTCTTTTGCCACCTTTAGCACATTCCAGTGGTGCTCAAGCAGAATGACTTTGCCCCCCATTTGGCAATGTCTGGAGACAGTTTTTGTTGTCATAACTAGGGGGTAGGGGGTGACATTATAGCTTTATTAGGGAGAAGCCAGGGGTGCTGGTAAACATCCTACAATGCAGAGGAATCTCTGTTACAACAAGGAATCATCCAGTCCAAAATGTCAGTTGTGCAGAGAAACCCTGGTGTATTCCCACACTGCAGCAGGAACAATCCTTTTAACATTTACAGCAGATAATGTTACTCCTCTGGTCAGAACCTCTCAGTTGTTTTTAGTGTCCACTGGAGTATAAGTCAGAGTTCCTCACAGCTTATAAAGGTCAAGATGACCTGTTCCTGCTCTCCCTGACTTCACCTCCTGCTGCTTTCTTTTTGCTCACTCCACTCCAGCCAGGAGTTTCTCCTTGTTCCTCCAACCACTTCTCCAATCCATTCATGCTTCTGCTCAAATGTCATTTCCTTAGACAGGATTTCCCTGGCAAATTTATATATATAAAAGCAAATACTCCATAACTTTTCCCAACCCTACACCACAGGGAAACACAATTAGATGAATTATTATCCATAGTGGTTAACCCTGTAAAATTCCCACCCTCCCTTCCTTCCTTTTTTCCTTCTTTCCTCCCTCCCTCTCTCCCTTCCTCACTCCCTCCTCCCTCCCTTCCTTCCTTCTTTCCTCCCTCCCTTCCTTCCTTCCTTCTTTCCTCCCTCCCTCCCTTCCTTCCTTCCTTCCATTCTTCCTTCCCTGCAAATAATATAATTAAATCCAATAACCCAACACCCAACATGAAGCTAGAACACTCACAGAAACCCATGTGAGTATCCCAAGAATTTCTTTGCCACTCCTCATTCAAGACAACTACTACCCCAAATCTTGTATTAACAATGTTCCTGACTTCATTTGATATATGTTCACACATCTATTTGTATTTCTTTAAAAGTATTAGTTTGGGTTGCGTGTGTTTGGCTTTATGAAAAATGTAATGTTTTAAATATATAATAACTTATTTTGTATTCCTATTATATTGCTATGATCCATCTGCAATGTTGCATGTAGTTAAAGTCATTCATTTTCATTGCTACGTAATAGTCTCTCTTTGAATATGCCACACTTTTCTTCTCCAGCCCCCACTATATAGGACTGTGTTTGTTTCTAGGTGTTTGCCATAATGAACTTTGGAACAGGTTAGGGTTTCTCTCCATATAACTTATCATCACCTGATATTTTATGTATGCACTGGCTTATTTGTTGATTGCCTGGCTCCTCTCAGTAGAATGCAAAGGCCCTGGGAACAGAGCCTCTGTTTTCCCCCTGATGTATCAACAAAGCCTAACATAGTGCCTGCTATATAATAGGAAGTCCATTTATATCTACTCTCTCCACCTTTACCCTTTGTCCCGTTGCCTGGCTTATTATAATAGCCTTCTAAACTGTCTCCCTGCTTCTTCCCTTGCCGCCCTTAAATCAACTCTCAACATAACAGCCAGGATTATTTTGTTAAAAGTTATACAAGATTCTGTCATTTTTCTGTTCAAAAATCCCTAGCAGCCTCCCCCATCTCAAAGTAAAAGCCAAAGTCCTTATAATAAACTATGGCTTTGTAAGATCTGGCTTCCTTCACTTCTCTAAACTTATCTCCTACTATCTGTACTCCGGGCACACTGACCTCCTTGGTACTCTTGAACACTCTACATTCACGATCCCTAGGACCTTTGCTCTTGCTGTACTCTTTGCTTGGACAGTTTTTCCCTCAAATATCTACAAAGCTTTTATCTTACTTCCTTCCCTTGTGTGCTCAAAAGTCACATATTGAGGTCTTCTCTTTTACTCCATGTAAAATTGAAACTCTGTCATCATATTCTGTCCCTTTACAGTGCTTTTTATCCTTAGAGCTCATTGCTATTTAACTTTTTTTTACTTATATATTTTATTTGTTTATCTCCTCTTACTGAACTACTACCTTTATAAAGCTACGATTTTGTATTCACTACTGAATCCTTGGTCCCTGGAATATGCCTGGCACATACGAGTTGTTCAATTAATACTGAATGAATAAATGAATAACGGGGAAAGTGAACATGATAAGTAGTTGTTATTTATGCAACCACTTATTTGGGCATTCATTAGATCATAGTTATATTTTTGATGGTCTCGTGGATATCAGAATGACTTAAAACTTTAAAAATAAAATATTCCCAAAGCTACTGATGCAACCATCTGAAAAAATAGAAGATGATGTAAGACATGCACATGACTAGAGTCAGACCACTAACTCTGAAGATCCTAATTCCTGAAGCTAGTTTTAAAATATTAAACATAATTTTTGCTTTGCATAAAGCAAGGCACAAGAATTCCTAGAGGGCAAAATCAGATCTAGACTTGGTGTTGCATTTATGGAGGAGCGAAGCACAGACCCCCTTTGCTGGAGTTTGTCACACGAGGAGCTTCTCAAGACTCCAGGGGAACAATAGTGCCTCTTTGCTGCTGGTGTGGTCTTGTGGTTCTTGAGGAAAGCAATGGTTTTGCTAAAGTTATTACAAATATTTAAAAATTATTCAGTTCTAAGTTTCAATGTGTGTTTTTAAAAATTACTTCACTCTAGCTTAATAACATTTCCAAAGAAATCTCTAAGAAAAAACAAGACTTCTGGAGGGAGCTAGATAAGAAGGGCTGAGGAGAAGATAGGTGATTTCCGGCTGCCATGTCATTATTAACCACGAATAGAAGAAAAGAAATGCACAAGGAATAAAATTAATGTCTTTAAAAGATATGGATACATGTTAACATCAAAGAATTTTGAGCTCAGGATATGTATTTTACAATTTTAGCTAAATCTTGAATTATATGAATCTTTAAAATGTCAAGATGTGGCAAATAGGCTTCGCAATCATGGTTTGTCATCTCGTCAATGCTCTTGACTTTTGAGTTTTCATGTAGAGAAGACATTCCTTTTGCTATCATCCTTCTGATAAAATTAGCTATGTGTGTTGTGTAGCAGTATTTCCATCCACACACAAGGGTGTGACTTGGCATTCTTTGTTACAACTGCTACTCAACCACTTATTTAAAATAAAAGTCTAAAACTGAAATCCTCTAATGAGTTGGAAAAGTTTTGCTTTAAAAATTATCCTTTTAGAGTGATTTCCAGTGCCATTTAGGGGATATAAGGAAGGAAATTCCAAGGTGTCTGTATTTTATCTGCAAATAAAACGATCATGTGACCACATGCCTGTTTGATCTGTGCCTGGTAGCTTAGCATGGCTACAGCAAAAGACGCACTTGCTATAATCATTTCAACCCCCACCCAACCCAAATCATCAACATTTCTCATCAAAGGAGAACATTTACATGCTCTGAAACATTGAATGAAAATAAGTGAAAACCTCTTCAGATATTTGTTTTAAAAATTCTCTGAGAGTACATAGAGTTTGGATCATGAAAGCAGAACTCAATTCATACTTCTGATCCTTCCCGGTTTCACATTTTTAAAAAATGTTATTTCACCACCTCCATGATCAGAAGGCGATGAGCTTGCTTTGTTTCCCAACTGACCTATTCATATCAAGTTAGTTACACTCACTTAAGTCTCCCCACCACCTTTGGCCAATCCCACAGAGCCCTCCTATGGAGCTGGAAACTCATATAGAGACTTTTGTTTTTTATAGAGAATTCAATAGCTCAATGCCACAAGACACCCTTTCTTATTAAAACGAGAAAGAAATGCATGGAAGTTGTTAAAAACAAATCATTTTCCATTAGTAAAAGTTACATGATTGGAAAGAGAAGAGCACATTGCTGTAATTACCAGTACATTAAGCAGGGGATGAACAGCTGCGTGAACTTGGAGTCAGTAGAATAACAGCCACCGAGCCAGCTTCCCCATATGGTCCAAGCAAGGAGGTGGGGCTTCTAGCTGCCTGGGGGTTGGGGAGAGGTGAGGAGGGGGCAAACGAATCCCATTCAAGTAGGAAATGTAAGCCAAGAAATGTCTGGCTTCCCAATCCAAACCCAGATTTCTCTGTGCTGCACTGGAAAAATCCCCCTGGCCTCCATAACAAAAACCTCTAAAATCAATGTTGTCTTTTCCTAAAGAGAGCAAAATGTGAGCGTTTTCAGACTTTTGGCTACATTGCTACTAATAGAAAAGACGACCTCAGAAGGACTTAGTCACTTCCTCAGCTTTTTGGGGTGTGGCTATGACTTGGAATTATTGGTATCACTTAGTAAACACTGTTTGATCTAGCATTTGCCTTCTCTCCCAATTAAAAATAGAGTCTGGCCAACAATGACAGGTCCCCACCACCAGGTATTGGCCTCAGTCTGTTTCAGTGAAAAGCATTACAGCCTTCTAATTGGCATTCTCTTCAGAATTTGGCAAATTTGGTCAAAGCAGACCAGCACTATAGTAACCTTTCATTATCAATGCAAATCCTAACAGAAAAGCATTCCATTCTTCTTACATTGTACGTCATAAATGAAACACAATAAATTTTATTGTGAAACCTCCTAGGAAGACATTCCTGAATAGACAAAGCAGAAAATGCTTGCATTATACTAAACAGAGCTAAAATTTGATAGTTGCTGGAAGGGTTGGCTATAAGGAATCTAGCTGTTTACAGGGGAAATACCAAATAGGCTACATCATTTGCAAGGAGATGTTTTTGTAAGTACCATGTCCAAAACCATTTGGGTTTCAACTATATGAAGGTTATTATTGCAGAGAATGGTGACCAGCTGTTCTTCATTGCCTCCGAAAACAGAATGAGAGAAAAAATGGCATTAAAGTGGAATTGGAAGAATTGAAGCTTCCTAAAAATTTGAGTTTGTTAACAGGAGAAGGATCCACACTAGGGAGTTATAAAATGAATGCCTTTCATTTTCTGTTGCTTTTAGAAATAAAAAGTGGCACTTTTAAGACAATTCAGGTAAAATTTTGTCCATCAATAAAATACTGAATTTGATAATCTTACAAATTTCTATTAAAAATAATTTCAAAAATATTTAAGAAATATGACTATTGGAAATTAGGCTATGTCTGGAGAATAATTCATCCAGTCATGCTATGGTGTCAGGGAATATTGTAAAATGAGAGAGTATTATTAAAAGAATCCTG
Source organism: Homo sapiens (assembly GCF_000001405.40). Classification (NCBI taxonomy): domain Eukaryota; kingdom Metazoa; phylum Chordata; class Mammalia; order Primates; family Hominidae; genus Homo; species Homo sapiens. Next base: position 226,186,628 of record NC_000002.12, read on the forward strand.
TCGGAAATGTGTGCATTTCATGCCATAGATTTATGCAGGCATATTCTAGGAAGAAGGATAATGACTTCCCTGTAAATTAATATTGTCTTCAGAAATATCTAAATTTACAAATAAAAGATAAACAGCCTGGGCACGGTGGCTCACGCCTGTAATCCCAACACTTTGGGAGGCGGAGGAGGGCGGATCACCTGAGGTCAGGATCACCTGAGCTCAAGACCAGCCTGGCCAACATGGTGAAACCCTGTCTCTGCTAAAAATACAAAAATTAGCTGGGTGTGGTGATGCATGCCTGTATTCCCAGCTACTTGGGAGTCTGAGGTAGGACAATCACTTGAACCCAGGAGGCAGAGGTTGCAGTGAGCCGGGATTGTGCCACTGCACTCCAGCCTAGGTGACAGAGAGAGAATTCATCTCAAAAAAAGAAAAAAGAAAAAAAAAAAAAAGAAAAACAATAGTATTCTACTCAATAGAATAGACACACTGCTATCTCTTAGAAAATTATTAGATTGATGAATACATAGATGTAAAAACATCATTTGGTGGGTATCAGGATTTCCACTGATAGTTGATTTGTGGACTCTCAAGAAATTTATACCTGTATTCAAACACATACTGTGATATTAACTTGCAGGACTTTCTTAATAAACCAACTGTGGGAAGGACACACATTCCTAGACTTTCATTCACAGGGCAAATCCATCATTGCCAGACTTCTGCTTTCCATAGAACACTCACTTTTCTGTTTTCTATTCAACTTGAATGAAAATTTCTACTAGATCTCATTCCAAATCCTCCCATGGGACAGAGCTACCTTTCAGCAATCAGTGCTTTACCAAGGGCCGCACTCAAATTTGAACATCTCAGTAGACATGGAATCAGAAGCGAGGGATTACTGAATTTCACTCTGAAAGCTTTTCTTCTCAGATACTGTAATAAAAAAGCACCACCTTCATCTCAGATGATTTGCAGCTTTTCTGACAGCTAACGTTTATCTCTGTGACTCTTGCATTCTAGGGAAAAAATACAATTTGTAGATAACTTTAAATATTTACCTTTTTTTTTCCAAGCAGGAAGCAAAGGGTAAAACAACCACACACACACACACACACACACACACACACACTCACACGCACACAAAGTTTCACTACATAGATACATCTTGATTTAAAATTCCTGGGCACTTAGGCTGCATGTCATGGCCCTCTGCGTGAGTTAAGTGGAGTCAGAGATTTCTGCCAAGTTATAGAGCTGGTTACTTACTTCAGGAAATATTCAGTTATTTCATTTGAAGTATGAAATTGCAGGAGCATCCAAAAGTTTACCAGGGTCTAAAACTACAAGTGAGCTTGTTATTTGTCTCTACTCTTTATCCTTCTATGGAGTAGTTCCAAGGGATCCTTTGAACCAGCTGCCCAGTTTTCATCCCTGTAAATAAATTTTTCTTCACACAGTACAGGGTCAACTTCTGAAGAAGAGACCGTTTATCATGGTAGTTAAAAGCACAGACTCAACCCAGACTGAATGGGCTCTAATTTCAGTTTTGCCTCTTAACAGCTGTGTGCCCTTTGGGTAAGATACTTAACCTCTCTGAGCCTCAGTTTCTTCCCCTGTAAAACTGGGATTTAATAGCATCTTTCTTAATTGGTTGTTTTGAGGATTTTAAAAAGTACTCAGAATCTTACCAGACTGTTTGCCCACAGCTCAGTAAATATGCACAGAGGTTGAGAACAGAAGGAATGAAACAGATCAGCCCAGAAAGACCACATGATCAAAAATCACCACTTTCCATACAGTAAGACAAATACAATACTCTTTAATATTTATCTTGGTGCAGCAGTGTATTAAGCCTGATTTTATTTTGAAGCAGAGGTAAAACTTATTTTACTTGCAGATATAAAACATTGCATAAAACTGTTCATGATGACCAGTTGCTGGGAAGTGGGGAGGATGTCATACTAGTAATTGTCCACACTGTCTACTTATCTTGTGCCTCTTCTGAACACAGTAGTAATAAATAGATGGGAAAGAAAAAATTACATGAAAGGTCTGATGAGTCCATTGTAACCAATTTGTACTATGTCCAAGAGAATGAGTCCCTAAAGTTTGGACCCTTCTTTATCCTTCATTCGTTGACCCCTTCCCAGAGTTTAGAGGCTGTCTTTATCCTCCCAAACCTTTCAAGACCAATTATCAGTATGATTTTCTTCACTTCTCACATATTTATTCAATCATTCATTTAACCAAAATTAGTTGAGCACCTACAGAGTCTTGGACTCTGCAAGACAGAGCAGGGGAGGAAGTTTGGGAGGGAAAGGTGTGAAGAAAGCCTTAGATGCACAAAGGTGAGTAAGATACAGTTCTCACCTTCAAGGAACTCATGGCCTATGTATAAAACAAACACTCCAAAGCCAACAAAGATTAGAAGAAAGATCACACGACGCATTATAAAATGGGGTGTGGGCAAGAAACCAAGTAGGAAGGAAGTAGCCAGCTCTGCTTAGAAAAGGTGGGAAGTTATCTCAAATAAGAAGGTGCTTGATTTTTAGGGCTACAAGAAAAGTTGTGATTCACTGGGTGACGACAGGGAAAAGAAGAGGCCAGGAAGCAGCTCGGGCAGAGGAAATGTCACATGCAAAGACACCAAGGCCTGGAAGAACATCAAATGAATATTGCATGCCTTATCATGTTTACGGTTGGAATGTAGTTTGTGTTGGGCAGAACTGGATTTGCAAACATAGCAATGGCCCAGGTCTCTTCAGAGAGTCACAAGTAATGGTAAGGTAGGAGGCCACTTATGAAGTCTGCTCATCTGATTTCCTGCCTGAAGGAAGGGAGGAAGAGTCCATAGATGCAACAGCCTTCAGGCATTTAAATGAAGAACGTGCTGATTTTCTTTAAAAATCAGCTTCTGGGAATTCTGGAAGATAGGGAGCTGGATATTATCTCCTGTTTTGCCTATGTCACATCCAAACATCTTAAAAGAGACAATTCTTAATGTTACAAAGAAATTATATGAACTCATAGTCACTTTGTTAATATCATAGTTTCTCTGGATATATAGCATTTACTTACACATTACCTAAATCAAATAAATTAATATATTGTGCTAATGACATAGAAATTTGCATTAAATAGCCTTTGGTCTAATAAATATTGCTATCCACCTCAAATCCTGCCAGTCAACTATCCTGAAAGAGAGACACTGTAATAAAATAATGAAATCAGCCTTTTGCACTTGTGACTGTGTCAAACTAAATGCAAGACATATCTCCAGAGCTGGAAAATTATATTCTCATTTATTTAATAAATAGTTACTGCTGACAGAGGTATCACAAGGTTGGGTCAGAAGACACTTTTCCTGTCCTCTCGGAGTTTACAGGATAATGGATTTAAATGAAAAATAATGGAAAGAAAAGAAAGGCCCTTGAACAGATGTCACTGATGCCTCTGCATATCACTGAAGCTCCTATCTGAGCAGGCATTTAAGAAGCTGGGCCTTGAAGAAGGAAAGATGGAAGCACATTCAGGCATAGAAAAAGCAATAAGCCAAGCCTATGCAAATAGACCCAGAGGGTTGGAGGTTGTTTCTGAAACAATGTTGAGGCCACTCAAAGAGGCCTTTTTACGGCTAAATTTCAGATCAGGAAGACAAACAAACTCATGCAACTTAGAAGGAGAGTTGCCCAGTTAGGAGAGGTAAGAGTGGAACATGGTGATCTCTACCAGATAGACCACATCTTGGACTCTCACGCATCCTGTAAGCTCCTTCTCCAATGAAAATCATAGGACTCTTCAAAGTCATATTTGAAACAACAGCAAAGTCTGCAGTAAACACTGTGATATTTGATCCTGTTCCATCTACATAATAGAGCTATAAAAAATGATCTGGATTAGGCCTACCAACTTTAAATCTGATAGGACTCAATCAGTGCAGGTTTTCATGGCTCTGCTATATGGATGAAAAAGGGACAATGATCATAGCATTTACTTTTCTTCTCCAGTTTCTCAGAAAGCAGCATGAGTCAGCCTTCTTCAAAGAGCGAAGATGGAATCTGAGTTGGTAAACACATTGTGTGGTGGACTTTTGAGCGGCACTGTGCCTCTTCTTGCCCATCAATAGAGGGCAAACAAAAACAACAACAAAAAGAATGTGTGCTAAATCTGGAAGTATTGTTCATGAAGCTAAACTACCAAGCAGGTGAAGCACCTTAATCCCAGACTCCACCACCTATAAAATCTGCCCAATTCCTTCAGCATTTGTGAACAACACTGTAAGAGGAATTCTTAGGACAAATAAATGGGGGTGGTGTGAATTAAAAGAGAATAACACCTGTCTCTGCAGCTGGTCAACAGACCTCACTTTAATGTGCTGTCTACTGGGAAATGGAGGCGTCTCATGTTACCCGGAGGCCTTGGCCTACACTGGAGTCTGCAGAAAGGAATTCTGTGACCAGAAGATGTGAGGCTTGGTCCGTGGCCAAAAACAATGGTGAAAGGTACAAAATGAAAAGTTCTGTCAGGACAAAAGCACTCAATCACAGAACAACACACAACTTGGCTGTTTGAAGAAATGAACCCCAAACCAAAGTCACAACTGGATTAACAACTGGTTGATCCCCTTTTACCTTCTAATGCTTCTCTGGCTGTCGGACACTTATTGAAATAGGAATGAAGAGATTACAGCCGCCAGCAGCATACAGTGTCTTCATTTAGGGCTGGTTCTGGCTGGTCACGGAAAAGCAACTTGCAAGATTTATGCTTCTCTGCCTTCTATCCATATTTTTTTCCATTAAAGGGGGAATTTAGAGCAAAGTTACCAATGTAACTCCAACCCAGTGCTGGAGAAGTCCTCGCTGACTTGCAAAATAACTGTGGCTTCAGCAGAATTGGGTGCCCAATGGTAACAGAGGTGAAGCCCATAAAAATGGTGTGCACATATTTTAAAACAGGAGAAAAGACCCTATTATTCAGTCCACATTGGCTCTAGTGGTTGGTTTGTCCCATAGAACACATCTAAGTTTGAATAATGGGAACAAATAAAGTAAAAATGGATTGCTCTTTCCAAGAAATATATAAAAGGGTTTATATCTGTACATGTAGAGAAAGATGTTTATGTAATGTATAGGCCACAGATCAGAGAAGCTATTAAAGTTCTTTGAAGAAATCTGGACTATGAAAGGACCAAAAGTTAAAGAAGAAAAGAGCTGCTGGTGGTTTTAGGTCACAGGGACTTGAACGTCCATCATAGGCCTGGGAGTGAAGACAGGCTTGTGTGGTTAAAGCGTGGGCCCATGACTTCTACGGGCCAGGAAGAGACTGTTGCTTTCTCCCCTAGACACTGATGCCTGGAAATCCTCTAATAGGGATAGAGCTATACACATACCTATCAGAGCCTGGAAAAAATGCAGAAATGTTAGAAAGGTACCCGTAAATAAAAATCACAATGAGCCCTAACTGACTGAAATTGATCTGAAGTACAGAGAAGGGTGGTACAGGAAATCAGGAATGCCTCAGCCTCATGAAAGAATGGAGCTTTAAGAGGGCACCTCAGAGTGGGGTCCATGAAGCAGGAAGTGAAGCTGTAGACACAAACATCAAGGTTTTTCTCTTTGACTTTGGATGGATGTGGGTTCTGACAGTAACAGACAGAATTTATTGGGTCAACACTACATGAATTGAGAAGGAGGCCTGCACTCAAAGAGGAATCAGGTGCCCCAGGTGTCCAGTCCCAAATATTTTGGCAGTGAATTTAGACAAAGGAAAAAAATATTATTTATTCATGGAGAACTCTCAATGAACTGTTTTCAAATGCCAAAATATCTATTGCTACTTTCTATTGTAAAAAGATATAAGCAAAATTTCACTGTTAGCTTGAAAAACTGATTTCACTTCATTACAGTTTTGCTTAATATTAGCCTAAAGACATTAATGACAGAGAACTCATTCATTAAAATACATGATTATAATTCTAACAAGAAAACAAGTATTTGTTTTTCAACGACACTCTCCTCCTTGTGTAACACTTGAGGATATTTAAACCATTTTAATAACTCTCTTTCTCATTCACACGCATGCACACACACTCTAAAATACAGAATATAAATTCTGTTCATGTCTCCTTTTGCATCTGTGAGGATACCCTACCCCCACCATCATAAGAAATAAAGTTTACTCCTTACTCTGCTTCCATAAATATACTCAAAGAAAAAAAAAACACTCTATTATATTAGCACCGATTCTACTGACTGAGATATTGATCAGCTTGGGCATTTTCATTGAGTTTGAAAATGCAGCATTATAAGTCTACCTAATTGATGAATTACAGCTACGCATTTGATATACGTCATTTACTATATGCTCTGTCTGGTGGGAAGAGGAATGGGGTCAAATAACAATTAAAGCATGGGCACTTTCAAGAGTTCTTAGCACTTTCCAGTATTACTTATTTTCATCAATTCTTCTGCCAAGTATCAGTTTGCTCATAGAAAGGCAGTATTTTGGAAAGAAAGAAAAAAGTTCAGAAATTCATGATTTCTTTAAGGCTAAGCCTACTTTGTAAAGTCACATATTTCTCACTGGTATTCAGATTTCATTACATTCAAGGACCCTGATAATTCATTTGAGACTTGAGAATTGATACATATTTCAAATATTTCCCTACTACAGAGAAAACATGTCACAAATTCAACATCGCATTGGCAATAATCAGCTGAAAGTATCAAACATGACTCTTCCAGGTTTGAGACCATACAAATAAAATTACATTTTTAAAAGGCATAATATCAGCAGGAAACATAAACCTCATTTAGTCACAAGCTTAGAATTTATTTCCTTAGGACCAAAATTTTATGACTTACTCAGCTCCAATATGTCCTTGAAGGTGAAGATTGCAAAGTAGACCATCACCCCTAATAGCAAGTCACTTATTTGTTTTATCGATATAGCTGACTGTCTAAAGCAGACCTAATTTACAGGCAGACCCAAGATTACTGTGCATTTTTCAGAATGCTGCCCACAGACTATAGTCACAAAATATTAAGTATTGAGTCTAACTTGCTCCCCCCTATTCAAGAAAGTATTCACTAGGTCTTTCTCACATACAAAGACTAGAGGTCCAACTTCAGAGCTATACCTGAAGAGGTATTCATACTATGAAACGGAGCAAAAGTGATTTCACCTGTCTCATAGATTTTTTTTCCCCTGTGAAAATGTAGTTCTCCCTCTTGAAAAACTAAGTCTGAACTTTCAAAATAATTTATTGTGATCAGGCAAACCATGGCACGTAAACACTTCAATTCCATAAACAAGGATTAAACACCTCATCTCACCAGATAAAATCATGGATACAAACAGGGGAAGACAGAGCTACGTAAGTAACTGTGAAGCAAAAATGTTTTAAATGCTTTTTGAATTTATACAAATAAATTTGAATTTATAAAAGCATTTATCGTTCTGAGAACCCAGAAGAATGATAATTCTCTGTTGAAGTGAGGATGTTTTTAGGAGGAAGTAACATTTGACCTGCCTCTTGAAAATGAATAGAACTTCAACAAAGTGGAGATAGAAGAGGGTCTGTGCCAACCCTCAATGGCAGGGAGCCCAAGATAATCGCACTTGAAAGGAAGCCTTGCTGCTGCCATCTTTTATAGGATACTTTGCACATCAATAGAGGCAGAAATGTCAAAGTTGCCTTGTAATAATGCTCCAAGAGAGGAGTAAAGTGTAGTGGCCCGTGGTCTCTGTAACTCCCTACATCCAGTGCCAAAGGCAAGGGTAGGGCTGCTGCCAAGGTGGCCCATCCAAGGGGTGGACCTAACAATAGGTAAATGAAGAAAGCAACGTAGCTTCCATCTCACCCTTCCACTGAAAGTGCTCTCACCAAACTCACAAATTATATCCTCAAGACTAACTCCAATTTCTTAAAATGTAACTCCCATTTCTACCATTGGCTGCATTTGACATTTCCAACTTTTTCTAATTTCAATGGCTTCTCTGAGTTTCCTAGGACCACCTAGTCCTCTTCTTTTGACAATGCTTAAAATATTGGCATTTCTGCAGGTCCTGTCTTAGATACTGTACTCACTCTACAGACCCTCTCTGAGTGATCTCATCTCCTTCCATAACTACAGCTAAACCTATATGCTAATGAATCTCAAATCTGCATCTTCATTCCTGATCTCTTTTCTGAGCTCCAGGCAGTATAACCCCTACCCATTGGCACCGGCCATCATCCATTCTACTTAATTTTGTATCATTGACAATAAAGCAATCATGAAATCATTTTGTATGCCTGTTTTCTAAGTCAGTTCACATTTCTCTGTTCATGTAACAAAGAATCTGCTTTTAAGAATTTTAGCAACAGTTTCTAAACATTTTCAGTTCCTCTGGTCCTGCCTTTCCATTTTATCCTTCACACTGCAACCAGAATAATTCTTCCCAATAGAAATAGGATTTTTTTTTTTTTTTTTGAGACGGAGTGCAGTGTCATGGTCTTAGCTCACTGCAACCTCCACAGTTTTTGTCTTATTATTCTTTATATCTTTGGTACATAGCCTAGAATCCAGCATAGAGCAAGTGTTTAATTATTATAAGCATGAGGCAAGGTGCCTTATTGTATATACTTCAGAATCCTGTATTTCCTCTAGCATAGCATCTAACACACTATATTTTATTATTTTTCTGCACTAGGACTGTGAAAATTACGAGAAGTTTTCATCTTATTCATCTTTATATCTTTGGTACATAGCATAGAATCCAGCTTAGAGCAAGTGCTTAATCATTATTTCTAAATAGATAACATGGAGTTGTGCAGGTCAACTTCCAGAACTGTTAGGCTTTTCCCCATTTCCCCATACTCTCTGGTAACCACCAATCTATTCTCTATTTTCACCACCATAAGATCCACTTTTTGGCTCCCACATATGAATGAGAACAATCTTTGTCTTTCTGGCTTGACTTATTTCATGTAACATAATGGCCTCCAGTTCCATCTGTGTTGCTGCAAATGACAGGATTTCGTTCTTCTTAATGGCTGAATAATATTCCATTGTGTGTATGTATCACATTTTCTTTATCCATTAATCCATTAATGGGCACTGAGGTTGATTCCATATTTTAGCTATTGTGAATGATGCTGCAATAAACATGGGAGTGCAGATTTCTCTACAACTAGTGTTTTAATAATTTTGAGGTATGGTTGGAAAAATGAAGTCTGGAAAAAGAGATTGATCCAAAATATGATAATGCTAATCCATGAACTAAGGAGGGTTTTACAATTTTTAAAACATATTTTAATCTTATTTTATTAGCAATCTGAGAAGAAAGCAGATTTGTGTGTAGGAAAATGGTGTAGACAGACCTAAGCTTTTAGAAAGAGTAATGATGGCAACATAGAGAATGGACTGGAGACAAGAGACACCAATGAGGCATCTAGTTAAAAACCTTAAAAGAGAGATTGTGGACCAGTGTCATGACAACAGGAACAAAAAAGAGGAAACGGCTATATGGAGATAGGATTGGAAGTACTGAGAGATCACCTGGGTATGGAAGATGAGGAAAAAAGACTATTTTAAGATGAGTTTAAGGCTCCAAAACATGATCAATATGGGGGACACAAGAGAATAGGTCATTCAAGAAAGGAACAAGATAAGGATTTATTAAGTCCCTTTTCATACTTTCTCAATTCAAGAGATGTCCAACAGGTCATTAGAAATATAGATCTGGGCTGGGTGTGGTGGCTCACTCCTGTAATCCCAGCACTTTGGGAGGCTGAGACAGGTGGATCACGAGGTCAGGAGTTCAAGACCAGCCTGGCCAAGATGGTGAAACTCCACCTCTTCTAAAAACTACAAAAAAATAGCCAGGCATGGTGGCAGGTGCCTGTAATCCCAGCTACTCAGGAGGCTGAGGCAGGAGAATTGCTTGAACCCAGGCCGAAGAGATTGCAGTGAGTTGAGTTCATGCCACTGCACTCCAGCCTTAGTGACAGAGCAAGACTATGTCTCAAAAAAAATAGATAGATAGATAGATAGATAGATAGATAGATAGATAGATAGATCTGAAATGTAGAAGAGGAAAAGAGATAAGTTTTAAAATATGCATTTGGGTTCTATCGATAAAGAAGAGATGATTGAAGCTACAACATAAGAAAAAAAATGAGAAAAGGAAAGTGGATTGTTCCTTTAGGACATTCCTGCATATGAGGAAAACAGAAGAGGAATAAGTGGAAAAGTAGGAGAAGGAATGTTAGTAGATACAGGAGGAAAAGTAAAATGGTGCACTGTAGATTAACAACATTAAAAAGATTTTCAGAGAAGAGAAATGTGCATTAAGCACAATTACTTCAGAGGGATTGTATAGGATAAGGACAATACAATCCTTGACTTTAAAGTCAGCAGAGTATTGGTTACTTAGAGACAGCAATTTCAATTATGTGCTGCTATTTGAAATGACATTACAATAGACTGAAGAAGTAGAAGGTGACATAATTGAAGCAGCAGATGTAGCCTACTCTTCTTTCTTTTGTGGATGATAAAAGAAAGAAAAGAGATGAGAGTAGAATCAAGGAAAGACTTTAAAAACACTTGAAAAGGAAGAACACATTTGGAAGCTGAAGGGAAATATCTAATGGAGGTGGACAATAGCAAGGGATAATTTCAGAAGCCAGATCTTAGGAGAGAAGAGATGGGCCTGAAATGAGTCTCCTATGGAGGAAAAGAACATGGAGCAAAGAAGCGAATAAAATAACTCAATCTGTAGTTATATGTCATAGGAGTTGAAGTAAAAGTGAGAGGCAGAGAAACTTTCACTCTTCCAGGATAAACAGAAATTTTACACATGTGAGAATTAGCATTCCAGGGAGAAGTATTGATACTTAGCAAAAACATAAAAGCAAGGAACATCATGTTGGGCATGATAATTATAAGTGGGTCAGTGTGGATGCTGATTAAGTGCAAAGTAGATGGTAAAAAGAGAAAACATAAAGCATGATAGGGATCAAGTTATATTGGAGCTGTTAGTAAGCATGGACTTCAGTCTTGTAGGTAAGAGGAAATTCTTGAAAAGGCTTAGGCAGTGGATTAGTCCATTTTCACACTGCTATAAAGATACTACCTGAGACTGAGTAACTTATAAGGAAAAGAGGTTTAATTGACTCACAGTTCCACATGGCTGGGGAGGCCTCAGGAAACTTATAATCATGGCAGAAGGCAACAGGGAAACAAGGCACATTTTACGTGGTAGCAGGAGAGAGAGCAAAGGGGGTAGTGTCATGTTTTTAAACCTTCAGATCTCATGAGAACTCACTCACTATCATGAGAACAGCGAGGGATAAATTCGCCCCTATGATCCAGTCACCTCCCACCAGGCCCCTCATCTGACATGTGGGGATTACAATTCGAGATGAGATTTGGGTGGGGACACAGAGCCAAACCATATCAGCAAGGGAGTTACATAGACAATTATATGCTGGGAAGATATTACTCTGGCAGCTATGGGGAGGAGGGATTGAACAAGTATAGGAAGAGCACATATCCAATTATAAGTCTGCATAGTAGTCTAAAAAGAAGCAATACAGAATAGAATGGCACAACAGAGTCAACAAATATTTGGGGAAAAATCCATAAGACTTTGTGATTGATTAGGGATTCTGAAAATGTGAGAAATCAAGAAAAATCTTGAGTTTCTATTTCAGATTATTAGACAGAATTTTGTTTCACAAACTAAAGGAACAGAAGAGCAAATCAGGTCTTAGAGGGCAAAGATGAGTTCAGTTTTGAGAATGTTGGATTGGAAATTCTTTTTGGGCTTTTGGATGAAAAAGTTTAATAGGCTGTTGGTTTATAAGTCTAAGATTTATAAAAGTGGGTAAGATCACAGAGATAAGTAAGTTGGTAGGCTAAGAATGTAACCCAAGAAACACTACAAATTAAAGAGAGTAAACAGAGGGAAATTAGACAGAGGATTGGTCAGAGAGAGAGAGGGAAATCAGGAGCATGGGAGGTCTAACAACCCAATTCGTGTAGAAAGATCTCCCAGACAAGGACATAATTCACAGTATCAAACAGCAGTTGTGCCAAGTAAGCTAAGCTCCAAAAAGGGCCCATTGGATTTGACAAATTGAACGTCATTTTGGGTTTGGGCAAGAGTAGTTTCAGAGGAATAGTGAAAGCACAAGCCAGATTACAGTGGACCGAGAAGTAAACAAGACATAAGAAAATGACATAGTGGGACAATAAGATTAGATTGTCTTAGGGATTCTGTGTGTGGGACAGACCCACAAGAAGATGAAGCCTGAATAGCCTTTGAGGAAGGATTAGATATCTTCTAGGTGGACTGAAGAGAAGGCTTTACAGTGGAGAACACAAACAAAGCACAGAGGCGTTACACAGCTTGGTTTGCTGCAACAACCCAAGAAGTTTAGCGTTGTCAAGGCATTAATGTGAAGGGAATGGGTGAGTAGAACAAGAGATATCCTGTGGAACAGAGACAGGAATCAGATCAGAAAAGCCTTTCATGCTATGCTAAGGAAAAGGAATTTTATCCTGAGGCAATCGGGGGACACTGAAAGACTTTAATCATTCTATTTGTGACTTCACCAGCAGAATAAGGAATGAGACAAGGCTGGGGGCAGGGTGAGCAGAGCAGAAACACAGATTTCAGTAGCAGAGGAGGGACATGACCACACGAATCAATGGGAGAAACAGGATAGAGTAAGAATTACCAAGAGTTGGTGACTAAGTCACATAAAGAACAAAGTTTGGAAGTAGGAATCAAAGAAAATACTACTATTTCTGGTTTAGCTGATTGAGGAGAGGGGAATTACCACCAATAATGAAAGTGAACAGATAGGGAGATTGAGTTTGGAGCATGATAAATCATTATTTCAGTTTGGAACATTTTACATTTGAGATTCCTCTTAATATTTAAACGGAAAAATCCAGGAAAGTCTTTGGACCTGGTATACCTAGTGTATTGGACAGGTCATGGAAATTTAGAGCTTGAGATAAAAGATAACTCGAAATCAGGGTGGAGGTCTGGGATTTAATTCACTGCCTTGAGGAGCTTCCCAGAGAAAAAGGATGGCAATGCTTAACTACTCTGGACACAGTTGAAGCTAGTTCAAACTCCCTCTACAGGGCTGAAGAAGTGGTTCTAGAAACTGAATCTTCAATAGTGGGTTGGGGGAGATGGAATGAGATCAACTGTGGGTTGGAGTAATTGAAAGACTTGGAATCAAATAGTAACTAATCAGTCCTTAAAATCTCTCTTGCTCTACTCCCTGTGGCTACTTACAACAAGGGTGTAGGAATTGGATTGTGAACCTGAACCCAGAGCCTTTGGGAACTCCATAGAAACAGAGGACTAAGGGACACCTTGAGGAGATAGCCAGTAGAGAAGAAGGTCTCATCATCACAATGTATTGCCAAAGCAGCCTAAGATTAATCTACTTGCCATCACCAAGGCAAAGCAGGTCATTCTGCCCTTGCGTTTCCACATAGCCTCCTTATGCCATGCTGTGACCCTGATATTCATATTACCCTGATTTCAACTGCACACTCATTTTGGGAATGAAAGACTCATTTCATGAGTTGGCTTTTACACCATTATTTCTCTTTCCCCATGGCTTTTCCAGGTCAGTGTGAACCCTATGGTGAATCTTCAGATAGAGGGTATAATTTACTTGGAGCCTAGGGATTGAGCAAGAAAGCAACCTCTTCTCCATTTCAAACACAAGTGTCATTTTGCTCCAGAATAACTCAAGGCAATTTCTCATGTGTTTTTCTCCAGGCATCACTCTATCCACATACCCTGGTAGCATTTCCAGTGGGAATTTCAGAGACCGTAAGTTGCAGTCAGACAGTAATTTTTCATTTAGAAGGATGAGAATCACTGAAAGATTTTGGGCCATAAAAGACCAAAGAACAAACAAGGGTCATATGACTGAAGTAAGAATGTCCCAGGGAGATGTTTTAGGTCACTGAGCAGAATGAAATTCATTTTAGGTTTAAGCTCTTTGCCTTATCTTGGCATTACCTTTATAATTAAAATAATAATAGAAAAAGAAATCATGAAAAAGATATTGTCAGGATATGATAGCAGTTGATGAAACCAAGCTCACCTATGCTTTCACTTGTTTTAATACAACATTTAATGTATGTACCCAAAGAACATCACCGTATTTTATACTAAGCATGGCGATATGAAATTTTACAAACTTAAAACACAATAACTATAATTCTGGCAAGATCTAAAATTTATCATTGCCAAATACTTTCCACTCTAACCTCATTTCTTCTCGGTTGAAATTTGTACAAATGCTTTCTCTCTCTAAGGGGCAGGGGTTTCTCTGCTCAGAGGTGAGATGAATGTCTAAAAAGATAATTTGAAGTCTTCTGAGCCACTTTTTAGTCATAAGCACAAAAAACAATCACCCATATTGAACCTTTAAAATATAAAGATTCTTGAACTTTAAACACAAATATCAATGATGTGGGAATTATTTTATTCTTCATATAAAATTTTAGAAGTTTTAAGAATGGCTCAAAATTATGTTAGAATATTAGATGTAGTTAGGATAACTGAGTTTAATTTTAAACAGTTTATAGAGATTGGTATGTACATACACTTAGCAAAAAGAATCCTGTGTGAAACATATTTTAGTAGATCAAAATTTCAATAAAGTTAAAAAATAAAAATACTAAATTAGACTAGCAATTTTCATTATGTTATTTTATACATGTACAGATTTTTCCATGTCAAATTATTTTAGGAACCTTATCCAGAAATCAGAAGTCTCTGACTTCACTTTAATCTGGCCTGCTTCTCATCAGAAGTAACTACTGACAATTCTTTAGTCAGGTATATGCTTCCACAATTCTAAATAACATACTTTTCCTGTTACCTCTTCACTTATAATTTTTAGGCATTATCTATTGAATTTCTAAAGAGAACAAAAAGCACCCTTAACATCCCTCATCCTCAAATCCCTTTCTCTACATTCTCCAGCAGTTATGTCATACTTTTGTGATGATCATTTGAAGCATGATTTACTTCATTTTTTCTGCTGCTAATAATCATATCTATTTGTTTGCGTTCATGACTTTTTATCATTGTAATTAATGCTTCCTAAGCTCTCCAAATGAATTAAAAACACCCATGAATTCACCTTGTCACATTGCCAAGCACATCCAGGAAGCTAACAGTTCAATTTTCTTTTTTCCTTCTAGCCTATTCCTGGTCCTCTGGAAATTGCCTCCTTGCCCAATCTGGAAATTGCTCTATGTCTACTCAACAGTTGCTGAAGTTGAGTAGTTCAGCAGTGAAGTTCTATAACTTCACTTACTCTGAATTCTCTTAGGTCTGGTCTTTCTTGTTCTTCCTTTGCCTCCTTGTCTTGGTGGAGTACATCGTCTAATACAGTGCCATGCAGACTAGAGAGTCTGCAAGCCATTTCTGGTGCACAGACTATCATCGTTCTGTGATGAGAGGGATCCAGAAATCAATAGGAAGCATTCGAAGGCTTTTATAATACTTTGATAGTGCTACTCCATGCACACATTTGATCAAGGGCCATGTTCACAATTAGCACATAGCAAATTCTAACTTGGAACAAATCAACCCAGCGAGTATTTTTTTTAAAACTTTTTAGTACAAGTTGAGTATTGGTCATATATGGCTAATGTAGTAATTATTTTAAAATGTGTAAAAATTAAAGAAAGCTTTTTCATTGCAGAAAATAATTTACCTAGGTTTGCAGTCTAGAGTATAAACTATAAAATATTACACTTTGTATCAATATGTCTATCAATAACATAACATCTTTTACTCAAAAAGTCTTATTTTTTACTCAAAAAGCTATCAGCTGTAAGGCTAATGTATTATATTCAGCTTATTCTATTAATTATGGAACAATAAGGAAAGTAATTGCAAACAGCTTTTTTGTATGCTGAAGTAAAATGGTTATCAAGGGGAAAAACTCACTCTAGACTAAATTGAAATAGGGAATCAACTCTGGTGCTCCTGAAAAATAAGAAATTTGTTGGGTCCCCCAAATTTAAAGACAAAAATTGAACACAAATTTTACAAATTTGCTTATGTGTTTAATATCACTGATATTTCTAATTATCTGACTACTATGTGAAGAAGGAATGCAACATACTTTTCAGTGGTAAATCAAATTGAAAGGCAATGGAAAAATTTACAAGTTAGAGAATTTTTGCAGGCTGTTATGATATATACTTCATAATTTAACACAATTTTCCATAAAGTAGAAGGTAATCTTGATATTATACGTCTGAAAAAGTTAAAACTGAACACCTCACAAATTTGATAGAACATTTTAATCTCTATTTTATATCACAAAAAAGGCAACAGGACATTCATGAGCTAGAACCTTGTTATTTCATTGGAAACAAAACGTTTATATTTTAAGGCATAGATTGTTGCAACTTTCTATTGGTGAAAGATTGAAAATGATTGTTGAAATTGTAGCATCATTTGCTTCATTTTAAATAAAAGGTAAAACTGAATATCCTGAGCATGCTGAAACTGCTTTGAAATTTCTTCTTTAGTTTTTGTCACATATTCTGGAAAACTGGTTTTTCTATTATGAATGTAATTTTTTAAAAAGATAGAAACATTTTAGATATACATCTTTCCCTAGAATACTGTTGTAATCAGTGCAACCTAGAATGGATACATTAACAAGCAAAAAGCAAGCACATCTGTGGCATTACAAACATTAAATATTTATATACATAGTGTTCATTTCATTCTAAATACAGATGTTTAAAATAAGGGATTACTATTTCAGTAATAACTGTAAGTTACAAATGTGGAGCAACTACAATTTTCAAGTGTAATAACCAGGAAGTGTTATGTTTCCAGCTTTGTTCTTTCTTAAGATAGCTTTGACTACTCTGGGCCTTTTGTGATTCCACCATATGAATTTTAGAATTGTTTTTTTCTATTTCTGTGAAAAACACTATTGGGATTTTCATAGAGATTACATTGAATTTAGAGACTGTTTTGTGTAGTATAGACATTTTAAAAATGTAAATTCTTCCAATCTATGAACATGGGATCTCTTCCCATTTGTTTGTGTCTTCAATTTCTTTCAACAATGCTTTAGTTTGTAGTGTACAGATCTTTCAACTTCTTGGTTCAATTTTTTCCTAAGTATTTTACTCTTTTTAATGCTACTGTTAATGTTTTTTTAATATCGTTTTCCCTTAGTATATAGAAATGCAACTGATGTTGACATGTTGTTTTTCTATCCTGCAACTTCACTGAATTTGTTAGTTCATTTTTTAAATGAGGTCTCTTTAGGTCTTTCTATACAAAAGACCATGTCATGTACAGAGACAATGTTCATCCTTTCTGATTTCAATGCCTTTTATTTCTTGCCTACTCTGGCTAGACTTCCAGTGCTATGTTGAATGGAAGCGATGAGAGTAGACATCCTTGTCTTGTTCCTGATCTTAGAAAAAAAGCTTTCATCTTTTCAACATTGGGTATCATGTGAGTTATGGGCTTGTCATATAAGGCCTTTATTATGTTGTGGTAATTCTTTCCATCCCCAATTTGCTGAGACTTTTTGTTATGAAAGGATGCTGCATTCAGTCAAATGCTGCTTCTGCGTTTATTAAAATGATCACATGATTTTTAAAATTCATTCTGTTAATATGGTATATTACATCTATTGATTTGCATTTGTTGAATTATCTTTGCAAACCAGAGATAAATTCAATTTGATCATGATGTATGATCCTTTCAGTGTGCTGTTGAATGCAGTTTGCTAGTATTTTGTAGAGAATTTTGGATCTACATTTATCAGAGATGTTGGCCTGTAATTTTCTTTTCTTGTAGTGTCCTTGTCTGGCCTTGGTATCAGTGTAATGCTGGCCTCATAAAATGAGTTTGGAAGTGTTCCCTCCTCTTCAGTTTTTTGGAAGAGTTTGACAAGGATTTGGTGTTAATTCTTTTTTAAATTTTTGGTACAATTCGTCAGTGAAGCCATCTGGTCCTGGTTTTTTGTTGTTGTTGTTGGGAGGTTTTTGATTACCGATTTAATCCCCTTACTTGTTACTGAACTATTCAGATTTTCTATTTCTTCAATATTCAGACTTAGTAGGTTTCTAGAAATTTTTCATTTCTTCTAGGTCATCGAATTTGCTGGTGCAAAATTGTTCATAGTCCTACAATCCTTGGGATTTGGGGGCTATCAGTTGTAATATCTCCTCTTCCTTTTATAATTGTTTTTACTTGAGCCCTGTCCCTTTTTTCTTGGTAGTCTAACTACAGGTTTGTTTATCTTTTCAAATAACCAACTCTTCATTTGGCTGATCTTTTCTATTGTCTTTTAATTTTCTATTTCATTAATTTCTACTCAATCCTTATTTTTTCCTTTCTTCTGCTACCTTTGAGATTAGTTTATTTTTTTACTAGCTCCTTGAGATATAAAACTAGACTGTTTATTTGAGATTTTTCTGCATTTCTTAATATAGGCATTTGTGGTTTTAAGCTTTCCTTTTATAACTGCTATTGCTGCATTGAACAACTTTAATATGCTGTGTTTCCATTTTCATTTTTTTCAAAATATTTTTAAATTTCCATTTTGATCTCTTCTTTTACTCTTTGATTGTTCTGGAGTGTGTTTAATTTCCACACATATGTGAATTTTTCAATTTTCCTCCTGTTATTAATTTACACTCACTTTCAATGAACAACACATACAGATGTTGAGATCCTTTTTTCCCGATGTTAGGTTTGTTCAGATCATATTTATTGGAATGTAATTTAATGTGTGTGCTTATGTCTTAATAAAACTTTAATTTTTCCAGTAATTCATTTTTTACTGAATTTCACAAAAGAATCTTATATTTGAGGCACTGCTGTAATAATTTTCATGGAACAGAGGGAGAAAGGATGATGGAGGGATGGCAGGTGAGATCGCATGAAATTAAGTGAATTTTTGGAGACTGCAGTTCTGAAAATACCTCTACTCTATCCTCTTACTGTCTTGATATTTGTCAAGGTACAGAATTCTAGGAGAAAATAATTTTTCTTGAAGATTTTGAAGTGATTGTTTTATTTATTTATTTCGTATTTTTCCCCCCTATGGTGCTCTTAAAAAATCTAAAGACAGTCTGATTCTGAGCTTATATATTTCCTTGTTATTTATGTCTTCTTTTTCTTTCTTTGAAAATGTTTAAAATCTCTATTCTAAAATTTCATAATGATGTGCACTGGAGTGGGCTTTTTAAAATTCACTGTGCAAATCAATTGGTGGATCTTTTCATTCCAGAAATGCATGTTCCTTGTTTATAGTTTCTACCTGCCTGTTTGAATCTTTGAATCTTTTACATCACAAACTCCCAACATATGTTTGATGATATTTAGCTATCCAGTCACATTTGAGAGGCAGAGATTTTTAAAAATTTGATTCAATGGTTTAAAACTATCTCAGCATCCTAGGAACCTAATGGACTATCCTAAATCTAATAATATCTATTTTAAAACCTAAGCAAACTTTATACTTATTGATAAAATATTGCAAATATTCCCCTTGATATTGAGAATGAGACAAGGACGCCGATTGTCACCACTTCTATTCAAAAATATGCTACAGGCTCTGGGCAGTGCAAAAAGACAAGAATACCAAACCAAAGTCATGGGGACTAGAAATGAAGAAATAAAATAAAGCCATGATTATTCATGCATAACATGGATGTGTAAATTAAAAAGATTAAGTGAATCTTCAGACAAACACCTAAAATAAATAAGTAAATCTACTAAGATACTAGATACAAGGTCAATATAAAAAAGCACAATGTATCTCTATATACCACACGGAAAAACTAAAAAATGATATTTAAAATTTAAAAAATTCATAAAAACTTAAAAAAATTGACTGGAAATAAATTTAAGAAAAGGTATGTGGGATTCCCTCACTGGAAATTATAAAACATTATTGTGAGAAATTAATGAAGTCCCATATAAGTGGAGTGATATTCTATGTTCTTGGATTGGAAAACTCAATGTTGTAAAGGTCCAAATATAACTAGGGCCATCCAGAAAAGAACAAATTTAGTAGACTAACACTACTATGCATTGATAATTATTTTAAAGCTGTCTATTTACTTAATTTATAATAATTAAGACAATGTAGCACTGAAACAAGGCTAGACAGACTAATGGAACAGAACAGAGTCCTAAGACAGACTTGTAGCTATATGTCACCTTAATTATTACAAAGGTGACACAGCAGAACAGTGGGAAGGGGTTGGCATTAATTTAAAAATAATGGTGCACCAACTGGATATACTTACTGGGAAAAAACATGTCTTCACCCTCTAGTCTTATATCATAAACAAAAATGCAATTCTAGATTGTTTTGTGAAAATCTCATAAGAACATAAATTGAAAATTCTAAAACCAACTTAATTTTACATATTGTTGACAGTAACAAAAACACTTTTACATATTATTTCATTTTATTTTTATGCAAACCCAGCGAGGGATGTATCGTAGCTATTCTTATCTCCATTCCACAAATGAGGAAACTAAATTTTAAGGAAGACACTTGTTGAAAATTAGTCTTAAATGAATGAAAAAGAGTGTCACCCTGTCCAATCGCAATAAGCTTAGAGAAAAAGAGAAACCAGCAGATTCAAATAATTTGCCTACATCTAAACCCTGTGCTTCCATTTCTTCTTTCGTAGTATGTTGAAAAAGGTTATAATAGAAATAGTATGATAAATGTGAACATGTCTCCTATAATGCCTCCCACTTAGCAGCCACTTAATAAATGTCCTCATCTGATCTTAGCCCATCCTGAAGTCCGGTGGCCAGTCAGGAGTTTAGATAGCCCCAGAAAAAATGTCTCCAGTGCAAGGCAACATTCCCTGCTGCTTCTGATAAATGATACTGATAAGGCTCAAGAAACTATTTTTAGTGAAATTGGCCACCTGTGCAACGTGAAACTTGTCACTTATCAAGCAGCAAAATGGAAAGTTGTTAGAAGGTGACAGGATATTTTATAGAACCAAATGTTCCAATTTTCAACACATTTCACAAAGTGTTTTCTTCAGGTGTCTTCATTTTTTTGTGTGTCTGGGTCTAATTTTTAAAAAATGTGTCCTTGTCGCTTTTGCTCTGGCTTAGACTTCAGAGCTTCTCAGCTTCCTCTCCTGACCTTCCAGTGACAGCGTCATCATTGTCCTAAGACTGTGATTAGGACTCGTGATGTTTGCATGACAGACCATCCCAGGGGAGGGACGCTCACTTGTTCCAGAGCATTTATTCTACTTCAGTGAACATGACCAAGAATGACTTCAGAGCAGAGCTGACCATTACCTAGAAGTGTTGACTTATTTTTAAATGGGAGGGAAAAAAAGAAAGCTTTTTTCCCCTTAAACTCATCACATGAAAATCGTCTGTATACAGATAAGTCTGGGGCATTTTCTGGAGATGTATAGATCATAAAATCATTAAATTTAAAGATTGCAAATGACTTTAAGAAATTTCTAGTTCAAATTTGCAAACTCAAATGCCTATGAGAGCCAAACAAGTGACATGAGTGAAGCCAAGTGTGTGACAATCACAGCTTTCTGGGAGTTGTTGTGCACAAAATGCCCAGCATAGCCTTCTTTATTAACAGAAATCTTATTTCACTTAACACAACTACTTAGTTAAAATATTCCCCTCTTGCAGCTATGGCAGTCATGTGACATGGTCCTGACCAATTTAGGAGTCTGCAGGGTAGACCTACTTGGAAAACAGTGGTTTTCCAGACAGAAAGGACAGACCCAGCAGGCACATGGCTTTTGCCTTTTGCCCGTTTTTATCTAGAATATAGTTATGACGCCCGGAAGCAGGGCAGCCATATTGTAGACTTGGGGCCAAAAGCCAGAAACAAACACAGGCAACAAATAGTTTTTCAGTATTTACTATGTGGCAAGCACTAAGGAGACAGCAGAACTCTATTCTGATAGACCTTCAATTCCAAGGGTTAGTGAGGAACAGTCAATAAGAATGCCAGGTACTGAGTTCTTTGAAGAAACAAAAAGTGAGATGAGAGGGTAGAAATTGATGTGGGTGTGATAGTAAGTTAGGTAGGTGGGAACAGGGGAAAATCTCTCTGATAGGGTGGCGTTTGAAGCAGAGACTCCTTAAGATGTGGCAAAGATCCCCGGGCCTGTATTCCTGACAGCTCTGAGGAAAACAGGGGTTGTGACTCACTATGTTTGAGAAACCCTGAATAAAACACCCTTGAATACCCTGAATGGGGAGGAAGTCATAGTGTATACTAGTATATAAAAGACTCTAAGTCATGCTGAGGAGAAAAAAACATATTTGACTTTGTTTAATATAGAATTTCCCAGAGATTCATTGGCCCTAGAACACTTTGTTGGGGATAGGTCTACCAGTCACCTCTGGAGAAGTTCCAAGTCATAGTCTTTGGGAAATGCTGCCTATGATTAGCATAGGAGGGAAACAATCACTATTGCTGAGGCCCTCTCAGGAATTAAGTGAAGCTGACTGATTTGTTTTTAAGTTCTTATACATAAACATTTTTATTCAAATAAAGTTAAGGTCCCATTTCATGGAGTTCCGTTATTTAGCAAACAAAAATAGGCAAACCAAGAAAAAAAAATTAAATGAAAGCTAGTGATACTGTGGTAAATGTAAGACATGTACGGAGTTAATCATGGTAGGAAAAAAAAACTACTAAAATGTCTAATATTTCAGGGAGAATAATACTGCTCCCTAATTGTCCACAAATATTCTGCATTCATATCCTCCACTGCATTTTCTATTCTTCCAATTTTCAGGGGAAGATCGACAGGTTTGACTACATAAAAAGTACAATTTCTCCATGATGAAATGCATTTTAAATAAAGTCAAATGACAATATGGGGAATCATTTGCAACATGTTTGAAAGATAAAGGCCTAATACCTTTAGTATGAAAATATACTTTTATAAATCAGTTTGTAAAAATATAAACCCAGATTAGAAAGAAAAACGGCCTACAAATATAAATATTCAATCCACACAGGAAAATATAAGTATCCTATAAACACAAGGCAAAATTTCAAACTCACTAGTAATTAAATATAACATTTTTAAGATGAGATATTAATTTTAGTCCATCAGATTGCCAATGATGACAAAGAAGAATTATGTCTAGTGTGGGTAAAGATCTATATTTTCTCATTTGTCTCTAAACATGTGTTCTTTATATATATATACACACACACACACATATACATATATGTGTGTATTCATATAGCTTTTTAAATATGTGAATATTATAAAACGTAAACACCAGCAAAATCTATAAATGTTTATAGGAAATTAGAACTAATGAATTAGCACCTTTGACATTAAAAAGTGATTTTTTTGCATTCAGATAACCTGTCCATCCATATGAAAAAAAAAAAAAAGATTGTTGAATACAAGAGCAAGAACTGTAAATTTTCCAGTGAATTTTGTTTGCTTATGGAGCCAAGGTCAATGGGAGTAAAGTGATTAAAAACCATGCCCAGGAAATGATTCTTCTGTTCAATATGCACTAAGGGAGCATAATAGTGGATTTAAATTCACCTATATCTTTATATTTATTTCAGTACCAGACTTTTCTGACTACCATGGCTTTTCAATGAATTTTAAAATTTCCTTCAACATTCATATTTTTCAGATGTTTCTGTATAATCAGATATTTTCTTTTCCACATCAACTTTAGAATCTGTTGATCACATTCTAGAAAATAAACAAAATATCTTTAGATTTTCATTAGGATTGACTTAACATAGATTCATTAAAAAATTTGACATCTTTGGAAAACCGACTGTCCATATTTTAAGTCTTATTTTATGTACTTCAAGAAAATATTTATAGTTTTATTCACGAAGGTGTCATGTGTTTCTTGCTCTTCTTAGAACATTTTATTTTTGTTTCCAATATATTTCAATGGATTATTGTCAAAATAAAAATAGTTTTGTAAATTAATTTTTAAATGGCTTATTTTTGCTGAACTCTGAGTAGTTCTAACACCCCTCCCTCCACCTGGTTGTCTTGGGATCTATAGACATAGAATCAAAAAATAAAATACTGACAATTGTACCTTATTTTTTTCTGTCCTTATACCACTTCCTTTTTTTATTCTTTTTTAATGGACTGGTGAGCTTTTGAAGAATGATGTTAAAAAACGATGATGAGAGTAAATTCACATTTTGTTCTTTATTTTATAATAATCCTTCTAGTGTGATGTAAGACATTAGTTGAATTTTATTAGTTTTATCCTATTAAGAAAAATAGACCACTTTAATAAGTTTCAACTGAAATGGTTATGAAATTTTATCAAATTTCTTTATTGAGTTACATATTTTTCTTCTTCATCCTATTAATATGATGAGTTATGTAAGTAGATAAGCAGATTTCCTAATAGTAAAACATTTTTGCATTCTTGAATGAACTTTACATAATCATATTTTATGCTATTTCAGTGTAATACTGTATTATAATTTCTACAGGTATATTAATATTAGAATATATGTTCCTTGCATTGTTTATACAGCACTGTGTTTAAATGCCCAGAATGTTGTATGGAATACTAAATGATTTTTTTTTTTAATGATGCTTATAATGAAACTTCGGGACATTGAAAGATTTACCCTGGTAAGATCATAAATTGGCAGTAGCATCTTTTTCTATCGGCAAGTTCCTATAAGTCTTGGTTCATGCCTTTGCTCTCTGACCACACATTTCAGATGGAGTCTCTGTAATACAAATTAATCATGTATTTAGGATAATGCGAGATCTCCTAGATATCAATGAACTATTCAATTGATACTGATCTTTTCCTTCCCAAATTATCTTGGAAGCTGCCAGCAATAAATTTAAAGGAGAACACAGTGGAGCTATTGCTCAATATAGACACATATAAACATTTTTTACAAACTATTCTGAACAATGAAGAAAAGAAAGTTGGCAGACAACCAAGGCATTGTGTTCCAGAGCCAAGAATGTGATTCTGGAACTTTTCCATTGTGAATTTCACTTCAGAGTAATTTGTACTATTTGGAAAGCAGACCATAAAACTCTATGTGGGAACAGGTTATTTGAGGTAATTCCTCTGTCAAATGAGAACAATATTAATAATCTTAGGCCCATAGGAGGTCATGTATTACTAGTTATTAAGGCTAATACAAAAGTAAAAGGTTGTTTCACATTTCTGTGTATTTGTGTATATTGTATATGTGTACATACGTGTTTATATATGTGTATATTATATATATATATAATAATGTGTTATATGATTCAGTGACATAAAGACACTTTATGTAATCTTAAAATATCCTGCTAATAATATGCTAATGGTGTGGGTAAAGAATAAATAACAACTCCTCCTTATCTTAGAAATATATTTTTAATAGGCATATTGACTGTTCATATTCAGATTCTACTGCAGAAAAGCCCTGCCTACAAAAGATGAAATGAAGAGAGTTTAAATGAGAGACAAGATTTTAAATAAGGAAATTTACAATTGTATCTATCTGAAATTGCATTTTGTCACTGTGGATTCTTGGGACCTAATAGTTTTTTATTGAGTAGTAGGTGTTCTCATTTCTAATCATGTCTTTTAGCTGCATTTTGAAGGTTGAGGTGAGGTTAAAATGTGGGCTGGCAACTATAAACAAGTTGGGTGACAATAAGTGCAGGCTTCTGCCAAAGCTGCTTTCAGCAAAATTGTAAAGCAAGTAAGTTTGTCTCTACTCAGTGTCTGTCTCCTTCTGTGTCCTTGAACCTCTTCTGTGGCACCATCACCTGCACCTGCACTTCAAGTGGTTAAGTTCTCTCCCTGAACCTTTTACTGTCTTATCAAAACCACCCAGATTCTTCATTCAGAAGATGAGGATGCAGTCCAATTTAATGAGGCTACCTCCTAGGCAAGCAACACCTGAAGTTGCTATTAATCATGGTCACACTCTGCAGTAACAATGGTGCTATCTCTGCAAAGTAAATACACTCATTGTTGTGTTTTTTGTTTTTGCAAAACAAGAAAAAGGATGCTCTTGCATTTTAACAGGACTTGAAACCATACATTAAAAAAGGGTAACTTAAGTGAAGAAAACAGAGGGTCAACCCGACATGTAGACATGTTTCTGAAGAGGCAGGAGTAGAGAGAGTTTGGGAGAGGGGCAGGAATCAGAACCTTCTAGAATCTTTCAAAACCCATCACATGTTAATGACTTTACCTGCCTATTTTCAAGAGTTTAGATCTATATTGTCTGTTTTCTTTAGTTTTCTCAAGTGTGATAAAGATATAGGTGTCTCAAGAACAAAATGATAACTATAGCTCCAGCTAAACCTCAAAAAATCGATAGGAATTTTTTTTCTATCTCCTGGGTAGAATTGGTTAACATTTCTGAGTATCCCAGAAACAAATCTTCTACTCATGATTAGGATGAGAAAGCTAATATATATTTGTTGCTTTATTTAATACAGAAAATGGCCAAATATTTCATATCAGTTCTTTGTATTTTCTTGAAGAGACAATTACATTTTTCTAACATTTTGACAATTTTGCCACTCTTGAGAAGATTGAAAAACATAACAAAAAACAATGTATTGAAATTATATAATCAAAATGTTTCAGCCCCAAAAGGTACAATATTTCATCTATCTTTTCTCCCCAATAAAGTGGGGGCAAATATTCTTCCCACTAGTAGAGTAGCAGAAATTATTAACAAGTACAGAATGTGGAACGTGGAAAGGATTTCTTGTAAAGAAACAGTAGATTCAAGCTAGCATCGGGGGTAAGAAGAGGGAGGACATTATAAGAGGCTTAATTTTAACAGGCTTAGATGGGAACTGTGAGAATAGTTTTCAAAGGCTAGTTAGGACTAGTTTTGGGGAAAGTTGATTACCAGTCCAGCTGAAAGATTGTGAGAAAGAAATTCATAATAAAACTGAAAATAAAAAATATCACAAGCTATAAAAAATCAAATTAAGAATTCCAAATATTTTCAAACGTAAGTATTACCCAAATAACATATTATTCATAAATTGATACTTGGGGTTATACCACGAACAAATTTGATGTTTCATCTGAAACCACAGCATATTTCTGTAGCATTCATCTTAATTCCCAGTCTCTCTTACAGCCCCATTTTCTATTTTCATCTTTATTTGATCAATCTGGCATTTGTCTGGCCTGTCATTTTAAATGGATAAATACTACAGACATCTGTGATTGGCTTAAGAATAGTGAGAAAGAAGGACTCAATTCATTTCGGGATCTCTGGCTAAAATGTCATTTTTGTGGCATTAGTCAGTCAAGAGCTTTTAAGGAAAAGAATCTATTCTCAACGCAATACTAACTGATTAATCTCCATCACTGGAATTTTTCAGGAATGAGATGCAGAAAAGACAGCCACATTACCTAGTGTTCCCTCGAGATCTTAAAGAAAAAGCAATTTCACTTTGGGATAAGAGAAACAGAGAATAAATTTGCCTACATTCCTATTACTAAATGTTAATTATTAAAGTTTGGAGGCTATGGTTGCTATCACAATAGAGAATTTGGAGGGAGAAAATGTGAGAAGGAACAGAAGCTCTCCTCAATAAATAGGCAGGGGATGTTTATGAAAGATATTCTAGCCTAAGACAAATATGGTTTTCTCAAAAAAGCTAAATCTGTGCTCAAACCATGAGAAAGTTGAAAGTGTCCCAAATGGTGATAGTGGGAAAAAAGTGGGGGATGGTGGGAAAAAAGTGAGTTGAGCAGAATGGAAGAATAGAGCTGAACTTCTGTGTGTGTGTGTGTGTGTGTGTGTGTGTGTGTGTGTGTCTGTGTGTATGTGTGTGTGTGTGTTTCATTTTATTCTTTCCCATTTTATTTTATTTAGATTCACTTGGGATTTTCCCCTTATAATGCATACTTTAGGGAGTTTTCTTAAATGCTCACTATGGTTAGGATGTGCTGTTCTTCAAGCTTAAAAGTTCTTAGAGCCGAGTGGGAGGCCATGATGCAGAATAGAGTAACTATCAAAGGGCATGTCCCATTGAGATGGCATTTATAATTTTCACCAAGAGACAGGCTCCACTCTCCTCTCCATTTTCTCCTTCATGTTCTGAATTCAAACAAGAATTATAGTAAGAATATTTATCTTTCTTTAATGCAAATGTCAGTTGACAATGTGAAAGAAAGTAATTTCTATATAATGACATCCAGCTTAGTTAATCTAGTAAGCTAAGGAACCAGACAGACCCGGAAAATCCAAACTCTACTCTTTACCAGCTGTGTGACTTTGGACAAATTACTCAACATCTCTGTGCCACAGCAGCTCATTTGTAAAGTGAAAATAATGATACTTGTCTCATATGGCTGTGGTGAGTATTAAATAACTAGCAGACCTGTGCTTGGCACAGAAGTTGGCACATCCTAAGTGATCAATAAATGTAAGCTATCAGTATTATTATTTTGGAATTTATATGTGATTTTGATTATTAGAGTCAGTAGTGCTAGAACAAGCCAGTAATGCTTACCTTTTTAAGGAACTTAGAATATTTCAGCAATAGGAATTTCTTAATCCTAAGTGATTTTCATTTAATTGTGAAATATGAACTTGTTTTTTTCCAGTGGAATGCAATTAAAATTCACATTATAAACATATTTTTTTTTGTTCAGGGCTTAATAAAAATCTTCCTAGTGTTATAAATCTCACCTTGGAATTTCGAGTTCCAATTTGCACAAACCAATCAAAAAGCAATTATCATAAACAGCCAATCAACAGTACGAACTAAAATAAATCACCTATCACCCAGTTATGAGTGGGTGATAGATAATTTTCTCTAAAAAAGTCTTGCATTTATTTTTATCATTCTGTTATAAGATAAAGCAGTTACAACAAAATGTAGAGTGTAGATAGAATATTTTCCTAATATTCACTAAAATAAAATAACAAAGAAGCATTTTGATATTTCGTATGTGCTTCATTTGCAGTAAAAGCTCAGTTATTTTTAATATACCATCTCTGGCTTGCTAGAATGTTTCCAAAATTGTTATCTCCAGAATTTTCAATAAGAGCTTTGACACAACTGAGATGTATATCTGAATTTTTTTTTCTTGTCTGGAACATAAGAGAAACACACTGTTTATTCAAAGAACAAATAAGTGAATGAGTGAATGAATGAGTACTTTCTTCTAATGTTTAAGGCCTGTTTAAGTTTCAAAATTGTCACCTTCCTAATTCTTGCCCACAAGTGGTCCCAGAGACATAAAATGTTTTCATGCTCGAGGGAAAAAGAAAAGATAACTTTTTAAAAATAATCTACGCAGATCCACACTGCAGTGGTCATCAGAACATAGGCATTCTCCGAGGCCACCTTTTCCCATCCTCTTCCTTCACTCCCCACCTCCTGCAGGCCTCAGCTATGTTGTGCTACCTTCCTTTCCTTCCTCTTCCTCAAGGGGGCGCTCCAGACTCTAGACGGCTCAGCTTCAGCTTCACCTCCATACAACACCCCGAGTCTTCACCATCTTCTAATTACGCTGTCTGGAATGACTGAAAAAAAACTCTATATGCAACCCCAAAGTCACACCATAGGAGGAAACATTCAGAAGTACATACATGATACAATTTGGCATGAAGTGAATGGCAGTGGCTGAGGGTGTGGGGGGTAGATTATGATACAGTCAGCATTTCCTCAGTGTCTCTCTGCGGTATTTAAATATATAGTTTGTTCCATTTTCTTCACTTAAATATTTCACCCCTTAGCTAGTTGTTACGTATATTTTATTTATTCATCTCGATAAAGGATAGGATCCTCAGGCCGACATTTCCTTTAATAATAATAAAAGGGCTGGGGCTTGTTACCTCACTCCTGGTGCTCTCTCTAGAGGTTCCTTACACAAAGGACAAAAATGGCCAAGTGGAAAATGAAGTGCAGTTTACCGGAGTTACTGAACACTCTATAACGCTCCTCATGCAGGGCTTCTCTGGAAACCACTGCTGAATTGCAGGACTCAGGCTGAATTTCAAAGAGCTGTTTTTCACCGTGTCTGTGAATCTAGGATGGCTGTCCTGTGGGTGAGGCTCTGGGTCCAGTTACAGAGTGAGTCACATGGATAAAGATGGCGAGCCTGGCCTAGGGCCCATGTCCTGCCCCTGGAGCACCTAGGGCGGGGAGGGAGGGAAGCAGAGGGCACTTACAGCCCAGATGTTTGAAGTGATGAGAGACTTGCCTGGTGTATCTCCTGATACTGACAGCGTAACAGTCCTTCCAGAAACCTGGGTTTGTGCCCATAAAACTTTCTCCATAGGCAAGAATAGCCAGATGAGATTGGAGAGGGGCATCCTTCCCTCCCAGCTTACAATTGTCGACTGCTTACCAAGTGTCAAGCATTACTCTAATCAATATATCTACATTGCTTCATTTAATTTTCATAACAATCCTGATAGATAAATACTACTATTGTGTCCATTTTACAGATGCAGAAGTTGAGATTTAGGGGAGTTAAAAAACTTGACTAGAGTCGTAAAGCTGCCAGCAAACAGAACTGGCTTTCTCATCCAAGTCTGACTGGTGGAGTCTGCCACTTCTAGACATTATGCTAGATACCCTGTTTGGCAAATGGTTGTCAAGTATCTATGTTCCATGTGAACTCATTTTGAAAATTTCCACTGTGTCTACCCTGGCAAATCTACTGCTTTATTTCATCATTCAACAAATAAATTTATTAAAGACCTCCTCTTTGCCAATTACCATGTGAGGCCCTGGGGAACCAAGATTGAGCAAGAGAGAAAAGGGCCCTGTCCACGTTGAAGCATGCCCATCTGGGAAGATGGAAAACCCAATCAAATAAAATGATAGTGTCTAACAATACTTTCCCCTATATTGGGAAAGCACAAGTACCATTGGGCACTTAGCAACCATCTCTATATCAATCTACAGTGCTTGGAATTTATAATTCTTAAGATGCATAGAATATTGTTTTCTTAACACTGAACTTACTGTGCTAGGTAGTGAAAGGACATAAAGATAGCCTCTCCTCTACAGAAAACAAAACTTAGTTGGCGAAAGAGAAACCAACCAAATGGTTAATGGGAAGAGAAAAAAGGAATCCTTGATTCTATAAGTAGGAATTGAAGGCTCTTTAGGACAACTAACTTCTTAATTTCATGCATTCACCAGAGAAACTGTGTTTAGTGAAAATGAGGATCAGATCTGCCTCCCATTCCTATCTGGGTTTCCTATACCCCTGCTTCTTTTTTTTTTTTTGAGATGGAGTCTCGCTCTGTTGCCCCAGCTGGAATGCAGTGGCGTGATCTCGGCTCACTGCAAGCTCTGCCTCCCGGGTTCATGCCATTCTCCTGCCTCAGCCTCCCGAGTAGCTGGGACTACAGGTGTCCGCCACCACGTCCAGCTAATTATTTGTATTTTTAGTAGAGACGGGGTTTCACTATGTTAGCCAGGATGGTCTTGATTTCCTGACCTCGTGATCCGCCTGCCTCGGCCTCCCAAAGTGCTGGGATTACAGGCGTGAGCCACCACACCCGGCCTACCCCTGCTTCTTTTTAAAATGAAAGAATTGAATAAGAGGATCTTAAATGATATTTCTGACTCTGACATGCCATGATAGTAATCTTTTAAGAAAGCTGATAAAATCAACATTTCACCTTTGATTTTTTTTTGATATGTCCATCTGAGCCCTATCTTTTTATATGAAAAACTTTCATTCTTCTTATAGTAGAAATCTCTTTTGAATCATTTCTGAAATTTCTCAGTAAGTCAGTATCTTAGCATTCCTGTTTGTTTTAGGCTTCAGTATTTAATACCCTGAAAACAAACCTTCTTATCTTATACCACTAACCATGCTACTAAAAATCAATCCATCAATTAATGAATTAAAAGATAAATATGAATTCAAATCAGGAAAGAAAGAAAAATTCTCATTTTTCCAAAAATGCAGGAATTCATATCATTCTACTAATACTAACTAAAGTCATGGAAACCTTTTACCCTACCTAGGTAGAATATCACAACTACATGTTTGAGTGGTTCTCAACTACGAAAAAATTTACTTCCAGGGGACATTGAACAACATCTGGAGGCATTTTTGGTTACCATATCAAACTGCTATTGGCATCCAGTCAGTAGAGGCCAGAAGTGCTGGTCAGCATTCTACAATGCCCATAACAGCCTCTCACAACAACAACAACAAAATCATGTTTCAACATGTCAGTAGTGCCGAGGTTAAGAAACCCTGGTGTAGGTAGATTATGCATTTCTAATGGAGGGCCATTATTCAAGGCTATGGTAAAATGTATGCTAAGATTCTTTACTTTTTTTTTTTTCAAGTTTCTTATTTGGAAAGTCCTGACTGTGTCTTGATAAGCTCTCCTTCTTTATGCTTAGCTTTCGAACAAATGTTAGTTCTGTCTCCCCTTCCTCTCTCCCTTCACAAAGTTCATAAAACTAACCTGATTGCTACCACCTGCAACCAAGACAGGAAACAGAGGGCAAGAGGGTCCGACCCTTGTGGAAGTGTCCAGAATAACCACTAGAACCTTAAGCTGGAATTGTTCTTCCAGCTTCCTGAGCCAATATGAGTCCAGGCAGTATTACAACCCACCCAGAGCAAGAATGGTGGTAACCAACTTCCTGCATAGACCTGTGGTACAGAGCACAGACTCTAGAAATGTCCTGGGTTCAGATCCTACCCCTTCTGTCTTTTTGCTATCTAGCTTTGGCCACTTAATCTCTCTGTACCTCAGTTTTATCATTTTTAAAACAGGGATAACAACAGTAAGCCTACCCCAGAGAATTACTGTGAAGATTAAATGAGCTAAAATATGCAAAGTGCCTGGCACACAGTAAGCCCTAGATTCAAGATAGTAGTTGTTATTATCATGATTCGACTCTGCAATAGTGCCACGTAACTTTAAGTTACAGGAGGAGATTGACTTTTGTCTCATTACTTTCTGAAGAACAAACTTTCTCTAGCCATTTTCTCTGAATTTTCATTAGAGGTTTCAGATTCTACTGCAAGGATCCTTGTTTCTGGAGCCCAACCTGCACCCTACATTCCTAACACTTTCTATGATTGTTTCACCTCTAAATCTTCCCTACTGAAGCAATTCTGTTTCTGCTATTTATGACATTGGTCTTTGGCCATGCACACAAACTTTCCAAGAGTCAATAGCATCAAAAGTGATGCTTTTTTTCTATGAGTTTCAAGTTTTAAATTATATCTCAAACTGTAAGAAAATTTAATTTTGACAGAATTTTATTAGCCTTACATAACTATATACTCTTCTATTCTGGGCAACTAAATGCAATTAACTGATAAAAGAATTTTAAGAAACTATTCCATAGATACACAGAAATGCCTGGAAATTTGCACACTTGTTCAAACAATGTGTAATTCTTCATGCTATCATCGGGGTAAGAGAGAATTTTGTATTTAGATCTCTAATAATTAATCTGTACTGAGATATCTTATAAAATAACTTAGATACATCTCTTAGTTAATAAAATTAAGTAAGCGTCAATGAAATTTTATTGGGTTTCTCTGCAACATAATATGGTTAGCAAAGTGGACATCACAAACTCCCACGTCTTATTCACAACTTAGCGATTAAAGCTTCTTTTTTTCACAAAAAAACCTAGGTGTCAACAAATTCACCTCAAATAACCATAGAATCAACTCTTTGAAACAAATAAAGGCAATATTAACCCAATAAAAGCCTACCAATAAAGGGCCTGAAATAATGTGCCTGAAAATCATTTAATAAACCCAAAAAGGGGAAAAGAATCAGCAAATGAATTCTTCCTCTTTAAAACAAATGAACAAAAACAAACAGCCTTACACGAATTCACAAAACAGTTAAGCCACATAAAACGCCTTACAAAGAAATTAATACTACACTTCAGTTTATTGGCCCTTTTACTTCCTCATCAAGCTTTGTAAGCATTTCTAAATAGAGCGTCATTTCCACAAGTAAACATTTTTTACTGGAACATAATTTTAGCATTACAATGAGTTCCTTCCATTAAAATGATTGGTTTCACTTGAGGAAGTTTCCCAAATGCAAGCATTTGTTTTCATCATTATGGCTGAAACAAATATTCTGTTAGACCTTGCTAACTAGCCTTGCTACATATATGTAATATGAGAATGTATTTGCTCATCTTTCCTAATAGGAAGGCAATGTGTGTCCTTAACATGTTTGCATGAAGTCAGTGTACATTTAAGGTTGTACAAAAGATTCTAAATCATTGTTTTAAATATCAACTTTCAACTATTTCTCTGTCAGCCCTTCTGAAAACATATGGCTATGTTATGTCAAAGAGTTTGAAAATCTTCACACTGGCACTGGCCTGTCATACTAAGATCTATTTCAAGAGGGGTATGATTTCATCTCCATAATAAAGAAGTGAGATTGGCCCGGATTCATGGGTCAATAAGGAGATAGCAAAGAAGCGATTGAAAAATCCATTTTTGATGAGAAAGGCAAGTAGTAATCCTATCAAAACATCTTTAATCTCTAATTAGATGTCAATGTCTACTTAGTATGTACGATTTTTGGCACCTGAAGGCATCACAAGTTTTGATTATAATACTATGTTATGATATAGCCTAAGATAAATTACTTTATACCTAAAATGTGATTCTGATATGATGAATAAGTTAGCAAGACTGATCTAATAAGTTAGCGAGGCTGATCTCCAACAAATTTATGAAAAGGTGGAGACCTCCTGGGAGGCCTCTTACACTTAGGTAAGAAGGAACCACCTAGAAGGAATTTGAACTAGTAAAGAAGTGGGAGAAGGATCAATCCTAAATATAATATGATATTTGGCACTTGAATGTTCCTCCCATATCAACCCTACTTGGACTGAACAGAAGGATTATACATACAAGCTAAAAGAGCTGTCCTACAGACCCTTGATTGATCTAGCCCCTGCCTTCCTTTCTGGTCTTATGTTATCGCATCTTCCCCCTCAAGCCCCATTATTTAGGCTCTACTTACATCATTGCACTATGCTGCATCAGATAATTAAACCTTTATCCTTGCTGTTGACATCACCAAAACCTCTTTGCTTGAATCTTGCCCAATTCTCTTTCTCACTCTCAAGCACATGTCATTGGGGTATTTAGAAACACCTGCATGGAGAGGAAGACTGGTGTTTAAGAAGACAGTGAGATTCTGGGTCTGCAGGCAAAGAAAAGAGCCT
Organism: Homo sapiens; assembly: GCF_000001405.40. Taxonomy (NCBI): domain Eukaryota; kingdom Metazoa; phylum Chordata; class Mammalia; order Primates; family Hominidae; genus Homo; species Homo sapiens. The sequence goes on from NC_000002.12 coordinate 226,221,880, forward strand.
GTAAAACTTGGGTTACTCTGTAACTCTGACCCCAATCTGGCCCCACAGGAAAACAAGGTCTGGAAAACTGGGGTTGTACTTTTTAAAAACTGGGGTTGTATTTTTTTAAAAAATTTGACTTAGAACTGTCACTCTCCTTTCCTCCCTTTCTTTTCCCCTCTCTATCAGAAAGCTGTGTATAGGACATACTAAAACACTTCTTCTCATCTAAGTTCTGAACCTCAAATTGGTTCCCTTCATTAACGATGATATATAGAATCATATTTTGCAGGTGTAAAGATGGACATTGAGAAATCCTATGGGCTAAGCCAAAAAAAACTCAGGTCCCAGGAGGCTGAATAATTGCTCAGAATTGTACATGTAGTTGCTGGCACTCAGATTAACATTCAAAGGTTAGTTCGTTGCACTTTTAGCTTTCAGTTGAAAGAAAGGTGATGCTTCACACAATGGAATTAAGCTAAGCTGAGCTGACCTATAATTAAAAATCAAAGTCATGCCACTCAGCCTATCTACTCTGCTTAACATGCCTGACTATCACAGGTGTATCTCATAAATTACAATTATTTCTTTGGCCCCAGAAATCAATTTGGTAAATAGATGCACCCTTTATACACAGAATCTCACATTTACATTTATCTCAGGACTAGGTGTGAAGGACAGGGTTGAATACAGCTAAAGGGCATACATTGAGGGAAATGAATTACATATGATATTACATATCTTACTATAATATCAACAATTTTCATTTTTCAAGCATATTGCATATAAAGTGGGCATTATGAACTCCATGCACCACAAGCGAACAACAGAAGCTTATCATATGGCAAATGATTAATGCTGCCACCTCCAAGTTACCTTGGGCACAGCCAGGATGCATCTCAAAGATGTGTTAAATATCTATCAACACCTTCTGCAGTGATTGCTATAAAGAGAAGATAATGATGAAGGCACCAAGCTTGTCTTTCTTCAGGGTTAGATTCACGGAAGGGGAAAACAGGTTAGATTCATAGGAAAAAAAAATAATTAGCAAGAATTTCTGATAAATTTGGTAACTTTTGACACTTGTAAATTTATTCATTCATTTCTTTGTTCATTCATAGAACAAATATTTGTAAAGCAAAAAAAACTATAGTATGTCAGGTACTCATCTGTGTTTTAGACATAGAGCAGGATTCAGAACAAAGCCCTTTCTTTTAAAGGAATTTACATACTTTTGGAGACCTTAGAGAAATGAATTTAAAATATCTGGCTGTAAGAGGTAAGATACAAGGGAACAAGTGAAAAGTTTATGGGAGAACAGGAAGGAGGGAGTGTGGCTCTGTTTCTATGCTAGTCACTTGCATAGGATGGCAGCATGGCTCTGGGAGTCCTGTCTAATAAGAAGGCATTTCTTCAGAGCAGTGAAAGAAGTGAGGGACTGAGGCTCACAGATGTTTACAGGGAGATATTTCTAAGCAGAGGGAATAGCATGTACAATGACTTTGACAGAGAAGAGCAGTTAGCCTTGGCATGTTCAAAAACCAGTAAGTGGGCAGTGTAGCTGAAGACTAGTGTGTGTGAATGTGGAAGAGGAAGAAGAGAGATTATTTACGGCCTTATAAGTTGAGATAAAAACACATTACCACTGTATGAAAAAAAACAAAACTTGCCAAAATGATATGATGTGTAGACAAATACAAATTTATAGTCTTTATTATAGGGCACTTCACGGAACAGCAGGATCATTTTTTATACCATTTTCTGAAAACACTGTAATCTGCAACTGCCATTTAATAATTTAATTTCATGGAAATATATTATTGAATCAGACTTCCTTAATTTAAGTAACTGTCTGGCTTCGTTTAATTATTTAATCTCTCTATACCTTAATTTCCAAATCTGTAGTCTACGGATCATAGAAGAAACTAACAGCAATCTCTCTTATGAGCATAAATGTAAGTATATGTACATATATACCAAACTAATGATAGCAGTCAAATTCAAAATAACATATTTTAAAAATTACATTAAAGAAATGCAAAGTCAGCTAATATTCAAAAATTGATTCATGTGATTTACCCTTTTATCAGAAAAATAAAGAAAAGTCATATCATTATCTTCATATTTTAAGGAAAATCAATCACCCTCCATTAATTTAAAAGCTTAGCAACAAGAAATAGAAAGGCAGAGTTTTCTTAACCTAATAAAGAGAATCTACAAAACAAATTTTAGCTAACATTATAGATAAGACAAGACTGTTCATTGTCCTTATATTTAGTCATCATTGTGCTGGAGATTCTAGAAAACAGGCAAAGGAAGTTTTTTTAAAAAATAAAAGTTATAAGAATTGGAAAGATAGGAATTATAGGGTCATTATTTTCATACGAAATAATTGAGTACATAAAAAATTCCATAGACTATTGATATTTAAATGTAGAAAATTACAACATGAAAGATCTATATAAAAAGTTTCTACATAGTACTAAAACAATTCAGATACAATTTTTTTTAAAAAAGATACTATGTACAATAGCACCACAGAAACAATACAGAAACATCAAATACCTATGACTAGATCTAACTAATGACATGTACATGACATAAAACTACAATATCCTATTGAGAGAAATTAGAGAAGGCTTAAACAGAGAAATACATCATGTTCACAGATGAGAAGATACAATATTGTTAAAATGTTGATTCTCTACAAGTTGTTTTACAGATTCAATGTACCCCAATCAAAATCTCAACAGAAACTGTGGTGACAATTGACAAGCGAGTTCTGAAACATGTATGAAAGAACAAAAGATGAAAATTGTGAAGTCAAAAATTTTGGAGAATTTGCACTACTGGACATCCAGACATTATTGGCTCACCACTGTGGCTCACGCCTGTAATCCCAGCACTTTGGGACACCAAGGCGGGTGGATCATTTGAGGTCAGGAGTTCCAGACCAGCCTTGTCAACATGGTGAAAACCCATTTCTACCAAAAAAACAAAAATTAGCCAGGCAGGGCGGCACATGCCTGTAGTCCCAGCTACTCAGGAGGCTGAGGCGGAAGAATCATTTGAACCCAGGAAGCAGAGGCTGCCATGAGCCAAGATGGTGCCACTGCACTCCAGCCTGGGCAACAGAGTGAGACTCCATAAAAAAATAAATAAATAAAAAATAAAGGAAAAGAAAAAGAAAAAATATATTATTAAAGTACAATAATTATGTTCCATTCCAATCCCTATACAGTCAGTCACCTGTTTTATGCAAAGATTTTGCTGCAAAATGGAGGAAAAGATGTCCTTTTTAGAAAATGATGCTGAATCAAATCAGTATCTGATATATTAATAGTTTGGATGTCTATCCTCTCCAAATCTCATGTTAAAATGTGATTCCCAGTGTTGGAGGTCGGGCTTAGTAAGAGGTGTTTGGGTTATGGGGGTGGATCCATCATGAGTGGCTTGGTCCCCTCCCCATAGAATGAGTTCATACAAGATCTGATTGTTTAAAAAGGAGCCTGCCACCTCCCACTCTCTCTCTCTTGCCTCTTCTCTCACCATGTGACCTGTTGGTTCCCGTTTGCCTTCTGTCATGAATGTAAGCTTCCAGAGCCCCTCACCAAAAGCAGATGTCAGCATTATGCTTCATATGTAGCTTGCATAACCATAAACCAATAAAGCTCTTTTTTCTTTATAAATTACCCACTCTCAGGTATTCCTTTATAGCAACAGAAGTGGACTAACAGTATCAATATAGGAAAAGTATGCATTTCAGTAGTTATCTTAAGCCACATATAAAAATCCATTCCAGGCCAGGCACGGTGGCTCACGCCTGTAATCCCAGCACTTTGGGAGGCCAAGGCAGGTGGATCACGAGGTCAGGAGATCAACACCATCCTGGCTAACACGGTGAAACCCCGTCTCTACTAAAAATACAAAAAAAAAAAAAATTAGCCGGGCATGGTGGCATGCTCCTGTAGTCCCAGCTACTCGGGCGGCTGAGACAGGAACCCAGGAGGAGGAGCTTGCAGTGAGTCAAGATCGCGCCACTGCACTCCAGCCTGGGCGACACAGCGAGAGTCCGTCTCAAAAAAAAAAAAAAAAAAAAAAAAAAAAAAAAAAAAATCCACTTCAGATACATTGTAGAACTAAATTTGAATGGTAAACAATAAATCTTCTGTAAGATAAAATAGAAACAAATCTTCATGATTATGAGGTAGTATTTGGATGGCAAAGTAAAGCAATATTCATATAGCTTATACCCTGAAGCCAGCTTGGGGCACCAGGCACTAGGGCAGCTAATGTAATTTGTCACTAATCTGCCAGCTCTCCTGGTTGGCCTGGGGCATAAATCAGACCTTCAACTCCTTCTGCTCCCACTGTCTCCTCTGTCAGCTTCTTAGAGGCATGAACCAAGTCCATGAACATCTCCATGCAAATACAGCAGAAAAATCCAGATGAAACTGCCTCTACCTACCAAAATACTAAACCCATAGCAAATAGCATATTTTTTAGGGACTTCAAGGATAAGAGCCACCAAGAAGGTGTAAAGGATGCAGTATGGTGATACTACCACACCCGCATTCAACACACCCATTATTTTGGCCTGTGCAAGAGACAGATGGGACTTTGAAAATGACAGTGCATTACTGTAAACTTAATCAGGTGGTGAAATCCATTGCAGTTGCTGGCCCAGTTGTAGTATCATTACTGGAACAATCAACACACCCCTGGCATCTGCAATCTGAAAATGCATCTATCTCTTTCTCTCCCTCTGCTCTCTCTTTGTGTGTGTGTGCGCGTGTGTGTGTGTCTGTGTGTGTGTAAAGAACTTCAGAAACAACTTGCTTTTCCCTAACAGAGCCAGTATCATATTAAACCTCCAGTCTTATGCCATAATCTACTCCTCAGGGACTTCTATGGCATCTTCATTCTACAGGGCATCATTACTCTGATAATCCATTACATTTATGATTCGCTGATTAGATCAGATGAGCAGAAAGTAACTACTGCTTTAGGCATCTTCCAAAGATATATGCATGAGAGAAGAAAGGAAATAAATCCTACACAAATTTAGGGACCTGCCACCTCAGTGACATTTCTAGGGGCACAGAGGAATGGCGTGATATTTTCAAAGTGAAAGATCAGTTGCTTCATGTGCACCCTTTTATCATGAAAAAAGAACCAAAATGCCTAGTGCACCACTTTAGAGTTTGCAGAGCCATAAACCTCACTTGGGCCTGCTATTCAGACCAACTCATTGAGTAACTTGATAATCTACCAATTTTGAGTGTGGCCAAGGAAAAAAATAATAATTCTTCAGCTGCCCTACTAGTTGGACCAGATGACCCTGAATATCCTCATGATGCTTGACATGTCTGTGACAGATAGGGTGCTTCATGGAGACTTTGACAAAACACTCTAGGAGGCTCACAGTACAAACATTTAAAATTTTGGATCAAAGCTATGTCATCCTCTGCAAACAGCTATTATAGTTTTGAGGAACAACTTCTGTCTTGTTGCTGGGGCCAAGCAAAGAATGAACATTTTATCACAGGCTACCAAATTACCACATGGCCTTAGCTGCCTATCATGAACTGGTTGCTGTCTAACCATCAAACCAAAAAGCACAGCAGCACTTCATATTCAAATGACATGTAAGAGATTCAGCCCAGTCATATCCTAAAGGCAAATGTAAGTTGCATGAGCAAGTGGCCCACAGGCCACATTCCTGATCCAATGCCTCCTCTTTCTCAACCTGCCCTCATAACCACATAGAGATTTCCCTATAGCTGGTTGACTGAAATAATACAGCTTCATTTAAAGATGGGAGCCCCTTTCAGACCTATTTGGGGTGGCCTTGGAGGACAAGGGTGAAGGGAAGGCCTCCAGTGGACAAAACTTTGAGCAGTGAATCTGGCTGTTTGCTTTGCTTGGAAGAAGATAGGGCCAGAGTTGTGAATCTACACCACTTAATGAACAGTGGCTAAAAGATTAGATAAGTGGTCAGGGACTTGGAAGAAACATAATTGGAAAATTGGTTCTGTAACTAGGCACAGACTATGACAATATTTGCTCTTCATCTGAACACTTACAAAACAACAACCTCAAACAAGAGAATTTTAATGATCATTTAGACAAAATGACCCATTCTGTGAAGGTAAGTCAGCCACTTCTGTCCTTGTCATGAGTGAGCTTCATGAACAAAGTGGTGATGTTTTAGGGCTAGAGTTTAAACTTGGGCTCAGAAACATAAACTATCACTCACCAAGGCCAATTTAGCTAAAGCCATTGCTGACCTACCATCAACAGAGACAAATGTTGAGCCCCCATTTTTGCACCATTTACCAAGGAGATTGCTGAGGAACATGCTGCAGGTCGATTGCATCCAAGCTTGTCCAACTTTCCTTATTTTGTTGTTGTTGTTGTTGTTGTTGTTGTTGTTGTTGTTGTTCTGTTTTGTTTTGTTTTAGGCTTCTAGCAGCTCGAAGCCATGGATTTAACTGTCTGTCTCTAGTAATATGCAGAAAGGAGGATGAAGAAGGGGCTTTACTGGCCAAACCAGAAACAGAAACTAAGAACCCATGACTGTATTCTCTCCCTTGGAAACTCCTGTGAGACCATTCATAATGGAAGATGTAACACCTTGTTCTCATTGGAATAGATATTACTCTGAATATGGATCTACCTTCTTTGCCCGTAATGCTTCTGCCAAAACCATGGCTTCTGGCCACAATCGTGAATCTGTGCCACTTAGTGGACAGAGGCTAATAGATAAGTGGACAGGGGCTTGGAAGAAACATAATCAGAAAATTGGTTCTGTAACTGGGTGCAGACTATGACAATATTTGTTCTTCATGTGAACCCTTACCAAACAGCAACTTCCATGTTATTCACTTCATACATCTTTGCTTCTGACCAAGGGACAGTCTTATATTTATGCAATTCACTGGTCTTCCAATGTTTCCTATCACTCTGAAGCAGTAGTATGATAGAATAGTGCAATAGCTTTTAGAAAAATCAGTTATGGCACCAATTGGGTAAGAACACCTTATGAGGCTGAGATAATGTCCTCCAGGATGCAGTATATGCTTTAACTCAGCAGCTATACATAGTGCTGTTTCCCCATATCCAAAATTCATGGGTCCAAGGATCAACATAGTTGGAAATGAGAGGAACTCTTCTAACTATTAGCCCTGATATTCCCCTAGTTAAAATGTTGTTTGTTAACAAAACTTTGAATTCTGGTGGTCTCTAGACCAGATAACACTGTTCCATATTTGTGTAATTCAACATGGTAGCCACTAGCTACATGTGGCTATTGAACTCTTGAAAGATGGCTACTTCAACTCAGATAATATAATTAAAAATTGATTTAATTCAAAATAATTTAATTTAATATAAATAGCCACATATACCTAGTGACTATCATATTAGACTAATGTTTATCTCAAAGTCTACAGTTTTAAAAGATTAATACTTTAACCAGGGGATTGTAATGTTTCCATTACACTAAAAGTTGAAATTGATAACTGTCCATTTTAGGCTTCTAAGAGAATGATCCAACAGTTACTAGGCTGCCTGGAATAATGATTCCTGATTATCAAGGGGAAATTGTACTACTACATAGTGAGCATAAGGGAATATACCTGGAATGTGGAATATCCTTTGGTTGTCTCTTAGTACTCCCGTGTCCTGTCATTAAAATAAATGGAAAATTATACCCAAGACAGGCAGGGCTGTAGATCGCCCAGCTCTTTCAGAAATAAATATTTGAATCACCATACCAGGAAAGGAATTACAACCAGCTGAGGTCTTGCTTAGGGAAAAAATAATTATGGGACTGACATTGAGAAAACGGGATATTCATAGGCATAAGAATGAAATTGGATCCTTATCTCACATCCTATACAAATATCAACTCAAAATCAATTAAAGACTTAGATGTAAGACCAAAAACTGCTAGAAGAAAACATAGGGGTAAAACTACACAACATTGCTCTGAACAATTATTTTTTTGATTTGACTTCAGAAGTGCAGGCAACAAAAGCAAAAATAGACCCAAATGGGATTACATTAAACTATAAAGCATTTGCACAGCAAAGGAAACAACAGCATGCAGAGACAACTTGTGGAATGAGAGAAAATATTGGTAAGCCATGCATTTAATAAAGAATTTATATCTGAAACATATAAGGAGCTCAAACAACTCAACAACAAGAAAACAAAAAACTCAATAAAAAAATGGGCAAGGGACCTGAATAGATATTTCTCAAAAGAAAATATACAAATGATGAACAGAAATATGAAAAAATGGTTAACATCGCAAATCATTAGGGAAATGCAAATTAAAACCACAATGAAATATCATCTCACAGCTGTCAGAATGGCTATTATAAAAAGATGAAAGATAGCTAGTGTTGATGAGGATGTGGAGGAAAGGGAACTCTAGTACGCTATTGGTGGGAATGTAAATTAGTACAGCCACTATGGAAAACTGTGGCATTTCCACAAAAAACTAAAAATAGAACTACCAGAGGATCCAGCAATCTCACTTCTGGATATTGATCCAAAAGATTTGAAATCTGTTTGTTGAACAGATGTCTGCACTCTCATGTTCAAGGCAGCACTATCCACAATAGCCAAGTTATGGACTCAACAAAGTTGTCCATCAACAAATGAGCAAATAAAGAATAGGTAGCGTATCTAAACAATGAAATATTAACCAGCCTTAAAAAGGAAAGAAATTTTGTCACTTTCAACAACATAGATGAATTTGGAGAACATTATGCTAACTGAAATAAACCAGGCACAGAAAGACAAACACTGGAGGTTCTCACTTTATGTAGGATCTAAAACAATCAAACTCTAGGAGCAAAGAGTAGCATGATGGGGTTACAGAGGCTGGGGCCTGGGGGCAATGGGGCAATGATGGCCAAACGGTACAAAATCTCAGACAGGAGGAATATAGGTTTTTTTAATAGTTCTATCACACAGTGTGGTAAATATAGTTAATAATATTGTACATTTCAAAATTGCTAAGGAAGTAAATTTCGAAAGTTTTCAAAAAAATGTAAGTATTTGAGGTGATGAATGCGAACTAGCTTGATTTAATTATTCACACTGCATTCATGAGTCATAACATCACTTTGTACCCCATAAGTGTATACAAATTATAATTAACAATTACCATTTTAAAAAGAATGATACTGGTTCCAACTGTGTGACTAGTTGTAGAAATGATGACTAGAGTAGCTATGGATATTCTTCTTTATTTTGATATGACGGTGTTTGTATTTATATTAACCATGTTTTTCCTTTTTCTCTCCCTATTCTCTACCACCTACTATAATGCATACTCATAGAAATTAAATTTAAATACAGGAGTTAAAAAATGAGAATTTGACTTAGCTAAAGGGATAAATAGTATAATCCAAAAATAGATTCAACTATTTTATGTTCCCTTTTGAAGAGAAGGATAGCATATTTGGGGTTATATGAGAGATAGTTGCATTATGTTAGATAGAAATATAATTTTGCTTCTTTTTTTTTAAGAATTAAGGATAGTTGAAAGAGAGCTGGAATGTAGTGGATTTTTCCTTTGTCTACACAAATAATCTGGAACTGCATTTCACAGAAGTTCTTTCCGCATGTGATTCTTTGTTAGCCCTGGTTGGAAAAGACATTCTAAATGAGATTTAGAAGGGGCTCACCAGAGGCTCATCAGCTATCACTGAGTTTTTCTCAAAGGTTTCCGTTTTTCCCCAAGCGTTCTAGTTCTGCCTTGTGAGTTCCAGTTTCTTATTGTTCTCTTTTAAAATCAACATTTCTTCTTGACTTCTGGTCTAGCTGTTGCAGAATAATTTGAATTTTGATACTAGACAGGGGGACAGCATCCTCAATAGACAGCTCCACTAGTTTCCACAATTGAGTAAAGTTTAATCATGGTAATAAATCTCTTATTATATATTATTTATAGTGGCTTGAGGTTTCTGATGAAATCTCAACTGATAGAAAATTTTTGTCAATACCTGCTAAAGTGGAACCTATGCATGCCCTATAAATCAGCAGCTATATTCCTAAATATCCACCCTTAGAAACAAGTACCTATGTGCACAAAAATACATAAACAAGAATATTCATAGCTCTTTATCCATCATAGCCCCAAACTGGAAACAACCCAAATGTCTATCTACAGAGGAGGAATAAATCCAGCATGAGATAGCCACACATTACAATACATATCAGGGAGAAGGAGCAAGCTTGTTTCATGCAACAACACAAATGAATCTCAAGACATGCTATTGAGAAAAAGAAGCCTAACACAAAAGAATGCATATTTATAGGAAGTTCATTAATCAATTGTAATAAAACTCAGAAAAGTGGTTGCCTTTAGGAGGAGGCAATGACTAGATTCAGTATGGGGTGAGATCTGGAGGGGTACTCACCAGCATTATCTAGGAACAGATAATTTCATCTGGGGGAATTACATAGGTATATTCACTTTGTAAAATGTTGTAAGTTGTAGACTTAAGAGTTGTACGTTCTACTATTTGTATATTTGTACAAAATGACTAGAAATAATATCTACCTATCTCATAATATGTGGAGATTAAATGACATAGCTCATGCTTACCATGATAAAATTTCAATAAATACTACATAGCATTACTTTGTTCTTACAAAAACTAGTAAAGGAAGATGAAAAGAAAAATTTTCACTAGGCAACCTTACAATTAGGAAAAATGATAATTTTACACTAGAGAAAAAATTGGACCTAAAATTATAACATCAGAGGTGTAGTGTCCATTGTTTATATAAGATCACAACCTCACATTCTAATTTGAAAGGGTATTTTACAGCAAAGACAAGAACAGAGAAACTAGAGATTTATGCAGGAGGATATCTCCCTGTCTGATCTCCATTGTTCTCAACCACAGCTCACTCTATTTTCTTCGAAGAACTCTTAAAAAAAGTTTTGGGGCATATTTATTGTCTGATTTGTCCCATTAATATGTAAACTCCATGAGGACAGGTACCTTCTCTGTGTTTTCTATTTTTTCCCAGAGCTATGGCTAATGACTATCACACAGTCACTTCCCAAGTAAGTAAAGTGTAGTAAGTACAGTGATACACAGAGCTTGAATACTCATGACCTGAACATAAAAAGCCGGCATCTATGGCATGTGGGCCAGCCATCTTGATAGGGTTGGCATTCCTAACTTACCTCTCCCCTAGCTCCTTTCTTGTTGAAAGCCTTCCTGTCATAGTTAAGAGTTTTAGATCTGTAGAGTTCGAAGGGTGATTTTTTTCAAGGTCGACGATATCTGAATTGACATTTCTGATACGGTTGCCCTTGTACTTTTCTTGATGAAATGACACCACCACAAATCCTTTCCAAAATGAAGTGGAAAATGAAGGCGAATAAATAAATAACTAATGAAGTGGCCACAGATCAACTAATTATGATCACAATATCAGAAAGTTCATGTTAATAAGAAGTGTGTGTCATTTTACTTTGCATTTATTTATAATCTGGAAAATGTTGACAGGACATTCTTGTGTCATCAAAAATTTTATCTAATAATCAATGAGACAGAATCACTATAAATAATTTAAAACTATTAACTAAATACAAAGATTTAACTGAGTTCTGCCAATGAGGCTTGGGGCACTTAGCCATCCCCACAGCAGATGGGAACTGTCAAAGCACATAAACATTCAAAGTTGCAAGACACACTTTCAGATGACAGAAACCAGAAGAATTCATGCAAATCAATGAGCCCAACACACCTTATTTAAAAGAGAACATTTGACAGGCAATAGAGAAAACCATTTTGAATCTTTGCTTTTGGAGATATCCCAGGTTTTAATTATCAAATGTCACCATTTCCTAAATGGAGATTTTTCTACAGATAACCCTTTTAAAAATCTATTTAAAAACAGCATTTCTTCTACTGATCTTGGTGTTAATGTTATGCCAAATTATGTTTTCTTCACCATTCAGAACTTCACTTTAATGATATCCAGTAACACAATAAGGCAACTATAAAATTTCCTTAATAGATTTGGCCAATTTAATTTTAAGCTAATCTGTTTGGGATGGATTTTGTTTACCACATGCTTGTAGCTATAAGAATTTTGAACATAAAGATGGCGATGTCTCTCCAATTTCATTATAAGAGGAGCAGAAACATATTTGGAATGTATGTATTGTTCAGGATGTATGACAATGTGCTTGCAGAGCAAGAATACTATTTTTACTCAGTTTATATATCCATTTGGTGTTCCTTGTTGAGAGATGATGATAGAGCCTTAGGGGAAGTGACAATCCAAGCACCACCACTGGCAAATGAGATTTCCACTGAAAATGTCAATAAAATAACTGACATATACATGGTACTTGCTCATTTAAAGAATGACTTCCTATGCGTGAGTTAATTTGTTCTTGAAGTTAATCTAAGGAAGAGATTAAGAATATCTTTATTGGCCCCATTTACAACTGAAGAAACTGACAGTTGGGGAAGTTGCGAAACCAATGACAGATCACAATCACAGTTAACTCAACATCCAAGGACAAGAACCCTTTCAACTTCAAATTTGTCTCTTTCCCACACATCATAGTGAGGGAAAAATCACATGGATCTTCTGAAAACAGCATAATATTTCAAAAGAAACTGCATTGATATTGATCATTGCATTTTCAATGTGCACCTTCTATACCTCTTTTGTTAGGACCAGGTGATGCCATGGAGAAGGAGAGACTCGGTCTCTATCCCATATCTAAGTGGAAAGGTGATTTGCAGGACCATCCCTCTAAAAAGTGATACCATGTAGTTCCTGGAAGAAGTGGAATATCTCAGCCCAGATCTCAAATTTGAGCAGGAGTTGGCCTGAAGAAGGGGCAGGATGTTCTAGGCAGAGGAAATTGCACATACAAAGGCACAGAGACAAGAAAGTGTGACACAATCAAATAACTGAAATAAATCCAGTTTGGTCTGAGTGTACTGAGAGACTGGGGAATCATGACAGAGGTGACCAGGGGAACAAGCAGGCAACGGATCCCAGAGGACCTTATACATCATTTTTAAAGTTTTAGACTTTAAGAGCAATGGGAGCTTTGTAAGAGGTTTGAGCATTTCATGTGTATTGACAACATTGTTTTAATGTTTGTTTGCATTTGTAAGGGAAGACCTCTTTTGGAGCATGTTGGACCTTCTTTGGAAAGCTGCCAATGAGTAAGATTGCAAATGGCCAGATGGGCCTTAGAAAGAATAAGATTTCTGATTCAAACTGATATAAATTTTATTCTTGATATAATACAAATGCATACTGACATAATTGGCCTTAAAGATAATTAATAATATAACAAGCCCATAGGTTTTGATAATGTAATTGACCTATTTCTATTTGGGGTATCTTTTTGTACTCTACTTGGTTTTACAGACTAAATGGTCTTGGTTATTGGAAATAACTTTAAATAATCTCCCAAATCTAGGCAAGATCCCCGGGCAATTAGAAGCTGAGATATTTGCATGCCAAACTGTAAGGTTCAGCATATGGTCCCAAATATTTGCATAAATAAAATCTTAAGATAGCATTTTCAGTGAGGTACTTTTATTTTTGTCTTTCATTCACAACACCTAAACAGTGTTTCTTTCAAACACAGATTATCTCCTTATACATTGTCCTCAAGTAATATTTTATGTATGTTATTTTTTCTTATACAGAATATACAGCCGAGTATGGTGGCTCATGCCCATAATCCCAACATTTTGGGAGGCTGAGGCGAGCGGATCACCTGAGATCAGGAGTTCAAGACCAGCCTGGCCAACATGGCAAAACCCTGTCTCTACTAAAAATACAAAAATTAGCCAGGCATGGTGGCCAGTGCCTGTAATATACCAGCCACTAGGGAGACTGAAGCAGAAGAATCGCTGGAACCTGGGAAGCAGAGGTTGCAGTGAGCAGAGATCACACCACTGTACTCCATCCTGGTCAACAGAGTGAGACTCCCATCTCAAAAAAAAAAAAAAAAAAAAAAAAAAAAAATATTGGGTGTTAAAAATAGAAATGTGCAAAAAGAAAAGGTAAAATAACTCACACTAGGGCAAATATCTTAACTTGTTGATGGTTTTACAAAAATAAACTCATATCCCATATCCTGATTTATAGTGTTTTTAAATATTTTTCCATTTAATTACATCTCATGAAGCTTTTTAATGTGATTATTCATCTGAATACATTTTAGTGAGTGTAGTTTCCCATCTTATGAATGAAACTACTTAACCAATTCCATATTGCTAGAGATTTAGGTTTCTTTTTTTAATTATAAACAACACTGTAATTTATGATGTATGATTAACTAACATCTAGTGGCATAATAAAAGTAAAAATATGCTAGCCATGGCATAATAAAAGTAAAAATATGCTAGCCACCATATATATATACATATACACACACACATATATACACACACGTATGTAACATACACACACACACACACATATATATATATATACTTTTTTCGTCTTCTTTTTTGAGATGGTGTCTTATTCTGTCACCCAGGCTAGAATGCAGTGGCACAACCTACAGCCTCCATCTCCTGGGCTCAAGTGATTCACCACCAAATAATATATTTATCAGCCCCAAATATTTCTGCCTTTTCCACATTAATATGACAAAAGCAAAGAAGTATCTTTTGGCCATCATATGCCTAAATAAAGGTATTAATATAGCATATATTTAATTATTTTAAGAAATCATATTTATCTACACTTCAAGGTCATTGGAGAACAGGACAAAACTGTCAGTCCACATGAATTTATGTGACTGCCATAAACAATCAGTGCAAGCAACATAACCTTTAATATTGCTTATGGAGCTAAGTAAATAGCCTTAAGAAAGAACTTTTTAAAAATATATATAGTCGCTTAGTTTCTAGCATAGAACATCTTGAGCTTCAAGGCAGATAAGAAATTTTCCTTAAAAGATTACCCTGAGGCCAGGCATGGTGGGTCACGCCTGTAATCCCAGCACCTTGGGAGGCCAAGGCTGGTGGATCACCTGAGGTCAGGAGTTTGAGACCTGCCTGGCCAAAATGATGAAACCCCATCTCTACCAAAACTATAAAAATTAACCGGGCATGGTGGTGGGCGCCTGTAATTCTAGCTATTCTGGCGGCTGAGGCACAAGAATTGCATGAACCTGGGAGGCTGAGGTTGCAATGAGCCGAGATCGCGCCACTGCACTCCAGCCTGGGTGACAGAGTGAGACTTTGTCTCAAAAAAAAAAAAAAAAAAAAGAAAACACACACACACACACACACACACACACACACACACACACAGCTAGAAGAGTAATTTAGCATTCTGAATTCGATCTAACTGGATGTCCTCGTTCCCGGCTGGAGTCCATAGTAGCCTCTCCCAGTAGAGAAACTTGGTCAGTGGTCACAATGGCAGACATCTGCAGATCATTGTGGTGATCTAGAAATACTGGTTTCCTACCTGAGAAGTTAAAATATTGAGCCTTATAACCTTGACCAAATTTAGTTTCCCAGATTTTGAGTCTGGTCTCTGAAATCAGACCACCTGTATTTGAATCAGAAGTCTACCTCTTGCAATCTGTTTGAATTTTTGAAAAAGTTATTTGGACCTCAGTTTCCATAGGAGACTCTAAGCAGTTGATGGGAGGTTTAAACAAAATAATCAGTATAAATCACTTAGTTCAGTATCTGGCTCACAGAGCATACTTGGCAAATGTGAGGTATTGAGTTCTCAAATTTGTAAACGTAAATAGAGTAAGAAAAACAAATGTCAACTCCCTATCAAGACAATGTCTTATTTGTCTCACTTGTTACCCAATTCAAAATGAAGTGGAGACAAGATCTTAAAACAGCTTGGTATGTCAAATCTTATTTAAAAGTGGAGGAGAAAGTAGAAAGAGAAGAGGAGAAAAAGGGGGAGCAGGAGGAAGGATGGGAAGGGGAGGAAGAGCAAATGCATTCTAGAATATACATTAGATGTACACTTAGATACACTTAGATACACAGATTACAAATTCATATATTAAAAAGGAATAAATTATAGCTATTGAAATGATGCCACTGATAGAAGAAATGTCTAATATCCTGAGACATCACATCATACAAAGTTATTTTCTTCTAGAAAACAGAATATCAACTTGAAGGTGATCTCTGTAACTTAACATTTCTAGGTGTTATTCTTGTCATTTGAAGAGTGAGAAATTTAAGTAGTAATTTTTTAAAAAACATGGTTATCAAAAATGCCTATGATTTAATGAAACAATATTAAATATGATAAATTCCAATAAAAGCAAAGAAATTAGAGCTCCTTTAGGAAATTCTTCACTATAAGAAGATTTACTTAAAGGAAGATAATAACAAACATTTTTCCTTCTGCTTGTATAAAGATCACTGAAGCTAAGGAAAGCATCAACTTAAAAGAAAATGTATTTTCAAGGGGAAATGGCACAGTGTTACAAGGAAATGAGAAAATGTGATATAATTTCATATCTGAAAACAGGCTATATTCACAACAAATTGATTTTAACTTATTTTAAACATGTTTATGGGTCTTTTATTATAAAAAGAAATGCATTATCATTGCAAACAAAACTACTTGAAAGTGAAAAATATGATACTTCAGTGATATAATTAAGAATTCTAAACTACTGTAAATATCAAACCATTAATAATTTTCACTTGTAATAATTAAACTGGGATGGAATGGCACATTCCTGTGTCTATGTATTGAACAACTGCTCATGTCTAAATTTAAGGTATGTATTAAAAAAATAAAATCATCTATGGCCCCACCATCTACAGATAATCACTAGTAGCAGGTTTGTATATCTCCTGCCCAAGCTTACTCATTCTCTCTCTTTCTCTGACATTTTTGGGGGTCCGTAAACTGTTAAGCATTATTTTTCATGTAATCTTTCAACTCCAAAGGAAAGATTAGCTAACGGAGTAAAGGATATTTGAAATAAAGAATAGGAGATCTTTCAGAAAACCCAAGGATGAGAGAACAGCTGGGCATCAAGAAATACCGGCATCAAGAAGAAGAGATGCTGGGAAAACCACTGTCTTCCATTACGTTCTTCTATCTTTCTCTGGGGCCACTGAAACTCATGTCTGCTTCTTTTTGCACCTTTGCTTGTCACTACTCTCATCGTTTTGGCTTTCTCACAGTTCGCTCTTGTAACTATTTCAGATAAACTAGCACCTCTTACCCCAATTCCATATTCTCAGAAGGGAGAATCTCTTTGACTCCATTTGTATTAGGAATTGAGAATAACATACTGCAGTTCTCAAGCAAAGAAGCATCTGGTCTTGGTAGGCACTGTAGCATTAGTCCGCTGTACCATGAACATCTTCTGTATGAATAAATGAAAATCTACCAATCTACATCATTGATTGACTCTATTTTATTATTATTATTATTGTGTGTGTGTGAGAGAGACAGGGTCTGGCTCTGTGGCCCAGGCTGGAGTGCAGTGTTGTAACCACTGCAGCCTCAATTTCCTGGGCTCAAGTGTTCATCCCACCTCAGCCTCCCAAGTAGCTGGGACTACAGTCGTGGCACTACCACACCTGGCTAATTTTTGTATGTTTTGTAGAGACACGGTTGTTCCATGTTGCTCAGGCTGGTCTTGAACTTCCTAAGCTCAAGCGATCTGCCTGCCTGCCTCGGCCTCCCAAAGTGCTGAGTTTACAGACATTGGCCGCTATGCCCAGCACTTTT